>NC_000008.11:135089222-135714222 GCF_000001405.40 Homo sapiens | reverse complement strand
GAAAAGAAAGAAAAAAGAGGGAGAGAGAGAGACAACCCAACCCCACGCTCACGCTGCTTTTCTTAAGCAGTGAGCCGACAAGGATGGAATCAAGCAATCCATCAAGAAGGAAATTAGGACACTGAAGTAGGGAATTGAAAATGAAGCTGAGACTGACAAGAAAGTAGATGAAGTATGAAAAGAATCTCTCTTTTTTATGCATTTATACATGAGAGCATCGAAAATATCACATCTGAGAGAGACTGCATTTCCATTTGCAGAAGTAACTATAGAACTGAAAGTCAGTAACAGAAGGTCGCAATGTCACCAGATGACATGGCCTCTGATTGGACCCCTAGGCCCCTCTACACACACACACACACACACATACAAACACACACACACACATACACACACACACACACACACACACACACACACAGAGCACTGCCTCTTTCCCGAGTCACTCTGTGGCCCTCCGGTTTTCTCTTCCCTTCCCTATAGCTCTTCCTTCATAGGTTGGCAAGAGAGCTGCTTCCAAAACACAGGTCTCATCTATTCTCCTCCAGCCAAAAGATGGCTCTTAACTTCCTACTCTTCTGAGGACTCAGAGAGCCTCTTTTCCACAGAATTCTGAGCTCTCCTCTCCATCTTCCCTGCTCCAAAGCTAGTCCTAGGCTCCTGCTCCAGCGGTACTGACCCACTTGGTTCCTCCCTCCTTCCCTCTGTGCTTTACCCGTGATGTTCTTCCTTCACTCACACAACAGGCATTTATTGAATGCCTTCTGTGTTAAGTGTTGGAGCCCAGGCACGGGGAGTTGGGCAGCCATGCATGGGGTAGCTGGAAGAGGAATTCAGAGCCTAAGCTGGAGTAGGGGAGCGTCTGTGTGGGGTAGGTGGTGGCAATAGACATGGAAGATTTGACATATACAGGAGGATTCATTGAATGGGTGAATATATGAAGGGGGAGAGAAGCTAGATTTCTCAGTGGGAGAAGGACTTACAATACAGAAGGGTGAAAGCTAGAATACATTCTCTGATGGTGGATTGAAATCACTCACCTCAGTCAACTCATGGTTTCAGTCTATGCAGATAGATACAGAAATAGACATAGACACAAATGCCCAATGGCAGCGCCTGGAAGCAGCCACACTCCATTAGTGAGGAGCACACCTCACATCCTGATTTGGCCTCTAGCCACCATTCTCTTCTAAAAGGAATCAGGGCTTCTTGAGCCATGCCTATGTCCAAGGCTAAGAAAGGGAATGTACAAAATGACCCTGGCACATGTTGTGCCAGAGATCAAAGTAGCGTAAAAAGAATAAAAGGAACATGTCCATAGGACATGGGAGCCAACTTAACAGGGTTCCCACTGACCAAATCAGAGAAACCAGAGCAACAGAATGAGTGTAATAGATTATAATTCATAGAATAAAACAGGAAACTGCTAGTTTATACTGATAAATAATATTGAACATATCTTGAAGAATGGAATATGAACATATTTTGAATGTAACTTCCCCAAATAATACTTAGTACTTGTAAAGGAAAAGACATTTCACAGTGGAGTGGGACGGGGCATTCTATCTTATTCAAGGGATGGGACAACACAAGCACCATGTTGCTTTTGCAATATCCTTGCCAAAGGATATTGGCAACAATCTGGTGGCCTGGATCTGATCTTGAAGAAACATCAAGAAAATCTGAGTTTGGGGCAAGAAGTATTCTACATAAGGACTGGCCTGAAATTTTCAAGTGTTAAGGCCCTCCAAGTCAGGGAAAGAAGAATTCTAAAGGGGCGTGATAACTGAAGCAATAGGTTATACTTTTGGTATACAAAGGATGTTCCCGGGACGATTGAGGAAACTCGGGTGAGTCTGAGGATGGGATGTAGCCATGCATCAGTGCCAGCCTGCTGATTTTGATGGATGCAGTGTGGTTATGCAGGAGAATGTCCTTGTTTGTGGGAAACACACACTACAGGACACACAGGTGATGGCAGCAGGTCAGGGACAGACTCTCAAAGAGTTCCAGAAGAATGTCCCACACTTCCAGCCTTCTGTAAGTTAGCAGTTGCTGATATAAAAAGATACAAGAAGAGGTGCACTGTACAGAGGGATGACAGAAAGGCTCTCTGAGAGCCAGGAGAAGGTGGCATATGAAATGCAGCTTGAAGATTGATTCTGAGTTTCCAAGATGCTCGATAAGGTGTCTTGTTATTGTTAGGATTCCGAGAAAGTGCACCAGCAACTTCCCTTTGTGCCCAGTCCTTTCTCTTTCTCTGGATCTCAGGGACCCAAGACCTCTAGAAAGACAGCTCCCTTTTTCTATAGGTGTTTCTAGGAGAAACAGAGGTGGGGGGATGAGCACACCAACAGAAGATTTCCATCTTCTTATGTACCAGCTCTATCTCACACTGACTCCAAACTGAGGTTTCACATCTCCGAAAGCTTTAATCACTGAGATCCTCCCTCCTCCCCTCCTTCCCTCCCTCCCTTCCTTCCTTTCTCCTGTCCTTTCTTCCCTCCTTCTGTCCTTTCTTTTTTCTTCCCTTCCTCTCTCACTCATTTATTCATTCATTCATTCATCCATGCTTTAAAAAAGTAATGGCATCATTGTATTAGGTGCTGAGATACATGATTAGGTGCTTACATGAGTAAGCAAAAATAAGAAAGACAAATTTTGTCTTCAAGGCCCAGTAGGGAAGCTAGATGTCGACCATAGATGCACAACCATAAGTGCAAAATTATAACCATAAGTGCTTCGACAGGGAGGTATGTGGAAATAAGAAAGCACACTATGGAAACTGACTTGGGCAGGAAGGTTAAAAACAATCTCTGAGGAAAGGAAAACTTCAATGACTAAAATAACTCAAGGTTCCGAGTTAAGATTCGAAACCACTGATTATGAGTTCCTGAAGGGACAGGCTAAGCTGCTACAAGAGAGGCCCAAAAATATCGAAGTCCAACAATACCCAGTTCTCTCTCTTGCTGGTAACGGCCTGGAGGTGTGTGGGTCCAGGGCGGGTCTTTGCTCAGCCCCACAGGGAATCCCAGCGCCAAGGACCTTCCCTCTTTTTGCTTTGCTTCTTTCAGGCACTGACCTCACCTGCACTGTTGAAGCCACTTCCTCTGTTCCACATCTGAGTTCCAGCTGGAGGAAGGAGGAAATCAGGTCTTGGGAGACAAGCCATTTTCTTCTTAAAAGATGCAGAGGCCGAGCACAGTGGTTCACGGCTGTCAGGATCCCAGCACTTTGGGAGGCCGAGGCAGGAGAATTGCTTGAGCCCAGGAGTTTGAGACCAGCACAGACAACATAGTGAGACCCTCTCTCTACTAAAAATAAAAAAAATTAGCCGACACAGTGGCACGAGCCCATAGCCCCAGCAACTTGGGAGGCTGAGATGGGAGGGTCACTTGAGCCCAGGCGTTCCAGGCTGTGGTGATCTGTGATCACACTACTGCCCTCCAGCCGGGACAACGGAGTGAGAACCTGTCTCTAAAACAATGAATCCATAAATAAATATAAACGAATAAAAGGTGTGGCCTAGAGGTCGGCTGCGCATTTCCATTCACACCCATTGGCTGGAACATTGTCATATGGCCCACGGGAAATGAGACTCTCAGGGGGTGATCAGGGCATTCACTGTGTCCCACAGCTGATTCTGTGAGTTTAGTTTCTGATCTGCTTCCAGGGCGAGGCACTAAGAGGGTGTTTTGAATGAAACTCTTTGAGTTTCATTATCAACTCAGCCGGTAACTACTGTCGCCAGCAGCTGAGAGGCCCAGACAAAAGAGTGCCAGCAGGAACCTACCTGCGTGAGTCCCCATCAGGGGTCAGATGGCGGGCACAGCTTCAATGACACAACCACAATGTGAAATTTTAAGCATTTTTAGTACTCACAGACCCTGGGAAGTACACAGCATGCATAGAGGCCACACACACACATGCACGCACTCACACATACTCACGTACACAGGCACACAGGGAGGTCAGGGAGCACGGCACAGTGGGTGGTGGGAGTGACCCATGGGCCAACGTCCTCACTGGGCCCAGGGTGTTATCCCAACAGGTTTCCCGTGGGGAGCTTTAATGCTGGGTTTAAAGCAAGCAGGCACTATTTCTAGGAGGTCACGCTGTGTCTGAGAGGTGGCAAATGTCTGAATGGTTCCTTTAAGGAAGTGGCAGAAGAGCCAGGAGCCCAGTCTGCTAGGTAAGGCAGACCTCTCAGTTTTATTTCTGGCCATTGCCTGGGGCCACTTGGATTGGGGATATCATTAACAACTGTGCCAACGGGGACTGAGCCCTGCTTCTGGTATAAAAAATTAAGCTTCAATTTAAAAATGGACACTGAGATGATGTAAAATTATAAGCATTTGATACGCTGAGACAAGCCTGTGGCTGCTGGGAGGCCACACTGCCCTGCAGCCGGGGGCTATTGGGGCAGAGGGTGCCACGGACAGATGAGGTTAACGGCTGCTCTGAGTAGGCAGGAAAACCGAGTGAGTCTCTGGGACAGAGTAGGAGAAGAGAGTGCTCTACGGGGACAGCAACTGGACACTGTGGGCTCCCATCCCCCAGTGTCCCGGGGACAGCAACTGGACACTGTGGGCTCCCATCCCCCAGTGTCCCAAGGAGTGTCAGAGCCTCTTGTCACATACACCCCCTTCAACTCCCTCTGCCCTTCAGTAAGGAGAGGCCATGGGCTTGGAGCAAGACAGCCTGGGTGCTCCTATCCCAGCTCTATCCCTTGTTACAGTGTGACTCTGGGCAAGGCATCTAATCTCTACGGAATCAGTTTGGTCATTGGTGAAACAGAACTAAAGCATCTCCCTCTCCATCTACTGTGCACCACCTGCCACAGCCCCTGGAACGTGCTTAGGATGCATACCAGGGTACAAGCTTAGGAAGTGTGGGCACCCACCCCAGCCCATGGACCTGTGTGCTCCCTGCGTTGAGCCTGAGATGCCATGCTTCTCTCTACTCTCTCTACCACTGTGGGATCCCTTGGTGATTTTGGTTTTCTGTTAGTAAACTTCTGTGTTTGGGATCTCGTTGTCTAGACAAATAACCACCCTCATCCCTGCCATCTGCCCAGTGCTTCACACCCTCGCTACACACAGTGTGGTCCTCCTGTCAGGTGTCAGCATCACTGGAGAATATTAGAAATGCAGAGTCTTAGGCCCTATCCCAGATCTAATAGCTTCAAATGAATCTTCATTTTTATAAGATCCCGAGAGACCCTATGCCCACTGAAGTTTGAGAAATGCTCCCAACTTATTACTGCCACTCCACAGCTGTCACCTCCTCAGCTCCACCCAACTTCCGGAGTTATTGTCATCACCATTTCACAAGTGAGGAAATGTCCATTGAGATTAAGAGGCAGAGAGTAAGAGGGACTCAGATCGAGATCTGCTGCCTTCCACCCAGGGTCCCTGAAATACCTTGGCCTGACTTTCCCTGTGGGTACCAGGCAAAAGGACACTTCGAAGAGCTTCACTGAGCAATCGACCTGCCCAGGCCTCCTGAGACATGCAATTTAACATTACTGTGGGTCACCTCATCCACACCTCTAACAAAGTCACAAGGGGAACTGGAGAAATTCAAGATGCCAGCAAAGAAATAACTGCCGGGCTGAAAGACTTCATAATTGCCAGATGGCTGAAGTGTTCAGAGAGTCGGAGCTATGGAGAAGGGCTAATTGATCTTGACATGGGCTAAGAAACAACATCACACCTGCGGCAATGACTGCAAGCTTTTCTAGTCCCAAGAGGGAAAGGCAAAATTCTGCTCCCAACAATGAGAGAGAAATGGTCTCCACCCCCAGTCAGTGGCAACACAGAGAGGAGGTACAAGCACAGGCTGATCTGCTTGTGAATTGTCACCACACTTAACTAGTCAGCTAGCCCGGGGAAAGTTCTGATTTATTCTGAGACGTAGTTTTCTCTCCTATAAAATAAATGTAATGATACAAATATCAGGTCTTTTGTCCATTTTTAATTGGGTTATTTTTTAGCTATTGGGTTATATGAACTCCTTATATATTTTGGTCATTGAAGCATGATTCTCAATAGCCAAGATATGGAAGCATCTGTCTCCAATGACAGATGACATGATCTCCTTCTTTTTTGGGGCTGAACAATATTCCATTATATATTTGCATCTATTAATATCTATTAATATCTATCTATCTATCTATCCACCTACCTGTCTATCTATCTCCCAATTTCTTTATCCATTGAGGGACACTTAGGTTCAAGTGATTCTCCTGCCTCAGTCTCCCAAGTAACTGGGATTACAGACATGTGCCACCACACCCACCTAATTTTTGTATTTTTAGTACAGATGGGGTTTCACCATGTTGGCCAGGCTGGTCTTGAACTCCTGACCTCAAGTGACCCTCCTGCCTTGGCCTCTTGGCCTCCCAAAGTGCTGGGATTACAGGCATGAGCCACCACGCCCAGTCCTAACTTCTCTTATAAGCAGAGGTGATAAACACCAAAAATGGGGGAAGTGAATCAAGAGAGGAAAGGAGAGCAGACTCAACTCAGTAAAATGATGAGGAACACAGAAGAATCTTGCCTCCTCCAGGAAGCACTCCCCAGCTTCTCTGGAACAACTAACTAACCTCTTCCTTCCAGGCTTGCTACAGCAGTGACCATCTGAGTCAGACCACCCAGACTGCTATGAAGAGGCATGTATTGAGGACCCCTCACCTGGTATCCACATTTATCTCCAGCTCCCTCCAGTATTTACTCAGCTCCCAACTTACATCCATTCTCCCAAGCCTGCTCTCGGCTTTGCTCCTTAGGCTGATAACATCTGTGGCCTCTCCAAATCAGACCTTCAGTTCTCTCTCTCCTTCTCAGAAGTCACTGTTGAGTCTGTCTGCCCCCACGTTCCCAGGGAAACCACCTCCCACCTCCCCCAGCCTGAGTAACCTGGGCTCAATGGTGATACATTGATGTCTTAGTCTATTTGTGCTGCTAAAAGAAAAAACCACAGATTGGGTACTTAATAAACAATAAAAAATATTTTTCACAGTTCTGAAGCCTGGGAAGTTCAAGATCAAGGAAGCAGCAGGTTTGGTTGTGAGAGCCCAAACTCTGCTTCCACGGTGGCACCTTGTTGCTGCATCCTGGGAGGGGATGAACGCTGTGTCCTCACAGAGCAGAAGGGATGAAAGAGGTGAACTCGCCCCTCAAGCCCTTTTATAAGATCACTAATCCCATCTGCAAGGGCTAAGCTCTCAGGGCCTAAAGGCCCCACATCGTAATACTGTTGTGTTGGGCATTTAGTTTCAACATGAATATTGGAGACACACAAACATGCAAAACATAGCAACAGATTTGTGATATCTACCTAGGACACCCCTACCCATTTCCCCTGGAAACTGCCCATCCCACCCCTAATCCCTCTCCAGGGTCACCATAGGGGCCATATTTCCTCAGACCCTCCCACCCCCTCTTCTATGCCTGAGAAGCTGACTAGATCCAGCCTCATCAGAGCTCTTCTCCCGGAAACTTTCAACTGAAACAAGACTTCATCTCTCTCAGGTAAAGGGTCCACAGAATATGAAACAAAGAGGCTGAAAGCAGACAAAATTCACACTGTGGGAAGAAAGCCAATTTCAGCAAATGAAAATAATTCTAGCAAGCTGAAGGAGCAGGGGTTGGGCTGGGTGCTGTCACCTTGGCACTGTGCTCCTGCCTGCAGAGGTCTACACCCCCCAAGTCCCTCCTGAGTGGCTCTCAGATAGAGGTGAAGAAGGGAGGACCTGTGTGTAGTTTGGGAGGTAGGAGGGAGGCAGAGGCCATTCTCCGGTATGAGCAGGTGCAGAGCTGTCTGGTGGGCCCCAGCCATCCTTGCTCATGTCCTGACCACTAGCCCTGCTGACCATCTGATCCCACCAGGCACACAGAGGCAATGAAGGTCACAGAGGCAGCGGTGACCAGAGGGGGAACACTGCCTAACAGCAGCGTTTCCATGGCCCTCCCCCACACTCTCCCTCCATGACCACAGTCTAGGGGCCAGATAGCTTCGGCCTCTTGCATTTCCCACAAGCTCCAACTTGTTTAGTCCCCGAGGGTGACTCTCTGACATCCCCTTCCAGACCTGGCTTCCCCAGCATCCCCACATCCACAGACACCCTAATTCCCATTTTAAACTCCTTGATGAAACCCTTGCTGAGGCTCCATTTGCCTGCCTGAAGTTGACTGGTGTGGGGGTGGACACTTGACCTGATTTCGAGGCCTGAATGAGGCCCCTCATTTGCCGTTGTCCTGGCTTCCTTTGAATCTCTTGATCCCAGCCCCAACTCCTCCCTCCGAAAAGCTTGTCTCCAAACAGCAATAACTAGGGATCTTCAAAGACATAAAACCAACCATGCCACTCCTCATTGCTTTTTCACCATCAAGAGAAAAGTCCTGACTCTTCCCCATGGTTTATCAGACCCTTTATGACGTGGAATCCCGCCTGCCACTCTGACCTCACCCAATCCCAGCCCCATTTCACTGAGTCTAAAGCCACAGTGGCTTTCCTTCTCTTCCTGAAACTACCAAATCTTTTCTATGTGCAGGGCCCTGTGGTCTGGAGCAAACTTCCTGGCTGTTTAAGGGTTAACTTCATCTTACACCACAGGTCTCAGCAGCAAAGCACCATCCCAGAGAGACCTGCCCACTCGCTTTGCTTCTGATTACAGAATTTAACTTATGCCTGGGCACAGTGATGCACACCTGTAGTCCCAGCAACTCAGGAGGCTGAGCAGAAGGATCACGTGAGCCCAGGAGTTCAAGGCCAGCCTGAGCAACAAGGCGAGACCTTGTCTCTTAAAAAACAAGAATCTAGCTTATATCCAGGCAGATAGAGGAGAGCAGTGGATACCTATTGCCTGACTCATACATCAAACCGCGGGCCCAGTCCACAGGAAAAGGCAATAGAACCTGAAAGGCATTCCTGGATTCTATGCCATCATGTGAGTCTAGTGGATGTGTCTATAAGGCGTGTTCCCCACTGGGAATCCAAACTCACAAGGTTAGAGGTGGTGCTTTTTATTTCTGTTCTTATCTCCCTGAGGGCCTAGTAGGAAGACAGATCCAAACCAGTGTTCAGTATACATAGAACACTGAAACCTAGATTTGCAAAGGACCTGAGGAACTCAAGGAACCAGTGGCCCAAGCCCTTCATGTCAGAGATGAAGAAAATGAGGCCTCAAGGGAGGATGATGCTGCACCAAATCCCCCAGGGAATGTGTGACAGCCTTCACGCTTACATAAAACACGAGGATTGAAAAAAAAGCCAAGACAGAAATTCTTCAACCAGACTCTCTGATTTAACTCTCCTACATGTGTGTCCCTAGTCTGGGGAAAACTGGAGACACAGGTCAATCCTCATTGGTTTATTTATGCTGCGTATGCTTCCCCCAAAACTTAGTGCCTTAAAATAGCATCAATTCACTATTTCTCATCATTCTTCCTCCACAACCAAACAGACATGCATTGCGTGAATCTCCCTCTGTGCCTGGCCCAGGGCTTCGTCGTGCTTGGGGCACAGAGTTTCATGATATCTGGCCCTGGGCTAAGGGGGGGGTTCTATTTCTGGGTTTACTGGGTAGCACTACAGGTCTCTGTGGCTCACCCAGGCCACTGCATTCAGCTGCAAGCTTGTCTAGGAGCTTCAGTTAACCTGACTCTCTGTGGTGTCTTATCTTCTACAACTCCTTCACGTGGCTTCCTTGACAGCCCATAGCCTAGATTTCCTTAGAACATGGCAACTGGATTCCCAGAAGAAAAGCCCCAATACCTGAACACTTTTAAAGACTTTGCTTGCATCATGGCTACTAATGTCCCATTAGCCAAAGCAAGCCACATGGCCAAACTCAGAGTCAATGTCAGATAGGAAATGAATACCAGGAAGTGTAGTTCATAGGGGACATCCATGTACCTGTCTGCCACATTCACTATCCCCACAGAACAGACGAGTTCTTCCCCTCCCCAGTGCCTCACCAGGAAGAAATTGACTGGACATGGTCCTGAACTAAGTGAGCTTCTATCTCTGGCAGTGTTGGAGACTGAATACCCCAAACTATCCTCTCACAGGACAACAACCACAGATGCTGGAGACAGTTTTGTAATGTTTTCAATGTATTACCAAACTTGGAAAAAAATTAGAACAATTCTCAGAGGCCAGAAATCAAAGTGGAAAAGGAAGCCAGAGAGATAGGCAGTGGGAAGTCTGCTTTCACCAGGGCTCTCTGCTGGGCCCTGGTGCATCTGAGCTTCCGTGTTAATGACCACATTCCATGTGGGAGAATAAAAATGGAGCTGGGCAGTGGTAGGAAGTCCAACAGGAGATTCCAAATGAAGCTGGAATCCCAAAGGACTAGAATCTACTCCATAAGTGTGAACAGGAGAGATGAGGGAAGAAACGGAAAACATAACCTGCATAGAAGCAACAGGAAAATTTCCCCATCGCTACCTCAAAACTGTGTAGATGGAAACAATACCTCCCTGAGAATTCATAGCCACTAGAAAGCTGTCATGCATATTTACAGAATAAATTATTACTCTTAGTGTTGTTTAAAAGACCCTGTATTAGTCTGCTCAGGCTGCCACAGCAAAATACCATAGACTGAGCAGTTTAAACAATAAAAATTCATTTCCTCACAGTACCAGAGGCTGGAAATTCAAAAGCAAGGTTCCAGCGGGGATGTTTTCTGGTGAGGTCTCTCTTCCTTGCTTGAAGACTGCCCCTTCTCTCTGTGTCCTCACGTGGCCTTTGTTCTGTGTATGCATGCAGAAAGAGTGCTCTTGTGTCTCTTCCTCTTTTTATAAATTATATTAGATTAGAGCCCCACCCTTATGACCTCATTTAACCTTACCCATCTCCCTACAGGACCTATCTCCAAATACAGTCACATTGAGGGTTAGGACTTCAACATATGAATTTGGAGGGTACAAAAATATTCAATCCATAATAGACTCAAAGTTTGACATTTATTTTAAAATGAAGCAAATACAAATTCTTTTTTTTTTTTCTTTTTGAGATGGAGTCTTGCTCTGTCCCCCAGGCTGGAGTGCAGTGGTGATATCTCAGCTCACTGCAAGCTCCGCCTCCTGGGTTCACGCCATTCTCCTGCCTCAGCCTCCCGAGTAGCTGGGACTACCAGTGCCCGCCACCACGCCTGGCTAATTTTTTGTATTTTTAGTAGAGACGGGGTTTCACCATGTTAGCCAAGATGGTCTCGATCTCCTGACCTCGTGATCCACCCGCCTTGGCCTCCCAAAGTGCTGGGATTACAGGCGTGAGCCACCGCGGCCGGCCGCAAATACAAATTGTTTCTAAAAGAATACAACTTCATTCCAGTAATCAAAGAATTCCTGCAGATAAATATCCAAGGAAAATGAGTTAACAATATTTTTAAATCTCAAAACACTTGAGGAAACAAGACACTGTGAATGTGGAATCAGAAGTGGAAATAATGACATGCAATATAAAATTGGTACATTTACTGTTTAAAAACATAAAAAAGAGAAAACTACATGAATAAGGAATAGGAGAAGATAAAAATAAACAAGCAGACCTAAAAAGTAGTACTTCTCTAAATAAAAATAAAATAATTGAAATTTAAAACTTAATGTGTAGGCTAAAGAGCAGACTGGCTACAGATAAAGGAAGAATTCATGAAAGAGATTCTAGAGAAATTACCCTGAGTGTAACATACAGACATCAAGCTGGAAAAATATAAACACAAGGTTAAAAATCAAGGAGAGTAGAATGAATGAGGAGAGTGACATCAGCAAGAGAGCCGACTAGAAGCCCCTAGTGCTCAACCCTTCTACAAAGACAACCAGAACAAAGAATAAACAATGATATTTTAACAAAAATAACTAAAGGAGAGCACTGGAGTATGTCAAAGGAGTAACAGAAACTTTGGTGAGCACAGAAAGTCAGGACAGCCACACAGAGAATGGAAGGAAACACCAGGACACCACCTCATCCCTCAACCAGGATCAGCTGGGAACCAGGAGGAACTGCTCCCTACAGTGAAAGGTAGGCAAGAGGATCCCAGCAGCCCCCACCTACACCTTGGATATCTCAGACCTCACTGCTGGGGTCCCCTGCAGTCCTCACAGGCACTAAGCCCAGATGGGAAGCTTCCTGGAGGCCACATAGCTGTGGTCCCCTCAGGGAAGGAGCTGGCACTGTGCCCCTCTCATGTGGTTTAATCTGCTACTGTGCTACACCATCTAGGAACTAGAAGAACTGCTGGAATGTGTCTTACTCTGAGGGTGAGTAGCTATGGTACCCCTTCATCTCTGAGGCTAAACTGCCATCAAACTACCCCCACCCAGTGGCCACCCATCCCCAAGCCAAGCTGTAAGCAATTGCTACTCCCTTCCTCGTGGGGCCAAGTAGAGGTGGAATTGCTTCATTTACCCCACTCTCACCCCCTCAGGCTAGATCTTCTTGGGTAAATGGTGCTGTGGCAAAACAGCTCCATCTACCTCTCTCAACTGTAGCTGTGCCCTGTCCCTAAGTGCTCTGAGATGAAACTGCACACTGCCTCCTGAGGAAATGGTGCCTTGGAAAAGCCCTGCATTGCAGAGAAACAGTATCTGGGCCATCCAGAATAGTCGCACTCCTAGGCCTGAGCTGAAGAGGCACATCACCTTCTGGGAAATTGCTGCTTTCGCTGACCTGAGCAGCTACACATCCTAGGGCTAAGCTGACATAGTACCCTGCATCTCAGGAAAACAGAGCAGTGGCTGAGCTGAGACACCCCACACTACAGGCCAAACAACTCTAGCACCCTGCTTCCCTGGAGCTGGACTAGCACTCTAGAGTCTGATCTACTGAGACACCCCTCTCTCTGCAGTGAGTCATCACTATACTGTTCCCTGTCCTCCGGAGTCCAAATGACAGCTGTGTTTGGCCACTCTGGGGAACTTTCTGCTGCTTTACCTGGTTCCATAAGGTCTGGGATATTGCTGAGCCCCACCATCTCAGGGTCTAGAGTCACCACTACACAATGCCTCATCCCAAAGGACCTGAGATGCTACTCAGCCCTATTGGCTCAGGCTACAGAATTACAGCCATACTCTGCACCCTGGGCTCAAACTTCCAGAGCAACCCTTCTTCCCTGGAGTTGGGCCAGGGTAGAATCATAGCTACAAACCAACCGCCTGGACCCAAACTGCTAGGTGGTATCTCAGACTCACAGATCCTAGTGCTGCAGGCAAGCTACATTCAACCATGCCACAGAGCAAAACTATACCCCAAAATTCAGGTGCCACATAAGTTCCTGAGAACCTGAGACTGGGACCCTGGCCCCACAGCCACTCCAAGCATTTGTACCTGAAACACAGAATCACAGCAGCTGCTTCTAGACCATATGAGGCCAGACACCAAGAAGGATCCCCTCAGTTACGTCTCCCCATTGTGGGAAAAATAAGAATAGGAGAAGTCTAAAAGCCCTTGCCACTGAGGACATTAAACACCTATGCTAACACCACTGCTACCACAGACATTTATAGCCTAAACAGTGAGGTGCCCACAGTTATTGCTGATGTTGAACATAGATTAAGAAATGGCATGAAGACTGTACCATTTCACCTACCCAGAAACAGAGTCACCATGCCCTTCCCAAGTGACATACTAAGACCCAACTGTGGGTGAGAGTTTTTCTCTACAAAAGCCACTCTAGAAAGTTTAGAAGTGACTGTTCCACCAGATGCACAGACATCAATGCAGGGACACAATAAGCAAGAAAAAGCAAGGAAGCATCACACTATCAAAAGAATATAACTCTCTAGTCATAGACCCCAGTAAAAATAAAATCAACGAATTACCAGAAAAGGAATTCAAAATAATGATCATAATGATCATAAGGAAACTCAACAAGATATACAAAAATACAAATAAGACATTTCAACAAAATTAGGAAGTCATAATATGAATAAGAAATTCAACAAAGAGAGATATCATAAAAAAGAATGAAACAGAAATTCCACAGCTGAAGAATTTATTGAATGAAATAAAAATATAACAGAGAGCTTCAATAGAAGACTTTATTTAGCAGAAGAAAGAATCAATGAACTTGAAGATATGTTGTTTGAAATTGCCCAAGTAGAGGGAAAAAAAAGAAATTAGAATAAAAAAGAGTGAAGAAAGATTTATGAGTCACCATTAAGGGGGTGAGGTATAAAAGACTCATAGGGTCTTTTATGATAGGGTGCAGTGTATACTGCTCGGGTGATGGGTGCACCAACATCTCACAAATCACCACTAAAGAACTTACTCATATAAGCAAATACCTACTGTATACCAATAACCTATGGAAAAAGGGAAAAAAAAGAAAAAAAGAACAGAGCAGAAATAAAATTGAGACAAAAGAATACAAAAGATCAACAAAACAAAAAGTTAATTTTTTGAAATGATGACATCCACAAACCATTAGCTAGGCTAACCAAAGAAGAAAGAGAAAAGACCCAAATGAATAAAACCAGTAACAAAAAAAGGAGACATTATGACAGATACCACAGAAAGATCAAGAATCATTAGATACTATTGAAAACAACTATACTCCAACAAATGGGAAAACCTAACAGAAATGGATAAATTCCTGGACACATAAAACCTTCCAAGACTGAACTGAGAAGAAATGAAAAAGCTGAACAGACTAATAATGAGTAATGAGATTAAATCAGTAACAAAAAGTCTTCAATCAAAGAAAGGCTCAGGACCTGATGGTTTTACTGATGAATTTTACCAAACAGTTAAATAAGTGCAAACAACAATTCTTCTCAAAATCTTCCATAAAATTGAAGAGAAGGGAGTTTTTCCAAATTTATCCTATGAGGCCAGGATTACTCTGATACCAAAGCCAGACAAGGACACAACAACAACAATATCAAAAAATTCTAAGCCAATATCCCTAATGAACATAGATGCAAAAATCCTCAACGCAATACTAGCAAACTGAATCCAACAGTACATTAAAAAGATAATTCATCACGATAAAGTGGGACTTATCCCAGGGACATAAGGATGGTCCAACATACACAAATTAATAAACATACTTCATCACATCAACAGAACAGAACCAAAACCACATGATCATCTCAATACATGCAGAAAAACATTTGATACAATTCAACATTGTATCAGGATAAAACCCTTCAACAAAGTAGGTATAAAAGAAGTATACTTCCAACATAATAAAGGCCATATATGAAAACCCCACCACTAACATTATGCTGAATAGGGAAAAGCTGAAAGCTTTTCTTCTAAGAACTGAAACAAGACAAGGATACCTACTCTCACCACTCTTAGAACATAGAACTGGAAGTCCTTCCCAGCACAGTTATGCAAGAGAAAACATAAAGTACATCCAAACTGGAAAGTGGGAAGAAAAAAGTGACTCCATCTCGGATGCTAATCTGCCATGTTGACTTCTGAATAGCCCCAGTCGTGTGAAAGCCTCCTGATTTCTACTTTATTTACTGTGCTTAGTGTTAAGTATGTCAACCTTGATATTACTGCACAAATTATAGGCTATTACACATACAGCATTTTGCCCATTCTGGAGGGTTGTCTTTAATTGTCTTGCTGGAGCATGTTTAACCTTTTCCTATGCTATATAAGCCTTGAGTCTGCAGAGTAACAGTGCAGTGATGTACTTGTCTTGTGGCAACCCAGACCATGTTTCTGTCTGCAAGTTCCCCAATAAAACACACTTTGTAGACAAACTGGATTTGTCTGTTTTGTTTTTTGTTTCCTCTGCCCCTTCAGCTTTTGGGGGCCAGTTTGTGTATATGACCTTTTCACTTAACAGAACGAAAGAAGACAAATTGTCCCTGTTTTCAGATGAAGTGATCATACATACACATACCTTAAAAGCTCCACCAAAAAACTCTTATAACTGATGAGTGAATTTAGTAAAGCTGCAGAATACAAAATTAGCATACAAAAATCAGTAGTATTTCTATATGCCAACAGCAAACTAGTGAAAAAATAAATTAGAAAAGCAATCCCATTTCCAATAGCTACTACAAATCATAAAATACGTAGGAATAAATTTAACCAAGGATCTAAAATATATCTACAAGGAAAACTATAAAACACTGATGAAAAGAATTAAAGAAGTCACCCCAAAAATAGAAAGATATATCATGTTCATGGACTGGAAAAATTAACGTTGTAAAAATGATCATACTACCAAAACTGATTTACAGATTCAATGTAATCCCTATCAAAATACTAATGTCATTCTTTACAGAAATAGAAAAAATCATTCTTAAATTTATTTAGAACTAAAGAGGACCCTGAATAGCCAGAGCAATCCTGAGTAAAAAGAACAAAACTGTAGGCATCACGACCTGACTTCAAAATATACTACAAAGCTATAGTAACAAAAACAGCATGGTACTGGCAGACAAAAAGGACACACAGACCAATGAAACAGAATAGGAAACTCAGAAATAAATTCATGCATTTATGCCCAACTTATTTTTAACAAAGGTGCCAAGAATGTACATCAAGGAAAGGACAGTCTTTCAATAAATGATGCTGGGAAAATGAAATACCTAAATGCAAAATATTCAAGTTATTTAAATTTTTATATTTAATTTATATTTAAAACATACATTATTTAAAATTGGATATCTAATCTAAATTTGGATATCTAAAATCAAATTTAACACCCATCTCTCACCATCTACAAAAAACAAATCAAAATGGATTAAAGACTTAAATGTAAGACCCGAAACTATCAAAGTAGTGAAAAATAAAAACACTGGGGAAATGCTTCAGGACATTGGTATGAGCAAAGATTTTTTTGGTAAGACCTCAAAAACACAGGCAACCAAAGCAAAAATAGGCAAATGGAATTACACCAAGCTAAAAACCTTCTGCACAGTGAAGGAAACAGTCAATAGAGTAAAGTGATAACCCACTGAGTGGGAGAAAATATTTGCAAACTACTGAACAAGAGATTAATAACAAGAATATATAAAGAAGTCAAACAACTCAATAGGAAAAAAAACATGAATAATCCTTTAGGAAATAGGCAAATGATCTGAATAGATATTTCTCAAGTGAGGACATATAAATGGCCAATAGGCATATGAAAAAATACTTAAAATCACTAATTATGAGGGAAATGCAAACCAAAACCACGTTGAGATATCATCTCACCACAGTTAAACTGGATATTATCAAAAAGACAAAAAATAAGAGATGTTGGCAAAGATGCAGAGAAAGGGGAAAACTAGTACCCTGCTAATTGGAATGTAATTAGTACAGTCACTGTGGAAAACAGTATGGAGGTTCCTCAAAAAACGAAACCTAAGTGTGCATCGATGAATAAATGGATAAAGAAAATGTGGCATATATACACAATAGAACACTATTTATTCACAAAAATGAATAAAGTCCTGTCATTTACAGCAACATGAATGAAACCAGAAATCAAATAAGCCAGGTACAAAAAGAAAAATATCACATATTTTCACTTATATGTGGAAGCTAAAAAGTTGATCTCATGGATGTAGAGACTAGAATGATAGTTACCAGAGGCTGGGAAGAATGAGAGAGCAGTGAAGAGAGGTTGGTTAATGCGTACAAAAATACAGGTAGATAGAAGAAATGAGTTCTAGTAATCAATAGCACAGTAGTGTAACTATAGTTAACAGTAATATATTGTGTATTTCAAAATAGCTAGAGGAGAATAATTTAAAATGTCCTCATCACAAAGAAATGACAAAAGTTTGAAGTGATGAATATTCTCACTCTTGATTTGATTATTACACATTGTGTGCCTCTATCAAAATATCACATATACCCCATAAATATGTACAATTATTATGTATCAATAAAACAACAATGGGACTAGTGTGAAAAGGCTTGTCATTTTATGATCAAATTTCCAAATGATGAAAATGGCAAAGAGGGAACATGTGAATAGGACATTTCAAAGAATTTCCTTGACATGATGAAAGACAGGTCAGGATTCAGGAAGCCCAACACATCACAAACAGACCATCCCAATCATTAAGAAACTGAACAATACCAAAAACCAAGAGAACATTCTAAAAGCATCCAGAGACAGAAGACAGATTACCTCTAAAGGAATAACCATAAATGTAAAACTGACTTCCAATAGCAACAGTCAAAGCCAGAAAACAGTAAAATGTCTCCAATGTGTGAAGAAAAAAATAAATGTCAACCTAGAATTGTACGTTCTGCAAAACAATCTATAAAGATGTAGGGCACAATAAAAGACAATTACCAACTGAGAATATTTGTGACCCACAGCCTCTCACTGCAAAAAAAAATCTGAAGGGAACATTCCAGGCAGAAGAAAAATCATCCTCTGAAGGCTTAAAGGATTTCAGAATAGGCCAGACACAGTGGCTCACGCCTGTAGTCCCAGCAGTTTGGGAGGCTGAGGCGGGTAGATCACGAGGTCAGGAGTTCAAGACCAGCCTGACCAAAATGGTGAAACCCTGTCTCTACTAAAAGTACAAAAATTAGCCGGGCATGTTGGCATGCACCCGTACTCCCAGCTCCTCAGAAGGCTGAAGCAGGAGAATCGGTTGAACCCAGGAGACAGAGGTTGCAGTGAGCAGAGATCATGCCACTGCACTCCAGCCTGGGCAACAGAGACTCCATTTCAAAAAAAAAAAAAAAGGATTTCAGAAAAGAGAATGAGCAACTACATTGGTAAATATATAGGCAAATCTAAAAAAAACCGTACAAAATAATAACCATCCAACAGCATTCACTTACTCATTCATTTATTCCACACAGCTTTTCTGAACACCATCTGGTCTTCAGGCTTGCATGGAACATATCACACACACACACAAAATGAACCTCCATGAAGAATTTTATATTGGTGATTTAGGAAACCAAGGAAAATGTCCATTCCATTATTTTTTGATAGTTAGAACATGGAAAGTAACTTCACTAACATAGAAAGGCAACTAAGAACATTGTTATATACTCTGTGTATGGGTCTCCCCCATGGTTGGTGAGCAATGTAAAGACCAAAGCCCGCACATGCTTACTCTTTGTTGCCATAGGACAGGGACCAGGGAATGGGCAGTGAAGAGGTCAGGCAAAGTTGATAGGTGTTCTGGGGAAGGGCTAGACCAATTCAGTTTGCAGGAGACAGGGCTAAGTCAAGAGCTGAGCCTTGTGAGATGATGAGAACTTCAGGGAGTGGCCGGGAGAAAGGCAATGAACACAATGAGGCACAGCCTGTGTGATGCCAACCACAGCCCTCCTTCAGTGTGCTGCTGGGGGGTGGAGATAAATCAGTATCTTGCAAAGCCTCTTCCAATCAAAGAAAGTAGAAATATTCCAACAGGGTTCGGCTGTATTCGTACCCAAATCTCATCTTGAATTGTAGCTCCTATAATTCTCACATGTTGTGGGAAGGACCCAGTGGGAGATAGCTGAATCATGGGGGTGGTTTTCCCCATACTGTCATCATGGTAGTGAAAAAGTGTCACAAGATCTGATAGTTTTATAAGGGGAAACCCCTTTTTCTTGGCTCTCATTCTCTCATCTGCTGCCATGTAAGATGCGCCTTCTGCCTTCCGCCATGATTGTGAGGCCTCCCCAGCCATGTGGAACTGTGAGTCCATCAAACCTCTTTTTCTTTAAATTACCCAGTCTCTGGTATGTCTTTATCAGCAGCATAAGAACAGACTAATACATATTCACATATTTTAATCAAGTTATTCCATATTAGAAAGCTTTTCTAGTAATGTAATTAATGATGAATATGTGGACATTGACATACAAAATTTTAACATATCAATGTTTACAATAGGAGGAATATGAAAACAAATTGGATAGGCAAATTATGGTACTCAAGGAAATAAGATATGGCCAATACAAATGCTTTATTATGTTAGAGTAAATAATCAAGATATAAAATTACAAGAACAGTTTGATTATAACTCAACAAAGGTAACTATGAGGAGAATGATAGCAAACAGGAGAAAATATTTCCAAGTGTTCATAGTGATCTCTGATTAGGGGATCTATAACTGATTTTCATTTTTCTTCTTCTCTGTATTTTTCTGACCTCCTTTAACAGAGACATATTATTTTCATAATGAAAAATAAATACAGAATTGTAACTTTGTCATGTTTCATAGTACACTTACCTGTTATGAAATGAGGTTTTATGAAAAAATACCAAAAGAGAACTTCTAAGGCTCTTTCCCTACCTCCAGAAGTGCTAGAACTGCAACTCTGACCAATTTTAACCTGCTCAGAGCAGAGTTAAGTCCTGGGATTTTCATCCATTGAGCTTTTCCACCATGCTCCCAAGAGCCTCTGGATTTTCAGGTCTCTATGGAGCTTCAGGCATCCCTGGCACCGCTTGTGATCCAGGTTCTCCACTTCCCCCAGCACTTACATTGTGGGCTGCAGGTACTTCTCCTCCATCCATTCCACATGACTCTCACTGTCTCATTATGCCTGTAATGGATGCTGTGATGCACCAAGATCCCCCTTCAGAATGAAAGGACTTACTCCCCCAGCTGCTGCAAGTGCTGACTTACCTCATCCAAGGTCATGCCCCCTCTTGGTGAGCCCACATTCAATAACTGGTCAAGAATAGATACAGTCCCCTTCCTCCAACTCAGGACTACTCTGAAGGGCCATCCCAGCCTCAGAGCTCCTGGTGGGGTTGGCTGAAGGCTTACTGGGGCTGCACCACTCAACTCCTCCCACTGTCTAACCCTTCTTCCTATCCTTACTCCCATAGAAGTGACCTCCAGAGCACTCCCTAATAAATTCCTGCATGTGCATGCCCATCTCAGAGTCTGCTTCCCAAAGAAGCTGCCCTGAAATACCTGCAGGAATCTCCTACATTTGTCCCTCTGAAATGCTGATGCCAAGGACCTCTTTCTATTTGAGATGCCGGCCTCCCGCTGGCAGTTGACACACTCATCCTGGCGTTCTGACACTTGGCATCACACAAACTTCAGCCTCAGCTAAATGGGCGAGGCCCCTACTCATAGCCCACACGTCTGTGATTCCCCTTTCTTGGGTCATTTTGCATTTTTTCAATGACATAATTAACAAGCACTTACTGTTTACTAGACATCCTGGTAGTCCTAGTATAAAAAACAAACATGGCTCCTGTCCCTGTGGAGCTCTCAGATCAGTGCAGGAAACAGACATTCATCAGGTAGCAATGCAAATCAATGTATATTAATTTGAATCATATGAAAATGCCAGTGCTAGGTCATCTTAACTTACAAAGCCAACATTTTCTTTCTTTCCTTTTTTTTTTTTTCTTTTTGAGACGGAGTCTCAGCTCACTGCAAGCTCCGCCTTCTGGGTTCACGCCATTCTCCTGCCTCAGCCTCCCAAGTAGGTGGGATTACAGGTGCCCGCCACCATGCCTGGCTAATTTTTTTGTATTTTTAGTAGAGACGGGGTTTCACCGTGTTAGCCAGGATGGTCTCCATCTCCTGACCTCGTGATCTGCCCGCCTCGGCCTCCCAAAGTGCTGGGATTACAGGTGTGAGCCACCGCGCCCGGCCCAAAGCCAGCATTTTCATATGGTTCAACTTAAAAGTTCTAAATAGTAATAAAACCCCAAGTGTGACGTGCCCAGCATGACTAATAAAACAATACTGAGAATTATCTCCATTCATTCCCAACATATTTGTCCAATGCCGAAAACAAAAATTCAATCTTATTTTGTTATTTTTCCCTCTATTTGTGCACTTATCATTTTTTAAAATAAAAGCACACGTACACAGAGAAACCTGATTGAACATTGACTTTCTCTCCCCTTAGTTCCTTACAACCTGTATGTTGCAATTAACATGGAGATTGAAATTCAAAAGTGAGTTTGGAAATTCAAGCCAGAGCTAAGCAAAAGAAAGAATAAAAAAGTCAATTCCCAAATGTGCCTTGGCCACTTCTGCTGATGTGCTTTTTTCCTACATTTCCTGACAACCAGCATTTGATGAGTTTCTCTCACCTGCCCCCACCCCACACCTCACAGTCAGTCGATTTAATGATGATGTATTGAAACCATTGGTGACATAAGAAAGTGGGACTCCATGGCAGCCACTCCAGTTCTAAAGTAAATTTCCAGCAGAGATGAGCAACAGTGAGGGTCTCAGAGGGCAGCCCTCAGCATGCCAGGGTGGGGAGCCACGTGGGCATTCTTAGAGGAAAAGTCAAGATTTGTGCATTTAAAAAAAAAAAAAAACCCAGACTGGAATGAAATAGGAGAGAATAATGTGAGAATAAATGGGGCAGCATAATGATGGCAACAAATTCTCCATGGAATTCCTCCAAGGACAGTTTTCATCTTCTAGTTAGGTGTTGTGCACCCTTCTCTGAGCTGTTCCCAAGTGTTTGCACAAAATTCTAAGACTCTCCAAGACATAGAGAGCTCAGAATAGAAGCAGTTGAGTGCATCTGGGGCACCACATGGGCTGATGATCTGTCGTAGACATTAAGCTCCTACAGGGCAGGACTGGGTCTTAGGGAAGACTTTGTAGTATAAACAGAAGATAAGAAGACACAGGCCATGCCTCCACTGCCAGTCTTTTCAGAGATTCAAATGGGCTTTTCTTTCTTTTTTTTTTTTTTTTAAGTAATCACTTCCTTTATACTTGGGCAAATAAATTGTTCAGCATGCCCCCGATGAGATTGATTTATTTTTTAAAGATAAACACATTTTGATTTATTAAAATAACTGAATATCCAGGAGAGAAAATAATGGTGTGGTAGCTAAACAGGTCCACTCAAATGAATCTCAAATGCGCACTGTTGAGTGAAAGCAGCAAGTTACAGAAGAATATATCTCATATTATCACACTTACGTAAAACTTCTAAAAAGGCAAAATTAAGCAATATATTGTTTGGAGACATATAAATAAGTTACTGGAAGTATAAACTAATGCAAAAAGATTCTCTCTCACACACACACACACAAATACACACACATGATAATAGTTACTCTTGGGCAGGAAAGATGAGCATATTTACCTGAATGGAGCAGGGAGGGGGTTGTTAGCCAGGATTAATCTTTCGTGGAGCTGGAAGGGAGCAGATAAATGACACCACTTAAAAATACTAAAAACCGGCCAGGCACGGTGGCTCACGCCTGTAATCCCAGCACTTTGGGAGGCCAAGGCAGGCGGATCACGAGGTCAGGAGATCGAGACCATTCTGGCTAACACGGTGACACCCCGTCTCTACTAAAAATACAAAAAATTAGCCGGGCGTGGTGGTGGGCACCTGTAGTCTCAGTGAGAGGTGACAGCGTGCTGGCAGTCCTCGCAGCCCTCTCTCCTCTGCCTGGGCTCCCACTTTGGCAGCACTTGAGGAACCCTTCGACCCGCCGCTGCACTGTGGGAGCCCCTTTCTGAGCTGGCCACGGCCGGAGCCGGCTCCCTCAGCTTGCGGGGAGTTGTGGAGGGAGAGGCGCGGGCGGGAACCGGGGCTGCCAGCGGTGCGCGCGGTGCCTGCGGGCCAGCGCGAGTTCTGGGTGGGCGTGGGCTCCGCGGGCCCGCCGGCCCCGGCAGTGAGGGGCTTAGCACCTGGGCCAGCAGCTGCTGTGCTCGACTTCTCGCCGGGCCTTAGCTGCCTCCTCCCCGGGCAGGACTTGGGACCTGCAGCCCGCCATGTCTGAGCCTCCCCCTCGCGGCGGGCTCCCGTGCGGCCCGAGACTCCCTGACAAGCGCCGCTCCCTGCTCCACTAGCGCCCAGTACCACCTACCTCCCAAGGGCTGAGGAGTGAGGGCACACGGCGCGGGACTGGCAGGCAGCTCCACCTGCAGCCCCAGTGTGGAATCCACTGGGTGAAGCCAGCTGGGCCTCCTGAGTCTGGTGGGGACTTAGAGAACCTTTATGTCTAGTTAAGGGATTGTAAATACACCAATCAGCACTCTATATCTAGCTCAAGCTTGGTAAACACACCAATCAGCACCCTGTGTCTAGCTCAGGGTTTGTGAATGCACCAATCGACACTCTGTATCTAGCTACTCTGGTGGTGACTTGGAGAACCTTTGTGTCCACACTCTGTATCTAGCTAATCTAGAGGGGAGGTGGAGAACTTTTGTGTCTAGCTCAGGGATTGTAAATGCACCAATCAGTACCCTGTCAAAACGGACCAGTCAGCTCTCAGTAAAACAGACCAACCAGCTCTCTGTAAAACAGACCAACCAGCTCTCTGTAAAATGGACCAATCAGCAGGATGTGGGTGGGGCCAGAGAATAAAAGCAGGCTGCCAGAGCCAGCAGTGGCAACATGCTCGGGTCCCCTTCCACGGTGTGGAGGCTTTGTTCTTTCGCTTTTTGCAATAAATCTTGCTGCTGCTTACTGTTTGGGTCCACACTGCCTTTATGAGCTGTAACACTCACCACAGAGGTCTGCAGCTTCACTCCTGAAGCCAGCGAGACCATGAACCCACCGGGAGGAACTAACAACTCCAGCCCTGCAGCCTTAACAGCTGTAACACCCACCGCGAAGGTCTGCAGCTTCACTCCTGAGCCAGCGAGACCACAAACCCACCAGAAGGAAGAAACTCCAAACACATCCAAACATCAGAAGGTACAAACTCCGGACACGCCGCCTTTAAGAACTGTAACACTTACCACACGGGTCCGCGGCTTCATTCTTGGAGTCAGTGAGAACAAGAACCCACCAATTCCGGACACACCAGCTACGCGGGAGGCTGAGGCAGGAGAATGGAGTGAACCTGGGAGGCAGAGCTTGCAGTGAGTCGAGATCGCGCCACTGCACTCCAGCCGGGGAGACAGCGAGACTCCGTCTCAAGAAAAAAGAAAAATACTAAAAACCCTCCAAGTTATTTTCTATTCTAAGATTTTAAAATTCTCAAAAGTTTAAGAAGTTAGATGTTAGGAGTTACTGGCGCTATAGTCTTTCTTGGAATTAACTGGGACCCTTCCTCTTTCCTTCCACACTTCTAAGATGGCCCCTAAGATTCCAGCTTCCTGGTGTACATCCAGGTCCTCCTGATGCCGAATAAAGGCTAGGCCATTTCCAATTCTCCACGCGGTGCAATTGTATAATGCAATTGTTATAGACTCCCATTGTTTGCTTAGAAATGCTATTTGCAGATGTGTACCAACCTGCTGGCAATCATATTTTTAACTTTTTAAAAGGATAACAAGGTCTTTGTAAGGCTCCTACTTAAGCACTGACAGATGTTAGAATTAATCAGGTGCTCCTGTTTGGGCGGGTTATCATTAGTCATACACTCAATCATCTTTACTGAGCACTTACCACACACTAGACCCTGCTTGGGGCATGGGAAATTTTCAGTGACCCACACAAGCAAGGTCCTGGTCTTTCAGGAGCACACAGTCCAATGGAAGAGAGAGACAGGTGATTCCACAAAGAACGCAGGACTTTAAATGCCAGAGAAGTGCAAGCAGTGGGCTCCGGGGTTCAAAACAGCCCAGGCGATGTGTGTGAAGGTTCACAGAGGAGACCAAGTGGGAAGAGAGCTGGGGAAGGCTGGGAGGAATGGCCTTTCCACCAGGGGAAACAGCGCAGGCAAAGGCAAGGAGGTGCAAAGATCTCAGTGTTCAAGGAACCAAAAGTATGTACGTTGTTACACCTGAAACTTCTTTTGTTTTTTGTTTTTGTTTTTGTTTTTGTTTTGAGATGAAGTCTTGCTCTGTCACCCAGGCTGGAGTGCAATGGCGCAATCTCGGCTCACTGCAACCTCCGCCTCCCGGGTTCAAGTGATTCTCCTGCCTCAGCCTCCCGAGTAGCTGGGATTACAGGCACGCACCACCACGCCTAGCTAATTTTTGTATTTTTAGTAGAGATGGGGTTTCACCATGTTGGCCAGGTCTTAATTTCTTGACCTCATGATCCACCTGCCTCAGCCTCCCAAAGTGCTGGGATTACAGGCATGAGCCACTGTGCCCGGTCTACACCTGAAACTTTTAAGCTATGTGTAGAGGAATGTCAGAAAACACCATTGAGACTAGGCCAAAAAGACACAATCTCACATATTAGATACTTATTTGGCTAAGTTAACTGTTCATCTTCTAGGACAAATATCAATAAACTTTATCTGTAAAAGACCAGATAGTATTTTAAGCTTTGGAACATGGTCTCTGTCCCAACCGCTCAATCTGTAGCACAAAAGCAGCCAGGGCAAGTATGAAGGAAAATGGGCATGGCTGTGTGACCAATGCAACTTCATTTACAAAATCAGTCTGAGGGCTGGATTTAGGGGGCAGGCCATTGTTTGTCAACATCTGTTCTAGAAGTATTAAGCTGTTAGGGGGCTTTGCCAATCTTATATGAAGGCACAATCTGTAGCAATAAATGAAGATCATTTACTGAACACTCTGTAAGCAGCTTCCATGGTTTGATGATGATTTTTCAATTCTGATGATTCTAATTACTCAATTGCAATTCTACTCTGCCCTGCTTGCCTTTTGGTGTTACAGGGATGACCAAGTGCCACTGGACAGACAGACCCGTGGAATGTTGTAGCCAGAAGGGAATCGTGAATCATATAATTCCATGCATTTTACAGATGAGGAAATGGAAATCCAGAGAGGTGAAGAGACAGCCCCAAGGTCACAGAACTAGGCTGTGGCACACACAATTGCGTTAAAAGGCCTGCGTCTGTGGAATGCCCACTTCGTGCTCTAGACACACTGTTTCCAACCCTCACCCCTATGCTGCCTCTCCTGCAGATTGTTCTTAGGGAGTGGACCTCAAAGGAACCTTTGGCCTCAAAGGAGCCCTGCATTCCAAGAGTCCATTGGTCAGTGGAAATAGGAATTCCAAATGAGGGTTTGTGTGAAGAGCATACAGCAGAGTGGCCACTGGAGAGTAGCTGGTATGAAGCCCAGTTGGAGTGGTCAGCACCCAATTCTGACTTCCAAAAGGGCACTTAACCTCTCGGTGCCTAATTGTCCTAATATGCTAGTTGAGAATAATGGTATCTATCATGCATGGTTGCTGTGATAGTCAAGGAGGGTCATGCATACAGGCCTCTCTTGCTGTGTCTAAGACCCTAGAACCACTCACTCAGGGGCAGGGGCAGGGGCACAGCCTTTCTGGGCCCTCCAGCATGCAGGATGCTTAGCAGCATCGTCCACACTGGGTCGGTAAACAGCTGGAGCTTACTGAAATGGTGCAGTGTGAATTGGGCCTTCAAGAGCTCAAAACTCATCTCAGCCAACTGACTTAGGAATGCCCTCCTTCACCCATGGAACTCTTCGTAGCACACTCATTGAATGCCAGCCAGGCCCAGGGTCAGGATGGGGACTGTGAATTTCCCACAACTTAATAGTGCTCTGGTGTGATCCCACCCACAGAGGATGCGTGTGTGATGTGGGCATCAATGCCAGCCTGGGGGTATCAACTGGAACTGGAACTCTGGGCTAGAAAGGGCATCATCCATCTCTTGGGCAGGCTCTGAGCTGCCTGCAACGTGCTGAGGATTCTGCAAACATCATCTTCTGGAGCCCTCATCATCTCCTGAGGTCAACCTCAGGTATCCAATTCACTGGATTAAGCTGTGACTAGTGAGCTGGTTGACTGAGTGAGGAAGATCTGCTCTCAATGTGGGCAGGCACCATCCAATTCACTGGGAGCCCTAATGGAACAAAAAGGCAGAGGAAGGGTGGATTCTTTCTCTCTGTTTTCTAGAACTGGGACGCCCTTCTTCTCCTGTCCTTGGATGTCAAGATTCCAGGTTCTCTGGCTGTTAGTCTCCAGGACTCACTCCATCACCCCCATTCTCAGGCCTTTGGCCTCAGACTGAGAGTTATGATATAGGCTTCCCTGGTTCTGAGGCTTTCAGACTTGCACTGAGCCACACTACTGGCTTTCCTGGATCTCCAGCTTGCAGACAGTCATTGGACTTCTCAGCCTTCATTATGGTGTGACCAATTCCCCTGATAAATACCTCTTTTATATCTATTTATATCATGCTGGTCCTGTCTCTCTGGAGAACCTTGACAAATACAGTCAGATGAAAGAGTGTGAGGAACTAGCCCAAGGCTACAATAAACACTGGAGGCTGCAGCCTCAGGCAAGGACTCAGCTCAGGGGCTTTAAAAACAGGGAAGCACCAGACACAGTTTTTCCCCCGAGAGGAGGTGAAAGTCTAATGTGAGAGGCAGATACAGAAGGGCCTCGTGTCATTCTAATGGGGAAAACAGGAATCAAGGCAGGGCCACTCCATTGGCAGGGCCAAGAGGTCTTCCTGGAGCTGGTGGCACCTGAGCTAATAAGCCCTGGGAGTCCAGAGGAGGCTAGGGAGTGTGTCTGTTAGAATGGGAGGCCTGGGCTTGAATCCATTCTGAACCACTTACCAGCTGAGTAACCTTTGACGCAACATCTCCTTTTGCTTCAATTGCTTCAACTGTTCAATGGGCTAATAATAATATCTGCCTCACAGAACTGTTGCAAGGATTAAATGAGCTAAGAGTTTAAAGTGTTCATTCATGCTCACTGTTCCTGGGAAAGGGGCGGAGTTGGCTGAGTGACATAGGCACAGGACCCACAGCCCATGAGCAGGTGGCATACCTGAGTACAGGACTAAGGGAGGAAGTCCACACCCACGTGTGGGGCACATCCGCTGCTGAGCCATGAAACCTGAGCCTTTTCTTGAAAAAGAACCATTGCTCACAGGCCATGCCATGTGCCTTGTCCATGCCTGACCATGATCTCACTGGCACAGGTGGCTGGATGGCTGCTAGTCTAGGAGAAATCCAGGATTCTTCCACAGTCACTCGTATTCAGAATCCTTGCTCCTGACACTCTGAGATGCCACCATAGTTCCAGATGCCACATGGGGAGGGAGCTCTGCAGTCAGTATCTCATTGAACCGACCAGAACCTTCAGACCCTGAAGACGCCCCTCAGCTCAGTGCCGCAGGCTGGGTCATCCTTCGTCATTACAGACTGGCTGTCCTGCTCTCCGAGGCCCTGTCCTGCAAGCTTCTGAAAGCAGCCGGACTCCCGACTCCTGAATCGATTCTACAGCCATGCCTGTTCTTTCTAATCAGAACAATGCCGCATGACACCAAGTCCGCTCTTCTTAAAATGCAAGGGGCTTTCTGAAAGGTGTGCAGGTGATGATAAACAGGGCTTGAGCCCAGCCTAATCAAGCCCATGCATCTTCACAACCTGGGGACAGAGCAGTGGCTGTGGAGAGAACCGGGCAGGAGAAAGAGCCTCGTTCGAGGAGAGGCAAGTCCATCCATTCTGTTCTGCCCTGAGCACACAGCTGGGCCTTTGGTCTGGGGTCCTTGGAGCAGGCCCCCGGTGCACAACAAGCCTGGGGATTTGCAGGACTTGAGTGTGAACCTGCCTCGCCCCCCACTTGCCCGCTCTGGGTTCTTGACTTCCTCACAAGCACAAAGAGGATGATAATGATTACACTTAACCCATAAACTAATCAGGGTCAAGTGAAATAATTCAAGGAAAGCTCTTAGCCTAGTGCCTGGCTTATAGTCAGGGCTGAACAAGTTTTATCTAACAAAGAAAAAACAAATGTAGTGCCTACATAGGCGGGGAGGCCTGCGGCGAACACAGCCATCCTGCCGTCTGCACTTCCTCTCTGCTGGGGACCCGATGATGCATTAAATGTCCTCACGTGAGCAGCCTTCGCAGTTTGTTCTCACATCAATCTTGCAAATAAACGTAATTAGCCACCCTGTAACTCACGAAAAGACAAGCTCAAAAATGTGAGGTGACCTGCTCGAGGTTACACAGCAAGGTCCCTCCCACACCACGGTGGAGATAAACCTAACGGAACAACTCCAGAGAAATTCATGGCAGATTGAGAGTAGAAAATCGACAGTGATAAAAATTGGTAATGGTAGCTGTTGTAGACCATGTTACTGCTGACAAAACAATTATTGTTACAAGAATCCCACCATGTTATTTTATGGAATCTTCCTTAAAATCCTGGGAACTCAGGTGTGCCACAAATGCTTCTTGGGTAAATTCCACATGAGGTTCCATTCCCATTCACATTATGCATGCGCGGGGCCCCGAGTCAGGCAGATCCAAGTGGCTTGTCCAGGGCCACCCAGTGCTGAGTGTCGGAGGCAGGACTCAAAGGGAAGTCTGTGTGGGTTCTGTGCCCAAGTTTCTGCAAAACACCCAGCTGAGCCGCTGTAGAGGGGCACAGGGTGTTTGGCCTTGCTGAATTTCTGTTTTGAGAGGACTGGAAGCCAACCTGTGGGGCTGAGCCCCGGGAGTACCTTTCAGCCCTGGGAGCCTCTGACCTCATTTACTTTTGAGCGGATCCCCATCCTTGGCCTCCCCTGCTAGCATTTTGAGAGTGGCAGCTCCCTGTGGGAATGCGCAGCACTTGTCTATAGAAAAACCTGCTGGGGATTTCCCTTCACTGGGCAATTCATTCCATTTCTTTCCTCTCTTTATCCCCTAAGCACTTTTAAACATTTCTGGGAGATAGTTCCATTGCAAAAGTTGGAAAGGGAGGTGCGTTTGAATCTCAGTGTACTGTGAAGCCTGGTTTTGAGCCCTTTCCTTTTGTAAACAATCATCACATCAGAGCTGGAAGAGCCGTGGGCCATTGTGCAGCCCAGCCTTAGTGTACAGGTAGGGAAACTTGGAGGCTTGGAGGCAAGGAGACTTCAGCAATATCACACTTTTAGTTAGTGATAGATACACCAGGCTCTATCAATCCCCTTCTCTTTCTCCCTCTCTCTTTCTCTCACATGCGCACACACACACAAACACACAGACTCACACCCTTAGCAGGCACAAAGGATAGCCCACTTGATAAGTACGAGAGAGACTGGCAGCTGCCTACCCAGCATCCACTCTCTCTATCCAGTGGTTCTCCAAATATTGACCCGGGACCGGCAGCAGCAGCAGGGCATGGAAGCTTATTAGAAATGCAAATTCTCAGGCCCCGCTCAGACCAAATCAATCTGAAACCCTGGGGACGGTTCCCTGGAATCTGCATTATAACAAGCCTCAGGGTGATTCTGATGCAGCTGAAGTTTGAGAACACTGGATTAAGAAAATGTGGCACATATATACCGTGGAATACTATGCAGCCATAAAAAAGGATGAGTTCATGTCCTTTGTAGGGACATGGATGAAGCTGGAAACCATCATTCTCAGCAAACTATCACAAGGACAAAAAACCAAACACCACATATTCTAACTCATAGGTGGGAATTGAACAATGAGAACACTTGGACACAGGAAGGGGAACATCACACACAGGCCCCGGCCTGTCGTGGGGTGGGGGGAGGGGGGAGGGATAGCATTAGGCGATATACCTAAGGTAAATGATGAGTTAATGGGTGCAGCACACCAACATGGCATATGTATACATATGTAACAAGCCTGCACGTTGTGCACATGTACCCTATAACTTAAAGTATAATAAAAAAAAAGAAAAAGAAAAGAAAACCACTGCTGAAGGGGATGCTTTTTGTGTTCTCCACCCCTCCCTGCAGCCCACCTAGGGTTTCAGCTGTGGCTGGGCTGAGTGTCTCCTGGCAGCATCCCACTTCCTATATCAGCCACATCTTTCAGCCTGTCTGACCCCAGGGTGTGTCCAGAGCCGCAGCTGCTCACCCAGGGATGTTCAGAGTATGGGGGAATTCACATCCCTGGAGCCACCTTCACCCACTGGAGGGCACGCGTCTGTGGCCCAGCCCCAGCCTCAGCCCAGCCCCCTGCCCTGACAGTTGCAAAACATGGCCACAGCTCCAAGCATCATCAGCTCAGTGCATAGTCTGTGCAGTGCCTTCTCCATCCATGGTGCACAAGCCCTCTGGCCTTACTTCTTTTCCCAGGATCACCCTTGAGTCTGCCAGTGGCTAAGTCTGTCTTGGGATCTGCTTTGGGGGAACCCAGACTAAGACAGATGGTACCAAAAGTGGCCCCGGGAGGCAGCACTCCGGATGAGATTCTAGCATTGGGTCCCTCATTGATCAGCAGTAACAAGCGCACGATAGGTACTGCCATGACAAGGGGATAGGAGATGAGGTAGATGGAGGAAAGGCACAGATGCTCCAGCCACTGACTGCGGCACAAAAAAACCACACCAAAACTTAGTGGCTCAACACAGTGGTGAGTAAATTATAGCCCTTGGGCCAAATGTGGCCCTCCACCTGTTTTTGTCAATGAAGTTTTATTGGAACACAGCCATGCCCATGTGTTAAGGCTGCTTTCATGCTACAGTGGCAAGTTGAGTAGCTGTGACAAACTGTATATCCTGCAAAGCCTAACATATTTACTACCTTGTCCTTCACAGAATAAGTTTGCTGACCTCTGACTTAAAACAACATTTATTTTGCTCTTTTACGTGCAGTTTGGGGATGGCTCTTTGGGGACAGCTTGTTTGTGCACCACACAGAACCAGATAGGTGCACAGGCCAAGGCAGTACAATCATGCATGCAGGACCATGGGATCTACTGTTCCTCCCGACACCACATCACCCAGAGGCAGCAGGCTCAGCTGAGATGGCAGCTCAGCCAACAGCAGGCCAGGGCTCTGTCCTGGGGGCTGCAGTGTGTGCAGTGAGCCCGTGGTCAGTGTGCAGGACTCAGAGCCGGTAGTTGGAGTATACACTTCTAGGAACAGGAGGTGGAAGGAGGATTGGTCCCCTCACTGTCACTGCTGGTGACTTCGTCAAAGAAAATGGCTTCCCGTCCCTGCAGCTCTAGTGTGTGCTGGGTTCAATGTCCTGGTTCCCAGAACAAGATGGTCCCACCAGGACACAGGTAAAGTTTACCCTTAATCTAACCCTGTGCCTGCTGCCTGGCCACTTTGGGGCCTCAAGCTGGTGGGCCAGCAGACAGAGAGAAGAGTTCCTACAGTAGTGGGGACACTCAACCCTGATGACACAAGAAGGTAGGGTTGGCCCCATGTGATGCAGAAGGGATAAGCATGTCTGGAATTCAGGGGACTCACTGGGATGGCCCCTGATGCTTCACACCCAGAGATAGCAGGGAATGTGTGACTGCCACCTGAGGTCAAGGCCGCCAGAACATAGCCTCTCAGGGAGGGAGGATTGGGGCCCTCTACCAGCTTGCTTGGCTGGATTAGAGTAACATGACAGTGCAGGGCAACCTCCAGCTAGTGGGGATGGTGTCAGTGCACAAGGTCCAGCCACCGCCTCTGGGGAGGCAATTTTGGAAGGCATCCTTTTTGGGGGACGCAGGAGAGACTGAGCCCTAGTTGCTCCCAGGCAATAACACACACGCTATTGCTTTTTCTCCTTTCTCAGTCTCATTCTTTCTGCTCCCTCATGTATATTCTACCTGCAGCCAAACCTGCGTAAACCCCGGCTCTGCATCACAAGGCTGTGCAGTGTTGGGTAAGTTCCTGAAACTCTCTGGGCTTGCATTTCCTCATCTGCAGGGTGGGGCTGTGAGTCTACCTTCCTCAGACTCGTTCCAAAGATTAAACTAAATGATTAGGTATCAGCCACTCGGCCCAGTGCCAGGCTTAGCTGGTGCTCTCTGGAGCTTGTTGTTATAACCGTGGGACCAGGGCCTCCAGGGTCAGCACTAGGAAAGGCACTATGAAAGACTAACTTGTTTAAACCCATTTTTCAAGTTTCTGCAAGGCTAATATACAATATAAAGCTTTAGCTCCTCGAGGAACTCATTCAAAATGTAAAATTGGTGAGTGCTTTCTGAATACTAGGGTTTTAAATTTACCAATATTACATTCATCTTCTAGACAGTGGGGCTCCAGTCATCATGGTGGGCCTTGAGTTGTCTGGAAGTGGAGGATGCTGTGAGCCTCGCCTAGGTTCTCCCGGCAATAAAAGAAGCAGGGAGATGATGAAGACGCCGGAGGCGGCTCTTCAGCGGGAAGAAGCGTTCTCCATGTGCACAGAGACTGTTCTGAAATGGCTGGGGAGCTGCCTGGGGATGAGGCAGCAGACTTCCTCTAGTGGACTGCCAGGAATGATGCTCCAAGCTTTCACAAGAGGGACTGTGGGCAAAGATGTGGGCACAGTAAGAGCAGCAGCAGAAGCTGCTGACGTCCCCAGAGACCAGCAGTGTTGGAAGCCATTGCCAGCCGGGCCTGAGATCAGGGGAGAGGGTGGTTTCCAGAACCTGGTGAGAAGCACAGTCATGAATGAGGGTGCCAGACAGGAGCAGTGGCCACAGGCAGAAGAGCACTGTCGTGCTCAGAACCACTGCCCCAAAAGAATGTGGGGACCAACCCGCTGAGCAGACACCCCAGAGTCTGACCCAGATTCCCCACTGATGGAACCCAACCAGAAGCCATAGAGGTCAGCTTCCTGGGGGAGGGAGCAGGGTAGAGCAGAGGGGAGAAGGATCCAGGGTAGGAGGAGAACAGCTGCTGTGTGAGTTCAGTGGAAGCTGACCATCAGGGATGGGCTGGACAATCTAAGAGGGAGCAAGTTCCCTGTCATCGGAGATTTCTCAGCAAAGACTGGACAAACACCAAAGAGTTAGCATCATAGGATTCCCTACTCTGGTTAGAAGGATGCTCAACCTGACGGCATACAGAATCATTCAGGGAACTGTTGAAAAATATGGATGCCTGGGCCCTGCGCTCTACCCCAGACACACTGAATCGAATCTTGCAGGGTGAGCCAAAGCATGTGCATATGAACAGCCTGCACCTTCGGCCCTGCAGGAACCATGGGTCAGAGGCTTGGGTGGGATCCAGGTCCTGACCTGGGCAGGGAGAGAGAAGTCCCAGATCTGCCAGGAAGCACTATCTTTGAGTTTTGGGAAGTTCTTTAGCCTCAGAAGCTCTAGTTCCTTACCTTCTAAATGAGAGTTTCCAGCTCACCCCAGGGTATCAGGGGCCTTAAGACACGGTGGAAGGAACAAGCCCAGTGCCTGTCGCTGGAAGCAGCTCCTGCCCGCCCTTCCCCATGCCCAGTGCCTGTCGATGGAAGCAGCTCCTGCCCACCCATCCCCAAGCCCAGCTGCCTGGAATCAAACCCTGCTCCGACACTTACTCACTTTGTGACCCAGGACACCCATTCATCCTCTCTATGCCTCGTTCTCTCATCTGTAATATGCCGGCAATGATGGAATCTAACTGACAACAGTGAAGATTCCATAAGCTCATGCTCTCTGGCATGGAGTGTGAGCAGTGAGGATTCCATGAGCTCACGTTGTCTGGGTTGGGGTTGTGGGCTATTATCACGCTGTTGTTTCTGTGCTGCCCCTGACCAGCCCGGGAACTGAAAGAATTCAGGCATAGGAAAAGAATCGAGGGCCTGAAGATCCTTAGCCTGGAACATGTGTTTTGGGGCCATAGTGCGATTGTCACTTTCAATATCTGGAAGGGCTGTCAGGAGGAGAGGTTGTATCCACTCTCTATGATGTAAAGCACAGAGCAAGAGCCAGTGGGTACAAGCAACAGGAAAGCAAGCTTTAGATCAATAAGAGGAAGTACTAATTCTTCTTACTTATTTATTTATTTCTGAGATGGGGGACTCGTTATGTTGCCCAGGCTGGTCTCAAACTCCTGGCCTCAAGCGACCCTCCTTCTCAGCCTCCCAAAGTGCTGGGATTACAGGTGTGAGCCACTGCACCCGGCCAAGTATGAATTTTCTTCTATCCTCCCTTCCCTGATTTTTTTCTGCCCTCTATCTCCGCTCTGCCTACTCCTATCTGCACGTGTATAGTATGCATGTGCTGTGTGCTAAGCACTGTGCCCATGGCTGAAGATGTAAATATTAATGATACCCACTCCCTGCAGTCAAGTTGCCCACAGTCCAGTGGAGGAAGACAGAACTAAGTGAGCCCCTCCTCTGGTTCCTGATCTCCCACGTCAACCTCTGTTTTAACGCTTTTCACACTGTCTTGTCAGAGCTGTCTAAGAAGGAATGAGCTCCCTCGGAGAGACAGTGAGCTGCCCATCATCAGAAGTATGCAAGCAAAATCAGAACTATTTGTCAGGAGGAGAGGAGGGAGAGAGGTGGTATTCTTACAGTGAAGATGGGACAGGATGGTCACTTCTTTTTATTTCTTATTTTTTTAATTTTGAGATGAGTCTCACTCTGTCGCCCAGGCTGGAGTGCAATGGCACTGTCTCAGCTCACTGCAACCTCCACCTTCTGGGTTCAAGCAGTTCTCCTGCCTCAGCCTCCCAAGTAGCTGGGATTACAGGCACCTGCCACCACACCGGGCTAATTTTTGTATTTTTAGTAGAGATGGGGTTTCACCACGTTGGCCAGGGTTGTCTCGAACTCCCGACCTCAAGTGATCCGCCCACCTCGGCTTCCCAAAGTGCTGGGATTATAGGAATGAGCCACTGCACCTGGCCCAGCATGGTCACTCCAAGGGGAAGGGCTATGGTCAAAAATGGGCAATATCCCTGCTCCCACACATGTCTTCATAGTAATCACATCCACTGACTGGCAAGCAGACCTGGCCTCCACAGACCCAGCGAGCTCCTTTCACCTACCCCTCACTGCAAGACCCTTTGCCCCATCTTCATGATGTCCTAATGGCTCCCATATTTTTCCTTCAGCTGTGTGGCTGGCATCGCTTTAAGGGGAGAAGGTCGTTCCTACAGCACTTGGAGGTCGTCACTCAGGGTGGCGATGATCCTCACCATCTCCCCGTCCCTTCCTCCTCCTCTCCCCACCCAGATGCACAGGGGGCATCCATTTCACCCTCCTTGTCACACGGAGCTGTACCTTTGGGAAGAGGCTATTCTGGCAGCTCTCCAGTGCCAGCACACCCAGGGATGCTGGGAGGAAGGGCCTGGCAGAGGCTAAGGGTTTTGGCCTGGCAGAGGCTGGAGCTTCCCCTCCCTTCCCTGCTGCTTCTGAGAGCTGCTTTGGGGATGCTCTTGAAGCCATTCCTAATTATTTTAACAAGCAAATACATTCATATACTTTGATATGCAAACTATTACCAGTCACATGCGCCCCTAGCTGATCGTGACAACAGCTGAGAACTGCTGGACTGAGCATTTAATGTCTGCTGAAGAGTGGACAAAGCTATGATCCTCACCATTATTCATGAAGCTAAAGAGGAGGCTGCGGGTGTGGACACCATGAGGCAGAGTGAGGGAGAGAAGAGGTGAGGGAGAACGAGTGTCATTTCCCCTCGACCTGGTGAGCTGAACAGCCCATGTGACTATGTTTCCCTTCCTGCTTTACCTCCAGGCACCTCGGAGCTAAATTAATAGCTCAGAGGCAGAAACGACTTCAGCACAAGTAGTCTATACATATATATTTTTTCTAGTTTCTTTTATATGATCTTTATTTTGTGTAGGTTTTTTTTTTTGCTTCTTTTATATGTGTTTCAATATTGTAAGACTTCCCAAATCCTTTCCAAGAGGTAGACAGAATGTAAGTGATAAATGAATAAACATTTAAATAAGTAAGGCAGACACCAGCTTCTTTTTTAAAGCAATTTTTCATTCCTTTGTGGGTGTCTGTCATTCATGGCAAATGCACTGCTCACTGTGTGGCCCCAACCATTCGCCCCTTCCAGGCCTCAGCTCACCCAGTGTGCATGAAGCCCCTGCTGTGTGTGAGTGCGCCCAGCCCTGAGGACGCACAGGTCCCCAGAGACAAGGCAGCAGCCCAGTGAGACAGGAAGGAGGGGCTCTCCCTGGGGAGGCGGCCACACCCCCTCAATGATGAACTCTCCTGAAGTGTGCATGTGTGGGAGGAAGTCATTCTTCACTGGTTCTCCTGCTGAGTCTTTTCTGGTGAAAAGATTAGAGATGGCTAAGGCTCCAGGATTCCCAAGTCCCTTCTCCATAAACCTCTGTCACCAGCCTATTGACATGCCTAGGGTCAAGGGAAACTGACGAAGACAGCCGTGACCACCCATGAGGGCTTGGACCACCACCCGAGGGCTGGATTAGGTAGGACCCAAAATACACCATTCAGGAGCAGACACAAAGGGACATACCAGTCTTCATCCTCTTCCTAACTGGTTTCCAAGAGGGTGGGGTGGGGAGGAGGCCACCTTCTCTCAAGCTGGAGGAAGCCATGGAGATAGGTGCTGCCCAGAGGGCAGGCAGGAGACGTAAATGAGTAGGAGCCTTGGCTGACACTGAGTCTCCAAGTCCTTTCCCTTCTCACAGTAGGAAGAGATACCAGATACCATCCCACCCCTAGTGCTGTGCTCAGCTTGGCCTGGCCTTGACCCAGACTCTGGGTGAGGGGAGGGAGCCCTGAGCTCCCCTGGAGCCTTATCCTTTAATGACAGTTTGGCAACAGTGAATTCCTGAATCCAAAGCTGATCCTTAAGGGATTCCCTAACTCTAAGCAGAGTACTCCATGATAGAATCTTCAAGAAAGCTGGTAGGCCTGTGTCTGAGGTCACCTTGGAGAAAGGGGACCTTGTGGTCATCACCAACCCTGAGAGTAGTAGGACCTCAGAACAGGAAGGGGTTTGCAAGGTTGGCTGGTTTCGTGGTTTTCCAACTCTGTTCCTTATAAACTGGGGGTTTGCCAGGGCTCAGCCCAGGAGGTGTCCTGGGGAAGATCCTGGTCCTAGCTGGAGCAGCTCCAATTTCACCAGTTCTTCATACTGGTAAGATTTTGTTAGGAGAAAGGGTTAGAAAACTGCTGGCCATGTACAACCATCAGTAAAAGCAGGACTCCCTTCCCAGGCCAGAGGGAGCAGCTTATCTGCTTGAACTTCTGTGTGCTCAGGGAACTGATATAAAACCCCACCTTGGCCAGGTGCAGTGGCACACAGCTGTAATCCCAGCAATTTGGGAAACCGAGGCAGGCAAAACACCTGAGGTCAGTAGTTCGAGAACAGCCTGGCCAACATGGTGAAACCCTGTCTCTACTAAAAATACAAAAAATTAACTGGTCATGGTGGTGGGCGCCTGGATTCCCAGCTACTCGGGAGGCTGAGGCATGGGAATGGCTTGAACCTGGGTGGCAGAGGTTGGCAGTGAGCTGAGATCGCACCACTGCACTCCAGCCTGGGCGACAGAGTGAGACTCTGTCTCAATTAAAAACAAACAAACAAAAAATCTACCTTGCTCCATCCAAGATAACAGAAGCAATTGAGAACTCTGAAGTCAGTTGAGTGATCAAAATGGCACCTTCTGTTATTTATAGCAGAAACTGCTTGTGGTCATCTGACATTCCTTCTCTCTTTCTCCATCAAAAGACGACACTGTCCAGCCTCCCTTGCAGTTAGAAGTGGTTGCCAAGTATTGGCCAAGAAGATGTAAACTAAAATGTAGTGTCAGACTTCCAAGAAGATTGTACAAGAGGAGCTAACTTAGCTGGGATGGGTACTGTTTCTGTCTTTCCTTCTGCGGTATGGAATGTGGAGGCAATGGCTGGAACTCCAGCAGCCATCTTGGCCTGTGAGGTGACTCTCAAGATGAAAGCCTGCATTTCAGGTAATGGAGAGAAAGGCTGGGATCTGATGGCCCTGTGGAGTCCCCATATCAGCCCTGCATTATCTGACTTATTTATGGACATCATTTGTATGTGAAAGAAACAAACTATTGTTTAATCACAATTATTTGAAATTTTCTGTCACGTGCAACTAAGTCTGCTGCTCATTATTAAGCTTGGTTAAAGGATCATGTGACCTAGCTACGGGGCTAGAAGGATTTGCCAACACTTTTCCCTCCCCATAACCCAACTTTAGAACTTGAGAGAGCCCCCTCCCCATCACCCCTTGCATGGGCAAGTTTAGTTTTATGAGGATGACACACCCTCCAAAATAACTGTTTTCCTCTGGTCCCAACCAGAGATGAGAAAAAAGCGAGGACTCCAGCACATGGAATCTTCTAACAGAAGAGCTCTGCCCAGCTGACAAAGGCCAGGGGAGCTCTCTGCCCCTGGGAATTTGCAGTGGGAAGAGAACTGTTCCACTGTGAGAAGACTCTCTGCCTCCTGGGACAGCTCTGACTGCTGGAAGCTGCTCATGATACTGACGTTATACTGAGCTGGAAAATCTCCGTTCTGGGGGATGATGCCAGGGAGTGTGAGTTCTACCAGCATTTACACAGAACAAGTCTCTTTGAAAGGTCTGAGGATGCTTCAAAACAAAGGGAGAGCGCAGATTGCAGGGTTGCCCAGTGAAATACAGCACATCCAGTTAAATCTGAGTTTTAAACGATGAATTATTTCTTCTTGTAAAACATGTCCCAAATATGGCAAAGGACATACTTATACATAAAGATTTATTTGTTGCTTATCTGAAATTCAAATTGAACTGGGCATCTTATATTTTTATTTGCTTAATCCGGCAACCTTAGCCGAGAGGCACCAAATTTCCAAACTCTCAGATGGGCTGCACTGATTTTTGAGAAAGGGGTGTGATTTGAACATCCGTTTGCAATGTTCTCTTCTCTCCCTGGCATCCTTTGGTCCATTTCTAACCTCGCCTTTTTCATAAATCCATGGCCTCCACCGAGCCTTTCCTGTTAACTTCAGCCCGCAGCAACCCAGAGGGCATCTGTGCCCCATTTCTGCCTCTGGTGTACAAGTGATCCTCACCTCAGCCTCAGACCCAGGGCTGGAGAACAAGACCTCTGGAGCCCTTCAAAGTCTTCATTCTCTGGCTACAGCAATTTGTTTTTGGACTAGCACAGTGACCCCAGTCTGTCCAATCAGAGTGCATCATAGAGGCTTGCTGGGGCACGTGACTGAAGTCTGTCCAATCAGAATGCATCCCAGAGTCCTGGCTGGGGCATGTGACTGAAGGCTGTTCAATCAGAGTGCATCACAGAGTCTTGGCTGGGGCGTGTGACTCAAGTCTGTCCAATCAGAATGCACCACAGAGTCTTGGCTGGGTAAGGGTGACCAGATCTCACCTGGAAGAAGGCTTGGCTGTCTTGAGACCGGAAGAGAGCAGTTAGTCCGGGAATGGCACCAGCCCCAAGGGACCAGATTTAAGAGACAAGCTAGCTTTATCCTCTGGACTTTTTGGCTTACTTGAATCAATAATTCCCTTTGGCTGAGAGCCAGCGTGTTCTGGGTTGTTCTGAGGCTTGGAAACAAAAGGCTTCTAACGGATACAAATCTCCAAAACCGGCATTGAAAAGTGAGAGTCCAGCAAGCCTGTCCCGTCTCAACAAACACAAAGTGCTGGGCACACTGCTGATCCCCTGAGACTTCGGCTCTCCTTCCCCTTCTGGGGTCTGCAGGGCGCTTCCACTTAGCCCTCACCACAGCCCTCATTGCAGCTAAACAGATAAGGGAATGATCAAGATAACAGCAGCCAGCATGGCCCCGGCTGGAGAATCAGATTCAGGGCGGAGATCTCTCCCCTGTTCTCTCATTTGATCCTCACACCAACTCTGACTGAGCTGCTATTTTGCAGCCTGCCCTGCCGAGAGGACACAGAGATGGCATAACCTGCCCAAGGCAATGTGGGTAGCCCTGAGGTGAAGCCAGGATTGGAGTCCCATTCGGGAGCCTGCGCTCTTCATCACAAGCTGCCTTTGTTTTGGGTGCCAGGGCTGGCCAGGGCATGGCAGCGGTCGTCAGCTGGGAGAGCAGAAAGAGCTGCTCGCAGAGTCCTAGAGATAATTTAGATCCTGGCCCCAGCCCACACTTGCTTAGGAAGGGCCAGCAGGCCCCTCTGCTGTCCTCAGCGTGCTCATCTCCCATTTAGGGCCTGACCACCCACCTTCCTTTGTTGGCAGCATTCAAAGCATGGGGTGGAGGCTGAGAGGCAGGCTGGGGCCAGGGCTGAGGGTGCTCAGAAGGAGCGGGGGAAGGAGTGCCTAAGAGTGAGTGGGGCCAGCTGGTGCAGGTTGGCCTATCTTGGAAAAGCACCTCTGGTCATCCTGCAGAGACTGGAGGGAGAGAGGAGAGATACTTCTATGGCCACAGGAAACCAGGGCTCCTATGGATGGAGCTTCCCAGGCATGAGGTGGTTTAGAGTCTGAGAGTAGCCCAGGCTTTTTGGACCAACCACAGCTCGACAAGGTGGCCTCCATATTGCTGGGAATATGCTTTGGGCTTCATCTGCTCCCTCGGGTTGGGGGCTGCAGAAACCAGATGAGCCAGGAGGGCTGATGAATGGGGTCAGGGGAGAGCTCTGGCTTCCCCGGCTTGTGCCAGTCCCTGCATCTCTATTCTTCCTGCACCTCCCTTAGACAATTCCCCACACCGCCTGGGGCAGTGGGAAAGGAGCGAGCTGAGAATTCGACAAATGTGTTCTCTCTCCAAGGACTGCTACGAGAGCTGCCTCCAGCTGCGGTGATCCCCTCCACATATCAGCTGGCTCCTTCTAAAATGTGGATCTCATGACGTTGCGTCTCCAACTCAAACCCCCAAGCGCCCTTCACGGTCCAGAAAGCCAAGTTGTAGCTCCTCAGCATGGCAGCAAAGTGCTGCAGGACATGGAGGCCTTGCTACCTCCCAGCCTCAGCTCCACCCTTCCCCCAAAGCGTGGCCTGCTTGCATGCCCTGCATACGTGCTCCATTTCTTCCCAGGGCATGGGGCATACTGCTCTCATTGCCTGGACTGTCTTTCATTCTTCCTCTAACCTCTGACTCTCCTCTGCAAGAGGAAGCATGCATTGCCTCTTCCAGGAAGGTTCCTGGGTGACACCTTCCTGCCCTTTGCCTTTGACCTTCTCTCCAGCCCCTGCCTCCTCAGGCTGCTAGGGTGTTCCTGTGTGTTCTTCCACACACCCCAAAGGATGTGTCTTCTGGACACTTGAACCTTGCAGCTATCCTCTGTCCTTTTTGCCTTGGCTGCTGGGATGCTCAAGGGACCATTTTAGGCCTTATGGTATGCATGATGCCCTCCAATCCCACCTTCCTCTGCCTGCGTCTCATTTCCTCAACCCCAGTTGCTTTTTCCCACACGTCCTCATCTCTTCCTTTCATCCTTATGTATAGCATGCATGCATTGCTGGAAACCATCCCCAAATCCTTTTATGAGGGGTGAGACAACGCATGAAAGTAAATAAAAATGATAAAAATCCACCAACTTCTATGAATTCAATTATGTAACTAACAGGAGCAATATATTTTTCCTCAGAGGCAATGAGATGGTATGTTTTCTCTATGCAGAATGCAAAATGTTGCTGGCATTTAAGGGAAATGAAAAATAAATTGCCCTGGCTTCTTCCTCTTACCCACCTCCTGCTGAGTCTTCTCTTAAGCAACCTCAGAAATCTGTCAGAAAACCCAGGTCAGAGAATCAAGAGTTAGAGGGGTTGCGGAATTCACCTAAAGCCTTCCAGCTGGTTAGCAAAGCCAGGTAATTCAAAGCAGGCCACCTTGCTCCAAAACTTGAGCTCTTCCCATTACACTCAAGGACTGCCCAAGTTGTCTTAGTTCTGTGTATTTGTTTCCTATTTCTCCTGTAACAAATTGCCACATACTTAGTGCCTGAATGCAACTCAAGTTTATTTTCTCTCAGTTCTGTAGGTTAGAAGTCCAGTATGGGTCTCACTGAGCTAAAACCAAGCTGTGGGTGGGTTGTGTTTCTTTCTGGAGACCCTAGAGGAGATTCTGTTCCTTGTCTCTTTCAGCTTCTAGAGGCCGCCCACATTCCTTGGCTCATGGGCCCATCCTCCATCATCAAAGCACATCACTCCACTCCTAGGATCCATACTCACATCTGCTCTCTCTGACTTTGACCCTCCTGCCTTCCCATTAGAAAGACCCTTGTGATTCCACTGGGGCCCAGCTGGATCATGCAGAATAATTTCCCCATCTCACAATCCTTCACCAATCATAACTACACCGTCCCCTTTGCTGGGTGACAAAACATGTTTGCAGCTTCTAGGGATTAGAGCATGGACATCATTCTGTCTACTAGTTTGTGTTTCTCCCAAAGCAGCCCCTAAGACAGGATACAAACCGTTTCCTTGGGAGGTGATCCGGGGAAGCACAGTGGGACAGTGGGGAGGCTGGGGGACAGGAGAGAGGCCGAGAGAGGGTGTGCTTGTGAGCAGTCTCTGGTCAGGAGCCTGGGGCTCAGTCCCACTTGGGTCCCTCTGAAAAGTGGGGGCGGAACATGCTTCTGAATTCTCACAGCAAGAGGCAAGGAACCCAGGACATTCAAGTGCCACCCACCAGATGCCCTCTCTCACTGGCTGAGCATTTCTTCTGGGGGTGCCATTCCACAAGCACGTTCCTGAGGTAGACAAAACCACAGTACTTGAGGCAAGAAGCCACCAACATGTGTAGGGGTTGCCCACAGAAGCTTCTGGTGTTCTCAAAAGTGGCCGAGAGAGCGTCCAGTAGGACACTGAGAGTGTTTGTTAGATTTTCAATCAGATAACTGAGCCTGGAGAGGTTACTTGACTTTGTAGCTAAAATGTGAGGCAGAAGAGGGAGGGAGGAAATGAAAGGCAGTGAGGAGGGGCCACTAGGGCTGCCGGCACCTACGCAGAGAGAGGTGGGCCAGCCCCGACCCACCTGGCAGCCCCACCTTCTGTGTCCTCTCTGTGCCCATCCAGGGCTTTGGGCCAGAAGCAGAGTGGTCCTGAGAAACCCAGAACCACAAGATGTAAGGGATTGGGACAGGTTTATAGCAATCCTTCCATTTTCCACATGAGACTACTGAGGTTTAGAGGTTGGATGTGGCTCATCTAGAACTTTCTTAGGACCCATAACTGCAAAATGTAGTGGGGAGAAACATAGACCCAGGAATCTGCACTCATGAGAACAGGCTATCCAAAAAGCAAAACCAAACATAAAAAGACCTCTGTCTCCAGGATCACCTCATGAAGAACTATTTCCACTTGTGTTGTGGTCCCAGAGGGTTTGCGGGGAGTCCTGGCAGCTGTTCAGCCCCTTCCTTGGGTGCAAGAGGTGGCTTTGTCCCCCCAGAGAGGAGCTGAGCAGAGAAGGCACATCATCTGTAAGTGACCTGGCCCAGAGGTGGTGTCTGTCACAGGCCTCGCTTGCCATCAGGGAGGGCCAGGGGCCAGGGCTGGGACGCGATGCCCATCGGGAGTGAGAGAGCACCTGGGAGGTGCAGCTACAGCAGCCTCTGCTGCAGGGCCAGGCGGAGGGACCCTCCATCCCAACGCTGCCCCCTCCCGCTGCGGATCGCGGGCAAGCCCTAGAATCTCGGAGGGTCGTATCCCTCAGGAGTCAAGTGGGGCCATGGGTCCCAGCTGTCAGGACTACAGACCACACTCCCCGTGTATGGGTCCCTAGTGTAGCACCTCCCGCAGGAAATGCACCTGAGCTTAGGTCCCTTCTCTTCCTCGTGGATCTTGGGCTGATGCTCTTTTTATCATGCTGGGCTTGCTGTGACCAGCTGAATCCTCTTTTCTTTCCGGCTGAATTTACTGCAATTCTGATAAAACGAAGGAAACAACTTTTGTGCAGTGAATGCCCTCAAAATGGCCCCAGAAAAGGGGGCACAGCCTGGGTTGCCACTCCGTAACCCTCGTCCAACAACTGATGTCCTCCTGGCTCTCATTTCTCAAGGCCCAGTTCTCCTGTTGGAGGAAGAAGGGAGGCTAAGCCCCTTGGTGCGCCCTGGTCCCCAGCCCACTTCTCCTCTCACCCCGCACAGGATGGCCCCGATCTATTTCTGCAAAGCATCTATTTACAAAGCAGGTCACAGAGAGCGCTGTCACCTAAAAATAGAAAGTCATCACGGAGCAGACGAGGAGCCTGTCTGCATGAGTCGGGGCAGCTTCTGCTTTCCTTTATTCTCCTTTCTGCTTCTCTGCACTCCACTCCCCCTGCCACCCCTGCCTATAGGCTGAGGGGACCGTGGGGCACTTCTCAGAGACAGGGAGACAGGCCATGGGGTAGTGCCTGCTCTGTGCGAGGACTGGGGCCAGCTTTACCCAGGTTTTTCTCTCTTTCCCTTTCTTTCTTTCTTTCTTTTTCTTCTTTCTTTCTTTCTTTCTTTCTTTCTTTCCTTTCATCTTTCTTTCTCTTTCTTTCTTTCTTTCCTTTCTTTCTTTCTTTCTTTCTTTCCTTTCATCTTTCTCTTTCTTTCTTTCCTTTCTTTCTTTCATCTTTCTTTCTCTTTCTTTCTTTCTTTCCTTTCTTTCTTTCATCTTTCTTTCTTTTTCTTTTTCTTTCTTTATTTCTCTCTTTCTCTCTCTCTTTTTCTTTCTCTCTCTCTTTCTTTCTTTCCTTCTTTCCACAAACACCATGAGGCTGCTGCTATCATCCCAACTTGTTAACTGAGAAAACAGAGGCTCAGAGGATTATGGGACTGCCCTCAAATCACAAAGCCAGGCCCACCGCACCGCACTGACCCCATCACAGTCACAAGGGCATGTACCCCAGAACCTGGAAGGGTGGTTCAGGAGTGTAGGGGCGCCCTTCTCCTGCCCTCCTCCTGAGCTGAAATGCATCTCCCTGGTGCAGCCTGTACCTGCATGGTCCTGGGTTCACAGGCAATGCATCTCCCTCTCCTCTGCGGAGTCTGGCCCTGCTCTTAGTAGAGACAGGGCAGAGTGCTGGGTGCTTTGAGACCTCCCTGAGTGCATGTCTGTGACCTAGGCCTAGCATAGGCAGTGTCTGAATCTGAATTAGGCCATGGGTCCCGCCCTCTGGCTGGCCCTCATCTTGACTCTACCCTTCATAGCTCTCCCTCTCCCTGGCCTCCTCTTCCCAGGAACATTGAGCAGCTATGGAGGACCTGCTGTGTTCCAGGAGCATCCCCCCGCCTGTCCAGGCATTACCAACAAGGACGTACTCAGTGTGGTGGAAATGACTCGTTGGGAAGGGTTTAGGCAGTGGCTGGTCTGAGTCTGTAACTCAGGGCTTTGGGGGGCCACACGCTCACTGTGTCCTTGGGGTGTCCCGGCTTACTGGGGATCTTGGTCCTGTCTCACCACGATACGCCTGTTTGCTCAGGATTTCACTCCCTTGATCACGGAGAATGCCTGGCGCACCTGCTGTGTGTCTGGTGGAATCTTTAGCCTGGATAAAGAGGCCAGCTCTCTGGCAGGGGGAATCATCTCTTGTGCCTTCTGAGGATGCAAGGATAGAGAGAGACTGAGCACCAGCAGGAGGAGGGTCCCAAGACCCAAAATGTCCCGCATCCGCAGAAGTGCAGCCATCAGAGCCTTAACGCAAGACGTGAAGATGAGAAAGGAGCAGAACAGCCTGAGGCCCAGTGGGCAGGGAGAACTGCACTGGGGGGAGACTGGGGTGCGGGGGGGCTTTAGGGGGAGGGGTCAGCTGTTTGTTGACCCTTGTTCAGGTGTGGGATTTCTCCTGTCACCTGTAGCTGCTGTGGTAGGGCCCCTCCTTTCTCACCTGAAGGACTGGGAGGTGGGGGATGACTCTGTCTTCCGGGCTTGCTGCAGGTTATCAATGAGGGGCTGGCAGATGCCCACCCAGGGAACCTAGTGGAGGCGTTGCAGCCATCTGGAGTCCTGCCCCCCTCCTTCCCATTCACTCATGGTGGACTAGGAGACGGGCATAAGCAGACATTTTGCTGAGTGGTTCATGCAGCCATCTTACTGTGGTACAGTCACAGGACTGGGTTGCTAGTTATTCTAGCTAATTTGACTCCCTTGTGCCACAAAACAATGTATAGGACAAGGCCTCACTGCTTGGGCCATAGACGTCAACTGCAAATGGAAAATGAGGCTGAATAGTTACCAGCAAGTATCTGAAGCAGGTTGGCTGGGGGTAACAGAGAACAGGGGGGACCCCGGGCTGTGCCTCGGCCACACGGCCCGCCACCCAGCCGCCCATGAGGCACATGGAAGGCAGGCCGCAGTTGCAGATCATCCGCTCTCCCAAGAGAAGCCAGAAAGCTGGACGTTTGTGTGTTTGTTTGGCAATAAATGAAACCTAAAACACAGTGTGGCCCAAAAGCAACATGTTGTTGGCTATGTGGAAGCAGAGAAATAGGCATGTTGTTTAATAGTGTTGAATAGGAAAGAATTCTTTTAAGTATCTACAATTTGACCTTAATTATTCAGTATAATAGATGTGTAGGCAAAAAAAAAAAAAAAAAAAAAGATCTGGGGAAATAAATATCCTGTAATACAGTTGCAGCGGTTAGTTTGAGCTGGAGGAATTAAGGGGTGGAAGGAACAGCTCACCTCAATCAAGCCAGTGTGGTCTTTGGAATGATTAATGCGGCCTGTGTTCTTCATGTGGAAAGCTCCTGGTTTCCATTATGAACACCGGATCCCTCCCAACCTAGAGTACGCAGGAGGAGGCCTGTGCTGCCCAGCACTCCAGGAACTGCCTCGGATTTTAAGCTTCCTCTAGGGATGCTTCACAGACGGTGCTGTGCGGCCAGAGGCCCAGGCAGCAGGAGCCTCAGCTGCCTGGGCTGTGCTGCCTTTTGCTTCCTGCTTTTGAAGATTTCTGATCTTACCTCTGTGATCATCTTTTGACATTTTTGGAAACCATGCCCTTTGTCCGCAGTGTTTTCGTGAAAGGGATGAATTCTCTTTGGCCAGGGATGCTGATCTCCCCTAGACAGCTCCAGGCTGCTTCCCCAGGGGCATGGTTTGGGGAAGTCAGGGGTAGAGAACAAATTAGCACATCACAGCATTTTGTTTGAGATCACCCTGAATTTTGTTCAGCTGACATACCATATTAGACTAGAGAGCTAAACAGTCTTTGTCTGATTTTTGGTTTTTAGAAAATGTGTGTGTCTGTGACTCTCCTGTCTACCTTCCCCTCTTCTCTCCCTCCCTCTGAGTTTGTGAGCTGCTCGGGATGGGGTATGTCTTTCCTCCCTACATCTCCTGCACCCAGCAGAGGCCAACACATAGGAGGTGCACATCAGCGTTTGGTGAATGAATAGGTGAGGCACAGTTGCCTGTTTTCCATGTAACTTTTCTACTGCCCATGGCCCACTTTACCAATCTCAGGCTTTGAGAGTCCCTCAGTAACGTTCTAGAGTAGGTAAGGAAGTATCTCCATTTTACAGATGAAAGGACTGAGGCTCAGAGAGGGATCTTCCACGCTGCTTAGCTGACTGATGGGAAAAGAAGTTGAAAGCATAGCCTGGCTCTGGAGAACCAATCCAGTAACAGGACATCAGAGGCCGGCCTGGACACACTCTGTATCTGACACTGATGCGGCCAAAGACTGGAAGAAACTGGCAGAAGAGTGTCTGGGGTCAGCCTCTCGGTTCCTGTTGTTAGGCAGCTGACCAAGGCTGGTAAGCAGCTCCAGAGGGGGCCGGAATCCTCTGGAGGGAAGAAGGCTAGGAAGATTGCCAGGCGGGCAAGGGCTCAGGAAGCAGCAGGTAGGGAGATGGAGAACCAGCCAAGGAAACCGGGGTAAAGCCCCAGCAGAGACAGTGCAGTTTCAGGCAGGCTGTGACTCACTCGCATGACAAGTGGTGGCAAATGCTCAACAGGTGCACCAGGCATGAGGAGCGGCCGCTGGCAGATTCTTGGCCACATGTGCTGGTGGAAGGGGAGAAGCCATGGGCACATTCTCTCCCTTAGCAAGCATTTCGCTTGGCTCCTGCTGGTGTGTAAGTGTCCTCACCCCGCCCTTGGAGGTCACTGCCTTAGAGGGAACACGCCTCAAAAGGCCAGTGCTATGCCAGGTTTTCGTTGCAAAGATGGGCCACCCACTAGCTGTGTGACGTAGGGGAGGCGTGTCAGCACAGAGGAGGTCTTGCAGTACGAGTGCCTGAATGAAGGCACTACACTGCTGCTGCCTCAGGAGAGGAAGAGGGGACACAAAAGAGTACCTGTGAGAGAAGGAGGGGCAGTTTCCAAAAGGAAAAGTCTTCGTGGCATGCCAAGGGGATCCACGCACGCCAGCCAGCCAGGAGGAAGCTGCAGCCTGCAAGTCCATGCTGAGCTTCTGCAGAACCACAGCCGACAGCCCATAGGGAACGTTAGGCCAGGCCCCCACACCCCGAGCAGCAGCTGCTTCTGCAGCAGCCAGCAAGGTGCCGGCGAGCAGACACTGCATTTCTAGCCCCAGTGCAAACGCTGGGTTCATGAAAACCCCACCACTCCAAAGTAGCTCCTGAAATGTGGTAACCGGCGAAAGCCTCTGCTGTGTGGCACATGGAGGGATGCCAACCCTTTTCAATTTTATGTATGTACCTATTTTATCTCTGTATCTCTGTTTGTCTGTTACCTCAAAAGAAAGATACCTAAATAGCAAAAATGCAACCTAGTAGAAGAGACTTCTGAGTTTCCTGCATTCGTTAGCAGATGTCCCTGTTTTCCTGGTGAGCTGGCTATGTGGATGCACCGTTCTTAATGGGCCCCTCACTGGCTACGAGAGTTTGGGATTTTGAAAGGGACTCAGAGCAGAGAGTGAGCTTCGCCAATATCTGAAACTGCAACATTTCTTCCATTTGTAAAATTATCTAAACGCCTTCAGGGAACATGGGAAGCATTTCTCTTGTCAATGAAATCTTCTGATGTTAATTAATAAAACTGTACTCCTTTGTGCTATAAAAATGTGTTCTATATTTTTATATTCTGCACTGCTGTTGATGGCCTAACACTCCTAGAAGGCTGTGCGGTGGCCGGCAAGCCTGGGGCTCAGACCTCAGCTCCACAGGCAGTGGCTGTGAGGTTTTCGGGTGGCTGTTCATCACCAGTCTGTTTCGCCGTCTTCCAGTTCAGGCTACACACACCCACCTTATGTGGTTCTGGGAGGATGCTCTGACTTCAGTGAGTCTTAGGAGGTGCTTGAGAAATGTAAGTTCCCTGCTCCTCACTACACCCTCCCACCTGCAAGATTTCTACCTTTCTCTATGCCTGGACAAGGGGAAGCACCTAGGGAGGCAGATGCAGGGGATGGGGACACTGGGGCATCCAGAACCAGGTTCCAGGCGCTGGGTTGGGGGAGAGGCAGACACGCAAGGCAGGCACCTCCGCGCAGCGTGAAACCACCCACTAGATGGAAGGGCTGGGCTCTCGGGGCACATGTTGGGAAGAGGAAGGAATATCTCTGACAGGGTCAGGGACGCCTTTGGGATCGAGTGACACTGCAGGTGAGGAGGACCTGGACGCCGTGGGTAAGAATAGACCATGGAGGTGTGTGGGGCCAGCTGCAGCGTTGGAACACAGTGAGTCCAGTGGGCATGGAATATGGGGAGGGAGCAGCGCGGAGAGGGAGGCTGGGCCAGAGGGTGAAGGGCATGAGGACCAAACCAGGGAGCTTGAGCTTTACCCCAGAGGCAATTAAAAGGGTGTAAGGGGTTGGGAAAATGATTTGCACTTTAGGAAGATTAATAGAAGGCATGATAAAGGGCAAATTACAGATGGGTTACAAATGGAATAGACACCTGAGGAGTGTCGCTGATGCTGCAATCATCTTGCAGAAATGATGTGGCCCCCAGCCAAGGCAGGAAAGAGGGGAAGATGTGGATCCGGCATGGAGGATCAGTGGAGCAGCAGAACTGCAGGAGGTGAAGGGATGGCTTCAACATTCTACACTGGTTCTGTGTGTGTGTGTGTGTGTGCGTGTGTGTGTGTGTGTGTGTGGTGCGGGAGTATTACCCTGATAGAAATGGCCAATAGGTATCAAGTGCTTACTATGTGTCAGGCCTCATTTTAAGGGCTTGGCAGGCATATCACTAAATTCTGGCAACCCCTTGAGGTAGGCAGTACTATCGCCGCTTTGTAGTGAGGACACTAAGGCACAGAGATGTAATGTACCTTGCCCAGGTGGGAGCCAGCCTCCAAGACAGTCCTCCGTGGCCCTGCCTCCTGGCATCCACACCCTTGTGTTCTCCTACATGGCACAGGAGTGGTGTTTAACAAATTGCATGTGGTAGGAGCGATGTGAAGTCACTTCTGAAATGAGAGTATAAAAGTCTGTGGCTTCTGTCTTGTGTGCCCCTCACATGGACTCTCCTTCCCTTGCAACACCTGCTCTGGGGAAGCCAGATGTCATGTTGTGAGGACACTCAGGCAGCCTCCAGAGAGGCCCGTGTGGCAAGGAGTGGAGACATCTGGCCAACAGACCTGTGAGTGGAAGCTGAATTTGCAAGTGGATTCTCCAGCCCCAGCCAAGCCTTCAGATGACTGCGGCCCCAGTTGAGTTTACTACCTCCTGAGAGGCTGTGGGTCAGGATCACCCAATGTGACAGTATTCAGAGGTGGGGCCTTTGCAAAGTGACTAGGTCATGAGGGCTCCATCTTCATACAGGATTAGTGCCCTTCTGAAAGGGCCTTGAGTGAGCTCCCTTGTCCCCTCCTACCATGTTAGGTCACGAAGAAGGTGCCATCTTTAAGTAGAGAGCAGCCCTCACCAAGACACAGAATCTGCCGGTGCCCTGATCTTGGATTCCCCAGCCTCCAGAACTGCAATACATTTCTATTGTTTACAAACTACCCAGCCTAAGGTATTTTGTTATGGCAGCTCCAACAAACTAAGACCAAAATTGATACCAACAAGTGGGTTAATGCTGTAACAAATACCTAAAAATGTGAAGTGGCCTTGGAACTGGGTAATGAGCAGAGGCTGGAAGAGTTTTGAGGTATACTGCCATGACAGGAGCCTTAGGGGTGATTCTGGTCAGGGCTCAGAAGAGGAGAGCTGTAGAGGCCTCAATCCTCTTGAGATGACCTAAATGACTGTGAACAGAATGTTGACAGAAATATGGATGGAAAAGGTCATTCTGATGGTCTCAAACAGAAATGAGGAATGTATTACTTGAAACTAAAGGCGAGGCCATCCTTGTTACAAAGTGGCAAAGAACTTGGCTGAATTGTGTTCATGTCTCAGTGTTTTGGGGAAGGTAGAAGTTGCAAGCGATCAAATTGTATATTTAGCAGAAGAAATATTTCTAGGCAAAGTATTGAGGGTGTGGCATGACTTCTCTTGACAGCTTATAGTAAAATGCAAGAAGAAACAAAGATGAAATTTATAATCCAAAGGGAAGCAGAACAAAAATTTGGAAAAATCTCAGCCTGCAGAGAATGAGAAAATGTGTTCATGAGAGACTCATACCAAAGGTGTAGCAAAGAGACCACTTGATAAGGAGATTAGCATGAATGGGCAAAGTCTGGTGCATTTCATCAAGACAATGGAAGAATGACCCTGAAGGCATTTGAAGATCTTGGGAGGTGGTACTGCCTAGTGGAGCTGTGGGTGGGGGCAGGACTACAGCAGAGAGCCCCCTTTAATGCAATACCTAGGGTAGCCATGGGAGCAGGGCCACTCTGGAGACCCTAGACTGGTGGAGTTACCGGCATGAAACTCCAGCGAGAAAGCCGCAGGCGTGAAACTCTAACCTGTGAGCGCTGCCACGTGGGTTACACCCAGCAAAGCCATGGAGGTAGAGCCCTGTGGATCCTTGGAGGCCCAACTCCTACCCCAGTGTGTCCAGAATGTAGAACTTTTGAGTTGAATATTATTGTGGAGCCTTAAATGTTTGCCCTGTTGGGTTTTGCATTTGGTCAGGATCTATTGCCCCTTTATTCTTTCCTATTTCTCCCTTTTGCAATGGAAGCCTATCCTATGCCTGTCCCACCATTGTATTTTGGAACCACATTTGATTTCACAGCTGGAGAGCAATTTGCATCAGAATAAATTGTACCTTGAGTCTCAACCATATCTGATTTAGATGACATTGTGGACTTCAGACTCAGGAGTTAGTACTGGAAAAAGTTAAGACTTTTGGGGTCACTGGAGTGAAATGAATATTTTTACATGTGAGGACATGAACTTTGGGGGTCCAGTGGTAGAATGCAGTGGTCTGAATGTTGATGTCCCCCTAAATTCATATGATGAAACCTAGTATCCAATGTGATAGTATTGAAAGGTGGGACCTGAGGAGTTCAGGGCTGCAGCAAGCTATGACTGCACTACCGCCTGTCAGCCTGGGTGACAGAGCAAAGACCCGGTATCCAGAAAAAAAAAAAAAAAGAGTGATTAGGTCATTAGGCTGCCCTTAGGAACAGGATTAGTGCCCTTATGAAAGAGGGTCACAGAAGCTCCCATCCTTTTATCCTCTTCTGCCATGTGAGGACACACAGAAGGTGCCATCTTTGAAGTGGAGATCAAGCCTTCAGCAGACACTGTATCTGCCGGCACTCTGGACTCCCAGCCTCCAGAACTGTGAGCAGTACATTTCTATTGTTAATAAATTACCCAGGCTAAGGTATGTTGTTATAGCAGCCCTAAGGGACTGAGACAAGGGCTTGTAAAGCCTAGCGGGAGGACAGAAACTGTTAGGATGACTCTAACATAGTCTGATGACATAGGTATGGGGTGTTGTGGGTTAGAGTTTCTGGGGCTAAGTCTTGAAGAATGAGTTGGCTAAAATCTTGGGAGCTTCACTGTGCTGTGAATGGGTGAAAGGTGTACAAAAACATTGATTTTCTTCAGCTTCTGGGGCAGCTTGGGGCTGGGTTAGGGTTAATAAGCTCTGGGTCTCCTCCACTCACCCCAATGAGTTTTGTATATATTATAATTTTCTTTACGTGCCATGCCCTGAAAAAGTTGGGAATCACTGGGTTAGAGGAAGCCGAGTGAGGTGGACCAGCTAAAGGATACATGTGAAGAAGTGAAAAAGATCAGCCAATCTGAAGAGCTACAAGCCGCTCCTAGTGGCCCTAGTGAAGAATACATGCGGGTGTGGAACAGTGCCTGCTGCCAGAGACGCCAAGCAGAAAGCCAGGACTTTCATGTCGGCTTGGTGGTGATGATACCCAATAGTGTCAATGGACACTATGGGAAAAACTTGGACCTCCACGTGGCAGTAAGGAGACACCCTACTCCCTCCCAGCTGGGGTGGTGTCAGAGAGGCGTAGTGGAGAGTCAGTTTTATCATCCACTGCTCAGTGGTAATGAGGCCATCACACACCCACATATCATGCCAGTGGAGTCAGGGTGGTATCAGTGGCAGCTTTTTAAGACCTGGAACCTACCCAGCAGTAACAAGAAGGCCCTCCTTCCCCCTCCCCTTGTCAACAGAGGCCAAATGGGGAACCTGGACCGTTTCTCCTTCCACCTGGCAGGAACAAGGCAGCACCTCCCTTCCCTCACTAAAGCCCTAAGGAGGCCATCTAAATATGATCCAGAATCTCCTAATACCTAAAATGTCCATGTTCTGGTTGAAAATCACTCATTCTATTGAGAGCAGGAAAATCTTGAATAAAACGACAGATAGCAATGCCAAGATGGCATAGAAGTTAGAATTTACCTGATAGTTACCATAGTGGAAATTTCAGGCTAAAGAGGTAGGTAGGAGGAAAATCATGAAGGAACGTGTGTGATAACCCAAGAAATCTGCAAGTTAGCCTGGAAGCTGTAGGAGGCTCTGAAGTATTTTGGTCATGGTAGAACATGCGCCATTTAATGTCTACGTCATATAGCTTTGGCAGCAGCAGAACTGTGGAACCTATTGGCATGATGAGTGCTATGCCCTCTGTCTTATCTACCTTCCTGCTTCTGCACCCACCTAGGCCGTGCGTGCACAAAATGTGTGCGCACAGACCTGCTCATGGACATCTCTCCAGCAACCCTCACTTATCTCTCCTACATACTCAAGCTTTTTCTCTCAACTCTATACCCCTCTCCAACAATTCCTTAAAGTAAGATCCTTGAAAGAGTTGACTAGACTAATTCCTTTCCTCCCATTCTTCTTGAATCTGTTCCAAACCTTCGCTCTATGAAGTAAATCAAGACTACCGATGACTTTTCTGTTATTACTGTGTGTGTCCAATCTTTACTCTTCATTTCTCTCGACCTATCTATCTGCAGCAAAGGATCACATCCCTTTTCCCTGAAATGCTTTCTTCAGCTGTCTTCCAGGGCATTACTCTTGGTTCTCTTCTTCCTTCATGGCAGCTCCTTCTTGGTCTCCTTTTCTGGTTCCTCTTCATCTCACTGACTTACAAGTGATGCGACATTCCATGGTCTGTTCTCTGATCTCCACTCAAACTACAGCTTTAAATGACATCTATATTTTGACGGTTCTTAAATTTCTATCTCCAGCTGAGATCTCTCCCACCTCCAGATCTGTATCTCAAAACTTAACATAATCACCTTGTCCTCCTAAAATGTCCCCATCTCAGAAAGAGGCAATTCTAGTTTTCCAGTGCCTCTGGACCCAAATCTTTGGATCATCCAACTTAATTTCTGTATCTCACAACCAATCTGTGCACTAAGTCTTACTGGCTTTACTTTTTCAAAATACACATGAAGTCTGGCCAGTTCTCAGTGCTTACACCCTACCACCCCGGACTATGCTAGCATTCCTTCTTACCTTCATAGCAGTGGCCTCCAGTGGGTCTCTCCACCTTGCCCCATAGGCTATTCTCAGACACTGCCAGAGTGGTTCTGTTAAAATGCACATTGCATCACACTACTCCTGTGCTTGTCAACTCCTCCTCCCATCTGCCCATCAGCTCCCATTAAAGCTCAACACTGGCACTTTATTCTCTGGCCCCCAACCAGCCCACTGATTTCATTTAATTCTTTGTCCCTTGCTCACTCCATTACTTCTGCTCTGGCATCCTTGCTGCCGGTCCTCAAGTACCCAAGCATGCTCCCACCTCAGGACCTCTGCACTTGCTAGTCTCTTAATGTAGCTTAGTTCTTTACTTTTTATGGCCCCTGCTAAAATGTTACCTCGCCTACTCAAACTAAAGTCTAGCACTTCTTCCTGTTACCATGGTCTAATTTTCTCCATGGCTCCGTCAGCACCTGACATTCTCATGGTGTTTGGCCTGTTCCTCCCAGGGGGATCTAAGCTTCTCCAGGGTAAGACCGCCTCTGTTTTTTTTCTCCGCTCTCTCTCTAGTATGTTAGACGGTACCCAGCAGTTAAGTTCTCAATAATGTGCTTAATGAATTAAATAATGTAGGCAGTAAAGTAAGAAGCCAAAATTAGGTTGTAGGAGTGGGATCAAGGAGAAGGGGACAGATGGAAGTTAAGTCAGAAGGTTTGAATCCATGGGATTTTACTTGTAGATTTGTGAATTGTATTAGAGACTCAGCAGGTAAAAAGGAAGCAAGCAAAAAAAAAGTTCAAATTCTTTTCAATTTACCATAGTCTGACTTATATTCTAAAGTTCCTATTTGTTTAAAATTAATTCTGAACCAAAGGGTGCCTGAAGCTGCTTCCTAGCTGTCCGTAGCTCTCCTGAGCTCGCCCTCATGACAGACATTTACCCTTCACTCTCGCACCCGACTCGCCGCAGAGAGCCACCGCTCTAACACACAGGCTTGTATTCTACGCGTTTCTGAGAGAGAAATGTGTACTGGACACATCTAAAAGGTACAAAAGAATTATGTTTTAGGATGCATACGAGGATAAGAAAAAGCTAAGCTATTTGAAGTCATTCTGTCGTTAACACAATGCTCCAAACATGGCATGCTGTAAAAAGTGAATGCCTCAAAAAAATGTGTCTTTGAGGCAAGAAAGCAACAATTTAACAATGTGCAAGACAGTTCTTAAAATTCCAAGTCCAGGGAACATGTTGTGTGAGCTTCTAACAGAAGAAATACAACACATCCTCCCGGGGCATATTGAATTAAAATCACAATGCACTAGTAAATGATGAAAAGAGAATGAAGAGAATAATACTGTCCACAGGGATTATGACCTTTATGTTCCATAACAAATTACACTGAGGCATGAAAATCATGTTTCTATTCTGACAGTGCCACTCTGCTTCCCGCAGAAGCCTTTATAATTAACCTTTTATGTGACAGAATACTTTTTGCATAATACTTTCATATTTATTAGTCCATAACTGAGATGGATAAATCATTTTCAAATGTGGAATATGTGTAGAATCTTGACTTCTTGCAGTGAGTTGCAGCTGTACATGGTTTTCAAGTGTATACAATTTAGAGCTGTGCTGAAATAACAAGACTTTGTTTTTCTAGGTTTAAAGTAGAAGAGATTTCAATAGGCAGCCTTTATTAACTACTATACAAATCATTCTCTTTTTGTTATTGGGAGTCAACAAAATAAGATAGATTTTCTTTCCGTTTTTTAAAAAAGTAGGTTCTCCAAATTAAAAGCATACCATATAATAAAAACATGTCACAGAACACAAAATTATGCAAACAAAAATTAATTAAGATGTTTTTCAAGTTCCCAAGTGGATTCATTTGCTGACTAGGCACGTTGGTGAGTTGACGGTTCTTAAGCAGTGCATAAATAGAAGGAAAGTTCCTGAAAGAGAGGAAAATGAAATATATTTGTATATATCAAGAAATTAATAATAACCATATGCTCTGTTGGGAATGGCAGGGTTTAGAGGATTCAGGCAAGTGGACACTTAATAGAAATAAGGACGTTTATGGAAAACAATGCAAAACAGAATCGTTAAAATTAAGGACATAAAATATTTGTGTTCAATAAAGACAGACAAATGATTAACTGGTTTAATGATGATTACACTACTATCCATTATGATATTCATGGAGTGATTTCAGCATGGCAATGCCTTGTTTTACATAAAACCTCAAATATTAACCTATGAGTTCCTAGGGGTCCACCCTGGCAGAGTCCTTGCATTCTTGTCACCTGATAAGAGACTGAACTTTCAGATATATTTTAAATTGTATTACCTAACCCCAAAGAACCTATTTTGATGTGTCATACGAAACAAAACTCTGTTATTTAAAAAACTGGCTGGTGATCAGAAAAACAAACAAACAAACAAACAAAAAACCCAATCGCAGCAGAGAAATGGCCATTGTGGTGATGTTGACTTCTCACGACTCTGGTCATACAAGTCCCAGGCCCTAGGTAAGTGTTTGATACCACAAAGTGTGCTCAAAACAACTCAGGACATCGCCGATGGCTCCATAGGACCCAGCCCCTTCCTCTGTCTCCAGATGCATCTCTTTCATTTCTCTCCCAGCATGTTATATTCCAGCAGCTGCTTATACGTTCCTAAAACACATGACGCCATTTCATGTCTTGGTTGACACCCTCCTCTCCCACCTGTATTAGCTTATTATGTCTTCACATTTTCTCCTCCCTTCCTGGCTTGCAAGATTTCGACTTTCAAAACTCCATTCAGGTTTTATTTCTTCCTTTGTCCTCGGAGCAAGTTCATCCCTTTCTCCTCTGCACCATCCCTGCCCTTCTCTAGCCTTTTATTGCTGCAGAGTGCCAGGGACACGGTGGGCGTCTCAGTGTCACCTGCATAAAGCATCAGTACTGCTAGGATGAATCAGATGCAAACTGTTATTTAAAGGTGAATCCTCTAAAAAGTTAAACATCTAATACAGTAAATCTATTGATGAGGGCATTGCCTTAATTAACCAATAAATATTTCTTGAATGGCTTGTGCTGAATGCTTTCAGGTTTATAAAATGTGACAGACACACCTGTGACCCTCAAGGAGCATACAAGGGATGAAGGACATTTACACAGCACCATCCCATCAACCGGCAGGTCAGAATGAGACATCTGCCAATCCAGTCCTCTCAGCCAGGATTCTCATGCGGAGAGAAGAGAAGGCTCTTTTGGCTGAGAGAGATAAAAGATCTTGAAGAAATGGGAGGATCTGGATAACCAGAGAAGAAGAGAGGGTGGGCAATGAGCCCGTGCAGGGGAGTGCTAGAGGAGATCCTGTCTGTTTCCTCAGAGAGCCTGTCGGCCTCTCCTGCTACCCTGGTGTGGCCACCTTACTTTCCACAAAGCCTGCCCCACCACGGGCCAGCCCTTAACAATACACTTGCTGATGTAAATAAGCTCCAGGAATGTGAGGAGACCAGCAGGAGTCTGAGGAAGGGTCGCAGGACTTTCAGCTCTCCCCATAAGACACAGACGAGTGTCCAGGAGGTGTCCTTACTGGACCCAGCACGCCCTGCATCTCTTCGCTAAATCACACAGGGTAACCAGCCTGCCACATGCCAGACGCCATGCTGTGTATAAAAGACCATTTTAAACCAACTTTTGAGCAGATGAGTTTCTGGTGTGGCCACAGGAGCTAATCTTATAGATCATAATGAATACATGTAGCATTTAGATAGGTTTCTTTTACAAAAGCATATGAAGATGCACCATGACCTCTATGGGAAACATCTATAAAAGCCCAGTAGGTCTACTTTAAAAATTCATTCCACAGATGTTTATAAACATGGCTTCTTGCATTGCCTTTAATGTGAGCAAAATATTAGAAACTAACTACATCTCTGTCAGTAGTTGTTTGGATTATGGCTCTTTCATATAAATATTCAGCCAATAAAAAGAAAAAGGTAGCTTTCTAGTATAAAATAACAGAAAATGAGCTCTAAGACATACTTCAAAGTGAAACAAGGGGAGAAAATGGTATATTGTTTTCTATGTAAAAAATAGTGATAATTTAAAAAAATGCTTTACTTATGCACAGACTATCTCTGGAAAGATACATGAAAATCAATACAAATAGTTACCTGTGGGTGTGTGGGGGTAAAGGTGGGAATTAACACCATTGTGTGTATATATTTTGTACCAAGCACATGTATTACTGACTAAATAAAGGGCATATTTTGGTTTTCCAACTTCGCATTTATCATTGAAAAAAATCTAATGGTTAGAGAAATATCACACTTCCACTAAGAAAACAAATTAATACAAATGCTCCTCATCTTAGGATGGGGTTATGTCCTCATAAACCCACTGTAAGTCAAAAACATTAAGTTGGAAATGTATGCAATACACTTAACCTACCAAACATCATAGCTTAGCTTAGCCTACCTTAAACATACTCAAAACACTTACATTAGCATACGGTTGGGCTGAATCATCGAACACAAGGCCTATTTTATAATAAAGTTTGATATCTCAAGTAATTTTTGAATGCTGTACTCAAAGTGAAAAACAAAATGGCTCACTGCCATTGCCTGGCATGGCAAGAGTATCATACCACTATGGCTAGCTGCAGAAAAGATACATATTCAAAATCTGAAGTACAGTTTCTACTGAACATGTACTACATTTCCACCACTGTAAAGGGGAAATGTTCTAAGTCAAACTATTGTAGTAGGGACTGTCTGTACTGAAAAGTGCTCAGTGTCAGTGTTTCAAGAATTACAGGTTCATTTGTTCACTCATTCGTTCCTCACTGAACACCCTGTCAGTTCCCACTATGTCTATGTGCCAGGCAGTGTGCTAGGATTTGGAAGTACAAGTCCAATAAGACATGGTTCTTCTATCTTTAAGGAACTTCAAGTCTTGCAGTCAGGGAGAAAAACCCACCAACAAGCAGAACAGAAATCTAGCCTCAGGATAACACCACCATCCCCGCACACTTCACAATGGTACCTGTTTGTTTATTCTATCTCCTTGTTTTGACTGTCTGTTAGGTACTAGGACCTGTGTTAGGCAGCAGACACACAAATCCCGCCAGCAGCAGTTCAAATGAGATAAACACACAGGACAGAACTTAATAACCTGGTAAGTTCTCCTCAAATGAAAGGATGACTAATTTAATCGAATAAGGCCAAACAAGACCTAGTACATTGTCCTGTACTATCAGCCACTGAGCTACCACATCCACTTTATTCACTCATACATCCAACGACTTGTTCATTTACCACTTACTAGGCATAAGGCATGGTAATTGCCCTAAAGATATTTACAATCTGGTGGGAGGAAAGGAGGGTAAACAGCCAATCTCAGGATGCTGTATTGCAGAATTCATAGAGCAAGATGAGGGTCCATAGTAGAGCTGCGAAGATGGCAGGCTAGGGAGGGCCTCCAGGGTGAGGGGATGCTTCAAGCTCCACTGGGAAGTCTGGATAGGCCAGCAACAGCTAGCTAGACCAAGAGCTGGGTAAGAGTTGTGTTCATTCATTTGTGTGCATTTATTTGAGTGGGGTACGGAACTGTTACTTCAGGCAGAGAATGGCACTGATAGAAAAGCTCTAGATGGTTTTCAATCTATCAGGGCTGGACCACAGTGGGCTGGGGTCAGAGCATGCTGTGCTCCAGGCGGCTGGGCAGGCCAGCAGCAGAATCACACACGGCTTGAGGTTCAGAGCCAAGGAGGCTGAGCATTATCCTGAAAGTCACCGAAGGACTCATCACATTAAGATCTGAAAAATGATTTCAGCAATGGATGCTAATCACTGAAATACATTACTGAGATTTTTGAAACAGGAATGTCAGTCAGAATCAACTTCAACTGGACGGGATTTTCCATCGATAAGGGAGGGTGAAATTCAGATTGAAAAATGATCTGTAGCCTTTCCCAATCAGAAATAGAAACAGAATCAGGCATAAAATAGACTGTTATTTTAAAATAATGATGGATTTTTTCCTTTCTGTCCCTACAAAACACTGAATATCAATATAAATAGTAGATATTGTTTGCACAGAAAATAAACTTTATTCCTTAAATTTGTCACATATTCTATAAAATGTCTCATATTTTCATTTAACTTTTGACTCTACAATTTTATTTTTTCTTCAAATCATTAGTTTTACATTCTGGAACCTGTCTCTGTATACAGTGACCAGAGTCTTTCATTTTGAGTTAAACAAGGGAGCTAGACTATCTAAATTATAGTATCGTTAACATGACTGTGTGGGTTTTTTGGGGTCTGGGCTAACCGTTCCTAACACTGCCTGTTAGGAATCATCTTGCTCACAGTGACAATACCATTCACTTACTAAACCCTTACACTGTCAAATAACTATGTGAAGAGATGGGGACAAGAGGATGAAAAAGTGAGAGCAACTATTTTTTAAGGCACTGTAAAATCACTAACCAGTGGAAACAGAAGCTTGTAGAGTTCTTTTTGGAACACAGACTAAATGAGGCACTATATCTGCCCAAGGGAATGGAGTAGGCCAAGCTTAAAGGCAAAGAGGATACTACACTTGAAAATGGTTGCACTGAATTTGAGCTTCTTAGCAGAACCTACAAGACCCTTCATTACATGTCCCTTGTCCTACCCAGCCAGCATGGTCTCTTACTTTCTCTAATTATCTAATATACCTGAAGTTTCCTCAATGATCATGTTTTCTTATAATTGCAAATATTTACATATAGCAACCAATGAGTGAACACCTTTATTTGTCCCAGGCATGCTTCTAATCTTCACAGCAATACTAAGGTATCATGACTATGATATTTTATATATCATATATATATATAAATATATATATAGACTATGTCTATTTTATAAGTGGGGAACCTGCAGTTTAGACTCTTGTTTAGAGAGGTTAACTTACTGACTCAAGGTCACAAAGCGGGTGAAGGGCAGAGCGGAAGTATGGATGCTCTGAGAGTACCTGCCCTGTGTGGTTATCTTCTATTGGTCTTAATATCTCCATGGGCCCCTTCTGCTACCTCTGACCAACTTGCCTGGGTTACACATCTCCCTTCCATGTGCCTAGAAAGCACATGTATCTCTGTCAGAGCTTTACAGACGTGGTCTTTGCCCATTTCCCCAGTAGACTGTGGCACTTGCAAGGACAACAATGATGTCTTTAATCACTGTCTTCCTACCATCTGCAACACAGCAGGTGTTCAGGAAATATATCTGAGTAAATAATGATACTGACTTGACTTGGAATACCTGAGTATAAGAAGATTCAGAACCTAAACAAGTGAAAGACTCTCTCCATGAAGGAATCTGGTGCAGGGGCGGGGTAGAGAAAGAGAAGGGGGCAGTTATCACAATGCTCAGTGTTGTGTGAGATACTCTCTGGGATACAAGGTAACACAAATTAAAGGCTTCTGCTCTTAAAGAGCCTTTAATCTAAGGGAGGAGCCACTGTAATATAAAGAATGACAGTATAACAACATGGTTAAGATCAAAGACTCTGGATTGAAGTCAATCGGTTCAAATCCGGGCTCTACCAGTTATAAGGTACATGAGCAACATAAGTGTGAAATTCACCTCCTGAAGCTTAAATTTCTTCCTTTTTAAAAATGTAGATGATACCTTCTTATGGCTGTGAGGATTCAATAAAATAATCTACAGAAAGTGATAAGCACATGCTTGGCTTTTATGGCAACTTACAACCAATATGTGTCATATGATACCAATACTAAAATGAGGAAATATAAACCAAGCATGCTCTTTAGAGAGGGTGGAGGATCACAGCCTGATTTAACTGGTGAGGACATCATGGAAGAGAGGGCATGGGGCTGAGTTCTGAAGGACGGGTATGGTTTCTTCATGCAAAGATACAGGCAATAGCAAAGTTGTGTGTCATGGGGCTGTCACCTCCATTCGGTTTTGCGGTATTTGAATACCGGGTTCCATGTCTTATCAGTCTTTGTATGACCAGTGCCTCTGTTGTGTCCAGTATGGAGCTCATGTTCCATATATGCTGCCATATGAGAAAATAAATGAATTCCAAGGGGGTGAAAACAAAGGTTAGGGGGAAGCGATTTGGGAACAATGAAATGTGCTCTTAGAGACGTGAGAAGACTGGCTTATCTATAGCAGGGTCTTCCCATGGAAATAGAAAAAAATCAGGTCTGGTGGAGCATCAGCCAGATAAGAGAAGATCTCAAAGGCCAAGTAGGAAAGTTCCTGTCGGATAGTGATCTGGGCCTTTCTGGGTCACAATTCCTTTTACAGTCTGATAAAGCTATGGAAGCTTTGAAAAAATGACAATAAACATAAAATTGTACAGTATTTCCTGTTAATTAACTCTGAATAGCACCTGAGGATTGACCCTCTACCTCTCCATAATTCTTATTATTCTGTATGCCAACTCCTTAAAAAAATTATTTAATAAAGAAAAAAATTGTGAAAAATTTCAATAACATCACACACTACAGAGATGTGGTGGACGTCACATTCCCATTCCGTACAAGAGAAAAACGAACAACAACAAAAATCCAAACAGACAAACAAACAGAAAATACAATAAACTTAGTTTGGTCTACAAAAATGATGAGAATTATTTTCTTTCTAAAAGCAATTTAATTATTTCAGGCTAATTTTGGCTATTAGGGAAAAAACCAAGCTCACATATTTTTCATATATATTAAATATGTGAATACAACTTTGACAATTAAACTTTACATGATTGTATCACTTTCAGGTTACAAAACACTCTGATGATATTATCTTAATTCTTCTAACAACTGCATGGGATAAGCATCATTTTCACTGAACTGATGGAGAAAGTGAGACTTGCCCAAAGTCACACTGCTAAGTGGCAGAGCTCAAATACAAACACTGAAAAAGTAAGACTCTCTGGAAGATCAGGGCCTAAGTAGTATTTTTTGATGCTTTAGAAAAAAAATCAAGAAAATGTAAAAAGAGAGACAAAAATAATAATACTTTTCCTTTATAGGTCCCCAGATTTTTACATTTTATGAAGTAATTTTTATAAAATACATTTTATAATACTTATCATTTGTTTCATAAAATTCAGAAGCACAGAAAACCATGTTTCCATAAGACTAAGATAAATACTGTCAAAAATTTCCAGCATATCTGTGTAATTTTTTTGCCTATGCACGCACATAGAAAACTAAAATTGGGATATTATATATTAAATTTGGCAAACTGCTCTTTTTACTGAATAATCTGGAATTTTTTTTTTCATGCTATTGACTAGACTGCTAGATATTTTCTGAAGAAAGTAATCTGAATATTTAAATATCAGGATGACCTGAGCCTCCAATCTCTGCCGCTTATAATGAAGCTTCCTGGGTCTGACCTGTTTACATTCAGGAAGCTTCTTTTCTGACCTTTGGAGTTAATCTGACACAATCACTAGTGTTGTACTAGGAAACCAGCAGGGGAAATTTTCCATGTGACTTCAGATAAGTGTGAAATTGTCTTCATCTTCCACACAGGTCAGGATAATTGGAACAAAAAGGCAAACTTACCTTTGTTTGCTTCAGGTGTTCAACCAGTTCCTGTGACATTCCAAGATGGCTGACATTTCCTAACAAAAGAAAAGACCTTTTTACTCAACATAAACAGAAAAAAATCCCCCAAGAAATAAAAATTAAACATTTTACACAATCTACAATTAAAAAAGCTTAATGATTAAAGAATAAACTTTATTAAATATTTGTCAGTTTTAAGAAGTGCCCTCAATTACTAACCAAATAATGTATTACAAATAACTAGTTATGAGGTTTTACAGTTGTTTAATAGGGAGTAATTGGCCCCAATTAAACTGACTAAACTAAGGCTTTTTAGATTACTAAAACAAATTAAACTTTTTAAAATGAGAATTTAGGTGATCTTAAAACTTTTCTAAAATGGATAATGAAACTTGCTAAGTTGTAATCTTCCTGGTTTTATTAGTTATATTAAGATAAATTAAGTGAGATTAAAATCTTATTTGATTTATTTACCTTTGAAAATGAAGACCGTTTAAGGGTTACACATCCTCAGCCTTGGCGAGTGCGACCTCAATTAGTCAAGCCAGAAAGTCTTTAAAAGCTTTGTGCTTAGTGCTTCCAGCATGGAGCGAGGTGTTCATTAAGGTACCAAAATTCTCATAAAAAATCCAAAGTTGCACTAGTGAAAAAACGCTCAACAAGATGAAAACTGATCACATCTTTTTCAGAAAATCCAGTAGTTATTTTAAAACCAGTTTTTAAACAAGATTTGGTTTTGCGTAGTTTAACGTGCCACTCAAGCAGCTCGATACCATTTGGACTCTTTAAACAGCATTTAAATCTATGGTGAGTATATAATGGTACATTTAATTTTATACCATTTTTAAAATAAGTTGTACAATGTTTAGTGTGACCCTTTTATGACAAGCATTGTTAAATGAATTCTTTCCCTGTTTACAACTATTTATGAAGGCCTTTTTAAATAAAAAAAAACCCATGAAATTGTTAGCTCACACACACAAAATTTCTTTCAAAAGTTTATTTAGTATCAAGCAAGAGGAGACTTTGCTTAACACTACAGAACATTTCAAGACTTGAGTTACAAAAGAATACCACATTATTTGCACTTGTAATTGGCTTCCCTTTTTACGCATGTTGGCAAGAGAAAAAAAAACTAGCATATGGCTGAAAGATAAAATAACTAAATTCTATGGAAACCTTTAAAATGAAAGGTGAGGCTTATGTTAAAAGAATAGATTAACATATTTAGTAAACCTATTTTTTGTTTAACACTAGTTAATCAAAGTTATTTTTTTTCCTTTTGATGACCTATTTTTTCATATACAGACTGGAAATAACAAAATTTTACATGTCTTTTTTTTTTTTTTTCTGCCCAGGTTGATGTTTCAACAAAGTAGTTTTAAGTTCCATCCATTCAGATTTTAAGCATTCTGATTTATTTAAAAAGGGATTGTTCATAGAAAAAAATTACTTTGAACAGTATACAGGACTGGTGGAGATTGGCTATTTCACAACATCAGACAGTACAATCAGTATCTGCCATATGGCTGGTCTCTGTAGACGCCCTTTGCTGTCCTCGCTGAAGGTGCCTTGTGTCTTGAGTTAGTCCACTCTTCTTGCCCTACAATCAGTAAGATGAATCACAATTAGATCACTGCCATGAATCCCACAGGCTTCATTTTTCAGACTCTAACTTAGCCCTGAACCAAAGGTACATGTCATATTGAAAATATATACCCCTGGTGTACTGAAAAGAAAAACAAACAAGGAATTTACTTAAATAAATTACAAACACAAGGAAAAATAATCATCTCACTCGCAAAATTCGTCAGCGTGGGAAGATAAACGGTTCTTGTATCTGAAATGGTAACCAACTTCGCAAGGACTTTCCTTTTGGTTACTCATTTAACAACAGTTTACAAGCTCAAGTAGCAAAGAGAACTGCCTTTTGCTAAACATCAGGACATTTATGAGTGAAAAAGAGAATGGGAAAAGGATCACTTAGATGTCTTCCAACAGCAAAAACAAAGAAAAAACATAGGTAAACATCTGTGAAGACAAAGAAGAAAACCGGAGAGCAAAACGGGAAGGGGCAGACTGAGAAAGGGAAATATGACCTCATTTTTCACAGGCGCTTTCACGGAAAGACTGAAGGAAAGTTGCATTGGGTTGAACTTCACTTCTCAATAGCACTTCATGAATATGAAATGAATTTAACGACATAATGTCAGATTTCATTCATCATAATGCTAAATCCGTACTGAACAAAGGTATTAATAACCAGGGACATTCTATCATCTTTATCTCCTGAAATTAAACACCTGTTCAGCCTGAAGATAACTTTTAATGAGTTATCTATAAGTCTTGGACATCAAACAGTTAACATCCCTGCTGCAACATACAGCAATTTAAAAGCCATGTGTCCACAGAGACCAATTTAAAAAGCTGTGAAGGAAAAATGCTTAAAATGACCTCTTCTTTTGATACAAAACATGCAATCAACGTCACTCCCTCAAGCTAACTTGCATCAATTTAGGTAGCCTGCATTCAGCAAACCAACATATTTCTCTTAAGTGTTTGTTACGGATAACAAAAAAAAAAAAAAAAAAAAAAAAAAAAAATCCAAGGTGCAGCCATCACAGCTTCAGGCAGGTGATACAACAAAATGCACTTCAAAAGGTTTAACGCCGGAAAATGGTTTTTCCGTTCTGTTAAGAGAAATGTCCTAACATCCATTAACCACAATCCTGATATACTTGCACCGGGTACCAGGGATTCATCAGAGCTTTGCAACTGATTGAAGCTTCATGTTCTCTGATCTCCTTGCCCTGCGGCAAGGGCTCTTCTTACTACCATTATGTTGCTGCCGCCAATTCTTTTAATTATTAAACCTGTCATCGTTCTGCATAGTGAGACTTTGGACATGAAGTCCCCAGCATCTCTACCAGCTCCACTGAATTAAGAGGGGTTTAGCTGCTGCCCTTTGTAAAGCTTACAGACCCTGTATCTCCTCCTTGGCTCAGTGCTTTTGTAACCTTTATGAAATGACTCCCAGTGTAATTTTTTTCAGAGGGTTTGAGATTGGAAATGAATTAAAACATAAAGATGAAGGTGGGAGAATCACTTTAGAGCTGTAGTCTCAATTGCTTCATTTCCCTTCACTGTCAGGAAACAAAGACACTTCAAAAAGACCCAGCTATCAAGTGTCTGAAGTTTGAAAAACTACTCTGTGAGAAAATCAGCACACGGCGACCAACTCAAACATAAAATTTAAGTTCAGAATCTGGATTCATGCAATCTTCAGCAAGTCTTTAGTCCTCTTCAAATATTTATATAATAAAGGAGCCCTAAAAATAGCTAGACATGCACAAATGAATTGACAGGAAGCTGCTGTTTCAGAGTCCAAATGTCCTTATTCTCTTCCCATTAATATCTTTAAGGTCTTTCTACGGCCATCTCTCCTCCCTCTCTTCACATGCTCTGGCCAGTCACTCACCGTAGGAATCATAAGTCTCCTCACTGAGTCCATGTCCGTAATCATAGTAATCAGCACCACTGCAAGTGATCAAAACAAAACAAAGGACAAAATCATCTGGCTGTGAGTTTCAACAGTATTCAATAACGTATTGTAAAACTTAAAGACAACTAATGAAGGGCAAGACTGAAAATTCAAAGAAATTCCCACCGAGATCACAGAGTTCTAAAGCAGAAGTGTCAACTTTGGGATTATCAAAGGACCCTTGTCTAGCTCCCTAATTTTAATACATAATAAATATGTTTCGACATTTTAACCACAACAATTGGCCACGCAACACACAGTAAGTGCCTAAAAGTGCACGAGGGAATACAAAGACAGCACCTGACCTGGGAAGACTGGGAGTCTGCGGAGAGGGAGGATGTGTGTGGACAATTCTAGCCCAGTGTGCCAAGAGCTAGGGCTGGGCCTGTGCAAGGCACTGTGGGAGTGGGGGAGGAGGTAAACACCTCCTTTCCAATAGATGGGATGTTTACAGAAGGCAAAGACTTTATTTCTTCTTACACCCTCGTCTACCAGAGAACCCGGTGCTGCATGAATTGTGGGTGCTGTACTTTATAGTACATTAAAAACAAATGCCCAGATGAAATGTTTTCTTTGACCGGCACTGTTGCATCACCATCCGGAAGCTGCTGGGAAAAGAGGACTCAGCAGCCATGGCCACATGGGACAGGAGAGCAGGGAAATGGATCTCTGCAGTCCAGTCACAAGTCTGGTTACATGAGGCCAAGGATCTTTTCAAAGTACAGGCAAATCCACGTTCCAATGTACAACATCCTTGAGAGAGCACGAGGAAAGAGCCATCACTGACAGCAAGAGGGAAGAGTTCTCACTGCCATTTTGCAGATGATGCAAAACAGCCTACATATATACAATGTATTTGAACTAGGAATAATTTTTTACAGGAATAGACTTGTGAAAAGTCTAGATTACTCAGCCATAACCATTCTGAGTATTTGAGAAAGAGTTTCCATGTACCCTCTCAGGCTTTCCTCTTTCCCACTCCATTTTGTAGGGAAACCACCATCCTGAATTTGTTATCTTAGACTGTCATGGAAATAAACATCCCCATTCTTCCAATTTCATACAATCAAGAGGTTTCTAATCAAAATGGAAAATGATCCAGCTCAGATGTTTAACACCTCAGGAAGTCACAGTTTGAGGAGCACAGATGCTTGCTGTGAATGTCTACTGAACACCAGCCGCTGAGATCCCACATCACCCCCGGCCTCGGATAGTAAAACTGCCATACCCATTTGACAGATAAGGATACTGCAGACCAGAAGAGCTAAGAAGCCAGGCTAAATTGCATGGAGAACAGTATAACTGAATCTCTGTGACTACACAGGCCAGACTTGTGGTCACAACCACACGGAGTTTTTCCCCCACGTTTTCTTTCTCAGGAAAATGACACCAGAGACTAATCATCACATTTAATGACTACGGCACAGCATGGCCATTCCTATGAGAAAAGTGTAAGCAATGGAGCTATGTTCCTTTTTATCTCAAACATGTGGGCATGAGTTTTTATATTTGCTACTCTTTCTGCCAGAAGGCCCTTCTCTCCTGTCCTCCAGGCTATTTCCAACTCAAGCCCTTAACCTAAATGCCACTTCCAAAGAGAACCTTGCTGGTATCCCTGAGTGAGGTTGGTTTCCCACGACAGCATGCCCTGGTTCTCATTCTTTTGGCCTGGAGGAGACCCTCACGTTACATATGTTAAGTGGGTATACGGAGAAGGGGCACCTCCATCACTCTAGTGTAGTGTGTCATGAATGGCTTGGAGCATGCAGTGCTTGCACAGTGTTCTGAGGGTGAAGGTGAAGACAGGTGGAGAAGGAATGGACAGAGGCAATGGCAGCAAGGGTCTTCCAGGCAGAAGAAACAGAATATGCAAAGCAGAGGCAGGAAACAGGTTGGAAAATCTAGGTGTCAACAAGCAGTTCAATCAAATATAGTAAGTATTGATGAAAAATGCCTGGACCAGGCCAGGCGCGGTGGCTCATGCCTGTAATCTCAGCACTTTGGGAGGCTGAGGCGGGCGGATCACGAGGTCAGAAGATCGAGACCATCCTGGCCAACATGGTGAAACCCTGTCTCTACTAAAAAAAAGTATATAAAAATTAGCTGGGTGTGGTGACGTCTGTAGTCCCAGCTACTTGGGATGCTGAGGCAGGGGAACTGCTTGAACCCAGGAGGCGGACGTTGCAGTGAGCTGAGATTGTGCCACTGCACTCCAGCCTGGCGACAGAGCGAGACTCCATCACAGAAAAAAAAAAAAAAGACAAATGCCTGGACCGGAATATTCCTTAGAATACTTCTTCCACACATAGAATATAGGCCCCACCTTGTTATCCTGGCTTAATCATATCCTTACAAGCTAATTAAATACGGTGTAACACGGAGGTTATGATTTGAGCTCTCTGTATAAAATAAGCTCTCTGAAATGGGCTGTGTTAAGCTCCGCTGGCTTAACACATTACAGAATAGTCACTACTACAGCTGACCTAATATACCAAGTAGCAATGTGCAATTTTTCCACAGAGGTACATGTAGCCACAGAGTTTTAAAAAATGGTCTTCAAATTAAGGGCTGGCATTCCTAAAAAAATTTAGAAGAAAAACGAGTGTGAGAGGAATGCAACTATTGTGAGCTACACCACTGCCCTACTGACAACTTCTCATGTGCATGAGCTCACCTAATCTAAAAAAACTCTATGCTTTTATAGACGAGGCAGCTGAGGCCCAAGCTGAGCCATCTGCCCAGGGTCACTCAACTTATAAGTGGCAGCACCTACACTCAAAGCTCAGAACACTACCACTGCTATGTGCTGAACACAAATGCTACAGGTGGCTTTTGCTCACCACGGGTGGACACCTTATGTGATTGGTTCCCACTTTGACATGGCCTTTGCTCTTCCAGAACTTCTCTTGTTTGCTCTCCCTAGGGCTTTAATGATCCTTCCTCATGCTCAGAAACAGAAGTCGGGCCCACATGAAACATGCTGCCACATGATCATAGTGATCTGTGACTGCCTTAGTCTCTCTCTGGCTTCCTTTCTGTAGTCCTAATTTTCCCTCACGGAATAATATACAGTTATGGTGAGAAGAAGAGGGACTAACTGAAAAGAGAGCAGATCAATTTTCATATTCAAAAAGATAATAAACCAGCAGAAACTAACAACAAAAGAAAAAACACGGCTTTCCTGCTTAAGATATGATAGCTTTAAATATGAGAATGCTATTAAAGTATTAATAGAATATTTCTCTTGTCTTGAGAATTGAAATTGAGACTCAATTAAAGCTTTTGACAAAAATGTCTGCCAGCTGTCAGTCAAGGCCTGGGCCTTTACCTGCAGTGCCACCTTGGGAGTGTGGCTTCCACGTGGGAGTCTTCCTGTTCATCTGCCAAATCAGGGGCTGGTCTAGACGCCGCTCAGGTCTCCTGGCAGCTCTAACATCTTCCATGGCTCTTTCACAGCATCTAGCTCCACAGTAGTCAACATAATTTCTCATTTTGTTGAAAATAAACTGGCAAATGCTTCTTGGAAACTCAGTGCTAAATTAAATGAACCTCAGTCTTCTTTCCAAGGGTCAGAAGTTACATCATAATGGCTCCTCAGACAAATACAACCTTGATGTTCTTGAGAATTTTATCTCTGTTGCACAGATAAATGAGTAACCTCACCATAAAACTGAAAGGGATTTCCTTGACTGAGACAGTTCCCAATTGTTTAACTTGGAACTGTAAATGACAGGTCCTGTGACTAATAAACAGAAGAGTTAACAACTCCTTTCTGACCAAACTAAACCTCCTTTATTAAATGAAGGGAGCAGTGATGAACATGAGCATAGACTGGAAATTTACTGTGAGGTGCTATAACACAGTTCAGCATAATAAAAATGAGGGTAAAGAATGTTTTTTAATGCACAAGAAGATAAAAGGTAGCAGGATTAGGTCCAGCAATGGTTTGGTGATGAGACAATCTTAGTTTTGACAAGTGAAAACTTAAAACTGACATTTGCTATCATTTCACCCAGTTTCTGATTATTTATTGCAAGACTGTCATCAAGCCGAGGAGCTGGGAGCAGCTGGGCCCCATTCTCATACCTGTCAGTTCCATCTGAATTGCTTTCACAGCATTTCGTTTCTTGTACCTCAAATGTCTATTAACCAAAGACATGTCCTATTTCCCAGCGATAAACTAAAACCTCAACATATGGCAAAGGGAAAAAACACTAAAAATCTCTTCATTTATGGACACAACTTTTCATATTGATAACAGGCAAGAAAACACATTAGGCCAAATACTTCTCAACTCCATCAAAGGGATCAGGGAGGCCCCTCTCTCAACAGATCAAGAGGGGGGCTTCCCTTCCTGGCACCAGGACCATGTCTCTACCCTCTCTCCATGACCCACCCCGTTACAACGGGTCAAAGGAAGCCGGCGTGCTCAGCATCATTCCTGGATTTCCCAGAGGTTTACATCAATTCCATCAACTTGAGTCAAGAAATAGCCCCTAACATCAGGAGACAGCATGTCCCTCTGTCCCTCTCCTGATAGGTGTCAAGGAACAAATCATAGCACTGAGACCAAGTTCATGTCTACTTAGGCCTTCTACCCTACATCTACAGAGGTCAACAGGAAGACCACAAACCCTGAGCAAGGACTCAAGTGGGATGAAGTCGACCTTCCCCAGGTCATCCCACCTCTATGAGTGGGGTTAAGAAGAAACTCCTGACATTTGTCTTTCCTCTACTCCTGCAACCTCTTTGAGCCTCTCCACCAATTTCTACTTTAAATTCACTGGAACTATCTCATTAGGCCTTTTGCTTGTATTTATGTCAGCTCAGGAAGCTCTAAATCACTACGTTGCTCTTTGTCTTTAGCACACCTAAAATTCTGCATACCCCCATCTGTCCTCATCTCCTACCCTCCCCTGCAATTCTGTCACTGCACCCTCTGGAATTCATGCTCCATCACTAGCAAAAATCCCTTATATAGTCTCAATCTCTTCTTTGAAAGTTTCTTGCTCAATGAAAACTTGATTTACCTCTAATGACAATTCTTCCCCAGCAACCCTCTCCACTTTTTTCTTTAACTTCCACAGCCGAGATATCACTGGGTGATGTGGTTTGGATGTCTGTCCCCCTACAAATCTCATGTGGAAATGCAATCCCCCGTGTTGGAGGTGGGGCCTGGTGGGAGGTGACTGGATCGGGGGCAGATCCCTCATGAATGGTTTAGCAACATCCCCTCGGTGATAAGTGAGTTCTTGCTCAGTTCACAAGATGTGGTTGTTTAAAAGCCTGTGGCACCACCCTGTTCTTTCTCCGCTCCCACTCTCACTTGGCCTTCTGCCATGAGTAACAGCTCCCTGAGGCCCTGTACAGCCTGCAGAACTGTGAGCCAATTAAACCTCTTTTCATTACAAATTACCCAGCCCCAGGTACTTCTTTACGGCAATGCAAAAATGGCTTGAATACAATGGGCCTAGAGGAAAGGAGAGTATTTTTCTTTTTGTGGCTAACTCCTCCCTCCCCTAAGGTACAGACACCTCTGCCTCTTCCAGACCATCATGCTTCACTCTTCTGAACAAACACCCAGCTTTCAATCTCCCAACAGCATCATTGTCCTGAGTCCTGGTGATTTCAGCATATGGGAGGATGATCCTTCAAATACGCAGGCCTCTCAACTTTCTGGCTCCTCTTGTCCACTGACCTGACCTCCTTTAGCCAATCCCTCCACGTCACACTCTAGGATCTTGCCATTAGCAATAACTTCAATCTTCAACTTCATATATCCCACTCTCTATGATTTCCTCTCTTTTAGTTTCTAGGATTATACCAGTTAGCCTTTCAACTTCATCGCAATCACCACCATTACTCCTCTTAAACTTTTCATCCCTTATCAAGGCAACCACTGAACTTCAAGTTGCTAAATTCAATGGTCAATGCTCATCCACATGTTATGTGACCAATCAGTAACTACCTGATGTGGCTGATTACTACACCTCTTCCTTGACATACTTTCTTCACTTTGCTCCCAGGATGTTATACTTCCTGGTTTCCTTCCTATCTCACTAGCTACTTCTTTTTTTTTTTTTTTTTGAGACGGAGTCTCACTCTCTCGCTCTGTTTCCAGGCTGGAGTGCAGTGGCGCGCTCTTGGCTCACTGCAACCTCCGCCTCCCAGGTTCAAGCAATTCTCCTGCCTCAGCCGTCCGAGTAGCTGGGAGTAGCTGGGACTATAGGCGCGTGCCACCACCATGCCCAGCTAATTTTTGTATTTTTAGTAGAGACAGGGTTTCACCATGTTGGCCAGGATGGTCTCAATCTCCTGACCTCGTGATGTGCCTGCCTGGGCCTCCCAAAGTGCTGGGATTACAGGCGTGAGCCACGGCGCCCAGCTAGCCATCTACTAACTTCTAAATTCCCAACTCTATAACTGGTTTGGACTTTATGAACGCTATGTCTTCCTATCCATCTAAGATTTAGTCACTTATTTTATAATCATTTTCTATTCTGTGAGCTGTTTATTCAAGGTGTTAGTTTTCCAGTTTGTTGAGTATGATGTTTCTTAAATGCTTTATAAATTTTAGATATGTGTTAGTTTTTGCTTTTGAGGTTCTCAGTTTGCTTGTGTATAAAAGCTACCCCTTATTTAAAACAGGCTTCTTCTGGTGGCTATGGAGAAGGACACAATATACTATTAGGTGGGATGTGCTAGTAACGTACGCTTTGTCTCTGGGGGCTCCTGGGTCCTCCAGAGGGTGGGACTACCCGAGGTTTGGCCTCGCATTGTTACAGCTTTACTCTGGGATCCAACACCATTACCCTGCACTCAGAACTACTGAGTTGGAGGCAGAGCAGACTAGCCTTGCTGTTTCAGAGACAGTTCTTCAATCAGTTATGAGAACACCCTGAGCTTCTTTCTATCCTTTATAGCCATTGATGTGGGGGTTAAATCTTCCCTAAGCCACTCTACCATTGTAGCACCCTTCTCTTGAATGGGGTTTTGTGTGGTTTTGTTTTTTTCAGAGGTTTGGTTTCATCTACTTCCTCTTTCTCAGGAATCTTTCAAAACTTGTTTCTGTCACTTCATGGGATTTTAAAAAGGAGGGGTGGGTGGACCAGATATAGGCTCTTAGTCCATCTTCTTGATTCAAACTACTGTTTCTTAAAAGTCCTTTTCAGTTTACAATGCACTTAGATAATCTTTTAATTCTCAAAATATATTATTTGAGGTAGACATATTATTTAATTTTACAGGTAAGAAAACTGAGACAGAAGACAGGAATGACACCTCATTCATATTTGTTCTGGACAGTGCTGACATCTAGCATGTAGCAGCATTCCAACAGATACACGAATGGCTCATACAAACACTGGGACTGAAAACTTTGTCCATGTCTCAATAACTCGCCTGTAATAATAATGTTTTGTTGCCGTGTCTGTGACAGTTTGTGGGGGTGGGCGAAGGGGTAGTAAATTCCTTTAGAAGTCACATTACTAAGTTCTGTACTATTTAAATTTAATGCAAAAATTTTTCTTGATTATTTTGCCCCGTTCCTTTAAGGAAAATCTTATCTGTAATCGTCATGATAAAATTTAAGACTTCAGCTAACACCTACTAACTGCTTATTATGTGATAGGAAAAATGTAAAGAGTCATGCATAATCCAGGTAATTGCTCTAGACTGACCTAGTTTTGTATTTCCTTTCTATTTAGAAGGAGCCTTTGTTACAATAACCGTTAGGAATTTTTATAAATAAAGCAAAATAAATGAAATGTAATATTTAAAATAAACTTTGGGACTACTCTTGTTTTCACATTATCATACATAACTGAAGATTTGAAATTCCTTTAAGGTAAATGACTAAAAAATTTCCAGTCTGCTTTCAATAAGAGCCTTACTTATCTAATAGTTCTTTTATAACATTTAACAATATTTCCCCAGGAGGGTATTGAATAATATGCTCCAGAATTAGGTTATGCAAGTTGGGTGGAAAAAGAGTTACAGCCAAAGTCCAGTCACCTGACCACAACTTTGCTGAATTTTGGCTTTTCCTTGGTCCTTGTTCACTAGTGCTCCTACTAGGGCAATGCCACTGCTACGACTACTGTCATCTAATCTGGAAAAAGAGATGGCACTAACTTCATTCTCGTCTTGTTTTGTTAAATGTGTTCAGAGTAAATACATTACGGTTAGCCTGTCCCTCTTCCCCTGAGAATTCCGAGGCTACATGGGGCCAGTTCTGATGAGTAAGGCAGAAGCTCAGCCTCTCTTTGTGGGTGTCCCTGGCATGCACAGACTGCTGTCCATGTGACCGCAGGCAATGATGATATTTCTGCCCTCAAGGGCCTTACAATGTGAGGACGATTCAGTTGACGGGAAGGCTGCATGAGGTGTCAAATGTTTCAGACAGCTTGCTTTATTCTTCTCTTGCTGCTGGATCCATCACGAGCCCACCTCTCCCACAGTGTTACTGCATCTTAGTTTTCAAAATAGCCTAGGGTAGTGGTTTCTAAAGTGTGACCCACGAACTCTTTCAGGGTTTCATCAAGTCAAAATGTTTTCAGAATAACACTAAGATGTTATGTGTCTTTCTCACTATACTGACCTTTTATGTGGTGGGTAAAATTGTTGGTGGTTGTTGACCAAAAGTCAAGGCAGTGGCACGAAGCTGCATGAGAATTCTTTTTCTTTTCTTTAAGGAATTTTCACTTAACAATGTCCTTGATGAAGTAAACATTTACTAATTTTATTAAATCTCAACTATTAAAGACACTCTTAACTTCTGTATGATGACGGGAAAAGTGCTCTTGAAAGCAATTCTGGGGCACACTGAAGTACAAGGGTGATCTCAAGGAAAAGCACCTGGGGCCATTTCTTACATTGTGAGGCCAACTAGCTGCCTTTTCCATAAACATCATTGTTACGTGAAATAACTCACAGCAATGAACTAGGCTTACTCAGACTTGGGTATCTGGTTCACATTTTCTCAAAAATGAATAAAGTGAGCCTGTCACTTTAAGTAAAACAACTGACAGTATTTATTACCAATGACAGAATCTGAGCTTTCCAGTAAAAACTGCAGCTTTGGAAAACCAATATTTGCTACTGTAAACTGATGGTCAAGTCAATACTTATCTCTGTTGAGATCAGTGGTGATAATATGACTTTTTTGATATTGCATAATGAAATGTGTTAACAGCACTTTGAAGATACGCATAATGCAGCGAAGTGACATTTTTCAAATGATGCATGCATGATGCCAAAAAACCCAAGTATACAGCAGACCAAGGTATTTTAATGTAACAGAGTATGAAAAGGTTACTGGTATGGTTTTAGAGTCTACGTTACAACTAATCTTTAAGAAACTACTACCTGCCAGGCCGGGTGCAGTGGCTCACGCCTGTAATCCCAGCACTTTGGGAGACCGAGGCAGGTGGATCACCTGAGGTTGGGAGCTGGAGACCAGCCTGGCTAATGTGGTGAACCCCCTTCTCCACTAAAAATACAAAATTAGCCAGGCATGGTGGCGCATGCCTATAATCCCAGCTACTCGGGAGGCTGAGGCAGGAGAATCGCTTGAACCTGGGAAGCAGAGTTTGCGGTGAGCCAAGATCGTGCCACTACACTCCAGGCTGGGCAATGAGCAAGACTCCGTCTCAAAAACAAACAAACAAACAAACAAACAAACACTACTACCTGCCAAGTTTTGATGTCGTATCAAAGAAGAATATCGTCTATTATTTGAAAGGGCTGCTTTCCCCTTGCCAGTGACACATCTGTTGTTCCAACTACTTCAATCAAAACAACATATCACATCAGAAGAAATGCAAAAGCATAAATGAGAATCCACAATTTTTACCATTTTTTAAGAAAATAGAGATTTTTCATAAAAATAGATTACAAGCAATGGGTTGACTGTTACATTTAATGATTGATAAATTTTTTAAATGTTTGTTTTAATTTCTAATATGATAAATATTAATATATATAAACCACATACATTAAAGCATGTTGTGGCTCTCAGTAATTTTTTTCCCCACACCACAGCAATGTACTTCACTAGTTTTTAAGAGTATGAAGTATACAGGGATTGTGAGATCAAAAACTTTCAGAACCATTGGCCTAGGACACATGGCTTCAGCAAATTTCAGGAGGCCGGCAGAGTGAGCATTACGCTTGCCTGAAGAATTATTCTTTTATCTGGAAAACTGTCTCCTTGTCCAGCAGTGATGAGGGAGGAAGTATTCACTAACTAGTTAGCCAGAGGACAGAGCCCGATGTCACAACTGCTTAGTCTCAGATCTCACATAACACCATGACTACAAAGCTTGGTCTTCTGGGGCAGACAGCAAAAAGTCAGAGAAACTAGCATGTCAAATAAGCAATGCAAATATAGAGATTACCCTCAAATCCTTACAAACAGTTTTAACATGGGAATAGCTTCAGTTCCCTAACTGGCATGTTTTATCTACTAGTGCCAAGAATATAAGAAAAGAGAAACAAACTTAAGTTTCAAATAAATAATTTTCTTTAGGAATTAAAAATCACATTCATTTGACAATAATTGGAATATTTACATAATTTTCCATTGAAAACGCCAAACCAAATTTATAGTTTAATCAGAGAATCCCCCTCTAAGAGAAAGATTCAGCAATCCTATCAGCTTACAAAAATTGAAGGTCTGGCTTTCTAAATTATAGAGCTTTCAGAGTTGATATTGTGAACCTGACTGTTAGACATTTCACTGCTCGGGAGGACATCCATCACAGTGCTGACAGGGGAGGGAAAACAAGGGCAAACTTAAAAAATAATTTCACCATGTTTCTCAAGCTATAAAATGTGATTTGGGAAAAACAGTGGGAAGTAGGACTTAAAATAATTTGAGGAATCATTCCTGCTCCCCATTTAATTAAGAGTTAACAAAAATCCCAGTTTACAACAGAATCCTATTTTAAGAAATGGGTTGATATCAAGTGTATACACATGTAACTGAGTCAGCAACTGACAGGGGTTGAGGGGAGGGAGGAATGACTGGGTAGAGCACAGAGGATGTTCAGGGCAGTGAAAGTACTCTGGGTGATACTCTCATGGTGGACACATGACATTACACATTTGTGCAAACCCAGAGAATCTACAACACCAAGAGTGAACTCTAATGTCAACTAAGGGCTTTGAGTGATGATCATGTGTCAATGTAGGTTCACTGATTGTAACAAACACACCACTCTGGTGGCAGATGTGGATAATGGGGAGGCTGTGCACGTGTAGAGGCAGGGTGCCTGTGGGAAATCTGTGCCTTCCTCTCAATGTTGCTGTGAATCTAGGACTGTGGCAAAAATAAAATCTTTAAAAAAGTCATAACTGAAAATTTATCTCCCAGGGACAAAACAGAATTTTAAAATGATAGCTGAGAAAACAGATCCTTTCCTCTTATAAATTAGTAATTAAAAAAAGAAACTGGTTTTATTTAAATACTTAACAGTCCCTATATTTCATAAGACAGAGACTATTAAAATCTGAACCTTATTGTGGCATTAACATGAGCTTATATTTCTATAAATTCTATGAGGAAAGCAGACTCACCTGATTTATTAAGTCTTGCCATTGCTCTAGAAGAAAGTTATCCATTTTACCCTTGCATTTATATGCAAACTGGGGTGCACAGCAGTGAAGCCTTGTTGTTAATTATCTCTGCATCACCCAGTGGGAGGTGAGGGCATGAACACCGCACTGTGCAGGAGAGAGAGCTCCTGCTCTAGTGAGACCAGGCTGAGTCCTGGCTCTGCCACTTACCAACTTCAGCAGTGGCCATGCACAAAATCAAATAATATGAGACAATCATATCATGCATGCATTCATTCATGCATGGATTCAAGTTATTTAAAACATATTTAATAAACAACACAAATTCACTACTTTCATGGAGCTGTCTTTAATGGGAAAGACAGACAATAAACTATATATATGTATAAATAATACGTCGCATGATCAGATGTGCTACTGAGAGTTAGAGCAGCTAAGAGATTGGAAGAACTGAACTAAGATTGTTATTTTATAGTTTAGTCAGAGAACTCTCTCTAATAAGGTATCATCTGAGCTGAGATTTGAAGGAATTGGAGGAGATATGCAGATATTATCTGGGGGCACAGTACTGTGGGCAGAGGGACCATCAAATGTCAAGTTCTTCAGGGGACACATTCTTGGTACAGCTGAAGGCTAGAAAGGAAGGCAGTGCAATTGGAGCAGAGAGGACAAGGGAGAGGGCCACAGAATCAGTAAGAAGGCAGGTGGACCATGCAGGGTCATGCAGGCCACTGAGAGGCTTTCATTTCTTATGTGTGTGTTTTTAAAATCCCGGTTGAGTGAAATGGGAAATTTTTCTTGGTTCCAAGAAAAAAAACAGAATTATCATTTATAGAGAAAGGGAAGAGGATAGCAGCAACAGCTTTCAGGGCAGGGAGAGTTCCGGAGTTTGATTTGGGACACGTTAGGTTTGAGAGACCCTCCTCTGGAGAGGAGGCTGCTGGAAAGAGAATCTAGGGGTCAGGAGACAGGTCTGACCTGCAGACATAAATCTGGGAGTCATCATCATTGCTCTTGGTCGTTAAAACCTGAGACAGTGAGACCACTGAGAAGAGAGCAAATGGAGAAGAGGTTAAAGGAGTGAGCCCCCTTGACTCCAGAATGCAGAGGGCAAGAAGAGGAGGGTCTAGCAAGAGATGGAGAACACCCAGCCAGAGAGAGAGGAGCCCAGAGGCTCTGAGATGGTGAGGGCCTAAGGCTCTTCAGAAGGAACGACGGATTCCCTCATCAAGTGTGGCAAAGGTGCTCAGAGGAGGTCACTGAGGACCTGAACAGAGTTGTTTCAGTAGCAGCGTGGGAACCAAAAGATCAAGTTCAAGAGAAAGTAGAAGAAGATCAAGTGAAGACAGCGAGTTGAGACAACTTTTGCACACTTTGGCTTTGGGTTTTGTAGAGGAAGTGTGTGCGCATGTGTATATATACACAGTCAAGCACTGCATAATGATGTTTCATTCAATGCCAGACCATATATACCAGGGCAGTCCCTTCAACTTATAATGGAGCTGAAATATTTCTATCGCTGTAGCCGTGGTAGCATCATAGCGCAATGCATTACTTGTGTTGGTGACACTGGTGTAAATAAATCTATTGTGCTGCCGGTCATATAAAAGTCTAGCACATACAATTATGTACGGTACATCATACTAGAAAATAAAATTAAAGGACTATGCCAGTGGTTGTGTATTTACCATATTATACTTTTTACCATTACTTTAGAGTATATTCCTTCTACTTATTAAAAAGGAAAACCTATCTGGTTACCTCCTAAAGGACCTGCCCGAAGCTGTTTTAGCTGTGTTTACTTGATCTGTAAAACAGCTTTAGGCAGGTCCTTCAGCAGGTAACCAGAAGAAGGTACTCTTATCCTAGGAGATGACAGCTTCATGCATGTTACTGTCCCTAAAGATCTTCCAGAGGCACAAGATGTGGAGGTAGAAGACAAGGATGTAGATGATCCTGACACTATGTAGTGTGTGTCTGTCTCAGTTTTTAACAGAAACGTTTAAAAAGTTAAAAAAAAAACCAAAACATTAGTTTAAAAACAGAAAAAGCTTATGAAATAAGGACACATTTTTGTATAGTTGTACAATATGTTTGTGTTTTAAGCTAAGTGTTATTATGAAAGAGTCAAAAAGTTAAAAAACTAAAGTTTATAAAGTAAAAAAGTTATAGTAAGCTGTTAATTTATTATTGAAGAAAAATCCTTTTTTTTTTTTTTTTTTTTTCCGAGACGGAGTCTCGCTCTGTTGCCCAGGCTGGAGTGCAGTGTCGCGATCTCAGCTAACCACAACCTCCACCTCCCCGGTTCAAGCAATTCCCCTGCCTCAGCCTCCTGTGTAGTTGGGATTACAGGTGCACGTCATCACACCTGGCTAATTTTTTTGTATTTTTAGTAGAGATGGGGTCTCACCATGTTGGCCAGACTGGTCTCGAACTCCTGACCTCAGGCAATCCACCTGCCTTGGCCTCCCAAAGTGCTGGGATTACAGGCGTGAGCCACCGCGCCCGGCCGAAAAACACTTTTTAATATGTGCAGTGTAGCCTATGCATACAATGTCTATGAAGTCTACAATAGTGCATAGTAACGTCCCAGGCCTTCATAGTCACTCACCACCCACTCACTCACTCACCCACAGTAACTTCCAGTCCTTCAAGCTCCATTCATGGTAAGTGCCTTATACAGGTGTACCATCTTTTTTTATACCATATTTTTACTGTATCTTTTCTATGTTTAGATACGTTTAGATACACAGATACTGACCACCGTTACCATTGCCCACAGTATTCAGTGCAATGATATGCTGTCCAGGTCTGTAGCCTAGAAGCATGAGGCTGTATCATCTAGCCTAGGTGTGCATTAGGCTATCCCATCTAGGTTTGAGTAAGTCACTCTATGATGTTCCCCTAATGATGAAATTACCTAAGGATGCATTTCTCAGAATGTATCCCAATTGTTAAGCAACACATCTGTATATACATACATACATACATACATTAAACTTTATAACTCATTGTGGGTAGATATTACCCCATTTCACAAAACAGAAAAAAAAAGTAGGTTTGGTAAATTAAGAAACTTATTTAAAATCACATAGCTGGTTAAGTGGTGAAGCCAGGATTAGAACAAAGGTCTGTGTAAATACAACAATGCTCTTCTTAATTTCTCTGAGACCAAGGTTTTATGTTATCAAAATTAGCAATATTAGACTACCCAGATACTCCCCAGGGAGTCAGTCTGCTGAAACCCAGACCACCACAGGAATTCCAGACCCAAGGGCTCCTTCCTCAGGAAAGCACAGGCATTGATGCTCCATCAAGCTCAGGTGGGACTCCATAGGCAATTACTTGTTCCAGGTTCTCTTCCAGGAGGTTTTCTAGCCTTGGTACCAGACATTCCTTACTCCCTCTCTGCCCCAGATCATGTCGCTGTAAATGCTGGTGGCTTGTCTTTCATCTCTTCACTCCCACCATAAACCATCTCCTGACAGGGTCCAGCAGCAGAATGTTTCCCCTCGGGAGGTGTTTCTGCCCATTGTCTCGGCTTTTTCCATAATCTTCCAGAAGTTACTATATGGGTGGAGTCTGCTGCCATGAAACAGTCAGAAGCCTGACAGGAGTTACTGAATTTACTGGGGTTGGAGCATTTGCTCTCCTATCAGGCGAAGTATTCAAGCTCAGACATAGAACATGGGTTCTAACAGTCCTACAGTATTCTAGATGTCCCGATCAATAACTTCAGTATTTCTTTGCACCTCAATCCAATGCCTCTCCATCTCACATTCTAGGTATTTCACTGGCTGCTATAGGATCAACTACGATTGTATGTGAAAGCATTTTATGAACAAAGTCCATTATTGTTATGGAGACCTAGCATGCAGTAATGATTAAGAGCCCAGAGTTTGGATTAAAGGCTCTCTGAGTTTTGAATCCTCTTCTTCCACTTAGAAGCAGGGTAAGCTCGGGCAGGCAGTTAAATCTTTTAAGTTCCAGTTTCTAGAAGTGTTTCAGACATAAAAGGTGCTCAATAAAGACACTGATAGAAGGAATGAATGAATGAATAAATCTGGCTTATACTTTCTGCTCAATAAGTGTCTGCTGCAGCTGTCTTACAGCCAGGCTGATAATGAATGAGTAATAATTAAATGAGTTCACCTACACAAAACACTAGTCACTGGCCTGCCATTTAGTCAGTACAAAATAAATGGTGACTATTATCCTTAACCCTATTGTAACTAAGTTTGCAAAACCTCAGATATAACAATCACTTTGTCAAATAAAAGGATTTCAAATGCTAACACAGGTTTGCCAGAGAATTGGAGACACAAACTTTTTTGTCTTTTACAGCTGGTCCCTTCCCTTTTCTACTATGAAATACTTCTAAACTTTATCTCCACTACAAAGTGCAGGAACTTACTGGTACTTGGCTGAATCAAAGGGAAGAAATCGATCTTCAGAGGTCATGTGGCCCAACCACTGGCCTTCAGGCTAAACTGTCTTAATCATCTGAGAGAAATGATTATCTCTCCACTTTCAAAGACTTCTAGGGATGAAACCTGAATAACCTGTCACAGTAATACCCTCGAACAGGTCTGCCAGAAAGTTCTTGCTTTGTGTTTAACCTTAATCTCTCATGAGACACTCAGAATCCTTTTTCTCTTATTTTATTCTCCACAAAGCTTGAGTACAACCTTCTGTGTAAGAAAACTCAGGAAGACAGATTACTCAGAGGAAGCAATAAGGAAGCATGTGCCCTGGAAGTTTCTGGCAAGACTGATTTAGAAATGACCCTATTGCAACTACTACTATCTGATGCTAGATGATGGGCATGTGGAGACAATGAGGTCACAGTCACATGAGACACAAAGACATGCAAATAAAATTTAATATCACACTAATAATAGATATCACTTATCAAATACCTATTATAAGCCATGTATTCTATGCAATTTATCTTTCGTCTTTAAAATAAAGTTGCAATAAAGCTCTTATGTCTATTTCATAAATTTAGGTTTAAAAACAACATTTTTCTGCCATTTAAGAAAACAAGCTCTCACCACTTCTACTGTGTTTTGTGGAATAATCTTAGTATGAAATTAGGAGGTTCAGAGACCATCTTTTTCATTCGACATCTGTTCAGCAGATATTTACAGAGCACCCACTATATGCTGGGCCTTGGAATGCAGCAGCCAACAAGATTTGGTCTTTGTGATAAACCATGTTGAGTCTAGTGTACAAGTGAGACAAGTGTCAACCGGGGAATGGAACATGATGATACCGAGAAACCCAGAGTTCTGTAGGAACTCAGAGGTGGGATACCTGAACCAGTTTTGGGGGACATGAGAAGATTCCTGAAAAAAGAAATGCTTCAATTGACAACAGAAAAGCCAGACAAAGATGAAGAAAAAAATCATTCCAAGCAGAACAACAGCATTCATTCTGGCTTAGTAATAAGAAAGCAGCTAATCAGAGGCATAAAGTTTAGACATTGTCTAAGTCACATGGCTAGAATACATGGAATCAGAATAGAAGTCTAGTTACTCCGAATGCCAAGTGTAGATTTTTTTTCAACACCACCTGTTTTTCACTACCATCTAATTTAACTGTCAATCACTACATTCTCAGAATAATAAGAGATATGTTTGGGTACTCTAAAAAAAAGCCATGTAATTCAGAATCAAAAGGAGATGGCTAGAGGTAAGATAACTGATAGGCAACATCTAAGAGAAAAAGCCAGAGAAACTTCTGGGGTGCTGGAAATGTTCTCCTCATGGTTATGTGGGTGTATACGTATGTTAACTTTCACTGAACTATTTTTTTTCAGATAAATAAAAATTTATGCTCTTTGCTGTATGTACATTATATCTCAGTAAAAGGAAAAAAATCTAAAAGAAAAATCCCTAATTTGTATGTTAAAAGGTAAGAACCAATAGGCATTTGTTGCTGCCTGTTTAACATGCATCTTCACCTTCTTTCTTACCAACAGATCCCTTATAAGGCTGGGGATTGGGTGCTAGTGATAATGTATCAATCCTTTTGCAGATGAAGTAGACAATGAGATAGAAGCAAAATTTATGGAGTGAAGCTTCCAGGAAATTTCCTAACAGAAGGCCAACTCACCTAGGAGGCATGGCTTTCCACTCTTCCCCCTTCTTCCTGCCTGAACCTCAGCTTGGCAGCTGGAAGTATAATAGCCACTGTGAATGAGAAGAGCCTTGGGATAGAAGCCAGGGTGAAGGAGTGCGGAAGAGAAGGGCAGAAGCAGTCTGGATTCTTAGTAACTACAGAAAGCTGTCACGTGAGCTTGGAGCTGATTACATCCTTGCATGAGAGAAAACTAAAACATCTAATTTGATTGAATTTATGATTAATTCAGAGTTTAACCCGTCCCTAAAAGCCACAGCAATGCATTCGGAAATAAGGCGTGTGAGTATCCCTGTATTTTTCTGATATAGAGATAGCTAACCTTATTTTCTTATTTTAACAGAAAACGGCAATGTCCTGCTACTCCTTCCTACTACAAAGTTGCTTAAAAGGTTGCAGATGGTTCTACATAATTGAAAAAAAATTATTAATTTTTATTAGATTCCAAGAAAAAGGAGACAAGGAGAATAATGTTTTCCTTATGAGAACTGCCTCAGTTCCCACTGTGCCTCTTTTTTTTTTTTTTTTTTTTTGAGACGGAGTCTCGCTGTGTCTCCCAGGTTGGAGTGCGGTGGCGCAATCTCGGCTCACTGCAAGCTCCGCCTCCCGGGTTCACGCCATTCTCCTGCCTCAGCCTCCCAAGTAGCTGGGACTACAGGCGCCCGCCAACACGCCCGGCTAATTTTTTGTATTTTTTAGTAGAAACGGGGTTTCACCGTGTTAGCCAAGATGGTCTCGATCTCCTGACCTCGTGATCCGCCCGCCTCGGCCTCCCAAAGTGCTGGGATTACAGGCGTGAGCCACCGCGCCCGGCCCCCACTGTGCCTCTTTACTCCTCCAACACACCCAAGTCCACCATGCCAGGAAGCTTCAGCAATGGCCAGGCGTGCAGCTCACAGAGGACATGCTGATGTCCATGTGAGAGGTCTGTGCAATGCCATATTTACTTTTATAGGCTCAGGTTTTCATTTTTAAGCAGGTTTCTCCATCTTACTGTAATCATTTTAGAAGCTGGCATAGAATAGTTAAAAATCAGGCTTTGAAGCCAAACAAATATCAGAAATTAGACTTTAGGATTTATTCTCTGTCAGCTTAAAGTTAATTTAATTTCTCATCTGTAAAAGTTTAAAAAAAATCTTTCATAGGACTGTTGTAAAGTTTAAATGAAATAATGTGTTATATACATATATGAAGGACAGCTGTTAATGATATTAAAGCAGAAGTCCTTTTTAAATGAGTCCTTATTTTTGTTGTCATACAATCTATTCAGCAAACATTCATTCTTGCCTAAAAAGTAAGGAACTGGAACCGGAGCTGGGTGCGGGCAGTGGACACGGTTCCGCCAAGAGCCGAAGATGGCAGTGAACGTATACTCAACGTCAGTGACCAGTGATAATCTAAGTCGACATGACATGCTGGCCTGGATCAATTAGTCTCTGCAGTTGAACGTGACAAAGATCGAACAGCTGTGCTCAGGGGCTGCCTAGTGTCAGTTTATGGACATGCTGTTCCCTGGCTCCACCGCCTTGAAGAAAGTGAAATTCTAAGCTAAGCTAGAACACGGGTGCATCCAGAACTTCAAAATACTACCAGTAGGTTTTAAGAGGATGGGTGTTGACAAAATAATTCCTGTGGACAAATTAGTAAAAGGAAAGTTTCAGGAAAATTTTGAATTCGTTCAGTGTTTCAAGAAGTTTTTTGATGCAAATTATGATGGAAAAGACTGACCCTGTGGCTGCCAGACAAGGTCAAGAAACTGCAGTGGCTCCCTCTCTCGTTGCTCCAGCTCTGAATACACCCAAGAAACCTCTCAGTTCTAGCAGTGCAGCTCCCCTGAGGCCCATCTCAACACAGAGAACTGCTGTGGCTCCTAAGGCTGCCCTGGTGTGGTGTGAAAGACCCTGGTGTGCGCAATGGGCACGATGAGGCAGCTGAGTTGATGCAGCACTCAATGTATTGAAACTTACCGTTGAAGACTTGGAGAAAGAGAGGGATTTCTACTTCGGAAAGCTATAGAACATTGAATTGCCAGGAGAACAAGGGGGAAAATGACCCTGTATTGCAGAGGATTGTAGACATTCTGTATGCCACAGATGAAGGCTTTGTGACATCTGATGAAGGAGGCCCACAGGAGGAGCAAGAAGAGTATTAACAGCCTGGACCAGCAGAGCAACATCTGAATTCTTCACTCCAAATCATGTGCTTAACTGTAAAATACTCCCTTTTATTATCCTTAGAGGACTCACTGGTTTCTTTTCATAAGCAAAAAGTGCCTCTTGTTAAAGTGCATTTTGCAGACGTTTCACTCCTTTTCCAATAAGTTTGAGTCAGGAGCTTTTACCTTGTAGCAGAGCAGTATTAACATCTAGTTGGTTCACCTGGGAAACAAAGAGGCTGACCGTGGGGCTCACCATGCAGATGCGGGTCACACTGAGTGCTGGAGAAGGTGTTATATAATATGCTGACGTGGCGACCTCAGTGGAGAAATGTAAAGACTGAATTGAATTTTAAGCTAATGTGAAATCAGAGAATGTTGTGAAAAATAAATGCCTTAAGAGTATTTAAAATATGCTTCCATATTTCAAAATATAAAATGTAACATGACAGGAGATACTGTGTTTGACATTGTGTTGGGGAAGGAAGGGCCAGACCTTGAAACCTTTGGAAACTTCTGTCTTACAGGGCTGCTTGAAGCCTCACAGGCCTAGACTTTGGTCTAAAAAGTTGCCCTATGAAGCCATTTGGTGTCATTGGCCAACTGCATCCGTGCTAAAAAGCAAGCGGCATCATTGCCTGGATATAACAGAGGATGTGTTTTAGTCTTGAGATGTTTGAGTTGAAGAGCTCGGTTTTCATTAAGCATTTCTATTTTTCCAGTTATCCCCAAAATTTCTATGTATTATGTTTTTGGGGAAGTGAGGTGTGCCCAGATTTTTAATCTAACAACTACTTTTGGGGACTTGCCCACATCTCTGGGATTTGAATGGGGATTTTATCCCATTTTACTGTCTTTTAGGTTTACATTTACCATGTTTCTCTTCTCTGCTCCCTTTGCCCACTGGGGACTCCTCTTTGGCTCCTTGAAGTTTGCTGCTTAGAGCTGGAAGTAAAGCAGGCAGGTGACCATGCTGCAATTCTTTCTGGACCTCTGGCAAAGGGAGTGGTCAGTGAAAGCCATTGTTACCTTGGGATCTGCAAGGCTGGGGTATTTTCGGTATCTGCTGTCCACTGTAATCTGAATACTTTGCCAGTACACTAGTTTCTTTGGAGATAAAATGCATTAGTGTGTGGCTAAATGTTAATTTTCTTTTGCAGAAAATATAGCACCGTGTCTAAAAATTAATATTTAAAATATTTCATTCCTTAACTCTCCCTCATTTGCAGGACTCTGCAAAATGTGTCTCACTCACTACTGAGTTTGTTCAGCCCCTGATGTATTTGCATTGATTTGTTTCTGGTGGTAGCTTGTCCTAAAATGTGTGTAGAAAGCAAGTATTTTATGATAAAATTGTTGTGTAGTGCATGCTGTGTGGTATTCAGAGGAAAACCCAGATTCAGTGATTAACAATGCCAAAAACTGTGAGTAACTAGCCATTGTTCAAATGACAGTGGTGCTATTTCTCTTTTGCGGCCTTTTAGACTTTTGTTGCCCTAAAATTCCATTTTATTGGGAACCCATTTTCCACCTGGTCTTTCTTGACAGGGTTTTTTCTACTTTAAACAGTTTCTCAATAAAATTCTGTATTTCAAGAGAGAAAAAAAAAAAAAGTAAGGAACTTAGCTTTGGTGACACAACCCTAAAAAAATAAATACCAACAACAGTTTCCCTTTGTTTGCTTAGTACTCTGCAACTTCATAATTTTATTTAACTTTCAGGAAGGTGAACATTAATTTGCCTACTCACTTTATTAGTTAAGCGTAAGGTTTCATAAGGTTTACTGTGCGGCTCGCTCAAGGTCACACATTACATGACAGTCAGGATTCAAATTCAGACATGTCTTTTGACTCAAGCTTCAGTATTTTTACTGTAGCTTGTTAATTTCAAACATCAATTAATTTCTCAGAAACGCTAACAAGAAAACTAAGATTTCTTATGAAGACACACAAGAGAACAGATCCTTATCGCTTATTTTTTTCTGGCAAAGGATGACTTACAAAATACTATCAATTACAGATACTGTCACTAGACATCACGAGTAATTTTAATGACAATTCTTTGCATGAAGTATTGAAACTACATATTAGAATTTCATGGAACCTAACATTGAAAAACCAGGTTGAAATACTGGGGACATGTAATAAGGAGAACTGTTAGCACAGACTGAGGTTCCGGGGAAGGTCTGGAGAGTAGAAAAGGGGTCACAGATTGGTTACCAAGTGGCAGGAAGGCCGGGAAGGCTGCCGCAAATGAAATATGTGCTTAGAAGTTCAAAAAATATACAACTTTGAGGAAAGACCAAGATCAAGGTTGGGTTCCTTAAGCCTATTTTTTTGTATTTCTGTTTTTGATTCCCCAAGTCCAACTACACTGGGTGTCAAGGCATGGAATCTTTTGGTATTGGATTACTTGGCTCTTCCGATACCATTAGAAATGGTCCATCAACATATTATGAGCCAGGTTACAGTATTTCTCTGGATCATTTGTGAATCTTGCATTTGTTTTTACAGCCAATCCTTCCATCTGGTATACTAACATATCTTTTTGAGGAGATTTCTGATAAACACATTTGATATTTAGATTTCAAAGCCATATCTATTACTCTTTAGGAAAACACTGATTGTGATCTGCAATATTTACACATGTGAAATAATTATACCTTTTGATTTTTTATGGGATTGTCAGCATCTTCCTTTGACACAATGTTAGGGCAGCAAATGGTTTTTAGTGTTTCTGGGGAATCTGGTGGCACACTAACTTACATCAATCTGCATATCAAATTATACAGGCTCACTCTTCAAATATGCAGCATTAAAAGAATTTAAACTACGACACTTATAGTATTGTATTTTAATCAGATAAGAAATTGTGATAAGAATACCTACTTTGTTTTAACATTACTGATGTAAAGTAAAATTCTACCTCTCTATATTTATTCAATAAATATTTATTGAGCACTACGTATGTTCTAGCACTGTGGTAGGCACTGGGGGAGGGGACAGTGAATAGATTGAAAAAAGAAGACAGACATTGATCAAATAATCACTTCAATATAAAATTGCAGTTATGATGGAAAACTGCTGGGTATTATGAGAGCATGTAATTATACGGAAAATATCACGTGGGCTGCAGTAGGGAGACATGATAGCTCAGGAGTGGAGTGGAGGTGGGGCAAGCAACAGCCAGGCTCCGGGTGCTCCACAAGCAAGGTGACATTCACTTGGACCAGTGTGGGGGTTACGGGCATGGGGAGCACCTTCATTGATAAAAACCAAAACAAAAAAAAAATCTGTGGAACTCCTGAGCCTGGTATGAAGGTCCATCACAAAATGTTCTCTATGGATCTTTCTATAGACACTTAGTGCACCTTCCTTCCTAGGCACCGTAGGCTGCAGCTTCACTGAAAAACTGGTCACTACCAATGCACACCAAGTCAATCTCTTCATAGGACCACTGCACGTTTTTTTTTTTTTTGTGCTCTTCTGCACAAAAACTTCCTTCTGGTTTGCCTGGTAGAATGGTCATCTATTACTGACAACAGTTTAGAATCTACCCACTAAACAATAACTCACTATCTCAGGTGCTTAAGAAGTGTTGATGAACAAAACAGGATGAAGATTCCTGCCCCTGCAGAGCTTACATTCGAATAGTGACAGTTTTAAGTATGTTAGGCACTTATATTCTAATAGAAAACATCAAATTTCCCTTTGGAATAAGGTATTTTTGAACAATTTGGCTCACTGAAGGTTTCAATAGTTGTTTGCAGAATGAATGTATGGAAGACATTACAGAAAGGCCAACAATTTATTTTTGGGGGAAACAAGTATTTCCTTGGCAACTAACTGGTAGGCACTGTGCAAAGTGCTTTACACATATTATCTAATTTATATAGTACTTATTACTCAAGAAGAGCAGTTCTCAACCTTTGGCTGCTTATCAGAATTATCTGTAGAGTTTAAAGAATTTATAGTAGCTGCTCTACACCAAGACTCAGATTAAAAAATAACAGGTGATTTTCTTGGCACCCTCCCATCCTCCCCCCCTTTTTTTTAAGGCTGCATAGGTGATTCTTCCACGTAGCCAGAGTTGAAGACTACATCAATTTTCACATTAGACTTACAATGGTACAAGATTTCTTACTGGGTTTCTAATAAAGAAATGTTTAAAACAGATGCAAACTTACACGTTATCAATTCAACTGAAGAACACACATAGATCACCTTTCTGATCAGCACTGCATTAGGTGTTGGTGATATAAACATGAGTACAAAAGGGTCCCTGCTGCTGCAGGACTCTATAAAAAGGAGATGGATTCTCAAGTCCAGCAGGTTCCGCTGGAGGACAGAGCAAGCACAGAGCATTGCGGAAACACAGAAGCCTTAGTACTTATAGGACATGGAAGAATGGGATGTGAGGTGAGGAGAATCACCGAGGGTTGTTGGATGGTGTAACTACTCATCCAAGAAACTGGTAGCTCTGTTGCAAGCAATCTGGCAAAGACTAAAATACAAAGAAAGGCAAATTGTCCTGTTTGCACCATTTTAGAAAATTCTAAAAACCACAATATCTTCAAAAGGTATATTTGAGATTAACTAAGGAGCCATGAAGATTTTGATGACAATGTACTTTCACAAGTTAGCCTTTACATTTTAATAGGTTATTGAGTCAAGTATAAATGAGCCATAACTGTGAAACTCAGTATCAGGTTACATTACATGAGTGAGTGACCTGAGATGAGGCAGAGAAGGAATTGGGGCCAGGTCAGGAAGGGCCTTGCTACCGGGTGTGGTAGCTCACACCTGTAATCCCAGCACTTTGGGAGGCTGAGGCGGACAGATCGCTTTGAACTCAAAAGTTCAAGACCAGCTTGGGCAACATGGCAAAACTCCGTCTCTAAAAAAAATACGAAAATTAGCTGAGTATGAACATTAAAGAGTAAAGTGACAGTGGCACCGTCTCGTGCCTGTGGTCCCAGCTACTCAGGAGGCTGAGGATGGAGAATCGCTTCAGCCAAGGAGGCGGAGGTTGCAGTGAGCAGAGATCACGCCACTATATACCAGCCTGGGCGACAGATTGATACCCTGTCTCAATTAAAAAAAAAAAAAAAAGGCCTTGCTAAAGTGATGACTTCTAATAGAAGAAACAGTCTTGTATCAATTATTTAATCCACTCTGTTTAAAAATAACTTGCTAGCACTAGCAATATTGCTATATTTGGTGGGATTAGAAACTGCCAAGGCTGAATGCCACACTGCTCCCTTAAGAAATCCCCTTCGTTTTCAAATTGCCACATATGCTTTACACCCCTTTGTAACCAGTTTCCCTGACCATAAACTTCAAAGAATCCAAGGGGCAATCATTATCCTGGAGAAGCACATGCAGGGCTCCACTGGAGCTGTACTAACATATGGTATGTGTATGTATCCTGTATTGTTTTTCCAAAATTCCAAAAATTGGAATGTAAGACATATTTAGCTTCGACAGTTTTAGATAAAGAATTGTAGGACTTTAATGATAGCTATTGATAGCATTTACGATGTGTGATATGCTTTCCATATATGACATGCTTTCCATTTCGCTTAACTTTACAACAACCCCATGAGGTCAGTACTATTATTGTCATCCCCATTTTACTCTAGAGCACAGGTTAAATAACTTGCCCATGGTCACACTTTAATTTACTACATCTTTATGCAGCCTTAATTGAGACACTGTTTTAATTATATTACTTTGGCTAAGACAATATGGATAGTTTTTTTTTTTCCTCTATGTAAGATGTCTTATTGGGCTATATACCTACATGTATTTTTTATTTCCAATGTCTCTAAAATTTAGCAATGTTTAAGACTATATCCAATACTTTTGATAAACTATTTCAAAAAGGTTGCAATTGGATGAAATACTTCTATTTTATAAACTTACAAACAACATAAATTCATTTTCATGTGGTACAGCAATCCTTATAAATGATAGATAAAGGAAATACATGCAAGTTTTAATGATTATTTTCCTACTTTCTAATGTATATGCCTACTTTTTGGTCCTTTACAGAACACTGAACAAAAAAGCATCAGAGTAAGAAACAACGAACAAAAAAGCAAAGCATTTATGCCTTTACACTTGCAGTGTGCTCCAAGTTAGGTTTGTGATACTCTGCACAGAAAATGAGCAGATATGAGGTGAGCTGGAAGCAATCTATCACCTGGTGATAACGAAGGTGCCAATGATCATCCCTCCACAGTCAGTACTACTTACAGAGCACCAGCAAAATGCCCAGCAGTGACAGACACATAAAACACAATCACAAATTCCAAGTGCCACGTGCCAGGCTCCACACTAAACTGTTCAAGTATATTCTCTCACTACGTTTTTGTAGGTGGGAAAATTGAGGGTTAGTGAAAGATCACATACACAGCGAAGTGGAAAGGTCAGGTCGGCCTGACTCCTAATCATATAATATTTTCACTCTATCTTGTTTAATATACTTTGGAATTGACTATCTTACTCTAATTTCTGGGAGATTAACCATGTCAAAACACTGGGTACACATACTTTAAGACATCAATGAAAGAGAATACAAAAAATAAAACTACAACTCAGTTACTTACTAAAATTGGGGTAAAAATCTAACCATAATACATTTTGTAACTACTAAGAAAAACTAGGAGAGAAATATAGTTACCATTGATATAATGACTTATTAGTATGTAAACCATTTTTATATCAATTATTAATGTAATTGTTACAATTCTGTGGACAACCTAAATTCAACACATCCCAAATGAACCTATTAACTTCTTCCTAAATCTCACTGCCACTTAAATTAATTATATTACTATCTATCCAACAGGTTGAGAAACTGAATTTATCACCTAACCTCCTCCTTCCCAGAACTCCTCCAGAAATTGCTTACTCTTTTCAATTAAAGGGCTCTTAAATATATTCGCACTGTCAGACACTCACTGTTATATTGTAAGTTCAGGCACTTATTGCAAAAATATTGGCTCCTAAGTCACAAATATTTTTAAGGCTCTCAATGCACACTCATAAATTACCTTCCAAAAGGAACATATCCCTTCATGATGACAAATACAAGGGAAAAATATGATCCACAACATGTCTGAATATTATTTCAGTTTCTAAAGCTGTGAGTCTAACAATGAGGTATGAATCGATTCTGGGGAATTCAGGCACCGACATTCTCCATTACAAGTCAACCTGCAACAAGTAACTTAGAGCTCTGTCCTCAAGTCTGTGCTTCTGACACATTTTAGGACTCTAAACAATCTAAATTAAATGAGCCTTTAACAACTTTTTATTGCACAAATAAGGTATCAAAATGGCATGCATAATTTTATTCAGATTATTTGTTGGGATTTTATTGACTGGAGACGTTCTCAGAAAAGACTATAATAGTTTCTGGATATAATACTTAAACTCATAATAACAACAGTTACATAGAGAGGTAGTATAGCAGAGTGCTTAGACTGCCTGGGTTCACATGCCAGCTCTAGCACTCACTCTCCATGAGTTCAGGGAAGTTCCACGGTCTCTGTGCCACAATTTCCTCATCCATAAAATGGTATAATAATAGTAGCTACTGGCTGGGTGTGGTGGCTCACGCCTATAATCCCAGAACTTTGGGAGGCTGAGGCAGGCAGATCACCTGAGGTCAGGAGTTTGAGACCAGCCTGGCCAACATGACAAAACCCTGTCTCTACTATAAACACAAAAATTAGCTGGGTGTGGTGGAGCACTCCTGTAGTCCCAGCTACCTGGGAGGCTGAGGCAGGAGAATCGCTTGAACCTAGGAGACGGAGGTTGCAGTAAGCAAAGATGGTGCCACTGTATGCCAGCGTGAGACAGAGTAAGACTCTGTCTCTGAAAAATAAAATAAAATAAAATAAAATAAAATAAAATAAAATAAAATAAAATAAAATAAAATAAAAGTAGCTAAAAAGGCCATAAAATGCTTACAATGGTAAACACCTACTACAGGCTACTACAGCAAATTTATTGAACTATTATGTATATTACATCTGCTATCTCACTTAATTACAATGTTGTAAGTCAAACAGTCATCATTTTACAGAAGAGAAAAGACTCAAAGAAGCAACCTAGTCAACGTCGTAGAGCTAAGAAAGTAGTAGAGCTGACATTCAAGTCCAAGCTTTTGTGGATTTATAGTCACTGTCTTTTTTTACTAACAATAATGCTACCTCATTTTAAAAGTCAGAAATTATACAAAAGTTATTATTCTCTTCCATCAAAAAGAGACTATATATGCAAGATTTGTAGAAAAAATTATTTAAAAAATAAATAAATACATTTTAAGAATGTATGAAACACGAGGAATGAAACATAGAAAGACTTTAGAGTAGGTCTTTATCTTACAGACTTAAAATTCTATAGTGAAGATTTAAAACTGGAGGTTTGGTCATCAACACAAGCGCTTTTTAGAAACCCTGTCACATAATCTACATTTTAGTAATGAACCTGCTTCCCTGGTATGTTCACTCTCTGCAGCATCTGTCATTGCTATGAATGGTTGATCGTAAGTACTGTTGCAGTCTTCTCAATGCTATTAAGCAGATGGCAGCGCTAAATCCAAATGATGTAGTACATCTCCCTGGTGGACTTTGTTTTCATTTACTACCATTATTCTACAATTCCTTAGTGATAAATCTCATGTAGTCTCAAGAACATTAAAGAGTAAAGTGACAGTGGCAATTGATTTATTGCCACTAGCTTGCCTTTGCCCCACTACCGTGTTGTCATACACTTGTGGAGATCATGCATGAAGATCCCATGTGGTGGTCTTCTCTACATTTATAGGAACCTAATTTTTTTCCCCCTTACTAGTTGCTTTTGAGTTAGGCAAAAGAATGTAAGCTTGATCTCAAAGAGAACAGTATGAGGACTAACTGATATGAATTAGCTATGTGACTTTGGTCAAGCTCAAATTCTGTGAATGTCAACTCCTTTTGTAAAATTAAGGAATGACAATCCTACAGAAGTTCTTAGGAATTAAATGACAGAATATGTATGAGAGCACCTAGATACATAGTAACTCACACTTGGTAAGTACGCAATAGATATTTCATTCCTTCAAACTTTGTTAAGTAAATGAATCTTGAAAAACATTTTCCTTTTTTATTAGTTTAATTCTAAAGAAATTCCTGGTGAAGATACAAAACTTCTTATTTTCAATAAAATCAAGGCATCAAATTTGGTAGGACACTGTAACTTAGTGAGAAGCTCAGTCTTGCTTCTCAGACTCATCTAATCAAACTTTCAGTATGAGCAGTGTTTCAGGTTGTCCACTGACTGGTGACACAAATGCTCAGTGCAGCATTCACCAAACCCCAGCCATTCAGGGACAACTCTCAGGATATGCAGTATACTTGCCATCTATCCTGTTCGTGACTTCATACTAACTCTCCATGTTAATTTTCTTTTACTTTAAATAAACTTGACATCACTGAATTATAGCAATAATCATAAAATCATGTGTTTGATATGCTAACCATACTCTTCCAATAACTTTATAATCTAATCATTACAATTTTTTAAGAAGTCTGCCCATGTAGCATCTGAAATCACATTGTGAGACGTCAATGATATGGGTACTACTCTTTGAAAAACACTAGTATAATGGAATGAAAATGGACCTTGAAATCAATAATGTCATTAAGAGTGTCACTCAGGCTACTTAAACTCTGAGTCTCAGTTTTCTCAATAATAAATTGAGGATAATATCCACCTTTTAAGGTTAAAATTAAGATCAGAGGGTGGTTGTGTGTGTGTGTGTGTGTCTGATACACTACAGCAGATGGTCAATATATAATAACTATAATAAACAGCAATACTTACACATGCTAACATTCAGTCTTGGGCTGTTCCTTCCCTTTTCCCTGTCAGAGCTGACAAAGATTCTCTGCTTGGCTAAACTTTAGTCAGCCTCCTGATCCTTCTCCTAGGCCCATCTGTGGAGCTCCTTGTAAAATCCAGTTTTAAAAAAGAACCTTGCTGAGCCAGTTTAGCAAGAACACGCCACCCATGATATCTGATCACCCTCAGTATCTGATCAGGTTCCTTATCCTCCATCATTCCCCAGGGGAGGGGATGTCTGACCATTCTGGCCTGCCTCTGGCAAGAATCCTGTTAGGTCAGTTCAGCCAAAATCCCCCCTACCACTGATGTTTCCTCTCAGTAATTTTCTATCTCCTGACCCTAGCCCGACTTCTTGGCTACGAATTCCCACTTGCCAATGCTAGATGCAGAGTGGAGCCCGGTCTCTCTTCCCCACTGCAAAGTCCCAGTGCAGTGGTCCACGTATCTACTGCAGTGGTCCTGAATAAAGTCCGCCTTACTGTGCTTTAACAAGCGTCACCAAATAATTTTTCTTTTCTTTACAGGGTTGTAGCTTCACTTTTTCACCCCTGTCTCTACTCTTTTTTTTGTTTTTTTTTCCCTTACCATGGGGTCTTGGGAATTAAGTATTTACGGGTCTATGGGGGTAATTTGGGTTGATATCCCTTGTTTTTTGTTGATGTCTACATAGTACTGTGTTAGAAGTATTTTTGTTGACAGTTTATAATGCTCAATTTCTATTAGCACTTTTTGAGACCCTTTATGTTCTATTTAGTTTATGATCACTCTAGGAGCCAAACAGTTCTTTGGAGAATTTATACTTTTTCAGAAACATAGACTAAAAATATTATGATAGTTATTAGGATTGTAAATAAGACATCAAATATAAACTAATTCCACTTAGCTTAGAATAAAATAAAGATATTTACAAGGGGTTTCCAGGAGGCAGAAATGGTCTGTGAAGATTCAAGCCATGTCGGGGCAGAGGAAGGGCTCTGAGGGCTGAGGTCATTATCACCCATTCGTTTTGATTCACTATACTAGCTATTCCGAAGCTGTGTATCCACAGGAAGTAATCAACATCTATTTTTGAGCCAATGTGTATTAGAATAATTCCAATATTGTAAAGAATAGTTTATATTTCTCTTCATAGTAACTGTGTCAAAATCTTGTTACTCATTAAATGTGTGAAGTTAGATAAACGATACTTTTGTTTTATACTGTAATGTTAGCATTATCAAGGTCATTACAAAAATCAATGGGGAAATGTACCTGAACTATACTGAATTTTTTTATGGGAATTCTCATTTGTACTCTGATTTGAATGCAAGGTATTTGAAAATTGGAAGAAAAAAATTCCTAATCTGTAAAACCTCCAAAGATAAACTTGTTTCTGTAACACAAGAGTGTCATAATAATGAGGACCTCAGGAGTTTAAAAGTCATTATGGAAAGAAGCCCTTCCACACAACAGATCATACCCAACGGTAGCCAGGCCGCCTTGCTGTCTTACTCAAGTTTGTTTTCAGGTAGGATATGGCTGTTGACCTTACCGACTCTCAGTGCACAGGAAATACTGACACTGACCATCCACAGGAAAGAAGCCCTTTGCAAGGTTTCCTCTCTCACTATAAAACATTTGCTCGCACAGTCCTTGCAGGTTTCCCAGAACCTGCTCTTCGTAGCCACTCTTGTGTGAAACAACAAGCAGAAGGAATTTAGAGCTGCAGAAGGATGGCAGGAACTCGGGCTCACACTGTGCTACCTCCCTATGCAAACCATCTCATTCAGTCCTCAAGCAGAGACAACGGAGTGGACAACAGACTTCCCTCTACACAGTTTACAAAGACTACGTGCTTTCCTGTCTCTTTCAGCCTTCAGGCCGGCCCTCTAAACGAGAATCTTTTTACACTGTTCTCACAAGTAGAAACAGTTACACATTTTATAAAAGGAGGCTTAGAGAGGTTAAATAACTCACCTCAAATTACAGAGCCAGTAAATGTTAAAGTTGGCGTCTGACCATAGGTCCGTCAGACTTAACCACTGTGGCACCGGTCTCTGTTTCTGATAATACATCGGCACAAATAAAAATGTTTTTGAACTTGTAACTGTAATGTGCTTATGCATACTATAATATTACTAAGCTATATTTTAAATAACATACAAACATTAAAATAGGAATTTAAAAAGTAGGAATATGAGGGGCCGCTTTCCAGTTCTCTCTCTGCGGCTTGTGGACTGTCTTGCTGTCTTGCTTACCCATAAGTGAGTATGTGCCAGAGACAGACACAGCCAGAATCATTTAACTCAGTGCTGTCTATGAGAAGACACTGTAATAGAGAGCTTTCCAGTAGCCACATGTAAAAAAAGTAAAAAGAAATAGGTGAAATTAATTTTAATAATTTTTTTAACATTCTTTTTTTCATACAAAGTCTCTGGAATGTGGTGTGAGTTTTACACTTCCAGCACATCTCAATCTGGACTGGCCACGGGTCAAGGGTCCACAGCTCCATGTCTAGTGGCTGCCATGGGGGACTGAGCAGCTTTTACCTCTGCTCTGTGCTCCCTCCTACTGCATAAAACGTCAAAGAACATCTGCAGAACAGCTTTGTACTCTAAAAGGAGGCCAAGTGAAGAATTCTTCACTAATACTGAACTATAACTGTAGCATTGCACGTACTTTCAAATTCTGAATTGAGAGAACTATTTACGTATGAAATCTTATGGAACCTGAATTGTCAAAATCAAGACATGTTAGATAAGACATCAAGTGCTACATGGCACTGCCCACCAGTGCATCTGAAAACTGGGTGCTCCTTGACAGCAGTGGCAGTAAATGCTATTCACTGAAGGGATCTCATGTAAAAGTGGAAAAACAAATTTCTTAATTTCACTAGTCTAAGCCTACGACTGTAATATGTATATTTAATATAAATTAAATTCCCTATTTGCTTAAGGTAGTCTAAATTTGATAAGGCAAAACTTCTAGTGCATATTGAAGCAGAATTCCTAAGAGATTTTAAAGCATCACAAAGTATTACATTTTTGAATACTGTATATGGGAAATATAAACAGGAATGAGTCCCAGCAACTGTAATCAAAACCATGACAAAAGGAGAGCTGAAAGGCAATGGAGACAGTATAAAAGAGAATGTTTTGGCACCGAGGTGATTTCTTTGGGCTTTACTTCTCTGAATTTGGAAATGAGGAACTTCACTTCTCTGAATTTGGGAATAACATTTTTAAACTTGAATTTAGCAATATCGAAGGGGATGCAGAGAGGGGAGATAATTTATGTAAAGTAGATGAAATAATGCCAAGCACAAAGGAAACCTAAGATGATGGCCGTGATGATTTCCTTGTTAATGTCTACTATTCGATACTGGGGATGATCTGAAAATCTGCTATCCTAACTAGTTCATATCAGGTTCCTAATTCTGAAACATGCAGTGTTGTGCTTAAACCGGTGTTAGAGTATGTGCATTTTGTGTGCTGAATTGTGTACCTTGCCTTCTGAAACTCATATATTGAAACCCTAATCCAGTACCTCAGACTGTGACCATATTTGGAGACAATGCCTTTAAAGAGCTGATTTAAATTGAAATGAGGCCTTTAGAGTGGGTTCTAATCCAATCTGACTGGTGTCCTTCAAAGAAAAGAAAATTTGGATACAAAAAGAGACACCAGAAATGTTAGTGCACAGATAAAAGAGCATGGGAGGACATGGAGAGAAGGCAGCCATCTGCAAGCCCGGGAGAGAGGACTTAAGAAGACTGGAGCGTTTTATTATGGCAGCCCCATATAGTAAACTAATATGGTGCATAGAACCATTTCTTCACCCCACACTATATATAGCTGCTTCCTTTCAATTTATAGCAGAGCAGTTATTCAGTGTAAGCTAAGAGTGCTGTAGTGGAAAAGATACTAATATATAGTTACAGTCAGACCTCAGTTCAAAGTTTGTCTCCTTTGTGTAAACTGTACGATCTGAAGCAAGTTATCTAATTGTGTGAGCCACTGTTTTCTTCTTTAAAAGGGACAGATGTTTATTTGACATGTTATGAGGATTAAATGAACACTCAAGAGTATCTAGCAGTGGCTTCTGTACTTGTCCATGTGAGCACTTCTCATACAGTTCTCTGTACTCCTTCAGGTAAGACAAGTTGTAGCACAGAAAAGATCACTTCAAAGAAGGTAGACTGGCTGTCACAAAAGATGCTTCTTTTAGTGAATCTTTCCTGATATTTAAAGGGCTTATAATTTATAACATAACAGTATCTTAATTAGTCTCTGCCTCTGGGCTCACCATCTGCCAATCCAGCCTTCACAACTGTCATCTAATTAATTTCTCTAAATTCAAGTATAAACACATCATACCTTTACATGTAACTCTTCAATGGCACTGTCTCAGCTCCCTGTGGAGGAAACATGCTGTCACTCCTCCTGGCCCCTCTCTCCCCACAGCTCCTGTGTGCCACATATTTCAGCCCTACACAATTATGTGTAGTTGCCACACAAAACTCCCTGTTTCATGCCTCTGTGACTTGCTGGCCTTACTCTGTGAACTGCTCTTCCCTGTTTGTCACCTGGTGACTACTACTTATCCTTCACTTTCTCAGGTAAATGTCCACAGTATTCCCAACCAGAATTTAGCATAGTCTTCTTATGAAAACAATGAATTTCTCCTCAGACCGCTCACGATAATTAGAATATTACATTGTTTTAAAATATTTACATTTGTTTTTTTCTAGCCAGTAAGCTTTTCAAGGATAGAGTCTCCGTCTTAATAATCTTTGTATTCCAAGCATCAAGCATAATGCCTAGCACAAAATGGACATTCAATAAACACTGATTGAATAAATAACCAAAGAATAAATGCTTATCATCTGTCATATAAATATATAATCAGAGCTTCAAGTAGAAAGACCATGAGCTTTAAAAGCCTGGGTTCACATTTGGGATTAGTCACCTACTTCTCTGAGCCTCAGTTTCATCATGTATATTAACTCTTGCTGTTGTCATTTGTATTAAAACAAGACACATAAGTAACAGATTAAATTCCATGCCTGATTTAGAGCAGGCTCTAAGTAAATGCTAGCTCCCCTTAGTGATCTATCAGTTTACCTGCAGTCACATTTTGACATCACTCTCCTTGACAGATCACAGCATTTAATAGGGCAAATGCTTTAAGTTTGGTTCTTTATATCAAATATCAAAAACCAGAAGATCACATGGACTATAATCTTGTATTGTAAATATACTTCATAAAAAAAGTTACATCTTGGTTTCTACATCTATTAACTGGAGGAAACTCTATTTATTGTATAGGACGGGGTTGATGCCTGTGAAGATCTACTGAAATCAAATACAAAAAGCATTTAGCATAGTATCTGAAACACATTAAAAACTCAATAAATATTAAGTCGCTTCTCTTTTCTCCACAGAATGAATCGAACCATAAACATCACTATATTGTGATACTGTTCAAGCCAAAAAACATGCTTGCATTTGAAAGTCCAACACACGGAATAGAGTCACGTGCTGCATAACGACGTCTCAGTCAACAACAGACTGCAGGTACAGCGGTGGCGCTAAGATATCATAATGGTGCTGAGAAATTCCTGTCACCTATGACATCTCAAAGATCCTGAGCCTGTGTAGGTCTATGCAAATGTGTGTATTTATGTCTTTGTTTTTAATTTTCAAAAAGGTAGGCCCGGTGTGGTGGCTCACACCTGTAATCCCAGCTCTTTTGGAGGCCAAGGTGGGCACACTGCTTGAGCCCAGGGGTTCAAGACCAGCCTGAGCAACATGGCGAAACCCCATCTCTACTATAAATACAAAAATCAGCCAAGCATGGTGGCACATGCCTGTAATCTCAGCTACTCCGGAGGTTGAGGCACAAGAATTCCTTAAACCTGGAAGGAGGAGGTTGCAGTGAGCTGAGATCACGCCACTGCATTCCAGCCTGGGTGACAGAGGGGAAAAAAAAATTTACAAAGTAAAAAAAAAAAAAATTAAAATAGATAAAAGTATATAGAATAAGGATATGAAGAAATGTATTTGTACAGCTGTACAATGTATTTGTGTTTTAAGCTAAGTATTATTACAAGAGTCAAAAATTAATAAAAACTACAAGTTTATAACGTAAAGAAGTTACAGAGGGCTAAGGTTAATTTACTATTGAAGAAAGAAGAAGGCTTTTTAATAAATTGAGTGTAGCCTAAGCGTTTAGTGTTTATAAAGCCTGCAGTGGTGCGCGGTAATGTCCTAGGCCTTCACATTCACTCACCACTCACTCACTGACTCACCCAAGAGCAACTTCCAGTCCTTCGAGCTGCATTCATGGTAAGTGACCTGTATGGGTATACCACTTTTTATCTTTTATACCACATTTTTACTGAAGTTTTTCTGTTTATACATGTTTAGATACAGAAATACCATTGTGTGTCCACTGCCTGCAGTATTCAGTATAGTAACATGCTGTTCAGGTAGACCATACAGCCCAGATGTGTAGCAGGCTGTATCATGTAGGTGTGTAAGTACACTCTATGATGTTCACACAATGACAAAATTGCCTAAGGACACATTTCTCAGATCATATCCCAGTCGTTAAATGACACATAACTGTATATACATCCCATAACAGATACGGGAACAGAACTAACAGAAATGTGCAGTGAGCCTCTCACACAAATGTACCAGGATTAAGAATATGCACTTGACAGTCACACACCTGTTACCATTTTATCAGCTGTTCGGTCACAAGCAAGTGCCAGAATCTCTTGGTTATGTGATCTCCTCATCTACAGCAATACCATCAGCTTTATAGTACTGTTGTCAGGATTGATGTGTTCAGACAACCTACACTGTAAGGCCTTACAGAACTTATGGAAACAGTGCCAGGAATATAGTATGCACTCAGCAAATGCTGTGGGGATGGGAGACTTGCTTTGCTAGGATATTTAGACTACATACTGAAATATTTGTGGATATTTATGTTTTTAAACAAAATCTGAGAAGGACTTATTTATAAAGGGTACATATCTTTGAGTTAGAATATCTGACTTAGAATTTCATCTTTTCACTTTCTGTGCAATTTCTGGCAAATTACTTAATTTTGTGCTCCTTTTCTTCATGTATACAATGAAAACAATGGCATATACTTCATAAAGTTGCTGGGATACCTAAATGAGACGGTGTATACAAAGTCTTATCAAGCATTCACCACATGCCAGTCACTGGGCTCCGTAAGTGTTAGGTCTACCCTCAACACACCAAAGGGCACAAACACGATATACAGGCTTCCACCAACAAAGACCAGTTGAGAGTCAAAGTTTGAAGGCTACTCAAAACTTACAAGTTATAGAAGAATAAAATTTGGTATGAGCAAAAACAAAGAGTTTTTTTTATATCCCTATCTACCTCAGTACCAGAGTTAACAAATAAAGAGAACCTATGTGTGCAAAGCTTGACTGGCACTGGACGAGTTCAAAAGTGAATTTGTGTTTCATCAAAATCACCTCATAGTCCATATTTTCTTATGCTTCAGAATCACTACAAAGCCAATATTTTGTTTTATGTGTATATCTACCTTTGTCTTCCACTTAGAATTTTAAACATAAAACAAAAGGTTTCCACATATTTAGGAAAACATTCTCAACATAAGAAACACTAAGTTCATGTATCAATGAACATCAAGGTAATATTATCAGAAGAGGTAAGTATGAAGCTCTGTTTTGCCTCTGGTAACATTTAATTATTTGTGGGTAAATATTTCTTTGGAAAATAAATCACAACTAAGTCATTATTCACAGGTAGGAGTTTGAAGTTGATAGAAAACAGGAGAGGCTGCTACTTAGAAATTGAAATGTTCTATGAATAGGAAACAAAACTTTTGACACTTTCTTCTCCAGGCACTGACAATGTAGGATACTTACACATTTCCAATGTAATTTTGGGCCTTAAGACTAAATAGTCACAGACTTTGAGGCCATTGTTCCTTCTCAAAATATACTGAACATTTAAGTTGAATTTTTAGACTAAAATTTCAGTTTTTATTTCCCTGATTTCTTTAACATTATAGTAAACTTGGGTAGGGTAATACATGCTGGTTGCTAGAACAGACAGGGCTTCTCCATTTAAACAAATACAAAAACAGGGCAAGCCAATTACCCTCTCTAGCTGACTGCCATACTTTTCCCAGAATATATGAATGTGGAAGGGGATGGTTTCTGTTGTGGGGTCTGGTAATAAAGACTGACTCTTACCTTTGGGCTGGGGTGCTATAGCTGTTATCATAGGAATCATAACTCTGTTCATCATAAGCAGTGCCATATCCATCATCATAGTCCTAAAACATAACAGGAGAAGTACAAAAACATTCAGAGAAGTTTCTAAAAAGAAAGAAGCATTCTGCTTTTAGTGAATTTCCATTAATTCAGCTAGCATTTAATTATATGTCTACTTATAGTGTAAAGAAAAATATAGGAGTGAAAATGGTGAAGAACTTCCACACATTCTCTCTACAAAAGCAAAGAGCAATTGGTAAAAATGGTCAGAATCACCATTTTCAGAACCCTGGAAATTAACCAAAAGATTGCAGAGCTCTAGAAAACATTGTCTTTTTTCTTTTTTTTAAATGGCTGAATCCTGGTAAGAACAGTGAGCTTTGCGCTATTCTAACTTGTCTTATTCCCATGCCCCACTCCCCAGCTCTGAAGGAACCTTGAAAACCAACAGCCACAATCACCAGGAGTCTGGATGCTGCTGGAGGGGGCAGAATAAGGCTGGAGTTCTGACAAAACGCCATTCCTAGAGAACTGTCTTCATTTGACCTGACTCAGACTTCACCCCTTGCAAAATGCCTTTTTCCTCAGGGTATCTGAAGAAAATACTTAAAGGCAATTGTTTGACATTTCTGCTGCCTGAGGTAGTGAAGAAAAACTGAACAAACAATGGGCTAATCAAAAATCTTCAAAAGAAAAGTGGGGAATGAGGTGTCCAAAACAGGTCTTGTAAAGCTCTGAATTATTCCTGGCAATCTAGAAGGCCGGGACCATGCACAGTGCCATATCCATGCCCAGAAAAGACCTGAGAGGGCTCTGAGCTCTCTCTTCTGGTTGACCTTGAGGTTAAGCATGAGTCCCAATAGGCACCCAGAGGCCCTTGGCAAAGATTAGAAAGTTTCTAGGCATTTACTAAAATCTCTGCCCAATCATTAGCTGACTAGTAAACTAACACAGAGGAGACTTCAATAGCAATGCACAAGAAATAGAGACTTTATAAGATTAGTTTAGAAAAGTCACTAAACAACAAAAACAAGAAACCATGGAAAAAATTGATTTCCAGAGTTTACACATTAAATGTTCAGTTTTAAACAACAACAACAAAAAACTGAGACACGCAAAAAAACTCACAAAAGTATGTCCCTACACAAGAAAAAAAGCAGTCAATAGAAACAGTCCTTGAGGAAGCTGAGACATTGGACTTACTAGACAAAGACTTTAATTTGGTTATTTTCAATACAGTTGACACTTGAACAACACATATTTGAATTGTGTGGGTTCACTTACTGCAGATTTTTTTCAACTAAAAAAATACAGTATTCATAGAATGTGAAACTCATATATATGGAGAACCAACTTTTCAAATATGTATGTTCTGCAGGGCTGATTATGAAACTTGATTATGTGTGGATTTTGGTATACACAGGGGATAGTTGTGTAGTCAAGGAATCAAACAATACCCTTTCTAACCAACTAAAGTATAAGAACAGTGTCTCATCAAACAAAGAATATTAATATAGATATAGAAAACATAAAAAAGAACCAAAATAAATTCTTAAGTTGCGAAGTATAATAACTAAAGTAAAATATTCATTTGAGAAGCTCATCAGCAGATAGAACTAGGATGAAGAAAAAACTCAGTCAACTTGAAGATGGATGAGTGGAGAAAATCCAGTCTGAGGAAGAGAAAAAAAGATGAATGAACAGAGTATCAGAGACCTATGGGACAGCATCAAATGTATGAAAATACATGAGCATATAAATACTGACAGACCCAAAGGAAAAAATAGAAAGGAATAGAGATTATTTTGAGAAACGATGGCTGAAAACTTCCAAAATTTAATGAAAAACTGTAATCTACACATCCAAGAAGCTCAATAATCTCCAAAAAGGATAAACTCAGAGACTCAAATGTAGACATGGTTATTGTCAAACTGCTGAAAGACAAAGACAGAATCTTGAAAGTAGAATGAGAGAAGCAACTTATCACATGCAAGAGATTTTTATAATATTAGCAGCTGATTTCTAACAAAAACTATAAAGGCCAGAAGACAATAGGAAGCCATATTAACAAGTTCTTAAGAAAAAAAAAAAGACTGTCAACTAAAATTTCTCCATCCAGCAAAACTATCCTTCAAAAATGAAGGAGAAGTTAAGACAAAGGTCATTTGAATCCACATTAAAAAAAACAAAGAACACTGGTAAATCCTTAGGTAAATATAAAAGATAGTATAAGCTTTTTTTTTATTTGTAACTCTTTTCCTTCTATCTGATTTAAAGGACAAATACACAAAGAAATAATTATAAATCTATGTTGATGGGTATGCAATGTACAAAGATGTAATTTGTATGACAGTAATAAGACAAAAATGAGTGGAGAGAATGGAGCTATTAAAAAGCATTTTTGTGTTGGTTTAATTCTGAGAAAGCAATATAAGTAATTTAAAAATAAAAATGTAGAAAAAGAAACAACAAATAAAGCAGTGCAGTGAAAAAAAAAACATTTAACACAAAAGAAGGAAGTAAGGTACAAAAAAGACCTAAAATATGTAGAAAACAAATGGCAAGATGGCAGGCATAAATCCTACATTATCAGTAATTACATTAAGTGTAAATGGATTAAACACACCTATTAAAAGGAAGAAATTAGCATTATGGGAAAAATGATCCAACCACATGCTGTCTACAAGAGACACACTTTAGTTCAAACATAAAAACAGGTTGAAAGGAAAAGTATGGAAGAAGATATTCCATGAAAATAGTAACTAAAAGAGTACTAGAGTAGCTATAATACTAACATTAGGCAAAAGAGACTTTAAGACAAAAATTATTAGAGAAAAATGACATTTTAAAAAATGATAAAAAGATCAATCCATCAAGAAGGTAAAATAATTATGAACATGTATGCATATATAAAAAATATATGTAACAATAGAGCTTCAAAATACATGAAGCAAAACTACCAGAATTAAAGGGAGAAATAGACAATTCAACAATAATAGTTGGGTACTTCATCAACACACTTTCAGTAATAAGTAGAATACCTAGAAAGAAGGTCAAAAAAGAAAAAAAAAACATTTGAACAACAATACAAATCAATTACACCTAATCGACATCTATAGAGCACACTACTCAAAAAGAACCGAATACACATTCTTCTCCACTGCGCATGAAACATTCTTCAGGATAGACCGTAAGTCTTCCCAAGTCAGAATTTACTATAAAGCTACAGTAATCAAAATAGTGTGCTACTATAAAGCTTTCAACTTTGTAAAATAAATATTAATATGAAGGGATGGTGCTGTCTTTGTAGGAGTAAGACATAATTTATATATGATCACTAATATTTAAAAAAATTTTTTTAGAAAAGAGCAACTGAATATTTGTCAAAGAGCTATATGTTTTGTACTTTGATGAGAATGTATAATATAAAATGATAGTCATTAAATGGGGGCAGAGGAATAACAGAAGTCATGAATATGACTATAACACAATTTGCAAGCCACAGTGTTCTTCATAGTAGCTGAAGGCAGATTACTAATTTGAGTATGATCTTCCAATAGTCAATCAAGGGAGAGAAAGCTATCAGACAACAAACAAATACTTTGAGATGATTTTGGTTATCAGGTAAGTAGCAAAATGCAGACATTACAAATAATTCTTATGAATTAAAAGAAGCTGGAGGCTCCTAATGGAAGGAAAATTCCTATTAAATTAAATCTTCATCACTTAGCACCTATGCCATTTCTGGCACTCTGCTAGACACCATGGTTGGAAAGGAGTCTAGTAAGTAGGATGACATGAGGTGTAGTGGGAGACAGCTGACAGACAACTAAAGAGACAACTATAATTCTACAAGTCAATTGCCATGTCAAGGGTAAGCACTGAGGTGGGATGGACCAGCCCAGTTAGGAAAGAGAAAAGTGGAAGAAAATTTCCCAGGTGTATCAATGCTAGAAATTAGCTTCAAAGCACAGAAAGTAGAAGTTTCCATTAAAATAGTCATTAAAAATTAAAATTAGGCAGAATGAACAGCAGGTGAAAAACAATGGAGGTACAGGAAGACAAGAACTAAGCTCATTCAAGGAATCAAATAGCTTGTTATGGTTCCTCTGTATGGTGCAAATGGAAGAGGAGACCCAGAAAATTATACACTAGCTCATGAAGGACCAAGTTAAGGAATAAGGATTTAAATTTGGATGACATCATTCATGTTGTGTTTATGAAATATCTCTTGGTGTGAGGGCACGAAACAGAAAGGGTGAAGATGAAGTTGAGACTTGCAACCAGGTCACTGTATCGTGCACACAGTTGGGCAAAATGCAAAGATCATGGTTACTTTAGTAATGTTAGCTTGAAAAGAATATGCTTCTTCAAAGAATTCTATTTCTGTGCTTATTTGAAGAATCAAGATTGTAAATGACTAGAATTATAAAAAAAAAACTAAAATATTAAGCAGTATACTGTTTTAACCCTACAGTTATGACACTCATTCCTTACTCAATTATTCTGTCAGATATTACAATACTAGCAATTTATCTGAATTTTCAAATTGTTTAGGTCTTTGAGTTATTGACTTCGATATTTTTATACTGAAGATTTTAAGAGATTAAATTTGCAATTTTCACAAGATTTCATTCAGGAGGATTTCAATTTCACAGTTCGATTTGGCCATGGTGGTGAATATTTTGTACTTCCATTATGACGAGTATTATTTGTTCAGTGGACAACGCTTGAAACATATAGGGAAGCATGAAGCAGGGTGCAATAGGAGAAAAGGAGGAAAAGCTGAGTGTGACTGCAAATCAGTGTCTAAGGTTCCAGGTAGGGAGCACAGGGAATTCTTGTTGAACATCTACTATTTTTATCACAAGGTAGGGGATGAGGTCACTGGCTGAGAACAACAGTGAAGGGGGATTAACCAATAAACAAATGACTCAGCAAATGATTAAAACGAGGAAAAGGAGAGAGTAGTGGAGCTGAGTAAGAGCCTCCAAACCTTAAGATTTTTTTATCTGAGGACTGGGTGATCTGAGCGTTTAGCAGGCCTCCCTTTTTTCCCTCATGCTCTTATCTTCTAGTGTTCTGAATCACTGGTTGCTCGTTTTTTCTCATTTACATAGTTTTATATTATAAAATTCTTCAGTAGATGTTTCTGAGGCTAAGATAGAAATTTAAAAAATAGTGAATGTATTATTTGCTATAACGCAACAGATAATTGAGTGGAATCAAAGTATAGAAGGGGATGTCAAAGATTTAGATCAAGCAAACATCTAAGCTTAGAATCTACTCTTAAAAAGCTTGCCAAGACCTGGGATGAGGAACTCACTACACTTCAGTGCTGGCACTGCTCAGATATGCTGAAAGGTTTACTTTATATTTGAAATTTTTGGGTAATTTTTCACATTTCCATATTTGCTCCTAGAGGACCCCATTGTGACAAGCCCCAGTCTACATGTCAGACTCATTTTTCTGCAATGTGTCCTGTGCCTCCCATGCAATGACTATTTCTAGTTCATGTGCTGTTTCCTGCAAGTCTCTGGCCTGCTCTGTCTAGTGAATTTTTCAAGGTGAAGCTCAAATGAGAGCTTCCAATTCTGTTATAACTTCTGAGTCCCATGAAAACCGTCCATGACACCTTTGTTATGCCAACAATGGACCTAATATATGTACTTCCATTACTGGGCTGCATACAATATGCCTTGCTTTTTGCTTCACCTACCTTTCTGAATATGGATTGTGTCTTATTCATTCTTTCACACTATCACACCAGGCACAGAGTAGCAACAGTGCCTGGAACATAATGAGGACTTAAAAGATGTTCATTACATTGCTGGACTGAATGCCTCTAGAGGCAAAGCAGGCCAAATCCTTCTCTGTTTAGTCCTCTCACCTCTTTCCTGAATTTTCCTCAGCTGGTTCATGTATCTCCAGAGCCTCTAGCCATTCATCAGATGATCAAAAGTGAGGAAACCTGGCAGTATAAAGTCACAAGCAACCTAAGGAATTTCCTTTGGAAGAAGCTAAATAAAGCTCCTTTACTAATCCTAGCACTTTGGAAGGCTGAGGTGGGCAGACTGTTTTGAGCCCAGGAGTTTGAGACCCAGCCTAGGCAACACGGAGAAATCTGGTCTCTACTAAAAAAATACAAAACTTAGCCAGGCATGGTGGTGGGCACCTGTATTCCCAGCTACTCGAGAGGCTGTGTTGGAAGGACTGCTTGAACCCGGGAGGCGGAGGCTGCAGACCAAGGCTGTGCAGGGCCAAGACCAGGCCACTGCATTCCAGTCTGGATGACAGAGGAGGACCTTATCTCAAATACATATATAACGCATCCCTATGTTGTCAAAATGTACTGCAAAGATGTTTTATCCCTTTTCTTGCACTTTAAAAATCAGACCGTGCACTTGTGAGCAAGGCAGTGCAGGAGATACAAGAGGTCTCTAATACTGTGGTGAGAATCCATCAGTCCACACACACCTAGGAAGGCATTAACATCTGGAGAAAAATCAGTGCTTTCTGCTTTACCATCCCATTGTCATCTAACTAGCCAATGAGGCTATTTTTAATCTCCCTAAATCTATCTCACACCCATCCCCGCTTCCTCTACATTCCTAATGTGAATCATTTCATTCAGAATTATTAGATTCATCAGAATCATTCAGAATTCTTCAACTGGACTAGTCAGAGACCGTAACTGATCCTGGATTTCTAATGCTTCCTTATCTAAACATTCCTCCAAAAATTATACACCTAGAATGCAAATCCTCACTTGTACCCCTTCCCTCCCTGCTTAAAATCTCCACTCTGCACTCCTCTGTCCTGAGAACAATAGGGGAAGATTAACCAATAAATAAAGATACAAGATAAAGAACAAATTCCTAAGCCTCTCACAGTTCTGCCCTCAGCAACTCACCCAGGGAGGTGCCTGCCACTGCTGCCTGGTGCTGTGAGAGAGGTGCCTGCCACTGCTGCCTGGTGCTGTGAGGGAGGTGCCTGCCACTGCTGCCTGGTGCTGTGAGGGAGGTGCCTGCCACTGCTGCCTGGTGCTGTGAGGGAGGTGCCTGCCACTGCTGCCTGGTGCTGTGAGGGAGGTGCCTGCCACTGCTGCTTGGTGCTGTGTGCTTCAGCACCTGCGTGACGGCCCTGCAGCAGCTGTGTCATTTCACCCGCAATTCCTCCGCACAGGCTGTTTCCTCTGACATCACCTTTTTGGTGAGCCAACAAGAAGACTCCAGGCTGAATTATCCCTCTCTCCTTCCTGCGTCCATGATAACCAATAACTTGTATATTCATAGCTTCTGTAATTATTTCTTTGCCTCCTCTCCTCTCACTAGTCTGTAAGGTCCTTAAGGGTAAAAAGCAGGCCCTTTCTCTTGTATTCCCAGTGTCTAGCACATAGGAGGCATGTGGTCATGTTTGTTGAATAAATGATGAAAAGAACTAATTAATGACAAGTGGCAGGAAATGTAGTTAAGTGCTTCTTTGAGAAGAATGCAACTTGAGGAAATACTGTATAATAAAATGCAGTCTGTATTACAATACTGTAAAATTTGATGACAAGAACTCACCTATATCATTTTCTGTCAAACATTAAGTATCAGTCTTAGATTCCCTGCCCTCAGCAGAAAACTGCCTGTGGAACTCTGTATTCTACTTTTGATATCAGAACATTATTAAAAACTGAACAAACATGGATGAGAAATTAGTTATTATAAACATAAATAATGTTTGCCTCATTAAAAAGACTTGCTTATTCATCAAGTCTGACTTTTTAGCTTCGAAACAGCACCGAGCTGGCAGGGGTGAGCTGTCTGCTTGGCGGATGCCAGGCTACAGGAAGGGAAGATGTGTTCTTACACAGGTGGAGATTCTTCATTTGTCATTCCCGACCTATAAAACTCAAACCGACACGTGGCCAAACAACAGAGAAATCTTGCTTTAAAAAGAAGAGATTTTCCAGGATAAAGGAAACAGTATGACCTATTTAATTCTATTTCTGTTACAAGTAAACTCACATTTAAACTCAGGAAAAATCATTTTAAGTGAACAGATGAATTTACAAAAGAGTGATTTTTAAAATACTGTTTCAGTTTTGAGTCATTTTAAAAGACTGTAATTATGCTATCTGACATCTAACTTTAATTGCGATAATAACTGGTCACTTCAACACGTAAAAAGTTTTCATATAAAACGCAACGTTAAAAGCTTAGTCTTATAATTTGAGTTTAAAAAACAAATATTAACTGAAAACAGTCTTTTCAGAAATTCAGTTTTCACTGGGGTTCTAGGTAATAGTATCCGGGTCGATGCAGTGTCACCTCTGAGACTCATTAGACTATGAGCATATCACAAAGCCAACTAAAGATAAAAATTACCATATTAACAATGATTCTAAATAAGAATCTTTCTCATATCATTTAAATAAGTCATCATTTAAGAATTAAATCACATGCCCAGTTGTTTATTTTAGGGCTGTGAGGAAAATATTATGTGACTTCTACACTAATACAACTTCCTTGCATCAGTCTTTGGAGTCTGATGACTATGTTCAAATTCCAGCTCTGCCACTTACTAGCTGTGTGGCTTTGGGGAAGTCACTAATCTCTCTGAATCCCAATTTTAAAATTTGCAAAATGGTAATCATAATATACCTCCTGGTTGTTACCAGTGGTTGTGGGAAGATTAGCCAAAAAATATTTATGAAAATTGTTTGGCATAGTTCATACCTAATAAAGGTAGTTTTGTTTTAGCTGAAGACCTATTCCTTTTAACACTCTCAAGCTGTCAGATCAGAGAAAAATCAAAGCTATCCAAGGTATTTGACTTTTATAGAATATGATGAATTCTTAAAACTTTCTCTAAAATGTGATGTCTACATTTCCATCCTGCAATCACTTGTATTAACTACTTTGGTTTTTAGGTAATGACTGACAAAGATTAGCTGCTATTCTATCCACATCTGAATACAGCCTTTTAAAATATGTCTGTGTCAATCATTCATAGGATCTCTTCTCTTAGTTCATATCCAACTGAGGTAGAATTTCATTTGTTTAATTTGTCAAGGTGCTGAAAAATACACTGAAAGAAAAACAAAATAACAATGAAGTTAAGTCAGAAATCCTACAAACAAGTGAAGGGAAAACTAACTGTAAATTAAAAAATTAAAGAAAATGAAATTAAACCAGAAATTCCACAAAGATAGGAAAAAGGAGGAATAACTAAATTTCATTGGGTCCATATTAACCTTGCATCATGCTACAGATTTTTATGGACATCTTTCCATCTATCCTGGGAAGCAGATGTTGTTGAATGCCAACTAGGTGTCAGGCACTGTGCTGAGCACCGGGGACATAGCATTCAACACAAACAAAACAAAACAAGTATCTTTGTCCTCATGGGGAAGCAGAGAAACAAAACCAAGCAAAATATATGGTATATAAGATAATGAGAGTGTTGGGGAGGTTTGAGATTTTAGACACTATGGCCAGGGAAATCCTTACAGACAAGACTTTGAATACAAATGTGAAAGCCGTGAGGGAGCTGGTCACATGGATTTTAGGGGACTAGGGGGGAGAGAATTTCAGATAGAATGAACAGCAAGCATAAAGGCCATGAGGTAGAGGGGTGCTGTGGTTTGCATGTTTGTATACTTCCAACATTTATGTTGAAACTTAATGTCCATTGTGGTGGAATTAAGAAGTTGGGCCTCTTGCGAAGTGCTTAAGACATGCAGGCTCTCGTGAACTGGTTTAATGCCTTCGTGACAGGCTTCAGAGAGCTGCCTGGCCCTCCAGTCCCTGCCATCCATTTTGCCCTTCTGCCCTGTGGGGACACTGCAAGAGGCACCATCTATGAATCAGAGAGCAAGTCTTGACCACTTAATCTGTAGGTGTCTTGATCTTGGACTGCACAGCCTCCAAAAATGTGAGAATACATTTCTTTTATAAATTATCCATCTAAAATATCTAATTACATCTAATTATTATAGTTTATTAATATTATAATTTTATTATAGCAGCAGGAATAGAGTAAGACAAGAAGTAAAAGTGAAGTGAGCTGGGAGAGAGGTGCAGGGACGAGACCATGTGGAACCTCTGGGCCTTAAATGAGCAAGGTGGACATGAGAGACTTTGTGCTCAGGGTCCTTTCCATGTGGTCCAGTCTCTTCTCTTCACGCTTCGCTGATCTAACTTCCAGCGTACTAGTTCTTTCTCCAGCTCTGTCTAATCTGCTACTGAACCCATCCATTTAGTTCTTTTCAGTTACAAAATGTCTATTTTTCTATACATTCCAGTTCTGTTTAAATCATCACATTTATTTTTTAATTCCTTTATTATAATTGAGTATAATGTTTGCTATCTGAATCCACTGTGTCTGCTTCTGTACTTTTCCTTAGTTTATTATAGTACCTTCTTGTATGTCTGTAATTTTTTTTATTGAATATCAGCAATTACACATGAAAAAAATAATTTCAGGACTATGTTGCTATATTTCTCCAGGATAGGGGAATTAGTAAGTCTAGGTTAACCTTAGTCCCACAAAGGACTGCTATGATTGGAAGCTGACCATCAGTGCATTCTCTGGAAGTATAGCTTCTCTGGGATCCATTCCACAGCCAAGGGGATTTATCAGTCCCTTCACCTAAGCTGGGTGGACCCTTAAGGCCCATTTTTTAAAACTTCTCTGGGCTCTAGATTTCTTTTAAGACTCAGTTCACATTCTCACCTACCTTCTTTAGAAATTGGCAGAAGCTCATTGCAGTCTTTCTCACCAGGGTTCCACCAGAGAATGAAACCTGATGTCCTAAGACATCCACTGTGTATAACATGAATTAATGTCTTTCCTTTGTATCTAGAATGATACTAGCTATGTACCATTCTTAGGACAGTTGAGGAAATAGTCACATGAGTCATTTTTCATTCTCTGTGATTCAGAGGAAAATTGCCTTTCATTTTCATTTTCCCCCAAGCTGTTGGCCCAGTTATTATTATTTTTTTAACCATTTTAGCTTTCACGCCTTCAAAGATTTTTTGGTTTATTTGTTGACTGTTTCTTTCACCTTTTGTAGTCATGCTCAGCAAGAGTCTGGAAGCTGACTTTCATCAATACCCAATATGTATTATTTATTGTCCATGTCTTCCAATAGAAATGGAGTCTCCACAAGAACAAGGGCTTCATCTGCCTGTCGACCACTGTGTTCCCAGTGCCTGGCACAGGGTGAGCGTTCAATCAGTCATGGATTTATATGGATTCATTCATTCTTCCAAGTGCTCTTCCTTGAGAACAACAGCCCCTCTTGGAATGATGTGCCAGATGAGAGATGCCAAGTGTCTTTAGTCCCACTGTGAAGGGGAAATGGCTACTGGCCCACCAGAAGGCACATGTAATTCACAGTGCAGAGGCTTCTATACAGGGAAAATGTTAAGAACAAGCTATCAGAGTTTTAAAATATTTGCATTAAGATTATTCTCTGATCTGCTTTTAGACTTACTGAGTAACCTTCAGATTATCGCATAGTCTAATAACAGATCTGCTTGAAGGAAGATGTGTTATTCTGTTATAAATGAGAGCATCTGGTCTATTTAGTCTAATCAATTCTCTTAATTCACAAATTGGTCATATTTTTAAACTTTTTATTCAAGCATAAAATAAGTCATAAAAAGGTACGAATCCTAAGTACACAGCTTAGTGAATTCTCACCAAGTGAATACAACCAAGCCACACAGCAGGAGTAAAAAAGTAACCAATGCTCAGATCAAGAAATGGGACATCAACAGTTGCCAGAAGCTGCCTTTGTTCCCTCTGAATCACCGTCTTGCCCCAAAAGTAACCACCATCCTGACTCTCAGCACCATCAATGAGTTTTGCCGGCTTTGAGCTTTATATAAATGAAATCAGAATATCTACTATTCTGTGCCATTCTTCTTTCATTAAGTATTATGTTTGTGAGATTCATCAATGCTGTGTGTAGCAACAATTGGTTTATTCTTACTGCTTTAAAATACTGAATGATTATACTATAATTTGTTCATCCATTCTACTATTGATAGACATTTTGCTTCTTTTAGGTTTTGCCTACAGGATTCTTACACACGTCTTCCAGTGCATCTAAGTGTGCATCTCTGCTGAGGAATTACCCACTGCTAGGTCCTGGGGAGGCCTGTGCTCATAACAGACAGCCAAATGTGTCAGACATTTTTCCAAAGTGGCTGGAGCAGTGTACATTCCCACAGCAGTGCATCAGAGTTCCTATTGTGCCACATCCCAGTCCACAATTCAAAATACCTTTTTAATTTTAGTCATTCTAGCACATGTGAATAGTACTGGATATTACAATTTTTATATATTAATGTCCAATATACAGCAAGAGTATGCTCTGAAAGATTGAGCTACATTGGTAAACTGAAGAATTAGATTTTTGAGCCAAAAACAAATTATTTATCACCTTTAATGTGTCAGGTATCAAGTACTTTCCACATGGCAACTTACCTCATCTTTATAACTTAACAATCTCATGTGATAAGCCCTAGTATTTCCAGCTTTGAATTAGGAACTGAGGCACAGAACAGTTGAGCAATTTGAGTAAGGTCACATAGCAATTAAAGACAGGGCAAGGATTCGAAAGTCAGTTTGGCTCCCAACTTTGCTTTTAACCCCTATGATATACTGTCTGGCCCTATAAAATTGAGGGCCAGACCCTGTACTGTAGTGAACCCTCCAGGATAATGCCACACTATAAGAACATATCGAGATGGCCAACTGGCCTTCCACTTCTGTCACCCAACCCAACAATGTAGTTCTATTTTAAAATTGCTTTTTAATTTTATTTACTTTTAACCACTATAGTCCTTATTCCACATCCTGTTATGTACCTCATGCTCTATTCTACCTATAAACAAAATGAATAGAATAAAAATGTATAAAGATGACAATAAACCTCATCAATAATGGACATCACCAAAATTCTTCTGGCTGACTGCAGCACACTAAGATCCTCCCTGTGTCCATGCCTTTAAATATCACATCGAGTCTGCGCAGAGTCCTCTTGGTTCCTCCTACCTGAGTGCTACTCATTCCCTTCCTGTTTGGTTTAAATGTTGTCTCCTCTAAAGTCTTACCACATTCCATCAAGCAGTTGTACTTTCCTGTTTGTTCCTCCCTATTCTTTGTACATAAGTCAATTATAGGTGTTCTAATTCTCAAGGTTAACTGTGTTTCGTCTCTGCATCAGGAAATCCAGGCTGGGCACAGTGGCTCACACCTGTAATCCCAGCACTTGTGGAAGCCGAGGCAGGAGGGTTGCTTGAGGCCAGGAGTCTGAGACCATTCTGGGTAACAAAGTGAGACCCTGTCTCTATAAAAAATAAAAAAATTAGCCGGGCAAAGTGGCACACACATGTGGTGCCAGCTACTCAGAATGGTGAGGCAGGAGGATCGCTTGAGTCCAGGATGTTGAGACTGCAGTGAGTTCTAACTGTACCACTGCACTCCAGCCTGGGTGACAGAACAAGACCCTGTCTCAACCAAAATATACTGGGTCCTGTAGATCAAAAGACATAGCTCCTACCTACCACTAACAACTTAAAGTATAATGGAGAGTAATAAGAAAAATAAAAGTACTTACATTACTCTAAGATAAGTACCTTAAATAAGATGTATACTTGTGGATCCAAATAACAGATTGACCACCTAAAATAAACAAGTAAATATGAAAGAATTCAAAGTGGGGGTGACAACTACTCCAGGAGATCAGGCATGCCAACCCAAAATATGCCACTTTAGCATAAAGATTATTTTGAGCTGAAGCTAATTGAGAATCAGCAGATTTAAAAAGCTCTCTGCCCTCTCTGCCCTCTTATATCTGCATCAAAGCAAGACATAAATTTATAAAGGCAAAGGTTTCCCTCCTCCCCTATCTACCAGGAGGGACCAAGGTTGATCACTGAACACAAGTTTATTTTCTTAAATTTATTTTAATTTTGCAGAGACGGGGTCTCAATATGCTGCCCAGCCTGGTCTTGAACTCCTGGCCTCAAGCAAACCTCCAACTCCGGCCTCCCAAAGTGCTGGGATTACAGGAGTGAGACACCGAGGCCCACCAAGATAACTTTGGACCCTTATTAGCCTGAGATGGCAACAGAGGAATCTACATAACAAACTTCCATTTATTTGCCTTTCCAGAATTTGCTCTCCCTAGAGACTATCTAGTCATTTCTGCAAAAATTTACTGTTCCTTATGGAAGATGCTATATAACCAGAGTTCGAAGCCCCCTCTTTGAGATTTACTAATTCCCTGGGTATCTCTCCCATATATATAAAATATGCATGTCAAAAAACTTTTTTCCTTTGGGTACATTCCAGCTAAGAACTCAGAGGGTAGACAGAAAATTACTTTTCCTCCCCAACATTATGTTCCTTCTTAGACTCTTATCTACTTAAAGGCAGAGACCGTGTTCTATGAATGCTGGTTGAAAACTGTAAAACAAACATGGCAGGTTCTTGCAGATAGTCCATTATAACAAAGGAATAATCCAGTGGTTCACAAGTTCCTTTCCCTGCCTCAGCCCTAAATCACCTGAGGGATATGTTACATCTGTCACATCAGCTCACATAAAACCATTATAGCTCAACTAACTTGGACGGGCAAGCCTAATTATGACAGCACAACTTGCTTTCCATGCCTTAATGACATTTTCATTTTAGAGCTTTCCACTTCCTTGATAAGGTGTTTTGTTGTTGTTTTAACGTAGGAAGAAAAAAAACCAAAAACCAAAAAAAAAACTTCCATACTCATATATTTTAAATCTGAACTTATTTCCTAAAGTCTTACATTCCTAAAATAAGTCAACCTTTCAAGCAATTTAGGCAAAAGATTGATTTGTGAAGCTCCTGATAAGACATTTCAAATAAATTGCCTACTGCTCTTACCCTGGCTTCTGGTAAAATGAATATGAAAAATTATAGAACCTTCATCTTTTTATCTAAAATAAAAAGGTGTCCCTAGGCTTTTCAATTCACATTTAAAATGCATTTTCATAAATAACCTTTTCACAATCTGTACTCTGTTTTAATTAAATTTCTCACTATGGAAAACAAGATAATTGAAGCAGTTTTGAGATTAGTTAACTGTCAAAAATTATGTGAGTAGTCACTGCATTGGGGAAATTTGCCGTCAGTACAACTCCCGTCTCTATAAAAATCCCCAAACTAGTCACAATTAAAGCTTCAGGTGAGCTCTAGCTTTCTCAAAAAAGTGAGAAGGATGACTTCACTGAGTCCTTAAATAAAATCCACATTAAATAACAACATGTATACTAAAAAATACATTTCGTTTCCCTTAAAGGCCTTCATTGATGTTCCTAGTCATCAAAATTTCAGAAGAGTTTATTCTTATCACAAAGAGAAAACAGTGGTCCCTCTATTCCCATGTACAGATGAGGGCACCATTTATGGTAGCAACAGTGTTTTCTTCAAGACAACTTTCATCTTACACAGCCTTAGTGAGTCATGAAGCTGGAGAACACACAGACAAGGGAGGCCTGCTCGTACAACAGGAGGTTTATATTTCTGCTCCTATTCAAAACTATCTCTTTGACTCTTTAAACCTGGATTAAGTTAACCAAAGGTAGCTGTCCTATGAGGAAATAAGACATCCTGCAGTAGTTGCAGAAGGATTGGTAAAACCAATTATTCCTTAGTATCACTTGCTCAAAATTCTGTATAATAACTTTTATGTCCAAAGAGATTAAATATTTTTTCCCATTTATTTGTTAGCTTCTCCATTAGAATACATTGACAGGGTGCTGGAGCATGGGCTCTAGAGCCAGAACGCTGGGCTTTAAATTCTAGCTCTACCCTAATAGACTGTGTGACTTTGAAAAGGTACCTAGTGCCTCTCTTAAGTAGGCACTACCAAGCCTCAGGAGATGATTTAAGGATGATTCCACACTCTGTTCAACAAACATCTTATAGTTAGATAATCAAAGAATAAAAAATATCTGCTGAAGAAAGGAGTTTTTGTATTCTTATGAGCTTGTATGACTACATTTAAAATGCCCTACCATACTTACCTTTAAAGGTGATTAAGCCATCAGCTCAGCCTCAAATGCTTAGAATTGATTACACAACATTGAGATATCAAGAGATATTAGTGAATAAGTACTTCCTATGAATAGAGAGCTGATGCAATCATAATTAAATGATTTAGAGAATAGTATGATTAGAATCCCTAAGGCAATTTTAGTTTACACATCTTAAGGGATGGCAAGTCTGTATTTTTTAAATCTCATTTTGTAAAACATTTTTCAAGATGTTTTAGAATTCAAAAGGCTCACAACTACTCATTTTTAGCTTGTTTCTACCATCATTAAAACATGTATTTGTTTATTCTGTAACTTACTTTTCAATTAAAGGTTTCTATTTGATGAAAACACAATTTTTTATTTCAAAAACCATCTTTAGGGTGAGAGTGGAAACCAAATTTTGACAAACATACTCAAACCGCTGCAGACTTTTTAAGTTGGAAAGAGGTTAAGAACGTCATTTAGACTAACCTGCTACCTATGTATCATCACCACTATTTTGCAGGTTAAAAGAAAATTCGGGCCCAGAAAGGTTAAATAGTCTGCATAAAAACACAACAGATGGTCACTCTGAAGAGAAAGGAGGTTAGAAACCAAGTACAGCCACATACCACATAATGACATTTTGGTCACTATGGACCACATATAGGACAGTGGAGCCGTAAGATTTTAATACCACATTTTTACTGTATCTTTTCTATGTTTAGACACGTTTACAGACACAGATGCCCCATTGTGTTACAACTGTCTACAGTATTCAGTACAGTAACATGCTGTACAGGTTTGTTACCTAAAAGCATATAGCCTAGGCGGTAGTGGGCTCTACCATCTAAGTTTGTCTAAGAACACTCTATGGTGTTCACACAATGATGAAATCGCCTAATGATGCATTTCTCAGGATGTATCTCCTTTGTTAAGGGATACTTGACTGTATTTTGCCTCTCAGAATAATAATCTTTATATTAAATTGCATTGTCTTTCATACTTATTAGTTCACTAAGTGGACCATGTTATGTTTGCTAAAACTTGTTTAAGATACTCAATTTTATTGCACTAAGTGTGCTGAAAAGTATACATAACACATGGCACGACACAGAATTAGTTGGCGTTGACAAAGGTCATGTTGTCCATCCTCCGCATATTTACTTAGTATCTCCAAAATGTCAGGTTCTGTGAGACTGGGTATACTACGATAAAACAAAGACATAGTTCATTCCCTAAAGGATCCCGCAGTCTACTGAGGACAAGGACAAGTAAGTAAACATAGAGGTGGGTATAATTTGTTAAAGGGACATGGAAGATGCTGCTAACTATGCTTGATTAGGTCCAGAAGGCTCCATGATCTAAAGCTATAAATAGTAAACAGAGTTGGCATGGACAAAATAAGAAAGCACATTCAAAGGGAGCCAAGAGCTCGGGAAAACAGTTTACAGTTCCTGCTATGTTTAAGGGACGGCAATTGGGATAGACTGAATGCAAAATGACAGTCGGGTTAGTCAACAGGAGGATGAAAGGTCTCAGGAAGGCCCTTAAACACAATGCAGAGGAGTCTCAACTTTATCCTGAAGAGACTAAGATCCTTCTAGAATTTTCAACTAGCTCTCTTCCTTATGGGGGGAGGTGGAGGGCAGTAGCATATCCGATGTTAGATATTAGAAAGTACACTGGAAGTAGTATGAAGAATACATTATTTAAGGAAAGGAACGAGCTGGAGCAAGACTACAAGCAAAGGTGCAACTGAGGAGGCTATGGCAACCTCTGTCTGTTGTGCATCCATCCATCCAAACTACCAGTATTTATTAAGTGACTACTATATGTTAGGTGCTGGGAATAAAATAGTGCACAAAAATAGCATCATAACAAAACCAACGGCAATGTAGATGAGCTTGAAATCAAACAGCTATTCATGAGGAACAAGTGAAAAGACTTGGTAGCTATTTGAATACAGAGAAGGAAGATGAAAGAATTAGAACTTGGGAGTCTGGTTATATGGTAGTGCCATTCATCTTAACAAGAAACTCTGGGGAAGAATGAGGCCCTTTGTGTTGGTCTATATCACAGCTTTCAAAGTGCTTATAGGGCATTCAGGGAGAGGGGACCGTGAACAGATGACACCAGAGTTAGAAATTTAGATTTGGTAGTTTTGATACTATGATATAGTAAGAAATGTATAGCTTGATTGTCTTCCACAGCTCCTGGCTCACAGCTCCTAAAACCCCTGGAATTCTCTAAGTGATAAGAGCAATAAAAGTGAAAGGAGGGCGTTTTGTTATTCATAAAGCCCCTTTCCATCACAGAAGAGTTTACATCAATAAGATGACTTCCAGAAAGCCCCTAAGGAAAGAGGAGAGGTGGCTGGCTGTCAAGGGAACCATCCCTGTGATTAAAGGGTTGAAACTTGCTGTCCCACCTTTGACCTCCAAGGAGGGGAGGGGGCTGGAGATTGAGTCAATCGCTAATGGCCAATTATTTAATCAAGTACGTCTATGTAGTGATGCCTCCATTAAAAACTCCAGCTGAAGGGGTTTGGAGCGCCTGCAGGCTGGGTGAGGACACAGAGGTGCCGCGCGAGGGTGGCTGCCTGGAGAGGGTGTGGAATGCCCTCCCCAACACCTTGCCCTATGTGTCTCTTCCATCTGACTGATCCTGACCTGTATCCTTTCATAACAAATTAGCAGTAGTAAGTACACTACTTTCCTGAGTTCTGAGCCGTTCTAACAAATTATCAAACATAAGAAAGGGGTTGTGGGAATTTCCAATTTCCATCCAAGTCTGACACAAGTTGTGGGTAACCTGGGGGCCCACCAGTTGCAACTGGCACCTCAAGTGGGACTAAGCCTTTAACTGTAGGGTCTGTGCTAACTCCTGGTAAATGGCGTCAGAATTAAACTGCAGGACACACAGTCGATGTCTGCAGAGAACGAACACAACCTATACATACAGTGCAAAAGTGACGTATTGAGAGCAGCAGTAAAGAGGAAACAGTTTTCCTTTCAGTAGCTAATAACATGCAAGTGTTTAGGTGAAGTAATGGAAATGAAAAAGATCTTACAGAGATAATAGATAAAACTACCATACTGAGTGTTAGGGGGGATGCTGATTTATTCAGATTGTGTGTTTTCTTTGCATGTTGACCCTAAAACAATTTATAAAAAATGGTTTCACTTTAGAAATTCATAAATTGGGCTCGCCAGGACACATCAGGCATGCTTTCCTGTGTAATTACACCAGCATTTTAAATTATTAAAGTGCTCTCATTGAATGTGTACTGGGTTATCCTAATTAATTTGTCAGTTATTTAATTATTTGGACATAAATAATAAATCAATGTCATTTTGGAAAAAAGGCACTTCTTGTTCTCCAAAAAGAGATGAGGAGTTACTGTAATTATATCTAATTTTACTAAGTTAAAAGTAGAGCGGAAGGTCCCAAATTTATACTTAAATAACTGAAAAAACATCCACTATCTGTTTTCTTCATTTTGGAAAAAAGCTAACCACATTAAATTATCTTGTTTGAGAGTTATTCTGAAAAGGAGAATTACTGAGAGATGGATTTGGTGTTACCAATGGCTAGACTATCCTACTCAAATGGCTGTGTCATACGTACTCCCGTAATAATAATCACAAAGTCAAATAGATGTATTTGCTAACAGATGTTCATCTCAATGATACACACTCAGGGAATATTTTGTTACAGTAACTCCGATGAAGAACAGTTGGCTCAGATGACAGTATAAATGATCCAATATCTTCACCAACTCACCTTGAGAAATATCAGACGAATTTCAATAGGCACATTTTACAAGGAAATACCTGAGAATTGTCAAGTTTTCTCACTTTGGCTAACAGTACGTTTTCTAAAATGGGCATAATATAAGTATTTAAAAAGAACTAGAACAGATACCGTTGACTAAATTTTTCTTGGGCCTAAAACTATATCAGAATACTTGCAGTACACATAATCTGAAAATCACTGAGTATCTTTAAAGATTGAAATGCATACTTTCTGAAAAATGCAGCTATTGTGGCAGGATTTTAAAAAATAGAATTTTCCTCATTTTGTTTAAGTAAACCACTGATGTGATCTTTTTTCATCTTTTATTCTGGAAATAATGGCCTCAGATAGTAAATTTTAAATGAAAGTTGATGAAAAGTAAACTGAGTTGGTTTGATATAGCCAAACACATTGTATAGAAATCAAACCTTTATCACTGGATATATTCCAAGGAGATTTTTAAAAATTACGTTTCTGAGTTCCAAAGAAATGACAAGCCCTTTTCAGAGGTACAGATGTTGAGAAATTCTTAAATGAAAGTGTTATTCTTATTTTTGCCAATAAATGTATTAGTAGCGCTTTGTTCATTTTTTTAATCCGAACATCATCCCTTTCTTCCTAACAGTTCATTTCCATTTACCTACTTCGGGTAGCTTAAAACCAGGGAATTAGTGAATTGCAAGGAACACAGAGGTTATTTAATTCAGTGTCCTATAATCCCTTTTATGGCATTTCTGATGAAGGGAACATGCAGCATCTGTTACACTTTCTCCAAAGATGAAGAGATTTTATTTATAACCTCGGCTAGTGGAACACTGTTTTTTTTTTTGGTTTTGTTTTTTAAAGCACTGGTTTTTCAAGACAGAACATAGGCCTTGAACTTTGAATCCTGAATCTGCTCCTTCTTTACCAGTCCTGTGACTTTGGGCAAGGCACTTAACTTCCCTGACCTTAAATTCTCATTTGTACAGTAGAGATCATAGTAGGTGGTTATAAGGAAAACGTGACATATATCAAAGTGCCTTGTGGAGAGCAGTTTCTCATCAAATATTACATCCTTCTTTAAAGCCCCTTTTTATACTGAGATGAGATTTACAGTAGGTTTTTCTGTTTCCTTCAGGAGCTAACAAAATTAATCTTATTCATTTGTAACCTGTGACTACCCGTCCAGTGCTAGAAGACAACAGTAACTTAGGAAAGTTATTTTCTCAAATACTATCATATTTCTTCCCATCACATGCTTTTACCAGGAACTTAGAAAAAATCAATGGTAATCTTCATCTGAACAATGTTATCAAGTCTCTGTATAGGGTTGGTTCAGTCCAACGAACATTTACTAAGTGCTTACAATGTGCCAAAAACTGAGCTAGTAGCCAGAGATTAACCTAGAGATAAAGAATTTTTCCTTAGAAGTTAATAATCTTTTGAAAACTGGACATATTATGATTGTTCTACATAGCTATATACTAAATACTATGTTACATAAAAATTGCTATGTGAATAAAACTGAAAAATCACACAGAAGGCATCTGTGGTGGGTTCTCTGCAGGAGACAATTTTTAAAAACCATCTTGTGACCATTCATTCATTCATTCAGTAAATATTTACTAAAGACCTACTATGTGCCAGACATTATATACTAGTTATTGGGAATAAAAAGGTGAAGTGTGGTGGGTGGGAGGAAGGGGAGGCAGGGGGAGAGTGCCTACCCTCATGGAATTTAGAATCTAATTTAAGATGTTCTAGTTCCATGTAATAATTTTAGTATATTCAAAGATGGCCAACTTTCCCATTTGATGCATGAATGAATAACCATTTATTTGTGTTACAAGCTCCTTGGTTTTCTAAGTTGGGTATCTTATAATACACCCACCCTATCTAAAATCCAAGAAACAAAGAAACGATTTTTCTTTTTTTTTTTTTTTTTTTGAGACGGAGTCTCGCTCTGTCACCCAGGCTGGGGTGCAGTGGGGCGATCACAGCTCACTGCAACCTCCACCTGCCGGGTTCAAGCAATTCTCCCACCTCAGCCTCCTAAGTAGGTGGGTTTACAGGTGCGCACCACTACACCCGGCTAATTTTTGTATTTTTTTTTTTTGGTAGAGATGAGGTTTCACCATGTTGGCCAGGCTGGTCTTGAACTCCTGACCTCAAGTGATGTGCCCACCTTGGCCTCTGAAAATGCTAGGATTACAAGCGTGAGCATCGTGCCGAGCCCAACATAAAAAAATTTTTTAAGAAGAATTTACTTCCCATTCCCCCTACCATGCTGCAAAACTAAGCGTGATGGGTGAGTAATCTTTAGGTTTTCAAACAGTTGAGACCAATGGCCAAGGTCTGAAGTTATGCCAGAGGTTGCAAGCTGTATTAGAAAAGTTGGAAGTAGAAAACTGGGTCAGTGGAGGAAGATGAGGTCAAACGGGTATCTGCAAGGCAGTGCTACTGATGGCAAGCCACTGTAAGCAAGCTGAAGGGCTTTATCTACTCCTTATACCAAGTACCAGCAAAGTTTGTTATATACAGTGAAGCTTTTACTATACTGAAAAAGCCACTGAAGCTTTTACTATAACTGTGCCAAGGCAGCTCACAAAATGCTAAGCTAAATGAGGAAAATCTTTTCTCTTGACTAGTAATCTTAAAAGGCACTGCCAGGAATAATAGATGCTAAATTAAGTGGGAAAGCTATAACGTTTGTAATCTGAACCCTTCATGATGATAATTCAACTCGGGGAAGGAGGTGCACTCATGATGGTATTTCTTTTCCTTTGGTGTCCCACTATACCACCCAAAGCACACCTGGAAAGCACACAGCTGTTTTATGTATGCAAGACTTGTAATTGTATGAAGCTGATAAAATTGCAAATACTGCATTCCAGCCAAATTACAACACTGGCGGATATGACCGTCAGTTATTTGAAGGCAACGCTACCATGTGACAGAAAGAGCACTGGCTCTGTGTTGAAATCACAGCTGCAGTAACAGTCAGTGCCTGGAAGAGTGCCAGGCATGAGTGAGTGTGGGAATCAAACAATGAAGGTTGACTTTTTCCTTTAGAGCTCTTAAACCTTTGTCTGGTTCTGGAAAAACGCAGGTAATCTTCTACAGGGCCATTATCCCATTATCTTTGGTAGCAGATGGAAAAGGGAGTAAATTAATCCTACAGAATACTTCTCAATTCAATTGTTTTAATGCCTTTCCTATCATTTACAAAAATAAAAAATAAATAAAACAATCAAAAGTACAAGCAGCAAACCCAAATGTCTTGAATGTCTCTTGCTTTTGCTTTTCCTCCTTTGGACTTTAACCTTTCAAGAATTTTTCAGTTTTATTAATCTATATAATTTATTTCCAGACTCTAATAATTAGAGTATACATGCTGAGACAGACAACATGTGTGTCTGGCTCACACGGTAGAAATCCAATCTTTATTGAATGGAAAGATGAATACATGTAATGAAGGCAATAGTTCTTTCTGAAATAAGTGGATTATGAAGCCCAAAAAGTTAAATATCTTGCCCGATATTAAAATTTATGGTAAAATGGGGTATAGGATCCAGGTTTCCCACACAACCTGCCTGGCAATTTCTACTACATCATCCAACCACATCTGTATTAAATCTAAACCTAAGAAATCAATGTAAGCCAAAGTGGAAATGAACAGACACTGGGCCTACCTAAAAGGAATTTAAGATTTACTCTCCTTTAGAGTCCCTGATACTTTCAGGAGACTCAGCATTTATGGAAGAGCTGAGGCATAATTATTATTGTCATCTGGTAAGATTATTAGGAAGTAGGAACACATTTAACTGTAACGAATTCAAAGAGAGGAAACACATCCTTCCTCAGCTGAATAACAAACTTGTAAAACTATTACGGGATTTGTTAAAATATAATTCAGTGGGCTCCCAGTATGCACTCTCTCCCAAGTATAAAGAGATAAAAGCTATCCATTCCTGCCCTTCCAGAGGTTCACAAGCTAGGTGGGAGAGAGAAATGTAAGAACTGTAGTAATGCTCAACAGGTTAGCTATTACCACCTCTAAATTTCCCTAGCAATGATTGACCTACGTGTAGAAGGACACAAGGAGACAGTCAAATGAAACATAAGAACACCATTCTAGGCTGAGGAGGCAGTATAAGCAAAGGTCTGGAAGACTAAGATGACACAGAATGTTCAGGGAATTACAAAAACTTAAATATGTCCAAGACAAAGACTTTGATCTTACCAGTGGCCACACAGATGAGGTTGAAGAGGTTGTCTGAGGCCCAGGGGATTATTGCAACCTTCTAGAAACTATGCAAAGAGGCACAGAGCACCTAGCAAGAGATCTCTCCTAAAGTAAAACAATGAAAACCTACTGATACTTGCATTTTATCATTGTTACTGCTTCCCTTTCATTGACAATGGTTCACATACACTTACTTTAACAATTTCAATTATTAATATGAATCACCTATCCATTGCTTCTTATTTTCTTCATTTATGGTAAATGAGGACATCAAAGAATTCCCTTCCCCCTCAACTTTCACGGTTATTATTCTCTCTTACGTTAAGTCAGTCTATGAATTATATCAAAGAATCGCTGAATGATAAATGAAAAACTGATTTGCACTAATTGAAAATAGAGAACTTTTGTTTTCTTTACTGAAAAGAATTTCCACTAAGAATCCATACTCAGCAGAGTAGCTTAAAAGGAAACAGTTAAGGCGGAAACCATCTTGGTATACGCAGGCAATTATTTTTTAAATGACTGAAGTATTCAGGAGTGAAATATGCAAGAATGTTACATTAAATTCCTGTAAGGGCTTGAAAATATGTCTCCTGAACCTTAGTCTTACACCTCCCCACCACCCAAACTCCTCTTCCATACCTTAGATTTAAACTATTTGATGAAAAAGATCAGGCCATTTTTATACCTCTAGTATTAAGTACTTCTTTAGCACTCAATAAATATTTGCTGAAACAAAGTAGAATACTCAAGAACCAAAACAAGGTGAGGAAGCGTACGCGGGTACAATATCCAGTGCTAAGTCTGGATTAAGTCAATCTGATGAACAAGGCTGTTGTCTGACACCTTCACTTACATATTCTCCATAAGTCTCTTGTGTCGGGGGTGGCGGTGGAGGTCTGTACCCAGTTGGGGGGACTCCTCTTGCTCTGGGAGTGAGAAGTCCTCTTCCCCGACTCACTGGCCCTCGGGTGGACAGGACTCCTCTGGGAGTTGGCGTCCCTCGTGGTACTACAACTCCAACTGGCCGGGCTGTAACTCCTCCCCTTCCCCTGTAACCAAGAGAGTCAAATTAGCAGTATCTATCATAGTCTCTAACATTCTGTTATTCACATATATTTATACCTCAGAAACAAAATCAATGTTCTATATTTTTGTAAAAAGGAAGAAGGAAGTCACAAGCAAAGAACTAAAGCAAACATGAAACAGGTGTCTGTCAAAAGGAAATTAAGGCATTTAGGCAGTTCGTCTAGCAACAATATAGAAGTCTGGAGTTAATCTCTGGTCAATACACAGAGTAGGAAACTGTGATATTTGGAGAAGCCACATGCACCCAAGACTTCTATATAATGCCATGCCAGGATTACACCCAAACTTCACTCCCACACTATGAGGTGTGCCTTTTCTTGCTTATCTCAGGACAAGGAAACTGAGGCTCAGAGAGATTTTAAAACTGTCTCAGAACAGCTGTGAGCAAAGCCAGAGGCCAAAATATATGCCAAAATTCCACCAGAGAGACAATAAAATATACTTTCCTGAATAATGTGTCAACCACATGGTAATAAAACAACATTCTTAGGTTAAGTAAACACAGGCATTTTCTGAGGTAGAATTCAACATATTCATGTATTTCTAATGTAAATCATAAGACTTCAAGTCAGGAAGGAAGGAGATGGCTCTATCAAGAATGGCTCCACAGAAGCAAAAACCTGAGAAAACATAAGGACAGAAAAGTGTGGCTACCCCAGAGAATACAGACACAGCATGATGACCTCATCTGGATAAGGCCCTCCAGGAAGAACTGCAGCTGGCAGGCTGGCTGCCTACAGATCAGCTTCCTCCTTCTTCAGTGTGTCTGGGATAGCAAATACGCAGCTAAAGACTCATTTTCCAAAAATAGCAAATTATCAAAACCCAAAGCTGGACTTTGAAAAGACTGATGAAATTGATAAACCTCTAGACAGGCTAAAGAGAAAAAAAAAGCCCAAACACCAATATCAGAAATGAAGAGGGTTTTGGCCGGGTGTGACGGCTCAGGCCTGTAATCCCAGCACTTTGGGAGGCCAAGGCAGGTGGATCACCTGAGGCCAAGAGTTCAAGACCAGCCTGGTCAACATGGCAAAACTCCATCTCTACTAAAAATACAAAAATTAGCTGGGCACGGTGGTGTGTGCCTATAGTCCCAGCTACTTGGGAGGCTGAGCAACAACAATCACTTGAACCCAAGAGGCTGAGGTTGCAGTGAGCCAGGATCACACCACTGCACTCCAGCCTGGGTGACAGAGTGACTCTGTCTCAGAAAAATTAAAAAAAAAAAAAAAAAAGAGAGAGAGAGAGAGGAAGAGGATTTCATTATTTTTGACCTCAAGGACATTTAAGAATAATGAAGAAATACTATGAACAACTCCAAGCTCACACATTTTTTAACTTACATGAATGTGACTGATTCTGATTCATAATGACCAACACAAAGAGAATTAAATAATCTGAATGGGCTTATGTCTATTAAATAAATTTAATCAATAGTTAATGATCTTCCAAAAAAGAAAGCATCAACTCCATATGGTTTCAATGAATTTTGTCAAATATTAAAGAATGAAATGATACCAGTTCTCTATAATCTTGTCCAAAAAATAAAAGCAGAGGGAACACTTCCTAACCCAATCTGTGGGGCTGGTCATTGGAAGTGCCTCGTTCAAAGTATTTCTACATTACTCATCAGAGGCTGGGACCAGTCTGGGCCAGCCAGGGAGGCCAGAGGTGACTGTCCCCAGCCTATTCTTGAGCACTGGTTGGGACCTGACAAAGGAAGTATCTCTCAAAATACTAAATCACCCTCAGAGGCTACAACTGGCCAGAGATGGGGAGGAAAAGCATTAACAGGTGCCAGATTTGTGACCAGCCCAAATGCTCTGTGACCTCCTTAGAATGAGATGTGGTCTGAGGGGGAACAAGAACAAGGCCTCCTCATAACCAATGTGGATAAAGACAGTCTAAAGTGAAGAACTAGAAATCAGCATCTCTCATGAACACAGGTACAAAAATCCTCAAAACTATTAGCAAACTCCATTCCATAATGTGCTAAAAGAATTATACACCATAACCAAGTAGGATTTATTCCAGGTACATAAGGTTGATTTAATATTAGAAAATCAATGTAACCCACCACATCAACAAGGCCAAAGTAGGAAAATCATGTGATCATATAAATAGAGCAGAAAAAGCATGCGGCCAATGGCGACATTCATTCATAACAACTTTCAGTAAATTTCCTCAAGTTGAAAAAGAACATCGGGCAGGAATGGTGGCTCACACCTGTAATCCCAGAACTTTGTGAGGCCAACATGGGTGGATCACTTGAGATCAGGAGTTCGAAACCAGCATGGCCAACATGGTGAAACCCCGTCTCTACTGAAAAAAGACAAAAATTAGCCAGGCGTGGTGATACACGCCTGTAATGCCAGCTACTCAGGCTGAGGCATGAGAATTACTTGAACCTGGGAGGCAGAGGTTGCAGTGAGCCTAGATGGTGCCACCTAGATGCACTCCAGCCTGGGTGACAGAGCGAGACTCTGTCTCAAGAAAAGAAAGAACATGTACAGCAAACCTGCAACATATTGAATTGTGAGCAACTGAATGCTTTCCCCTTAAGATTGGGAACAAGGCAAGGATGTCTACTCTCACAACTACTATTCAACACTATGCTAGAAGTCCCACCTACTTCAATAGGACAAGAAAAGTAAATAAAACTCATACAGATTTTGAAGAAAAAAGTAAAACTTCCTTTGTTCACAGGTGACATCACTGGCAATGTAAAAAAATCCCCAAAAATAGTCCCCAAAACCCCTCAAACCCTACACATACTCCTATAGCTAATAAGCTAGTAAAACAAGGTAATAAAAGGTTACCAGTCAAATGCTTTCCTACATACCAGCAATAAATAATTGGAATTTTAAGAACAAAAAACATTTACTGAAGCCAAAAAAAAATTGCATGTTTTGGTACAAATTTAACAAAATATGTACAGTATTCCTATGTAGAAAACTACAAAACTCTGATGGAAGAACTCAAAGGAGTAACATCCACGTTCATGGTCATAACATTGTTAAGACTCCAGTTCTTCCCAACTAATCTACAGATTCAATGCAATCCTAATCAAAATCTCAGCAAGTGATATATTTTTAGACATTGACAAACATTTTCTAAAGTACACATGGAAAGGCAAAAGACCCAGAACAGACAACACAATACTGACAAGAAAAACAATGTTAGAAGACTCATAATATATAATTTCAAGACTTATTATAAAGCTACAATCAAGACAGCGCGGTATTTGCGAAAGAAAAGACAGATCAATGGAACAAAATACAGAGCCCAGAAACTGACCCTCAGAAATACAGTCAACTGATTACTGACAAAGGAGCAAAGACAATTCAATGGAAAATAATGTTTTTTTTCAACAAATGGTATAGGAACAAGTGAATATCAATAAGCTAAAAAAAAAAGTAGACACCTAGACACAGACATATTTCACAAAAATCAACTCAAAATGTATCTTAAAACCAAATATGAAACATAAAACTTAGAGAAGAAAGCACAGAAGAAAATCTGTATTATATTAGTTTGGTGATGAGTTTTTAGATACAATATCAAAAAAGTCCTTGAAAGAAAAATTGGTAAGTTCTACTTTGTTAAAATTATAGACTTCGGCTTTGTGTAGGACACTATTAAGAGATAAAGAGACAAGCCACAGAAAGGAAGAAAATATTTGGGAAACATGTTAGCTGATAAAGGATTTGTATCCAAAACACAGAAAAAACTTTTATAACTCAACAATAAGAAAGCAAATGACCCACTTAAAAAGCAGGCAAAATACTTGAACAGACAACTCACCAAAGAAGATCTACAGATGGCAAATAACCAAATAAAGATGTTCAACATCATTTGTCACTAGGGAATTCAAACTACAACAAAAGTGAGATACCACTTCTCACGTATTAAAATGACTAAAATAAATAACTGAATATACCAATTGTTGGTGAGGATATGAAAAACATAAACTCTCATTCCTGCCTGGAATGCAACATAGTATATACAGCCACTTAGACAGTTTGGCAATTTCTTGCAAAGCTAAACATAGCCTTATTATACAATCTAGCAGTTGTATTCTTAGGTTTTTACCCAATGGTTCTGAAAATGTATGCCTACATAAAAACTTTCACATAAATGTTTACAGCAGCTTTATTCATAGCAACCAAGATGCCCTTCGATAGATGAACAGATAAGCAAACTGGGTTACATGCATACAGTAGAAAATGATTCAGCAGTAGAAAGAAATGAGCTAACAATCCACAAAAACTAGGAATAAATCTTAAATGCACATTTCTAAGTGAAAGAAGCCACTCTGGAAAGGCTACATACTATATGCTTTCAACTGTATGACATACTGAAAATACTAAAACTAGAGAGATGATAAAAAAAAAATCAGTAGTTAACACAGTTTAAGGGGTGGAGAGAAGGTTGAATAACTATAGCTTAGGGTGATAAAACTATTCTGTATGATACCAAAATGACGGTGAATACATGACACAAAGCACTTGTCAAAACCCAAACAACCTCACAGCACAGAGAGTGAATTTTCATGTTTGCACACTAAAAACCACAATATTATTGAGGAAGTAGGAGACTCTCAGGATGCAATGCTGAATGTGAACAAACATTTTAACTAGGTTAAAGCATATGAAAACAATTTTATTGAAGGGATTGGAGAAAAGTAAACTTAGAAATGAGAGAAGTCTGTTAGACTAAAGGGAAAAAAAAAACCGTAAATAAGCACTGTTCTAGTTGATGAAGTTACTTTCTACAGGAAGAAGTGTAAGTACAGGTTAACCATTCTGATGTCACTGTACATGTATCCTGGAACTCAACAATTAAATAAAAGAATGGTGGGAGCCAGTTTCTCACGGTGGAGTGGAGTAATAAGCAAAGGGAAGAGGCTATAATGGTCAATGTGGGAACAGATTAAAATCAGAGACATCATTATGAACTCATGTTTAGCTTAATATATTTACAGATGGTTAAATATGCATAAATATGTGTATATACATAGGTTAGTACATACACATATATGTCCATTCTATGTCAGCTGAGAAAGCGCAGACTTCAGCACATCCCAGAAACAACAAGCGGGCCAGCAGCCTGACCTTGGTTTCTAATACCATACTCCAATAAATGGAACCTGAGCTTCTTGGAGAAATGACTGATTTTAGGACTGGAGGTAGAAATATCTAAGACTAGTCTGGAGCAATGTGTAGTGCCAGAAAGTAAGAAAGTGTTAAAAAAAAAACCCTCAAATTATGTTTGAATTAAACCCTCAAATTATGGGCATGTGTCAAAGCCAACTGAAAGAACTCCCAATGGCCAAAGCTGAGACAATCTGAGCAAGAAAAGACAGTGGTACTGAATTGTAACACAATGTATAAAATTAATATCCATGAGTCCACACTGACAGAAATGACTGAATCAATCAATCAATAGATAAATAGGGGAGAAGGCACAAATCTTCCAGATAATTTTTGTAGATATTCCACCTAGGGGAAGTGAACTGTAATTCCCCACTTCTTAATCAGGGGTTCCCCATAGTGACTTCCTTTTAAAGGATATAGTAAGAAAAGAAAGAAAAATGAGGAATTCGACAGTGGAGAAACTTGACAAGCATGACCTCAGCTACGTTATCAAGGTAACATGAGCATAAGTCATGTGGACAGTACGTATACTTGATATGATGTGGCAAACATGGCATTTTACCTCTGTGGTTTTGGTTCCCCAAACTCATAAGCCCAGGTTAATGATGAAAACAAATCTGACAAATCCCAATTGAGAAACATCTTAAAAAAAACCTGATTAGTACTCCTCAAAACTGTTAAGATCATCAAAACAAACAAGTCCAAGAAACTGTCACAGCCAAGAGCAGCCTAAGGAGACAGGACAACTCAACGTGATGTTGTATTCCAGGGATTCTGGAACAGAAAAAGGACACTAGGTAAAAACTAAGGAAACCTGAAATGGACTTTAGTTAATTCTGTGCCAGTATTGTCAATAATAGTTAACAATGTGTCAATATTGGTTCATAAACTGAAATAAGTGAGCCATGCTAATGTAAGATGTTAATAATAGAGAAAAACCACATGCAGGATATACGAAAACTCTCTGTACTATTTTCACAATCTTTCTGTAAAGCCACAACTGTTCTAAAATACTAAGTACATTAAAAAAAAAAATCTCAATTTTGCAGCTTTCTTGCAGCTATGGTGGCCTGTGATCCAATTCTGGCCAATAAGATATTAATTAGCACTGACTGAGATTTATGGGAAACTCTTTAAAATTACATAGTTGGCGTTCTCTTTTCCCTTTCACTCTTTTCTTCTTCCTGCATAGGATGCAGACATGTTTGTAAGGGCAGCAGGCTTGAGGGAAAAAGTGAAAGGCTAAGAAAAGCGTAGCCATAAGCTCTGTGGAGCTGGGGAAGGACAGTGTGGCATCGCTGTGCAGGTTTTAAGTGGGGAGCCACAGTGAGCCACGAGCTCTATGGAGCTGGGGAAGGACAGTGTGGCACCACTGTACAGGTTTTAAGTGGGGCAGGAGAAGGACGTAATATTTCTACTGGGTTAAGCCACTACAGGTGCATATTTGGTATTCGCAGTTGAACCTGATCCTAATATAATATGTCTAATGCAGTAAAAAGAAAAAAATAACACTTTTTCGTCAGCTCACCCTCAGGTAAACCTTTAATGACTATTGTAAATTAGGCTTTTTCTTTAAAATCCTAGACCATAACAATTGGTACAGTAAAAATAGTTGTCATGAGCAAAAACATTGGAATCAGATCAGGATTCAATTCCTCATGTACTTACTAGCTTAACATCTACCTGACAATTAGCACTCAAACTAATCAAGGGTCTGAACTGTCCAGGTCAGTTTCCTCAACTATGAAATGAGGCTAAACATAGAGCCCACTTTTGTGTTATTAGGAGAGAAACATGAGACAGTGCACATAAAGTGGTTAGAATTTTTACTGACTCAATAAAAATCAACAGTTTATTTAAACTTCAATCACTCTGAACGGTAATGGTGATATAATTTCTGTAGTGTCTTACCCATCTTTGTATATCTCCAGTATATATATCTAGAGAAATCTTTAACATGATTAAAGAGTAGTTTGTAGCTATAGTGCATCTAACTCCTTTGTGACATTTTCATTAGTTAGTGTATATTTAAACTAATTAATGCTTCCTGTTTTCCTTATCCAATATCCATGATTGCCATCCAAGGTACTTTATGAATTACAAAATATTCAATATGCTTCTTGAATATATAAATGTATGCCTTTCATCAAATTGAAAGACATACATTTATATATTCAAGAAGCCCACACTTCTCTTCCACGATCATTGACATTGTTGGTTATGCACCACTCGTGTATGAAATCACACTATGGCATTTTTATCTGCTATGCAATTTTAGACAAGTCATTTGATATATATCTAGTTGTTCTGGACGCTTATCTATAAAAGATATTTTGAAAATTAGTTTTTTAGGTGCTGAAATTCCACAGGAGTGGTATTAAGCAGCAATAGCATTAACAATGCTTTAGATGACACTGGTGGAAGAAAGGCATGATGGAGGTGACGTGCTAACATGATGGAGGTGACGTGCTAACATGATGGAGGTGACGTGCTAACATGATGGAGGTGACGTGCTAACATGATGGAGGTGACGTGCTAACACAAGAATCCTGTCTTATCGCAAAGTTTTCACTGAGTGCTACAAATAACATTCAGGGCAAGGCTGAACAGCTGGATTGATAACATGGGGATGAGAAGAGAAAAAGCATCTATTAGTGAGAACTTGATAATCAATGACACTTTTTTTAAAAACAGAAAAGCAGATCCAAATTGATAGGAATAGGGTACCACAAACTGAGTGTAACAGAAGAGCAAAAAGACAACACATCTGCATAGAGTTTTGAAAGCAGATTAATGGATGGTCTACAATGCAATAATTCTTTCTTTTTGGGTTTTTCAGCAGGGTGACACGGTTTCTGGTCTTGAAACTCAGATATGAAAAAAATCCAGGAAGGCTTTTGTAGTGAGCTGCCATGGGAAGAATGCTTTGAATGAACAAATACCAAAAAAACAAAAACAAAAACAAAAACAAAAAAACAGTCACTCAGAAATGAATTATTTAGTTTACAGACTAATACAAACTTTTAAGATGTAATGAAAAAGCATACACTTTGGGTTCCAACACATTAATACTCAAATGCAGTTCTGTCATTTGATCTTTAAGCCTCAGTTTTCCTATCTGTAAACTGGGGTTAATAAATCCTATGGCAGAATAGCTGCGATGTTTACACCCTGGGTATGTAAAGTGCATAGCCTAAAACAGGCATGTAGTAAGTGGTAATTAGTACACAGACTTCTGCTTCTACTCTGTCCTGATACTTTCCTTTTGGCTGTTTAGTGAAAGATAAGGGAAGGAGACAGAAAGTACAACTCATGTCAGTTCTCATTTTACACATTTAGCAACAGCAATGTGGTCTGATAAGAGTTTGTAAACACATACTAAATTTTTTGGCTTTTGTCTATAAATTTTATGAGAAGCAGCCACGTACAGCAGGTAGAACAATGAATTCAGTGGTAGATGCCCTGACTGCTTAAGCGAGCTCCAGCATTGCTAACTTGGTGACCTGGGAAAACACAGCTGACTCCAGTTCACTCAGATGCAGCAGGACCCATGCTGACTACAGAGTGGGGCCTGCAAGATCTAGTGACAGGGCCTTAGTCTTCTATCAGGGGTCACAGTGAGAAAAACCTTCCCAGAGATCCATTTGAGGTCTGTGTCCTGATACAATAAGCACCTGAGGGGTAACTGTATCTTTCCTATAACATTCCTAATACATTTGACAATCTTGCTTCATTTCTGTGAGAGAGCTTTTCTGAGAATAAACTTTAATCATTCTAAGAGTGTTTTCCTTGCCTAAGGTTGCTATGCAAATGAGAAGGCTGACAAAAGGAAAAGGCGAAACAGCCTACAGTTATAGTCTCTTACAACACAGGGAAGAAACTGTCAGAGCTGATGAAGACTAAAACTTTTGAAGAGATGATGTTGGCAGCTCTCACTCTGAGCAACTCTAGAGACCACCCGAAATGTGGTTCTAGGGCAGCGCATCTCATGCGTTCATGCGCATCCACATCGCCTGAGGACCTTGTTTTAGGCCAGAGTGGGGTTTACATTCTGCTTTTCTAACAGGCCCTCAAGCACTGCTGCTGGTCTGCAAACCATCTTTTGATGAGCTGAGTCTTAGATCCAGAGGTTGTAGCCCTTTTATGAAGCAGGTTATTGGTTATTTCTTTTCTTTATTCTGTGTTTCATCCAATCTTCAATGCAATTAAAAAAAAAACTAATTGAGCAACTGCTTCCTTATCCTACATTGTATAGAGTATAAAAGAAATCCAAGGCACTTTACAAGATACAATTTAACAAGTTACAAACTGGTTCCTGGTAAAATTATTGACAAATAAGACAGTGTATAAGGAAGTACATTCTTAAGTGCAAGAGAGTTATTTTTCTTCTCTTTGTACCCAGTGAAGTCTCTGATAACAGAGAGCTCCTTATTTATTTTGAAGCCTGTATCACCCACTGTCTTCCAATTCTGATTTTTAGCATGCTTTTACTTTTTTCCTTCATTTAAAAACAAAAATCTTTCTCTGTCATTTCTAACTATCAGCTCTACTGCCTTTTGGAACTATGCAGCAAAAAATTCCTTCCTCTCTGGAAACAATGATCCATTTGATAATAGATAAGTTTAAGACAGAGAAGTAATTTGCCTACGGTCCTCTGTTGAGGGGCTGATCAAGTATCTGTGCTACAGGAATTCAGTTTTTAGTATCGAATTATTTTGAGTAATCAAAAAAGGAATCACAGCACAGTTTGATTCCTTGAAAAGGAAATTTTAAAAATTAAGTAGGATTTGGAAGTGTGTGCTTATCTTTCTATCTCCATTTTATTGAAGAAAGAACTATGGCTTAGAGAGAAGTAACCCCAAGCTCCCCAAGGCCACACAGTGAGTAAGAGTTAGGGGTGACTCTGGAAACTCTGGCTTCCCCAGTGCCAGAGTTCCCCCAACTCTAATCCCCAGCCTCGAACGCCCTGCTTCTCTTCTGCCTCCAAGCCTTTGCACCCTTAACTGGGATGACTTCCCGCCAGCACTATCCCATCTGATTTCTTCTGTTTGTTCATATCCGCTCTCTCCCTGCGGAATTACTTGCATGGTCATTTGTATTTTCATGGCACTCTTTTCTTCATGTCTCTTCTCCTTTATTTATAACCACTCTGTAATAGTTGTTTGTCTCTGATTTTCCCCTTTTAAACTCTAGACTTACTCAGGTAAATACAATGACTTCCTCATTGCTGAACTTCAACTCTTATCACAAAAAGGATTTAAGGAAAATCTGTGATACTAATGACCTAGCTTCAGAAACAGATGATTTTCAAAGAGGTTTTGAGTAAAACTATTACAAGTTCTGAAAAACCAAAGTGTGGTAGGGAAGAGAGAGCCAAAGTACATAAACATACTCACTGGATTCCTTTTGCCCTAAACTGTCTTAGCTTATTAGTGGATCTTGTTTAAACTTTAGGAAAAAATAAGTTGGCAACCCAGGTGTCAAGCTTCCTCCCGTTGGTGATGTCTACAGCAGGCGCAGAACATTTCTCCAGCTTTATGTTGCACGGGACATGTAAAAGTGCTGGCTGAGCTGTAACTGAGAGAATCTGTGCCTAGTTGCATTTCTTGTCTGTTCATCCCTGGCTAGCATTTCAACTACAAGTTCTTGTCAGAAGTTACCCAATTTGTAACACTATTTGCCTCTGTTATTGTCTTCTCAAAGCCTATGCAAGTGATTTTAAAAGAAACCAAAGATTTTCCGCTTTTTGTCTCCCCTTCATCAGCTCCAGTGTGGTTGCTCATTAACACACCATCAGAAAGTGCTTTAATAAAAAGTAATTGAATACTGAAGGCTGATTTCAGTAGAAGGAATTCGGTGGACCTTACAGCAAGAAAAAGCACAGAAACTCATTTCCATGGTAAGTCGTCCAGTTTTCTGCCTGAGATGTGGGGTACTCATGCCAGGTAACAAGCCTAGTTGGGATTAAATACACAGACTACCCAGTAGGCACAGAGTTGGAAGGAAGGAGAAGAGGGTGACTGGATGGGAGAATGGCCTGAGCAGGTAAACCCGGTAGAGAAACAAGCAATTTAAATAACATCCCAATGGAGTGTTCTTTTATTTAAAATTTCCATAATTTTATCCAGTTAGGAAATATATTACCATTTTCCTATATCTACCCTTTCCTTAATAAAAAAAGGACTTTTTAATATTGATTGGTACATTAATATAAATCATACCATACTCTGGTAAAACATTTATGGCCCTAATATTAACTATTCAGTTTTCCTAATAAAATTTCTCATAACTTCATACACTATAGAAGGAAAGTACATCATTTGCAGTTATGAAGATAATCTTTAGCATCTATAATATTCTTAATCAATTTTAAAGATAATATCTTGTAACTTTTCTATTCAGTATGTAACACTTTGGTGTTTACGCCTCTAAAAATAAAGATTTTTTTTAATGGAAGGCTTTAAACATTCCAAATGGCAGTGGAGTTAAGGACATTTATTTTTATATTATCAAAATAACACAATATTAAATTCCTAAAATGTGTATGCATAAAAGAAAGTTTTGCCAAAATAAGTGCATTCTGCCTTCTAGTCTACATATATAGAGATATAAATTCATAATCAACAGATACAGAATTGCCCCGTAAGGCTGCCTTATAAGAATCACAGATTATTAAAGATTATAGACAAAAATTATCTTTTTTAATAAAGTAAGAGGCAGAGAGGTTTTGTTTTTTGTTTTTGTTTTTGTTTTTCTTTCTTCTTAAAAAACTGTATGGAATTGGGTTTGGTGTTAGGAGTAAAAAGACAGAGGGGACCAGGCTGGGTAAGGGGGAACAGGAAACAAGGTCTTTGCAGCCTGGCACTCCGCACTGAGCAAGGCCTCCTAGAGAGCATTCACTCCTTCATCTCCACCACAGAACCTGCCCTGGGTGACTGCTGTGCCGCAGGCCCTGTTGTGGGCAGTGGGAATGGAACAGTAACCAAGAGAGGAGTGTCGCCCAGAGACCATGCGGCTCACCTTCTAAGTAGATTCACACGTTCTACAGTAGGTTAAATATATATATTTTTTCTTTCCAGGAAATTACAAGGAAGGAAAGTATAACTTTCCTGTAAGTGTTCACTTTTTGTTATAATTTCAAATTACTAACTCTCAAGTTAGTTTGTATCTCAAGACAATCCAAACTTAGAAAAACTCCTGGTGAATTTGATGTTGCTACTTAATTTAAAACCTCTTACCTGGTCGTTACCTAAAGTTTTTGCTTAATGACAATTCTATAATTATCTTGCCAATTTGCCCAGTAATTTTATAGCAGCCAATTTAACACTAGTTTTTCTATGTATGTTGAATCCTGAAATGTGCATTTCTCTATCTCAAGGCCTAGAGTTAATGATTCTAAATCTTCATTTCAGTGCACGTCAGAATTACATACAGGTTTGGTATTTCTTAAGTACTGCATTATATTTCAAAAGATGAAATAATTTATGAATTTCAGAAAACTTCTTCCTAAAATATTCTGCTATTCTTTTTTTAATGAAACCAACTATGAATAAAAACGGTTGAGGCATTATTGCTTTTTTTTAAACTACAGGGCTCCTAATGGTGATTGGTTTAGTCTTCCAAAGAGTAAAACTCAATTGTCTCATAAAATTTAGAAGACACCATTGTTTAAACAAACGAATAAAAACACAAAATTTAAAAAATGTGAAGTCAAAAAAATCTAAGCCCAGATTTTAACATGGTTCTTCAATATAAACTGATAATGAAAGGCTGCTTTGTAGACAAAACTGACTATAAAATGTAGGCACCAGTTACAGGGGGAGGCAAGAGCAGAGCACAGGAAAATGATCATTCAAAAGCTGGTCAGCAAATGGGCTGGAAAAGAGAATTCCTACAAATTCAGATGACCGGTCAGTCTTCTTTAACGTCTTAAATTGTTTTAAGAAACAGGTTTCCATTGATTGTTTCAGAGAGCACATGTTTATTACTTTCACTAGTTCTTCCAAATCTTTATATTTGGACTTGACAGCTACGTATATTTGTTTACTTGTCATTTTAATTCTTTTCTCCGTGTTTATTCTCTTAGCTCAGAGTTTCTTTTGGGCTTCTTTATAAACACTCTTAACTCCCTGGCAGCCTTTTATAATGCATTATTCTCGATGTTTCTTGTCATTTTAGTCCCATCACTTTTTCTCCTCCAGAAATGTCTTACATTTAGTAATTTAATAATTTCCAGTACGTTTACAGATTTTAAAACATTTTTTTTCACTCATTTAGTGGAATTTAGGGGAAAGGAGGGTACATGAATAAGCATCTCTGAAAGTAAGGTTCTTGATTAGTTATTTTTTGAAAAAGCTCTATATTGAAAACCAGTGAGTTACCCTATTTTTTAGAATAAATTCAGTTTTAGCAGCCAATCATGCTTATAGTTTTTATTGTATAATGGTGTTATGGTTTTAGGCTTTGAAAATTTTAAAGAAAATATATAATATCCAGAATGGAGACAGCATAAGGAATTAAAGTATTTTAATATTCTTTAAATTAAAGTTGGGTGAGGGAAGCGGAAGACGGGAAGCAGCTTTTGTTTGGGGCTGTGTGTGTGGCAAGTAAGGCAGTAACCGCATTACACAGGGCATGCTTTGACTCCTCAGGGGAAACTTGTAATATTGGCAGTGCTGCCCCCATCTGACTAAAGTGTAGAGAAGGAGCCTTCCTGTGCCCCTTAAGTAGCAGTGGTGGTGACACTTGAATTTAGGTCTGATTCTAAAGCTTTCTTTTCTATGTGCTACCCTTCAGGGGCAAAGAAAGAAATTTTTTAATTCCAGCAGGCAATAGGCCTGCAAATTAAATGGTTAAACATGTATTCAGTCCAAGGCTAAATTCATAGTACTTTGCTCTTAGTCTTTTGGGTAATGGGAAGGCCACATGGAATATATAATCTGTGGTGTTGGGGTGGTGGTAAATGTAATCCTGACATAGAAGCAGTTACGGATTTCTCAGGCTTTTAAAAACCTGATCTCCACTTACTATTTCAGTGAATAGTTATTGAGCACACACTGAATTTCAACACCATGCTTGGACCCAACAATACAAAGGGCAAAAGGCACATTCCCTCTCTACTATGAGCCCAAGCTAGTCTGGAGATTAACACACTTAGTAATTGCTTTGCCATATGGTCCTAGTAACAGCAAAGTATAGCACGGGGTGCTACATGCTCAGAAAAGATGTATAATACCCAAACTGGAGTTATTCCATACTTCTGGAAATAGTACATTTCAATAATTAAACATAGGGGAAATATACTAATGAAAATATACTAATGAAAATGTCTGATGGAATCTCTCTTCTGGGGCCTTCAGGAAGTGCTTACACAAGTGTGAACTGACGTGTTTTCCACATCTGAGAACGCCTTTATTCTCTGTATCTAGGATGAAGTTTTACTGAGTTGCACCCAGAGTTTTCTGACCCAAACCATTGTTAATAGTGCTATTAACAATCACAAGGGAATAGCTTAAAAGCTCTTTGGCACAGCAGTTAACGCAGTTCCTCATCATCCTGACAAGTGGTCAACTCCAACCCCACTCAGCTGCTATAGATGTGTCCAAGGGCGTTAATATGCAGGCAGTTAATTCAGAGGCGTTCAGGAGTAATTATGCAGTCAATGAAGACTGCCACCACTTGGGGTCCATTAAAGGATCTGTGCTGTTTTATTTAGCAGAAGTAAATGTGACTGTTTCTTCTATTAACTGTTTATTGCTCTACCAGCCAAAGCAGGGGCTTTGTAATATGCATGTCTGGATTAAGTACAATTGATGATGTACTACTAGGTTTGAATATTCAAACAGAACTTTTTGTTTTTATAACCATCTCGGCTCACTGCAACGTCTGCTTCCTGGGCTCAAGCGATCCTCCCACCTCAGCCTCCTGAGTAGCTGTGACTATAGGCATGTGCCACCACACTCGGCTGATTTTTAATTTTTAACTTTTTTTTTTGTAAAGATAAAGTCTCACTATACAGCCCATGCTGGTCACAAACTCATGGGCTCAAGTGATCTTCCCACCTTGGCCTCCGCAACTGCTGGGATTTCAGGTCTGAGTCATGGTGCCCAGCCAAAATAAAACTTTAATAATGAAGGTTTCGTTGTTAATTCCTCTCTATCTCGGCATTTCTTTCATCAACTGATCTACTTCATCCTCTACTGTTTCTAGTTTTACATTCTTGGGAGGCTTGAATGTACCGTGTTTGATTGAATTATGAAGATATTATTATAATACTTTGGCTTTGGCTTTATTATAACATTTCAACATTAAAAAATCAAGTTCCTCCTCTAATGTGAAGAACTTCGACTTTAACGTTACATTTATATTCAGAGAGAATGCCTGCTAATAAGAAATTTAGTATATTCAGCAAACATTGGGAGTATTATTTTTCAAATATAAAACTACAGAGGAAACCGAGGAGAGCAACAACTCAATCGAGGGAGTTAGGTATTAACCCTGACTCCACTAACAACTAACTGCCTAACACTTGAAGATGTATAACTCTACATTTGTAGTCTACTTTCATCATGTATAAAATAGAGATAACAATATTTCGCTTATACATGGCTGTTGTGAGGCATTGAAGAGCCACAGATATGAAATTTCTGGCACATGTGTTTTCTCAAAACACACAAGGTTCTACTTCTGGTGTAACAACATAAGCTTAAACCAAATCAAACCTTAGGCAAAAAACTAATCTTTGGATAAAATACAAAAAGCAATTACTTGAAGTTACTGGGTAATGACTAGGTAGATTCCAAAGGGTTATGACGCTTGAAGAAAGGTAACTGAATGAGGTGACTTCTTATGGTGTTTCCAATGAGGACAGGCTGCAGGGGGCATGCTGAGCAGCCAAGACTCCAATGGAAGGCTCTGAGTCTTTGCGCTTGAAGAATCACAGGCCAAAGTTTCCAGCAACCACAGCTGCTGGAAAGTGAGGAAGGAACTGTAGAAGGAAGAGAGCCAGAGATAGGGAGCCACAGATTCTGTGTATGAACTCTCACCAACTCTCTAGTGACAACTGAACCACAAGTGCACAGGGCAGACTGCAAGTATCCCTGAAAAGGATGAAGAAGCTCATCTGAGATTTTAGCTGCTTACCAAGAGATACAGTCTGCAGTTAGAGTTCAATCAAGCTATCTGCTTAAACAGTCTAAAAAAATAAATAAAAGCAACACTGTTTGGAGGAATATAGCAAATTCTAGAGTTTTCAAAGCACAATATTTACTCTAACATAACCAGATTAATTAGCAGACAAGGAATTAAACAAAACTCTCAAAAATTTATAATGTGTAAAAGTATAACCAGGGATCTCAGTTTCAAAAATCACCCACTTCTTCTTCCTTCCCTCCCCTCTCACCTCTTCATTCCTTCCCTCTAAAGAAACTCCCCTCCAGCAATGCATGCTTATCAAATCATGTTCTTGCTTAAGAAATTCCAGAGGCTAATCTTAAACCGGGCAAGAAGCTCCTTTGGAATCCTTCCACTTAGCGGGAATCACGAACAATGAGTCCACCGCCACTGGTCTGAAGTCAAGGTGACACCAGCCAGGCCTCCGGGTAGGCGATTATCCACGACAGCCAATGGAACAAGACTCGCAGCCCCTACGCTCTGCAGCACTCCCACGTGTCTCCCACACCAAGTTTCCCTTTAAAAACCCTAGGGTAAATTTTAACATTTAGAACGCTATGAAACCTGCTTTTCTTCCCATCAACCCTCACCTCCTGTGTTTGCGTCTTGTGTCTGGCTTTTGAGCAGTGAGCAGCCAGCAGCCAAACCTGGGTGTGATTACAAAAGAAAAGATCCTGCTAATGAACAAAAAGATATAAAATTTCAGCAGACAAATAAAAAACTATTAAAAATCAAATGAAAATTTTATATCTGAAAATATAAAGCATCTGAAATGAAAATATCATCGGATTGGCTTCAAAATACAAACGAAGGAGGCAGTGAACTTTGAGGCTAGGTCAAGACATAGACCAGTCTGGAAAACAGACAAAAAAATAATGAAAAATGAGCAGAGACTCAGCCTGTAGGACAATATCATAAAGACGCTTCCCCAAATTTCTCAGTTCACAATGTCCTTAGTGTTTCAGTAATTTTTTCATGATATTTGCCCCAGGCCAAACCAATAAGGAACAAATTTGGTAATTAAATTGTGAGTACCAAACAACTTACATATTTATTTCTCAACAACATTGCAGCTGTTTGAAAAATAATACACATTATTTTATAAGATGTATCATAATTGAAAGGAAATATTTTATTTCATTATTAAATAACAGCAATTATGCATATTGGGTGCTACGTAACTTCTCAAACCATGGGATCAGATGGGACACTGTCACTCTCATTTCCTGATCCACACTTATTTTCAGATAATGTTTATTGTTTATCACAGCATCTGGTAAAATACCAGCGTCACAAAGATGTGACATCATGAAAATCAGTAACATATGATCTAATGCTCAAAAGAAACTATAAAGGATTATCTTAAGCTGACAGTTCCCATAGTGTGGAAACAGGGAAAGGGGCAAGTAAAATATCGGAAGAAACAGTAGCTGAAAATTTCCCTGATTCGATGAAAACTGATAAATGACCCTGGGTGACTGGGTTAGCCTAATGTTCTCACTTAAAACAAAACCACTACATTAAGCACCAATATCTGGGAACACGCACTTAATACTTAAAAAGAGGGCATAATCTCTTTTGTTCATGTTTCTTCTTGCTGCTTCTGGTATCAAATGTGGGAAGGTAGGACTGCTCCTACGTGGAAGAAAGGGCCAGAAGAGCCAGAGCAAAGGTCAATGGAAAAGCAGCACAGAAGCCACCGAGTGTTAGGAGAGGAACAGAAGGCAGCATCCTGGACGGCTCACAACTGTTGAGTCAGACAAAACCAGTACCTTCACATACCCAGTCCTGTGGCAAATAAGATCAGCATTAGCAAAAGAATATTTCCAGTGGTCAACACTTGATCAGAAAGAGGCTAAAGAATGTGCTACAGCACTTTATTCACATTATTGTTTACTGAGCAATTACTATATGCAAGGTACGAGGGACACATGGGTCTTTATGGATTTGCATTACCCATAAGGAATAACCAATGACAACGTGAATAAATAAGGTAAATTGGCTTGACCAATGATACTACTCCACCAGGACAGGGGGTTCTGAGCCAGCTTCTGGCTGAGAGGAAGGACCCTTCACACTGCGTGCTCGGCAAGGGCTTCTCTGACCGTGTATGCTGAGGATGCGATGCTGAGAGGGAGGCGGCCAGACACCTGGAGACAAAGCCTTCAACGAGAAGGAGAATAAATGTGAAGGATCTGGGAAAGAAATGAGCTTCGTCTATTTAAGGAGCAACAGAAAGGAGACCAGTAACGCTGGAGTTAAGACAATGGAAAAGTGGAATAAGATAGAGTCAGATAGGGGAGGAGAGTGCCAAGTGCTGGATTATGTAAGTGCATATGAGGAAGTGTGGATTCCCTTCTAACTGGAAAGGAGCCACTGAAGGATTTTAAGTATGGAAGATATAAGATCACATTTAATTTGAAAAAATCATTGTGACTGAAAATGGAAGAGTAGTGTGGATTAGACTGGGAAGGATGGCAGAGATGATTAAAGAAAAAATGACTTCAGGTTGATTTTAAAGGCAAAAGAAAAATGACTTACTAAGGAACTGAATATGGCAAACAAGAATGCCATTGAAGATATTATCACATCATATGAAGGCCAATTTATGGCTATTCATTGGAGATTTTTCTCACAAGTCTTAAGTAGAAATTCATAGGCTCCAACAAGTATGTTTTTCTTTTGTATGTATTGTGACTGGTTTTGGACATTTAGACACTGAATTCTGTAGCCATATTTCCCTCATCTTTAGCCACAAGGCAACTCAAAGTATAATTTCAAGACCAATTCTGCCAACACTACGGAATGTTGTAATACGTACGTTTTTGTGTACTGACCTTACCCTTGGGTTTTTGTAATTTTCTACCCTAATTTGCTCATCAATTTATATTTACCTTAGTTTTATTCTGTGGACTATATTAGTTGGGCATTAGTTACCACCTATCATTAGTTACCGCATGTGATTTCATGAAAAAAAGGAGTAAATAAATACAGTCGCTTAGCTATGAGGATACCTTCTAAGGAACAGCTCCTTAGGTGTTTTTGTCATTGTACAAACATCACAGAGTGTACTTACATAAACCTAGGTGGCGTAGCCTACTACACGCCTAGGCTATATGATACAGCCTACTGTTCCTTGGCTACAGACTTGTTCAGCATGTTATTGTACTGAATACCGTATGTGACTATAACACAATGATAGGTGTTTGTGTATCTACACATATCTAAACACAGAAAAGGTACAGTGGAGACACAATAAAAGATGGAGACATGACAATATAAAAGATGGAGAATGGTAAACCTAGATAGGGCACTTACCATGAGTGGAACTTGGAAGACTGGAAGTTGTTCTGGGTGAGTGACTGAGTGAGTGACAAGTGAATGTGAAGGCCTAGGACACTACTGTAGACTTTATAAACATTATAAACTTGGACTACACTAAATTTATTTTAAAAATATTTTCCTTTCTTCAAAAATTACCCTTAGTTTACTGTAATTTTTTAAAATTTGTCAACTTTTAACTTTTTTTTTTAAACTTTTTGACTCTTTTCTAGCAACACTTGGCTTAAAACACAAACACTGTGAATCTGTACGAAAATATTTTCTTTATATCTTTATCCTATCAGTACTCTTCTGTTAACTTTTAAAATTATTTTTTAAGCTGTTTTCGTATGCAATTAAGATACAAACGCACATTAGCCTATAGCCTAGGACTACATAGGGTCAAGATCATCAAGATCATCATCGTCACTAGGCAACGGGGACTTTTCAGTTCTTTCATAATCTTATGAGACCACTGTTACATGTTCTGTCCGTCCTTGACCAAAAATGTCATTTTGTGGTGCATGACTATTTAAGTCTTTTCATCTTGTATTAAAAGTGTGATCATGAGCCATAATGAAAACACAATAAAAGTGCTAGAATGAAAATTATCTGGGAGAACTACAGTAAGGGAATGGGAAAAAAAAAAAAACTTATTACTTATTCTGGATCAAAACACAAGGGAAGGACCAAGCAGAGAGGAGAGGTTTGGATTATGAAAGCACACTGCCTGGATTCCACCCGGCTCTACCAACCACTAGCTGCATGACTTTCGGCAAAGAATCTACCTCCCTGGTCTCACTGTCCTCATTTGAAAAATGGTAATGTTAACAAAACAGTGCCCACCTCATCGGACTATGATGAGGCATAACTTAGTTAATATCTGTAAAGTCCTTAGAAAAGTACTCAACCAATAGTAGCTGCAATATAAGTGTTTGTTAAAATGAGTTTCAATTCAGACTTGAAGGTAATAATGATTTTGAAAAGGCGAGACAGAAGAAACAAGTGAGCAAAGATATAGAAGAATACAAGCACCAACTTTATGAAACAAAGCTTCTACCCTAGGGTTGGTTAAATACACAGGAAATATGGCAAAATAATCAGTAGACTAAACTGTACAAAGGATTTGAGAAAACACGTACCAAGAAGGCTTTGAATTCCTGCCGTATGAATATAAACATTGTACTGTAGAAACAAGGTGTTTAAAGGACTTGGGACCAAGGAAGACCATAATAATATGGAGGAAGTAAAGTGGGTTGTGTGTTCAGTGCCCTGCTGGTGCCTAGCATATGAGCTGCTTATGATTTCAAGTACACAGGTGGTAACCGTAAGTACGCAAATAAAGGTATTTAACTCTGGCACTGAACCAATCATTACTCCACCACAAACTGAAACTAGGGTCTAAAATTTGAACTTAAAAATAATGCTATCACAGAATATTAACCATCAAGACATTAAAACAACTTTAAATGACAAGCAATGCATATGCTGTAATCACGAGGGATGAGTTTTCATCTGTGCAGATGGAGGTATCTGTCCAGGTACTGTATTCAAAATAAACAAAAAAACTACTTCTGTCTTCCTCCTCTGTTCATAACATTTTCAACAACTTAATTTAGAAACCGACAACTGAATTATAAATTATATTCAGTAAAAATGGCAGATCTAGTGTGAGGAACACAGTATCCCCTAAACAACAGCAGCGGATGTGCTCGATTCTCCACACTCTATTCTGGAGGGGATATTCATTCTGTGCTGGTATTCTGCAAAAAGGTGTAAGAGTAATTTAATCTTAAGTGAAATATCACTGGGTTAATTTTATTACATACACATATATATAAAGATAAGTATATATATAAAATAAATGTTGTAACATGCACTTTTCTGTGTACTACTCTTACTTGTATAAAGTTATATACAGCAGCCACAGGAAACTAATATACCAGGTAAATAATTTCTTATGATGAATACTACATATAGTGTTCATCATAAGAGATATATATATATCACTAAAAATAAACTGTATATATATACAGAGATACCTTTTTATCTATATTTCACTAAGAAGATTGGAATGCTGACATATAAATGTCATGTGTGGGAGACTTATGTTTCTCTTTTTAGTTTATTTTTATTTTTGCAGAGATGGGGTCTGGCTATGTTGCCCAGACTGGTCTCAAACTCCTGTCCTCAAACAATCCTCTTGCCTTGGCCTCCCAAAGCACTGGGATTACAGGCATAAGCCACTGTGCCTGGACTGTTTCTCTTTTTACTTATCTATATGCATTTTCTGTTCACTTTTTGGGTGAGATTTGAGGACAGATGTTTGAGTCTCTATTATTTCAAAGGGGTAGGAGATAATTTCTTGATTGGGAGGTTTGCTGTCTGCAATGGCATCAATAATGCAACTAGCCACTTATGAATGAACACTCACTATTTATCTGCATTTACAAATAAACAAACAAACATAAACTGGTAATGTAGGGATAAGTTTGGAGACTTTCAGAAGAGTTTTTAAAATATATTTTGTTGGCCGGGCATGGTGGCTCACGCCTGTAATCCCAGCACTTTGGGAGGCCAAGGCAGGCAGATCACGAGGTCAGGAGTTAGAGAGCAGCCTGGCCAACAGGGTGAAACCCCGTCTCTATTAAAAATACATACACACAAAAAAATTAACCAGGTGTGGTGGCAGGTGCCTGTAATCCCAGCTACTCGGGAGGCTGAGGCAGGAGAATTATTTGAACCCGGGAGGTGGAGGTTGCAGTGAGCCAAGATCGTGCTACTGCACTCCAGCCCGGGTGACAGGGCAACACTCCATCTCAAAAAATAAATAAATAAACAAAATAAAATAAAATATATTTTGTTGTATTTGGCTTGTAAATGTACAAGCTCCTATCACAGCAAAGATAAAACTAACTAGACTAGTAGGTCACTCAAAATTATGCTGTCCTAATCCCAGGAACCTTATCTAGAAAAAGAAATTTCTAGACAAGGTTACCTTATCTAGAAAAAGAAATTTCTAGACAAGGTTACCTTATCTAGTTACATTACCTTATCTAGAAGAAGAAATTTTACAGATGTGATTTAGATCTTGAGATGGAAAGATTACTCTGGATTACCCTGGTGTGCCCTAAATATAATCACATGTCTCCTTGTAAAAGGGAGGCAGAAGATTATAGATACAAGAGAAGGCAGTGTGAGGACGGAGAGGTTAAAGTGACGTGCCTACAAATCAAGGAATGTTGTAGCCATCAGAAACTGGAAGAGACACGGAAAGGAATCTCCCCTAGAGCCTCCAGGGAGAGAACGACCTTGCCAACACCTTGACTTTGGCCTAGTGATAGTGATTTTGGCATCTGGCCTCCATAACGATCAGAGAATACATTTCTATCATTTTCAGCCAAAAAAAAAAATCTGTGGTAATTTGTCACAGCAGCCACATGAAAATAATGAAGCAGGTAAGTAAGTTCCTAAGATTTCAAGTAAATTTAATGGTAGAAAAAATAGAAATGAAAGAGATTTACCATTTACTGAGTACCTACATAAATTATCTCATAAAATCATCAATAGCAACCCTATTACTATTAGCTCTTTTTATTAATAGAGAAAAATCCATAGGTATCATACCCATATCTATGTTTCTTGCATAACTGCTCTGACATTGCTCTAATCAGCAATGCATAATTGAGGAAGTGACTTTTTATTCTCCCAAATAAACTTAGAGATATACAAGAATGCTATTTTAAATTACTTCATGCAAAATTCTATCTAAAATAAAAATTTATCCATAGTCATTAGTTTAATTGAAAAATTTGCATTATTCTTTCCACTGACTTCAAAGATTGAAAAATTAAAAATAATTCTCAAATAAATTTGAGATAGTCATATCAGATTTATGACTTCTTCAAAACATTTTCCCATTAACATTAATCACCAATCCAAGGAGAGAAATAAAAAATGTGTGTGCCTAGACCAGCTCAGGAATTTACAGATGCCACAGAGCTTTTACAGTGAATAAAATTACAACAAGCATGTGGGCACTGACTTGGTGTCTCACACTGTGCTTAGGATTGGTGATGTTGCAATGAACTAGCCTGATGGTTTACTCAATGGCAAAACACAAGTGACTGCTAGCCCAATCTTCATATCAATGCGATTACTTACATAAAAAACAAGTCTCATTTAAAAAAATTTAAGAAGTAATATTACAGTGAATAATAATATTCACCTAGAATCATCAGCTAATAAGTGTCACAGGTTATATTTAAGCCCAGGAATATCTCACTCCAAAGTAAATCCCCTTAATATGACATCACATTGTTTGACCATAGGCTTAAAAAAGTTATGATTATGATTTTTAAAGTGATAGGGTCTCACTACGTTGCCCACATTGGAGTGCAGCAGCTATTCACAGGCACTATCGTAGCATACCATGGCCTCGAACTCCTGGCCTCAGATTCCCGAGTAGCTGGGACTACAGGCATGTGCCACCATGCCCACATGAATACAAGTTTTGTTCAGATAGAACTGGTTTTGGCTACTAATAAAGGAAATATTAAAACTGCTGCCACGGTATGTTAACCTAAAAAAAAATTTACACCTACCTGGTTATTGCTGGGGCTGGTACACCTCTTGTACGCAAGGTGGGTTTCCCTCGAACCACTGGAACATCTGCATTTTCTGAACCACCATTCAAATATGTTAACTCCTGGAGCTGTGCTTGCCTGATCTCATCATTATAATCCTACACAAAAGACAGAAGATAGCAAAATTCACTTCATATTAGAAATGCAAAAATATTTAGAACAAAAAGCAAGTAATTCTTAATAGAAAAAAGGGTTAGGAAAATAGTTGAATTTACAAAACAAAATACAAATTTGCTAAAATAAAAATGTGATAATAAATTCTTGTAAAAAAGGAAGAAAAAAACTACAGCATTTTTTCCTCAAGCTAAAATTTTCTATAATCAGCCACTAACCTTTCTCTGGGCATACTTTGCAAGTGAGACATTTATAATAAAATTAAAATACCATAAAACTGATATATGGGTGTTGTTATTTACAACTCAATTCAACTAGCAGGTATTGATTATCTATAATGAACCAAGTAACAGAGAAACAAAGAGGAATTAAGCCATAGCCCAGCACCCAAGGACTTCACTCTAGCAAAGAGGAAGGATATATATACATACACAACAGCATAGCCTTCATGTAGTTAAGAACCACAGGGACACAGGCTTTTTGTACATTTCCAGTAGAAAATTATACAAGTTGTGAAATTCAACATTTTCAGAATTGAACACATAATCTTATTCCTGAAAATTTGCTCTTTCATCTTAAATTATTATCAAAATATTCAACTACGAAACTCTAGGAGTGGTCCTTGATTTCTCCTGCTTCCTTAGCACCCTGAACTCCATTCAACAATCATCAGCTAAGACATGGGTAAATTTAAATGTAATCTATTTTACAAAAAAGGGAAAGTTCAGGTCTAAAGGATCAAAAAGGAAATAGTAAGTTTGTTACAAGAAGTCCTGCCTCAGGATGAGAATTAAAGGGGTAATAACCAGAATCTACAAAGAACTTAAACAAATTTACAAGAAGAAAGCAAACAACCCCATCAAAAAATGGGCAAAGGATATGAACAGACACTTCTCAAAAGAAGACATTTATGCAGCCAACAGTTATATGAAAAAATGCTCATCATACTGGCCATTAGAGAAATGCAATCAAAACCACAATGAGATACCATCTCACACCAGTTAGAATGGCAATCATTAAAAAGTCAGGAAACAACAGATGCTGGAGAGGATGTGGAAAAATAGGAATGCTTTTACATTGTTGGTGGGAGTTTAAATTAGTTCAACTACATGGAAGACAGTGTGGCGTTTCCTCAAGGATCTAGAACTAGAAATACCATTTGACCCAGCAATCCCATTACTGGGCATATACCCAGAGGATTATAAATCATTCTAGGATAAAGACACATGCACATGTATGTTTACTGCAGCACTATTCACAACAGCAAAGACTTGGAACCAACCCAAATGTCCATCAATGATAGACTGGATTAAGAAAATGTGGCACATATACACCATGGAATGCTATGCAGCCATAAAAAAGGATGGGTTCATGTCCTTTGTAGGGACAGGGATGAAGCTGAAAACCATCATTCTCAGCAAACTATCACAAGATCAGAAAACCAAATACCGCACGTTCTCACTCATAAGTGGGAGGTGGACAATGAGAACACATGGACACAGTGAGGGGAACATCACATACCAGCTCCTGTCGAGGGATGGGGGGCTAGGGGAGGGATAACATTTGGAGAATTAACGTAGGTGACGGGTTGACGGGTGCAGCAAACCACCAGGGCACGTGTATACCTATGTAACAAAACTGCACGTTCTGCACATGTAACCCAGAACTTAAAGTATAATAAAAAACAAATTTTAAAAAAGATCTTTAAAAAAGATCAATGAAATAGAAGTGAGAGCTCAGATATAAGTTACAGTCAACTGCTTTTTTAAGTAGTCTCTTCTGCAGCTGGTACTGCAATAACTAGAAAGCCATATAAATATAAACAAATAAACAAATAAAAAATAAAGTGAGAGCCCCACATACTTCATGTTATACACAGAAATTAGAACAAAATGAATCAAGAGACCTAACTGTAAATAACTAAAACTATACAACTCTTAGTTCTGGGGGGTCAATTTTTTTGGCTTCACTGGTCCACACTGGAAGAATTGTCTTGGGCCACACACAAAATACACTAACACTAATGATACCTGGTGAACTACCAAAAAAAAAAAAAAATCTCAATGTTTCAATATTTTAAGAGAGTTTACGGATTTGTGCTGGGCCACATTCAAAGCCTTCCTGGGCCACATGTGGCACGTGGGTTGGACAAGCTTGTCTTTGATGAAAACATAAGGAGTGAATCTTCACAGAGTATACTGAAAAGGTGTGGCAAGAAACTGAGGAGGATAAGAAGATATTACATTATAAAAGCCACAGGAAGTCAGTGTTGTATTTACATTCTGCCAAAACAGCAAGTCCTAATTCTATGGGATTCATTAACAGTAAAGCCACTACTATCAGAAATAGTTTGGGTGAAAGGTGGAGATGGAATCCATTTCAGTGGAATAAATAATAAATAGCAGTAAGCCACAGAAATTAACGGCAGGCAGCTACTTCCAGCTGTATGGCCACAATGAAAACGAGACAGAAAGGATCATAGTTTGCAGGGAGGAACAGAGGATTTTAAGACAGAAGAAACATGAGCATATTCGAGTGTAAATAGAACATTTAGAGGAGACAGATTCCTGAATTATTTATTATTTAGAATTAAAAACCTGAAAGAAATTCAGGATATTTATTTTAAAAAATTTTTCAAAAGCAGAATGCAAAAAATGACTTGAAACTTGTAGTAGAAGGCATTCTGGAATTAAAAATATATGAACACCAATCAAAAAGAAAGTTAAAATCATAATCAGCTAACACTTGCAAAGCAGGAAGAAGAGAAGGCAAATAATGACCAATACAAGTAACTGTGATTGACAGGAAAAATTAAGAATGGAGTCAATATTTTATTGTAAATATAAATTATTTCCCTGACTTATTTCAGGTATTGTGACCTCAGGGGAAACATCTGATTCTTTCCATCATTATTTCAACCTCTCTAAAATAATCCTATTAGTATGTTCCCAGCCATTTTACTGAAAATGTGTGAAGATTAATACATAATTTGTAAAACACATTCTAAATAAGTGATTTGTAAAGCTCTAAATATAATGTGCTATATAAATGGTAAATATTTGACCCGCTGAAAAGTGTTAGGAGGTGTAATACTAAATTGTATGAAGTTAAAAATAGATTCATGCAAAAAGAACACAGTCAAGGCCCTATTCAAAAACAAATTAAAAATTAAAAAGTATTGTTCTAAGTAAGGTTAGGTGATTATAACAGTATCACAAAAACTATAACGTCCATTTAAGATATCATCTTTGAAAAACTACATTTAACAATAGTGTAGTAGGGAAAGAAATATGGAATTTGAGTCAATCACTTCTGAGGCTAAGACTAAATTTAACCACCTGAACTTAACAGCTATGTGATTGTAGACAATTTTTTAAAATTCTAGGTGACTGTTTCTCCTGGTGTCAAATGGACACTGTTGATATAACCATTATAGTTAGTAGTTTCTTGGTCTTTGAAAAATGCTTTTAAATTAGTAGAGAATGCAAATCATTCATAGTAGCTTACAGACTAACTTATTTCTGTAATTTTGCATTTTAAATTATCATTTTAACTCCCCGTCTGAAAAGTGAAACTATTACAACATTAACACCATCATGAATTGTAAAGAGCAGAAAAGCCATTAAAATTTTGAGTAAATATGTGTAAGCAGGACTTGACTACCCAGTGAGCTTACAATCTATTCAAATGTATGTTAGCCTGAAGAATGGAGAAAAAGTTTTTAAATGAAATCATTAAAAGTAACTCATAAAAATTCAGTGGGCTCTCTGTTAGGAATTTACTCTTCAGCTATATTTGCCAAAATAGGCCAATAGTTATGTCCAAGGTTAATCCTAGGATCACTGTTTGTATTGTGATCTATAAGAAGTAACCTCAATGTTCATTATTTGAGGGCCAATTAAATAAACTCTGGAACATGCATATAATAAAATATTATGCAGACATTAAAAAGAATGAAATAAAACTGCATATGCTCATAGGAACAAGGTCCAAAATCACGTAAGTTAAAAACAAAAGGTACTAATAGGACATGCGACTTCTGGTACAGCTAAGGGAGGAGCTCAGCAAAGCCTCCCCCATAAAAAGCAAAATAAAAACTGACGAAATGGTTCAAAGTAACCATTTTAGGAGTCTGAAAACTGACTAATGGTACACAATAAACTGAAAATATAATATATTTATTCATTAAAAAGTGCTACATTTCAGGTAAGAAATATGAGAGTCTGGCCTGCTTGCCTAAGGATGCACCTAGTATTGCCATCTTGGGTTGCGTCAAGAAACTGACCACCAGGCTAGCCAGAAATTGGACAGATAATTCAGAAAATGAGACAGTCTTGAAAAGCTCGCCACACACCTCTGGCTGGATGGAAGGCTATATGCATGGACAGCAAGAAGAGAGTGAGGCAAAGCTCTCCATACAACCTTTCCTGAAGGTGAGTGCACATATATGCAGCGGAGACAGGAGGCATCCCAGAGCAACAGAAAAGCCAGGGTGGACATGGCGAGAGTCTTCTTGGATCCACTCCCCTATGTACACACACAGCTCCATCATCGGAGGATGGAAACCTCACTTACACAGCTGTCTGAACACGAGCTCCCCTTGGCTGTCCACTAAGCAGTGCTGACACAGACAACATCCCTAGCAGGCCAGGTTTAAAAATAAACGCAAGAAAAAAACACATTAACAGAGATATTATTAGCTGTAACTATGAGGAAGACAGGCTGCAAATTTATTCCAACTAAATTATTAAAGAAATAGAAGACAAAAAAATAAAAAAAATTAAAAAACACCTCAGCAACAAAAACTCCTCTGGGAAGAAAATACATCAGATTACAGGTTTGCTATGTTATCGAAAATACAGACTTTTCAACAAAAAATTAAGAAACATGCAAAGAAACAGGAAAACGTGACCTATACTCAGGGGGAGAAAAGCAGTACAAAGAGGCTGTCTTGGAGAGGGCCCAGATGTTGGAATTGCAACAAAAGAAAATTTAAAAAGCGTATTGCCAACAATGAAAAATTCACTAGAGGAGTTCAATAACAGCTATGAGCTGGCAGAAGTAGTTAACTTGAAGACTAGTCCATTAAAATTATCCAGTCTGAGGTACATGGAGAAAAACGGATGAAAAACCCTGAATGTAAGAAATCCATGAGACACCAGCATGTGTATCAACATACACGTAACTGGAATTAGGGGGTGTGGTGGGGGGTAGAAAGACAGAAAAAGTTTAAATAGCTGAAAACTTTCCACATTTAATGAAAAACATAAACCTACAGATGCACAAAGCTTAGCCAACAAATAGGATAAACATACATCACACCCAAATTGCTGACAACCAGAGGCAGAAAAAATCTTGACAGCAGCAAGAGAAAAACAACAGATTATACACAGGAGAACAGCAAAATGATTAATGACTCTTCTCATCAAAAATAACAGAGGTCAGAAGGTAGCAGAGTAGCATATTCAAAGTGCTGGAGAAACAAAAAACAAAAACGATCAATCAATAATTATATAACCTGTTTTTTAGGATGTAGGTAAAATAAAGACATTCCCAGAAAAACAAAAGACTTTTTGCTAGCAGACCTAGGTTACAGGAAAGTCTAAAGAAAAACCTTCAGGCTGAAAAGAAATAATACCATATGGCAGCTCTATCCACAGGAAGAAATGAAGGGCACCCAAAATAGTATAAGTTAATATAAAAGACTCCAGAAAAATACTGTGCGACAAACCAATATCCTTCATAATTACAGATGTAAAAATCCTTAACAAACTATTAGTAAACCATATCTAGCAACACATAAAGAAGACTACATGCCATGACCAAGTGGGAATTATCCTCGGAATGCAAATGTGGCTTCACATCTGAAATCAACTAATGTAATACACTATTATTCACAAAATAAAGGAGAATAAAACCACACAATCATCTCAGGAGGAAAAAGATTTGCAAAATTCAATACCCATGTTTATACATTTATTCATGATAAAAACTCTCATCCTTTAGAAATATAAGAGAACTTCTTCAACATGACAAAGGGTAGCAATAAAAAAAACCTATAGCCAATGGTGAAAGACTGAATGCTTTCCCCTCCAATTTTAGAAACAACACTGCATTCACGGTTCTAGTCAGTGTCATAAGGAACGGAATGGAGTGGAATGGAATAGAATAGAATAACAACATTACATTAAAAAAATTAAAGGCATCCATATTGGAAAAGAACTAGTTAAGTTGTCTTTATTCACAGATGACATGCTCCTGTATTCCACTAATTAGGATTCCACTTAATCATTGTAGTGATTCTATTAAAAAAACACCACACTGGAACTAATAAACACGTTTGGCAAGATCACAAGATACAAAATCAATATACAAAACTCAATTGCATTTCTATACACTAGTAATCATCTGAAAATGAAATTTTAAAAATTGCACTCACAGTAGTATCAAAAAGTATACAATATTTACAAATCAATTTTGCAAAAGGAAAGGAAAAGGCTGACACCCTGAACACTATAAAACACTGTTGAGAAAAATTTTAAAATATCTTTTTTAAAAGTGAAGAAACATTTCATGTTCCTGGATTGGAAAACTCAAAATTGTTAAGATGAAAATTATCCCCAAACTGATCTATAGATTCAATATAATATCTATCAAATCCTAGCCAGCTTTTTTTTAATAGAAATTAAGAAGCTGATCCTAAAACACATATGAAAATGCTAAGAAGCCAGAAAAGCCAAAAAATGTTTGAAAAAGAACAAAGGTGGACAATTTACACAACCTAGATTTCCAGATTTACTTAAGGCTAAAGTAATTAAGAGCATGCTACTGGCATTAAGAGTAGGCATACAAATCAATGAAAAAGAATTTGAGAATGCAGAAATAAACCTTTACATTTATGTTTAGTCAATTTTCAACAATGGTACTAAGGTACTGAATGAGGAAATGATTGTCTTTTCAACATATGGTGCTAGGACAACTGATATCCATCTAGAAAAAAATAAATTTAGAGACTAACCTCAAATATACAAATTAACTCAAAATGTATTTTAAGTGAAAGAATACTGAAAAATTTTTAAAATAAAACAGTAGAAAATCCTGGTGACCTTCATTAGGCAAAGACTTTTTTGGCCAGTCCAGATTCTGTGTGAGGTAAATTAGAGTCTACCTCTGGGGAAGGATCGTAAGGGTCATGGGATAAATGGTGCTACTGCAGCCATCTTTGGAAAAGAGAATCTGTTTCACCTGGCTAGATCTGCACTGCCTGGTCCACACTGCATGATCACCAAAACTTACTCCTCTCCTTAGCTGTGGTCTCGCCATAGTTTCAATTTTGTAGTCATTTATATGAAAAACTGACTCATATCTGACTCTTTGCCATTAAACTCCATGAGGGATCATGTATTTTATTAGTTCACATCTGCCTACCACATAGTAAGCCCTTAGAAATTTTGTTTTTAAACTAAAAGAAGAAATAGATTGTCATATTTGCTCATGGGAACTAAAGAAAATACTAGCCATTTCAGTTCCCAGGTTATTACATACTTAATGCAATTCTATGTCCTGGCTTTTTAAAGGCAAAAGTGATTTAAATATCCTTTCCCTATAAATATAATAATTGTTTTCCTCACAGATAATATAATCACAGTACATGTGCTGTAGTATGTAAGTCAATCCACCAAACTAACCTGGGATAACCAAAGACAGTCTTATCCAGAGAACTACTTGGCAGATGTGTCAGCTTCTCTAAAATAAATTGTCTGCAGAGCCAAAGTGTTGATGCTTTACGATTCTTTTTATCAAGAGCATGCAAATGACATAATAAGTCCTTTTATCAAGAGCATACAAATCACACAAAAGACTTAAATCAACTTTCGTAACAGAGGTAGAGATGTATTCCCTTTAAATTGTCACATCCTTAGCAATGTGAAGGTGTCTGAAAGGGTTAAAACAGACAGTCAATTTTTAACAAAACATCCAAAATACTTGGCAGAAGCTAGCTAAATAGCCCATCCCCTCTGGGCTCATTATGGTTATGTCTGTTATATTTATCATGTTGTACTGAAATCATCTGTTGATGTTTCTCTTTTCCTCTAAATTACGTATTATATTATACTAAATGAGGGCAGGGACTGCTTTTATTCAAGTCTGCATGCCAACACCAAGCACTGTGCATGGCACACAGAGGCACTAATGGTTTTGTGTTGGAGAACAAAAAAGTTGTACAGTGTCACATAAAATCGTAGGAAAAGCGTTTCAAAACCTGAACTAGTGATTGTGCTATGCAAGTTTTTTAGCCATGTAACCTTGGCCATATTATTAAATCTTCCTGAAATTCTAACACCTCATATATACATAAGGAATAATGCCCAGTAATTTACAAGGACAATGTAAGGTCTACTTGAGGTGATGTCCATACAGCTTTACAGCAGAAAAGGAGCTATGCAAATAACAGTTACAGACAAGAAGTATCAAGGATTAAAGCAAAGACTTTAAAGTACAAGTTAACTATCAAGAAAAATGGTACTAACAGGGATGAGGAACTTTTTGATTTCTTCCAAAGCATGTCCCATCCTGGCATAAGCTTCTGCAGGTGGGGCAAACACTTCAATGAGAACATGGAGATCATCATTGAGATGGAAGTACTTCGCTTCTCCACTTTTCCTCAACTCTTCTTCCTGGAAAAAGGAAAAAAGAAATCACATTTAAAAACGTGTCATTATAAGAAATGAAAGATAAATAAATAAATAAATAAAAACTAACCCCCAAAATAAAAACAATCCATCTGGCAAGCGGTTGTCACAGTAGACACTACTCTAAAAAAGAAGGTTTAAGCTATAAATGTGATCCTGATATTCCCAGGCTTTTACACACACTCAAAGGCTTCCTACTGCTGCTGGAATAATGTCCCACTCCAGACGCTGACTTGTAGGAGCCCCATCATCTGCTCACTTCCGCTGCTAGGGTGTCTTCACCTTCTCCAGTCTCCTTTGCTCAACCCTCCGCAGCCACTGCCCACACTTCTTTTGTGCTTCTCAACCTGGCTGAGCTCACGTGCTCACTTCTACACTGGCTGTGTGCGTCTCTGTGATGCTGGTACAAGGCACTTATCACTATCTGAAATAACTTATTTTTAAAAACATGTCTATTTTCTATCTTCTCTTAGTAAAAAGTGATTACCATGGAGCAGACACTGTGACTGCTTTGCTTAGTGATGCATTTTCCATGTCTAGAGAAGTGCTTGGTATACAGATGTTCAACAAAGATTCGTTGAATGAATGATTAAACATTCATTCATTGCTATGTCAATTTGCTCGTTCGCATATTCATTCAAAAAACATTTCTACATACCAAGCACTATATTCTATCTGAGAATAAAACAGTGAATAAAACAAAATGAAAGACTTTATTACGTTATTTTACATAATTATGACAAAGTTTTTAATCTTTGTTTGTTTCCATAAGGAAATGCAGGACGAAAATTAGGAGGAGAAAAAAACAGATCGTTAAGGAACTACTGATTTTGCTCCACTGCCTTTTCCTAACTAACCTTCAATTTTAGGTCCTGATTTCAGAATCTGGGTCTTCCATTAGTCTCTGTTTCCAATGTTAGTATCAGACAGATTAAGATTAACAGGAATCTGAGGCTAATTTCCAAAAGATAAGAAATCTTTCTAGTCTCTCAAAAAGGCTATCCCATAACCAAGAGAACCCCAGGAATTCCTGGCAATACCACCTTTTAATTTCACAATTAAGCAAGAGGCCAATAATAAAATAAATGCTAGAGGCACATAGCCCTTGACTTCACCCTTGAAGGATTCAACTTCTGTTACTTGACTAATTTGAACTCTTACAAAGAAAAGAAAGACTAATACACAGAGCGGGAAATGGGCATGGGATTTAGTCACCTATAATTTCATCTCAGCTATGCCAGTCACTAGCCATGTGAGTTTAGACAGACTGTATGTAATCCAATACTTAATTTGCAAAATCTGTTTATTGGTAGCACATGTATATTAATGCAGAACTACTGAGAATACAAGGCACAGCTTTATATAAATGCTGGCGAAAGGAGACAGTGTATATACTACCTAGTACACTGCCTAACATATAATAGGCACCAATACATGCTAGCTTCCATCACATTAATAGAAGTAGGCCAGAAACTGAATGAAAGGAAAAAATATAAGGGAATATATGTAAATATAAGCTGCCATAATATTCTATAAATTTCCTTTGAAATTTGTTTTGACTATACAAAACATTATCTTACGCCAACTCTTCATTGTTCTAATCAGAACATTTCAACCATCTGATCTGAATCTCTCTCATTGCTCAAGTTTTAAAAATTGCATTCTATGTACAGCAATTCATCCCTGAAAGCACAAATTATTGAAACAAACACTTATCCTTTTCTAATAGAGTATCAAAATAATGATGTTAATGAAAGATTATAATTGTTCATTATTATTCAAGCATTATTATTTCTATCACAAACTTAAGCTGGACAGAGAGGATTTCTTATCATAGCTGTAGCCAGGGTACAATCCCACAGAGAGGGGAGTTATTACCAAACTACTCTACAGATTAATGATGACAGGCAATGTGTTATTTGGAGAAAAACACAGATGTTGAAATTCTGCATTAAACCCCTAATTCAACATTAACTGTATGACTTGGGCAGATTACATTACCCTCATCTTAAAGGGGTGATTTTTAAGTGGGGAAAATAATAGTACAGTACTTATCTCATAAGGCTGTTATAGTAATAAAGGAGTTAACAAACAAAACGTCTTTAGGATGAAGCCTTGCACATAATAAGCGCTCAGTAAATGATAAATATAGTAATGATAATTATTATATCACTATCATTTATTCTATTATTGTATAGTATAAATGATGCAGGCAAAACATCCAGCATGAAGTTTGGCACAAGCTGAAAGCTCAACAGACCGGAGCACTGTCATGATTATTATGCTATGTAACCAACTAATATACATCAATAATGACTCCCATAATTTCATAAATGTAGCAAATAAATGCAGAAAAATTATATTCACATTAGATTTTAATAGTGAACACTTTGAAAATCTAAATGGATGAGATTAAAATAATAAGTAATGGGAATCTCTTTAGAAATAAACATATTAACTGATAACTTCTGAAAACTAAAACTAGTAAAAAGGATCAACTGAAATCAATATTCAAGAATTCAGGCAGTGACTATCTGATTATAATACAGCAGATGGGATACTAGTAGTATCTTTTTTTTTTTTAATTTATTTATTTTTTTGGGAGACAGAGTCTTGCTCTTTCACCCAGGTTAGAGTGCAGTGGCTCAATCTCAGCTCACTGCAACCTCTGCCTCCCGGGTTCAAGCAATTCTCGTGTCTCAGCATCTGAGTAGCCAGGATTACAGACGTGCACCACCATGCCCGGCTAATTTTTATATTTTTAGTATAGATGGGGTTTCACCATGTTGGCCAGGCTGGTCTCGAACTCCTGACCTCAGGTGATCACCCCGCCTTGGCCTCCCAAAGTGCTGGGATTACAGGCATGAGCCACCATGACTGGCCAGTATCCATTTAAGTTGCAAACCTGTTACTTAAATGATCATCTGTGGTCACCCTCAGTAAAATGCTTTTGAAAGAATGACTGATGGATCATGTGACAGAGGCTACAGCGCAGTATGGGACAAAAATGGGGAGAGGAGTACAGGTGGACAAGAGATAGACAAAACTGGTGGAAAAGAGTTTAGAGAGAAAATGACAGACTGGGGCTTTACATTATCAGTTCAAGCCCAAAGAGCCAGAAGTAAGCTAGGGTGCACCGCTTGCAGCCACAGGTTGACAGGGCCAACAAACAGGTGCAGAGTTCAAGTCTGTGTGCGGCTGAATAACAATACAGATGCTCAGCCGTCTCTTATGTGAGACTCAGGACAGTGTCTGGATAACAGTGAAAACCTAAGAATAAATTAAACCTGAGAACACATTGACGTCTGGGAGGATTCAAATAACTTTGAGTACTCAAATACTGAAATGCCACAGAGCCTTCCACACGGCAAAAGCCTGCCTGGTGATGTTTTTCCCATGTTGCTTACACAGCCGAGGTAGTTCCTTGAAGGGAGATGACAATTCTCATGCTTCACTACTCCTCCTCCTTATCATCTCCTGGCCTACGATCAATCTCTGCTTAACCAAACATGCAGAGAATAAGAGAGCTATGTTAAACCCAGGGGAAAGGCTGCTTGCGTACAGTAACTATGATATTTCCTAGTGTGTGAGCTTCCTCCTAGTCCTCCCAAAACAATGAATCTCTCTAATAAACCCAGATAATATATTCAAATTCTCTGAATCTCAGATCCCAGCAAGGATCTCGGACATTTTACTAGAGTGACTTTACACCGAGCAGAGGAAACACTTAGACAGTTTGAGAATTAACAGAACTGATTCTGACCTAATGCCACTCCACTGAGGGCCACCAAGCAGAGTGGGGCTTATGGGATTAGAAGGTAAGGAGACTTCTGGTCTCAGTCCACTGACAGTGGGTTCAGTGGATTGTAAATCCACAATGTATGCTACTCCCCTCCCTGGTTCCTGAGTGCCTTGATGAAATATACACAATCAGCCACTTGCAGAATCACCATACTGATTTCCAAAGACATAGAAATGAAAGAACCAGTGAATGGGTGATCTGGAAAAGAGGGTCAATCATGTAAAATCAGGGTGTCCCATGCAAATGCAGAGCTGGCATTCAGCCAGGTAGTCAAGAGGACTCATTGCAGCAGATGCTAGAGCACCTTAATCCCCAGCAGTCTCCATGCAACTCAAGGTGCTCATCAGCAAAATGGCCACGGTGGCCAGGAGGGAAGTCATGCATTACTTCATAACACCGACTCCCCTCAAAAAGGATCACTGGCTATTGACATGCTGTGTGTCCAATATGCCAACAGCAGACAGCCTTGATATGACAATATCATCTGGAAGGCCCACCAAGCCCTGACACCAAGCTGATAATATTTAGGATCCCTTTCATTATATGGGTAGTCAGGCACTTGCTGTTAACTCGGGCATACAATCCAGATAAAGCTTTGCCTTCCTTGTTTCCCTTCTACCTGTAAAATTCTTGTGGATGCCCTGATAACTACCACTGTATGCTACAAAACACTGCTTCTGACCAAGCAGTGGTTCTGACCAACCCCCTTAACAACAAACTAAATAAGTGGGACAGTGGAATCCTGCTTGTGGGTTTCACTGCTCATATCGTGCAGCCCATTACCAGATGGCCTTATTAGAGCGTGAACTAAGATATCAGCAAGGGTAGAGTACTTTCCTGCAAAATACACATAATTTCTGACCAACTGGCCAAATATATGTTTTCATTTTCTCCTACTGCCAGAATAGATGAGTCAGAGAATTGAAGTCATAATTTAAGAGAGCAATGTTTAGTGAGTAATTAAAAAAACCAGGCCATGCACTGGAATCATTTCAAACACCTACTGAAATTCATTTTGAGTTTCTACCCTAAACAAGTAGAGGTATGGGAATCTACTTTTAAACAGTATCCCACACAAATCTGAAACATGTCATGTTTTCCAATGCTGTCGAAAATATACGGGTGCTGTTGTCAGAAAACCATGGTTTTATTAACTGTGTTAATCAAAAACAAAAAATTCTCAAATTAACCCAGATAATATACTCAAGTTCTCTGAATCTCAGTTTCCTTACATGTAAAATGAAGAAAATATTATCTCCCATCATTTTTCCAAGGATAACATGAAGGAATGCATGTAACATGTTTCACACAGCGCCTGACTCACAGTAGCAGCTGAATAAACAAATACTGGCCATTTGTATTATAAAAGCTATTGTTTAGATAGCTTTTTTGTGAGGATGTTGGATTGTGTTTAAATCACCTGTGTTTAAAACATCATTGTTCAACATTTCACGGTATGTGATCACTCAATGTGGATTTGGTTCTCAGTAATATAAATCTTTTAATAATGAGAAAACAACACGTGTCTTTAGAAAACAATGTGACACACATTATGATATGAGAAAATTTTCAGAATTGGCATATTTAAGAAAATGATCAATAAAAATAACACTATTTTTAGCTGGTTAAAAACCATGACTATTAATGTGAATACATCTAAGTAGAACAATTATGTGTTAGAACAATAAGCAGTTACTACACTTAAAATCAATTTTAATAACATTCTAAAATGCACACAATATCAAATAAAAGACAAAAAGAAGAAATAAAAGCATATACATTATAAACTCAACTATATGTAAGGTCTGCACAGAAAAAAAGACTCCAAAAACACTAATCTAAAATGCAAACAGTAATGATGAGACTATAGATAGCTTTTATTTCTTTTCATGATAATTTTAATATTACTTTACTTCCTACAAGGTGACATATTACAACTGCAATCAAAACTTTAAGTATTATGTTTTTATTTAATGTATGACTATAAAGGTTACAGATGCAGGTTTAAGTTACTACATATTCTGAAGCTGACCAGAGTGACTCAATTTTCTAAACAGTATCACAAATACATCCCCTTATGTAACTATGTATGAATACAGTGGATAATATAAGAGCACATAATATAACATGATACACAACTTAGCCGTTTTCTATAATTAATATTACCTTGGCCTTGTCTCTCATGGAACCTTTCCCAAGGATGGACATTTTTGTCAAGGTTTCTTCTTGTAAACGCTTCAGAGAATTGCCACGTGGACCCAAAAGTTTCCCCACAAAGTTGAACTAGGAAAAATAAACAACCAAATTTGTAGCATTTATATGTGAAAGCAATTTCTTAATCTTGAATGTTAAGAAACACTGTAGTGTGCTACACATCATTGATTAATGGCAAATATTTAAGCTCCTGCTACATGCATTAAAATATGATGTTTCCCACACACCACATAAAACGGGGCTAAACGTAAAATAAAAAACCCTGATATATTTCTTTATATTTATTTCAGTGATGGCTATATTCCACAACTGTGAATGAAGCTAATTTCCCAGAATTCCTCGGTTGCTATCCTAACAGTTTCAGCACACGTTAAATATCACCATGAATGAACACTTCTAGGATGAGAATGTAGGTGAGAAAAAATGACACCAGGTGTCTCTAACATGCACTAGACTGGTCACTGTGGAATACCTGGTTCTTCTACCCGGTCAGCCCTTGGATCTAGTTATTCAATCAATGAGAGGACTGGCTTAGATGAGTTCTTAAGCATTCGGTGGCTGATGGAAGCTTTACAATAAAATTCATTGCTTCTAAAATAACTAGCTATGGGAATGTGGGCAATTTATTTAAACTTAGATGTCTGTGGTTCCTTAACAAGCAGAATAGTAATGAATTAATTAAGGGTATGCCTTCTGTAACCAGACTACCATGATTTAAAACCTAGCCTTTTCTGTTTGCCAGCTGAGTAAACCTGGGCAAGTTACCTAACCTGTCTATACCTCAGTTTCTTCATCTGTAAAATAGGAATGACAACAAGACCTACCTTCATAGGGCTGTTCTAAGGATTAAATAAGTCAATATAAATAAACTGTTTAAAACAATGCTTGCCAGATAACAGACACTCAATACATACATCTTGAATACAAAAAAAAATCAGGAATTTCACACAATTTTTAAAAGCCTTGCTATAATTAAGGTAAATCATGACTACTTCTTGCTACCAAATAGAAAATCAGCAGGGAGGAAGCTGTTCGCCTTGGCAAGATGCTTGATTACAAACTCACATAGCAGCCACTTCTTCCGTGATCCATGCCACTGCTGTGCTGCTGTTTCTGAGAGAAAATTGTTCCTCAATTTACCTAACTATGGCAATTGAAGTAATTTTCCTGAAATAAGTACTTAGCACTTTAAAAAATCTAAGTGGTATTTTTTCCTTCCAACTTTTAATTTTATTGGTCTTCAACCAAAACTCAAATATATATTTTTAATCTTTGCATGTAATTATTTTTTGCTTGTTAAAATGCCATTTTCAGTAAAATATTTTTAAACATAAAAGTTATACTTGCAGAGTTTACAAAGTCTAATACTACTACAGAGTGAAAAAGTGGAGTAAATGGGGAGCAAGAATGGGACTGGGTACTGACCCATACAATCCCACCTGATTCTAGCTCCCCATTTACTTTTATTATCTTTCTGAAAATCCTATTATTTGGACATTGGACATCCTGAGATGGACTGCTATCTCTAAATTTCTCTTTTATTGTTTGTGTCTCTCTGTTTTACTTTCTGGAGAATTTAAATACATTTCCTATATACCTACTGATTCCTTCATTTTTGCTATCAAATATTTACGAATACGACTGTCTTACAGCTGTTTCTTCTTTATGGTGTTTTGTTACACTTTGTGGAAACAATTAAATTTCTCATCCTTTCTGAAGATATTGATGACAGCAGCCTGTCCCCGCCTTGGAGTTTAAAGTATCTGCTTCTTCCAAGAGTCTCCCCTTCCCCATTTTGTGAGCTGGTCTCTTTCTCTTTTATGGGATTTCCTCAGATGTCTGGTAATCCTCTACTATCTGTTCTTAAAAATTCCGGATTGCTGACTGGAAGTTCTGTTTTCATACATGGGACTTGGCAACAGCAGTCTTCATTGCAAATATGGCAGCTGAGTTATTTTATCAAGAGCTACTGAAATATCAGTATCTGTATTTCGTTTCACTTGGGCGAGGCACTTCCCTGAAGAGAAACTCCTCAATCTCTTAAGAGGAGGTGTAAGCCCAGCTGCCAGAATACTGGGAATCCCATCACTAAGCACGCACACTTTTATTTAAAGGAAACAATTCCCTCATTTTCAGTGTGATATCTCACCCTCATCCTCAGTTGTATCTGTCTGTATCTTGGAGCCTCACAGTTGTCCAATTCAACCTCTTCAGGAAACCTCTGGTCTTTTGCTAGAGTGTGGAGGGGCAGATGCCTGGTTTTATAAGATGAGAACATCTTGTGATCTAACTACTCCTTATACCTTTCAACCAAGTCTACTCTTGTCAGTTCTAATCCATAAATCCACCTTTACAGTAATTGCTACCTACAATTCCTGAGCGCTCTCGAGTTTTCCCACAGTAATGAACATGTTTCTGGTTGAATTCTTCCCTGCCTGCCAGCTCAGGGTTCTGCTTTCTCTGGTCTCCGTTACCATTTATCTATTTATTTTGCAAGCACCAAAATTTTACAGACATCATTTGCCTATTGTTGTCCCACTCTCCCATTCTTGTGATCTTCATAAATTTATGCCTTTTTATTTCATTTATATTTATTTTAATAGGTTTCAAAAATGGAGCAAAAATAAATTTTGATAGTCAAATAGTCATATTTATCTTGCATCTTAAGTTAGGTCAAATAGTTCCCAAGTGATAAAAATTAAGAGGCTTTAGAAATCATCCAATCCAAACATCTAATTTTATACAGAAGAATCTGAAGTCCATAGAAAGACATGATTGATTAAAGGTCACTTGACAGCATTCCAGGTAAAAAGAAAAAGCATTTTATTGACTTTTATATACCTTTAGGGGTTTCTTTTTTCCACTTAACTTCTGTTAGTGTTTTGTTCACAAAAAGTACATAAATGAATACTGTGACAACCAGAAACACTTTTATTTTCCCTTCTTTTTCCTCTCAACTCTGTTCAACCATGTATCTCCCTAGTCAAGTTACTTCTATCTCCTGAGTCAAATTAACCCTCCTGAGTCTCAGACTTTTCATCCACAAAACACAGACCATATTACCTACTGTGGGTGCAGGTCGCATGAATTAAGTAAGAAAGTATACGAAAATCACCTAAGAGAGCAGCCAGCAGATTGCGTATACTTGATGCCAAATTAGTAAGTAATAAATAGATGAATTTAACTGTTGTGGATATATACAATTTTATCTGAACAAGACCCACCTACTGTGGAACTGCATCCCCTTCAGAACCTATGGCAAGTGGGAGAAGGCTACCAAGGGAGCCACCACACTGAAAATGGCATGACCTGGCCCAGGCCACCCAGATCGGCCGAGGAATTGGCCTTTGACTGGAAATCAAGAGATTCTGAAATTTAGAACTGATTATGTGGATACTGAATGTCCTGAGAGCTGAGTCACAATAATGGTAATGTGCTTGGCTGCTCCGGCAGGTTCTCAAACTGCAGATGTTGCATCACCTCCCTGTGGGACACTTGGAAATATTTAGCATGTTTATTTGGTTGTCACAATGACTAGGGTCACTACTGGGACTCAGGGGCAAAGGCCTATGTCAGGCATCAGAAACAGATGGTCCTGCCCTTCACCAAAGTGTCCTGTTTAAAATGTCAATTGTGGCCCAGGTAAAAAATACTGCTAGAGGGAAAAGCCAGAGACAATTTCTTAGGCTTAAAGCTCTTATTACTGTCTTTTCAGTTTGCAAGTTCAATTCCTCCATGCATTCTATAGGACACCCTAAGGTAGGTTTTTTTTGTTGTTGTTTTTTGTTGTTTTCCTTTTTTTAAAGAAAAAATCCTTCAAGCTAGTCATAGTCGGTATTCGCAACAAGAAAAGGCCTAACTAATAGATGGACTGAGTATGTATTTTGGACTTTCTGGATGATATAAATAATAAACAACGAAAGCGGCATAGTTGTCTTCTTTGCCATTAGTCCCATAACACCTCCTGATGTCCCACTTGCTATGGGTTCTGAAGGGGTGTCATCATACAGTGCCCTCATCTTATCAGCAATGTGAACACAGAGGTTTCTCAGCATTTCTAGTTTTCAGTTTCACATTTACCAGGTGTGGCTTATAAAAGTCATTACATTTCAGGGTCATTATGAAGAATAAAATATCAGATAAAGTGTTAAGCACGGTGACAATGTTGAATTTTACCTGAGCAGCCCTGTGCACCTAAAAACAGTGATGATTACAAAATCTCCCCACCCTTTTGTGTTTCTGGAAAGTGCTTGTTGCAAAGGCCCACTCTTACCCACATAACTTAGATAAGACTCACAGAGGATCCTTTATTTACCTACAGCAAGGACAGACACAAACCCTCAAAATTCCCATTATTTTGCCCCTTAAAAAGTAGCTGAACTGTTTGTTTCCACTGGTCAATCAGAAAAAGACATATGTCCTGAGTTAGTTAAACTTTGGTTCCACTTCTCTCCTTTGTCCAGACCCCTGAACTTTGACCCATCTTCAATCTGAACCAGCAGACAAGCTCCACCCAAAAGCCCCTTTGGAAAACAGGCCAAGCTCAGGGTAGTGTTCTCTGATCACTGTCCCATCCTGCCACTACCACCCATTCATCGCACTGCCCCACACCGTTCTGGCCTCAATCACTTCACTCATGAAAGGAAAGCCTTTTTCTGCCTGACTTCTGAGATATAACTTACAGTTCTCATGGTCAGTGCTTTCTCCCTTTTTAATATCCCCTCTCCCTATTGCCAATAGTCCCTTTCTGTGGTCTTGCAGTCACCTTTTCAAATAAAATCTCCCCTTATCCATGTCCTGATTTTTTATTTTAAAAACTATATCTGCAAGACAGTAAGAAATAAGCAAATACATTTTAATATTCATTTGTATAAATAACCTCATTTGTCCATTAATACATATTCATTAATATTAATATTCATTAATAATTTTATTTGTTCACTTACATGGAAATTATCATTTTACAAATTTACAAATTATCATTCCTAAGACTAATAATTTTTCTCCAGATGTCAATTATTGTATCTCTCACAGACACACAAATGTTACATTTTTAAACACAAACCATCCAAAGTCCCATTATTTTCTCCATTAAAGATTAGCTGAACTGCTTGTTTCCACTAATCAGGAAAAGTCACATACCCTGAGTTGGTTTTCAAGTGATTATGAAGATGGTATAACAACATATAGTAAGTATATCTGAGTTTCACTGCATGATGTATAAGCTACAATAATTATATTATTCACTGGTAAAGACCAAGCGCCTTTCTGAACTAGCTTTAATTGATCTAAACTATAATTGTGACATGACACTGTTCCTTGGGGAGCAATTACAGTTAAGCTGTCATTTCATAAACAACTAAATCTCAAGAACCTGTCACGGTCTCCATTAAAAGGTTTCCCATAACTGAGTGCTCACCAAAAAGCTGATTAGTATAATAAAGGGATATCTTACTGACCTCTAACACAACACTCAACACTGAACTTGGAAACTCCGCCACCATAGCTTCAAACATGCTCTTCTTCCAGAGTCCCTTAGCCCAGCAAATGGTGCCACTGTCTTCGCAGTAACTCAAGCCTGAAGCCTGCCACCTACTGCACGAGGGCACTGACTAGGCCTGTGTGTTCACTGCTTTATCTCTCCAACATGAATAGAGAGGGCGTTTAATACATGTTAATGATCTAATTAGTTATATGTTAATGATTTTACCTCCTAAACATCTCCTTTTTTTTTTTTTTTTTTTTTTTTTTTTTTTGAGATGGAGTTTCGCTCTGTCGCCCAGGTCGGACTGCGGACTGCAGTGGCGCAATCTCGGCTCACTGCAAGCTCCGCTTCCCGGGTTCATGCCATTCTCCTGCCTCAGCCTCCCGAGTAGCTGGGACTACAGGCGCCCGCCACCGCGCCCGGCTAATTTTTTGTATTTTTAGTAGAGACGGGGTTTCACCTTGTTAGCCAGGATGGTCTCGATCTCCTGACCTCATGATCCACCCGCCTCGGCCTCCCAAAGTGCTGGGATTACAGGCGTGAGCCACCGCGCCCGGCCAACATCTCTTAAATCTGTCCATTTTCTTCAGTCCTCCCACAACCACCCTAGTCTAGGCCCTCATCTGCTCTCCCTGGACCACTGTAGAGTCCTTTCTCTGTATCCACTTCCATCTCCTTCAATCAACAGAAAGGTCTTTTTAAAACACAAGTTGCCCATATTACACCTCTGCTTAAAATACAACGATGTGACTGTCCTGCGAACCTGAGTGCTAGTGTTTTGCTACTGCTGTGAAAAGCCCTTCCCAAACATGCTAGCTCTGGCTCACCTCTCTAGCCTCACCACATTTCTGCTTTTAATTTTAGCCATTCTGGATTTCTTTCAGCTTCTCAAAACTGCTGTGCTCCAAGAACTGCACATTCAGTTCAGAAGTACAGAGTTGGAAGGAACGTCACATCCACCTTTTAAACAATAATAAAAAAAAAAAAAAAAAAAAAAAAAAAACTGGACAGAAAGCAAATTAACACTGAAGTCTATGGGCAAAAATTATTTCTCCCTGTAGGTATCTCTGTCCAGGAATCTACAGGGAGAAATAAAACTCAAGCATTTGCTCATCTGGGGTGGGCTAGCATGAGAGTATGGAGCCCTGGAAACCACCCAATTAGAAAAGTTGAAACCTTCTTAAAAGCTTTATCTGCAAAAAAATCCCTCCTACCCCCAGGCACTCACAGAGAAAATTAAAGAAAATAAAGAAACCACTTCCCCTGGGGAGATAGTGGGGGATAAGGGATTGCTGAAATCTGCCCAGAGCCACCTATCCTATGTCCTTCTCCTGAACCAAAGCCTAATCTTCAGGAGGAATCGGTGTTTAAGGCACCATCTTAGAAGCAGGGACCATGCCCTCGCCACACAGTAAACCTGCCGGTGCCTTGACCTTGGACTTCCCAGCCTCCAGAACTGTGAGAATATAAATTTCTGTGCTTTATACATTCCTCAGTCTCAAATATTTCATGGCGGCAGCACAAATGGACTGGGATACCTTCTGGTATTTAAAAAGAAAAGTCACATTCTACAAAGTTAAGTGACCCATAGGATAAAAAAAGAAAATTTCTTATACAGCATTTTGCAATTGAGTTAAACTTCTTGACCCAACACACATATAAATATATAATAACTGTTCTATCCCATAAAGACCATAATGTTATATTCAATTAAAGACATCAAAACTTTTTTCAGAACAAACTATATTCTACAGAAATTATGAGTCCCTATTTGCAAGTAACAGGTATAAACTATATATAATAGTTTATATATAGTTTAACTATATATAATAGTTTATATATAGTTTAACTATATATAATAGTTTATATATAGTTTAACTATATATAATAGTTTATATATAGTTTAACTATATATAATAGTTTATATATAGTTTAACTATATATAATAGTTTATATATAGTTTAACTATATATAATAGTTTATATATAGTTTAACTATATATAATAGTTTATTATAGTTAATATAATAAACAGGTATATTAACAGGTATAAACTATATGATTTTCACACAACCTTAACTGATTTTCACACAAATTAGAAAATTAGGGACAGAAAAGTTCCACTTTAAGGCTATCTTGGTTATCCACTACTACATAACAAACTACTGCCAAATTGAATGGTCTTGAAAAATAACCATCTTATTTATTTGCTCACAATTCAGCAACTTCGGCACTGTTGGGGGCAGACAGGCTCATGAGTTAGTGGTGGCTGTCAGCGGGGACCTCAGTTCCTGCTGGTTTGCCTGACTCTTCTTCACCTGAGTATCTTAAGCTTCCACTTACCATGGCAGCCTCAGCGTGAATAGGCTTGTGCATGGTGTCTGATTTCCAAGATGAGAAAAGCAGAAGCTAGAAGTCTTTCTTAAAGCTCAGGCTTGGAGCTGGCATTGTGTCAATTCTGCTGCATGCAATCAGGTAAGCGAGATGCAGAGTCAGACAAACTCCGGGAAGGGCACCACGCAGGGCCTGAAGGCTTGCATGTATGGTCATGGGGGCAGAGCACAATATATACACTACACCACTGATAAAAATGACAAAGCAGTCACTGATCAAAAAGTCAAATTTTAATACCCTCAAACATTATGGTCTTTTCTAAGGCCTGGCTAGCTACCTGCCTGTCGCCTTCTTTTTCCTAAGTTGAGAAGCAAGATGGTGATTTCTCTGAGCGCGGAAACCCTGTCTTACTCATCTTTGTACCTCAATGACTGTCTAGAACAGCATGTAACTTATGACAGGCAAGGAATATTTCATGCATACAAAAGTGAATGACAAATACCAACTGAAATTAATGCCCCGAAAGTATTAATCACTACCCAAGATGTTAATTAAAACAAAACCTAGAATATACCACACAGGGAGATGAAAGGAAGCACATTTTTGGTATATGGGGTCTAACTGGCCAACAAGGACTTGTAATTGAGCTTAAGTTCTAAGTGTTTATCTAAAAATGTTAAAAAAAAAACACCTGAGAAGAATTGTAAAATAAAGGATATTAGTATTAGATAAACAATGTAAATTTATTTCTCTAGAGGTGGGTCTAAAGTAGAAAGTAAAAAGGAGGATATAAAGAATTTTTTTAAAAAATGTTTGGATACAGTACAAGATATAGACAGTTCTCGACTTACAATGGTTCAACTTAGGATTTTTTGACTTTATGATGGTGTGAAAGCAAAACACGTGCAGTAGGAAACTTTATTTCCAGTATCCATACGACCATTCTGGTTTTTCAATTTCAGTTCAATATTTGATAAATTACATGAGATATCCAAGACTTCATTATAAAACAGGCTTTGTGTTAAATGATTTTGCCCAACTATAGGCTAATGTTGAGTGTTCCGAACATATTTAAGGTAGGCTAGGCTAAGCTTTGATGTTCAGTAGCTTAGGTGTGTCAAATACATTTTTGACTTACAATATTTTTAACCTACAAGTGGCTTATTGGGACAAAACCCCATTGTAAGCGAGGATCAGTATATATCTCAAATCAGTTTAACAGCTAAGAAACTGTGAGAAAGGAGGAAGGCAATAAAGCAGGTCCATCAGTACATTCCATGGTGACAGCAAATGTAAATACTACCTATAGGTTATTACCTCAAATATTCCACAGTCTTAAGTTAGGCAATGTAAGAATTATCCCCACCCATATTTACACCTTTGCTCCTTCAATGGGTACTGTGTGTGTATACACACACACATTTATCTATCTAAAAATCATAAGCCTGTTCTATCACTGGTTAATACTGCAATACTTATCTAGGCCAAGATTCATCATTAACACTACCATACGTAGAGAAATAGCTCCAACTGAGAAGACTGTTCTTGTCATATCCAACTGGATCATAGTTGTTTTTAATCTTTTTATAAGGCTGAGTTGTACTAGGCACAAAAGAAGGATCAGCTCTCTGGTTTTGTCACTAATTTAAATTGTATTTATCTACAACCCTTAATTAACAGTGTCTTTTGCAGTAATATTTGCCCACTGGAGGACATGTTTAATTAAAACTAGCTAACATAATCCATAAATCTGCAACCAGGCACATATAAATAGCTGTATGCCCCAGTACACTGAAAGCAAATGAATTAATAAATGGTGTTTTGCTTTCACGCCATCATAAAGTAAAAAAATCTTGAGTTCAACCAATGTAAATCGAGAACTGTACCTTGCACTGTATCTAAACATTCAAAAAAAAATTCTTTATATCCTCCGTTTTACATTCTACTTCAGACCCACATCTAGCAAAATAAATTTACATTGTTTATCTAATACTAATACCTTTGTGAGACCTGCACTGTGGAATAGCCCCTTTCACTTCAGGATACTGTCTCAAAGTGCATATAACTGGACTTAGATGAATCATGTAAGGGTACTGTACTAATCCATGCACTAAATATTAATAAAGTTTAATTTCTTAAAAGCATAGGCCCTGGAGTCAGACTTCTAGGATTCAAGTGCCCGATACTTAGTAACTTTTAGCAAGTTACTCAACTTCTCTGTTCTTCCATTTTTTTTCACGTCAACAGGAAATAATAATGTCTATCTTATGTTATAAAGATTAAATGAGTTAATAGTAAAGTGCTTAGAATAATGCCTCGCACACAAAAAACCACTCCGTGTGTGTACACACACATAACAGAAGTCTACACATAAATAGAAGTTCTACTGTATTTTCCCAGCACCCAAATGTATTAGCACGCACTCCTCTTTGGAGAACACCACTCAAGCACTTGCTTTCTGTACTTTACTGGGGAGAACAAAAGCTTTCAAAGAACATCTTTAGTTTATAATCTACACTTACCTATTTCCTGCCCAAGGACAAAAATACAAAGGGAGAACAAACAAGGTTTATTTTCCCTTTATCCTCTTGAAAGAACCGATCGATACTTTTATTAGCTCAATGGGACATTTTAAGTTTAATAATTTGACCACTAACACAATGATTACTTAAATAAATCCCCATTCTTAGTATTCAGGATTCTGATCTCATTTGAATTATATCAGTGTAGTAAATGCCAAACTCTAAACAACAGTAAACCTAACAATGGACTTGGGACCATGGCATTCACATGAAATGGAGTAGCCTCCTCAGAAACAAAACACTTGTTTCTTAGCATAGTTGCTAACTGAGTCAAGCTTTGCATTACTGATAATCATTTTCAAGATCCTGATAATCACCCCTGAAAATAACAATCACTTTGTACGTGGGCATTTTAATGTCCTAAGAATAAGTCATTCCAAACTTGTGTTTAGGTGTTTATTTCAATATCACAAATATTTCAGGATTCTCTTCGAGATATATACAATTCCATGCCCAAGTAAAGCACTGAAGGCATTCCAGAATATATTCCTTATGATTTACACGAATGTTATGATCCACTATTCCCCATAATGAAGTCATTCTAGCCCAACAGTTATTCTACCTTTCTCCCTCATGTCTGTTAATGTCCTGAATTTATTCTTAAAGACTAAATTTAATTTCATCCATAATTATTTCTCTAGAAATAACTCTCCATCATGTCCTTAAATTCTATGCTGTGCCTCTACCTTTGTAATATTAATTCAATCTTTATCCTATATTATTTAGTAAAATTTATCCTTTCCCCTATTAGATTATGAATTATTTGAGAGCAAGTAGGACCCACATTTAATTAAGCATTTTTCGTATATAATCGTTTCTCAATAAATACTTATGGAGTTAAAGCTTATTTTTCTCCAAATTGAATAGCACTATTCAATAAGGTTTTTATTGATTTTTTTTGTTGTTGCAGAGATTACTATATTAAAGCTATAAATACTATTATTTAAATATATTAATTTTCCAACTACAGATCACTAGGTATTATTAGTAGTGGTTGAGATTATTTGGTGTTACTCCATTGACTGTAATTTTAACCTAATATCCATTTCTAAATGATAAACAGCCCAACTTATTTAGACGTTAATAATTCTAAAGATCAATGAAGTGTACAAGTAACTTTTCCAGAATATAATATGAGCAAAAAAAACATAGACATGCACACACACAGGCACACGCAAGTAATATACAATCTGAAATAAGCTAACTTACATACTTGCTATCTGCATTTGCTTAAGGTTGGATATTCCAGGAGGAAGTGTGTGGAGGACAAGCTATGAAGCCCATAAACATGAAACCGTTAATTCAGAAAATCCCAGACTACAAAAGTCAGGCTACAAGTGGGGTGAATGATATGAAAGATTTAAAATCAAAGGCAAGAAACTGATACAGCAAAGAATCTATTGCAATCGATAGGGTAAGGGGTGATAGTGTTCTAAATTAAGGAGTGAAATGAAATGTAAAGAGAGATAGATGATAATTTAGAAAGTAAATGAATGGTATCTGAAGGATGGAGGCAAGCAGGTCAATGAGAGAGAAGTGCGTAGACAAAAATTATGTCCTGGTATCTGGCATGAGTACTCAAATACACTGTTGTCTGTCATTTACTCAAGTAAAAAACGCAGGAAAAAGTCAAGGTTGGCCAAGAAGAGGAGGTATGAAGTTCAGATACGGACATGGCAAATCTCTAAGATGTTTGTGGGGTATCCAAGTGGAAGCGTTCAGTGGCCATTTGGTCTAACAGTCAGAACAGACACAGGTGATGCACCCAGTGCCAGAAAGCACAGGTCAGGCTGGCTCATAAGCCTGACTTCTTTCTCTGTAACCATGATTATCAGTCTGCCTTTGTATTATGTGTCCATTTTTCATGTAATTACATATTGATTATTTCTTTTAATGGAAATTTATAGTTCAATCTACGGCATGAATTTTTGCCATTTTCCTCCAAAAGACTGCATCCTAGAAAAGAGGGATTATGTTCTGTTCACATTTCCTATCTCCAATACCAGTATAGTCACGCAATTTTCAGTTGGTCCAATTTGGTGATCCTTATGGAGCCCAGAGCCAAAATAATCAGTATAGTAATATCCAAGATATATAAGCCCAGCAGTATATTGCTAAACCACTAAAAATATTTTTGCTTTTTGGTTCAGCAATAGACATAGAGATATATCCTCTATGATGTACCCTCAAAGTAAGCAGAGATGTAATTAAAGAGTTAAATATAACAAAATTCATCACAGACTTTAATTTCTTTTTTTTTTTTTGAGATGGGAGTCTCACTTTGTGCCCCCAGGCTCAGGCTGGAGTGCAGTGGCACGATCTCGGCTCACTGCAAGCTCCACCTCCCGGGTTTCACACCATTCTCCTACCTCAGCCTCCCAAGTAGCTGGGACTACAGGCACCCGCCACCACGCCTGGCTAATTTTTTTTTGTATTTTTAGTAGAGACAGGGTTTCACTGTGGTCTCAATCTCCTGACCTCGTGATCTGCCCGCCTCAGCCTCCCAAAGTGCTGGGATTACAGGCATGAGCCACCGCACCCAGCCCACACACTTTAATTTCTAAATTTACTGCTTTGTGACAAACATACATGTAATAGACTGTTTCTAGTCTTTTAAATGTAATAAAAATTTTAGGAGGCCTATATATAAGGATTATAATCAAATTTTTAATTATTCATTGGCTCAGGAAAATAACACCAATGATAATAATATGCCCCCAAACAATATCACTAGATTATTTCAGGAACCCCTCAATATATGCCTGGCTGTTTTTGGATTTCACTTTAAGTTTCAATTTTACTGAAAATTTTATTTTCAAATTTCAATTTTATTTTCACTTTAAGTTTCAAATTTAAGTTCAAGTGTTGCTTTCTGCCTCAATAATCAAGCACTGTAAGGAGAGCAAACGTTAAGATTTTAATTCCCTCCACAATACATCTGAAATGCTGTCATATTTGTAAATACCAACCTAAATAACTTCCCAATTCTCACAGACAGGGGCTGTGTCACAAGACCCAAGTCCAGAGCCTCTGAGAACAGGACAAATGTAGCTTCTGAAGATTTACTCCTCCTGCTGCCGCTTACCGGTTCTCTTCTTTCCAGTTCCCACTACAAGATGTAGGTTGACAAAATGAGAAAGTAGAAGAGAACCGTCCATCATAAAACAATGGCCATTATGCGCCAACCAGTTTCTCTAAATTTATATAATCCATAGTGGCCTTTCTACTTTATCATAGGCCCAAGATTTAATGAATACTAGGAGTGACTCATAGTAACTAAATGTATCCTTAAGTGATTATTTTTAATATCAGGCTGCCTTGATGTCAACAAGATTCAAAATCCCAACTAGCCAGCTGCTATGGTTTCAATGTTTCCCCTCCAATTCATGTTGAAAATGGCCACTGTGGGGGTAATTAAGAGGTGGGGCCTTTTGGGAAGTGCTGAAGTCATGAGGACTCTGCCCCTATGAATGGATTCAAGCCTTTTAAAAGGGCTAAGGTAATTAATTAGCTGAGGCTCTTTTTGCTCTTCCGCATACTACTATGCGAGGAGGCAGCAAGAGGGCCCCCACCACACACCAAATGCAGGTGGCTTGATCTTAGATTTCCCAGCCTCCAGAAATGTAAGAAATAAATTTCTGTTCTTTACAAATGACCCAGTCTCAGTGTTTTGCTATAGCACCACAAAGGTCTAAGACAACCAAATTAATTTTGGCACTGTGGATACAAAAAACTAGCCTACATGTACATTATCACTTTATTTCTAGAGGTAAATTACCACGTGAACATCAAAAATCATTTTCACATAAATTATCTGAAAAAATATTATGTCTCTGAAAATCAAACAGGAGCAACAAAAATGGCAACATTTAACATATCTCTATGACTGTAAAATATTCCCTATCCTAGGAAATCTGTAAATCCACGATGATTTCCATGGAATAGGCTTCTACCAAGTAGTAATTTAAAGGGTTTTAAATTGTCTATGACATACTACAAGGAAAAAATGCAAGCCCACTTCAAAAAAGAAAGTTTCCCTGAAACACCAGGAACAGACATGTTTTATCTCTCAAAGATCCTTGACCTAACCATTTATATGAAGAGAACAAATATATCACATTCCCAACATTCAGATTCTAGAAAAACTTTTAACAGAAGAAACTTTTGCTGGTTAAGACAAAGTTACTGCAGATAGTATGTACACAGATGAGAATGCTTAGAGGCTAAAAGGACAATTATCAAATTAATAAATTTAATAAACCTAATTTAAACTTATAGACTTAACATAGCACACTAAACCTTGAGAATCACAATCACAGTACAAAAATACCTCCTGAGTAAAAACCTCAGGCACATTTTGCCCAAAAAATGGAAAATGTTTTTATATTAATAAAGGTTACACTAAGTTATTAAAACATTCATGTACAGAAACGTGTAAAGTAGAAAAATATCACGAAAACCTATACTCCAGAAAACAACTGCTATTAAGATTCTGGTTCGCTTTTTCAAATAATTCCCCAACTTGGATTCTGGATTTTCTGTATCTTGACTTTTCTTTTTTCACTTAATATTATAGCACAGACACTTAAAACAGAGCATTATACATAGAGATATAACGTATTTAATGTCATATTACAACTCACTTTTTAAAATGGTCCCTAAGCATTCTTTCACTCCAGCATGACTATGCATGTGGCATTCCCTCTCCTGAAATAGTTTGCCATCATTAAGCACCTGGAGAAGCCTCATCGTCTAAAACAGTTCAAATGTCATTCTCTACTTTAACTTTGCAGGACCTTTGGCCAATGCCACCCACATTCTGCTCCCTTACAACTTCATTTATGTCTTCTATAAAAATCTGTCTAGTCAAATTAAATGGCTTGTAATTCCCCAAATGCCTTCTGTGCTTCAATATAGTGCTCCTCTGTCACCACCCTTCAATTTCACTATCTCACTTCTGACCCCAGCCAGCCAGACTCTTTAGAGACAACCTCCTTAGAGCAGCCTTCTCTGAGCCTATCACCAGGATCCTCTTCTTTGTTCTTTCAGGGCAACCTGTATTATTAATATTAACTTATTCATCTGCATTCACCAAAAAAAACTGGCAGTTTTTTAGCCCAAAGACCATGACTTAACCACTTCGATTTTCCCAGAACAATGTCTGGCTCAGAGAAGACTCTTTATAAATGCTAGGTATAGACAGAGCCGGATCCACTGACGGATGAACCAATGAATAAAAAAATAAATGTAAACCCTAAACCATAATGTATCTGTAGGTCCTCAAAGACAGGGTACCTTGTTCCAATGTTGATTTGGGGTTTATATTGACCATGTTCCAAGCTGGCGCTGATCAGCACCAGAGGTTAAGGTTTATCTGCAAAAAAAAAAAACCCATGGAGAACAATTTCCATAGCTTCTAAAAAAAACTTCTAAAAAAATCATAAAACAGCATTTAGAATTTCACCCTTTATAAGCTCAGATACATAACTCAAGAGAGTGAATATACATTAAGGTCTGAACACTAAATGATTCCTGTGTCCAATGCTGTGCCATTGAAAGAGTGTTGAAAATGGTTCATTAACAGAAGAGAAATTATTCAATTAATGGAAATCACTTTATCAGATGGAGTTTCACAAACAGTAGTTCTCTCTTGCCCCAGAAGCTGGAAGTGTACCATCAGCATTAATTCCACACTACACTATTCTCTACTCACAGCTATTCCAGCTATTTCGTTTCCTCCAGTTCATTCTATTAACTGACACAAGCATGAAAGCTTCTTCTTAGGACTGATTGCAGTGCTATATTAGCTTGAAACAGGGCTGGCTTGAAACCTGTATGCTCCATTATGCTAAGCAGAAATATTGTTTTTCAGTATCCTGAAAGCAGTAACTTCTAAATGGTCTACTTCAGACATTGTAAGTACTTGAAATGGACTCTAATCTCAAACACAGAAATTATAATTTTTAAATTATAATTTAAATCTTAAATTAAATTTTAAATTATAATTTAAATATTATAATTTTTCTTCCCTTACCTCAAAGCTGACAATGAAAAACAATATTTGAGATTTTATTTCGTACACTTTATTGATGTTATGAGTCAATAATGATGTGAACACATTCCGAGAAATGCATTGTCAGGTGATTTCCTCATTGTGCAAACATCAAAGAGTACACTTACACAAACCTAGATGGCATATCCTACTGTATACCTAGGCTATATGGTATAGCCTATTGTTCCTAGGCTACAAACCTGTACCTCATGCTACTGTACTAAGTACTATAAGCAATTGTCACACAATGGTAAATATTTATATTTCTAAACATAGAAAAGATACAGCAAAAATACAGTATTATAATCTTATGGGATCACCATCATATATGCAGTCCATCACTGACTGAAATCACTATGCAGCACATGACTGCACTTTATTTTATTTCATTTACAAACTTGGAGACAACAAAGTATTAGTTTCAGGTTAATCATCATCAACTAGACTATGAACTACTTAAAGACAGGGTCTATAATCTGGTCATCTTTCTATCTATTGCATATTAAGTATACAGAGCATATTGAGCACAAAGAATCAATATACAAAGGTTTCCACCAGTCATGTTTTGTTTGAGTAATGAGTCTGTCTATGAAATGTTTGTAACGTAATTTTCTGTTTACAAGACACATATATTCCCCTGAGTTCTGCAGGTATGGCTGAGAACATTCCTAACAGGCTGCCCACCTATAAATATCAACTGTAAACTCCTAAACTCACAGCAAAATATAAAAGTTAACTGTCTGAAGCACTGAAGACTGATCGAAAACAGGCAGATTCTGAAAGAAAGTTATGACTTCAGCAAAGGAAATACCCTGGGGTGAATTTACTCATTTTAGAGCTTTTGGCTTTAGTGGCAGAGACTGAGAAAACCATAGTGCTGAAATGTGAGGGGGGAATACTAGAAAAGACGGTCAGAGTTGCAGATAACCAAATATTATGTATAAAATCTTCTGAAATCTCTGGCTGGCCTCTGAATCACGTGACAAAAATTAGACACAAAAAGCCAAACTAAGGAAAGAAATGAACTGAGACTTGAACTCTTACCCAATAGACACAGTTTATACCCTGAATCCAACCAAGTTAATTAGCTGCTAAAACAAAAATATCAAAATTCTTCCGCGAAAGTAACAGAATCCAAGGTTTCTACAATGTACATTCACAATAGCCAGCATACGATCCAAAATTACTCAAAATGCAAAGGGCTGAAGCAATATGGCTCTTCATCAAGATAAAAGACTCCCAGTGCAAAATAAATCTAAGATGGCCAAGACTTAGAAGACTTAGAAATTAGTAGACAGAGATGTTCAAGGACCTATTTAACCGTACTCAGTGACAGAGAGGAAAATAACACTTGCAATGAATTAAAAAATAGAAAATCCCAAGAGAGAAAAAAATATTTTTACATACATACATGTATATATGATTCAAATGTAAATTCTGAAACAGATAATTATGATTCCTGATATAAAAAAATTACTTGGTGGGTTAATAGCAAAATGAGAACAGAAAGGAATCAATGAGTTTAAGATACAGCAGTAAAAGTTATAAAATCTGAAGGACAGGAAAAAAAAAAACAGAGCCACAGAAACTTTTGTGAGAGTGACAAAAGGCTGAAATATGTGTAACTGAAATCTCAAAAGAATGAGAGGAGAAACGATCAGAAAAAGAATTGAAGTAGTAACTGAAATATTATGATAAAATGTACAAATCCTTTTAAAAACAAATTTTCACGAAAGATGTCATAGGAAATCTGTCTAGTGTCATACCAAAGATACTGAATTCATTATCAAACTCCAGGCCCAGATTGCTTCACTGGTGAATCTATCAAATATTTAGGAATAAGTAACACCAATCTGATATATGTTCTCTGAGAAAATGGAAAGAAACACTTCCCAAGTCATTTTATGAAACTAGCATAACACTAACATTAAAATCTGACAAAAATATTATTTTAAAAAATGTACAGGTCAGGCTGGGAGTGGTGGCTTCTGCCTGTAATCCCAGCACTTTGGGAGGCAGAGGTGGGCAAATCACATTAGGCCAGCCTGGTCAACATGGAGAAGGCTCATCTCTACCAAAAATACAAATGTTAGCCAGGCATGGTGGTGCATGTCTGTAATCCCAGCTACTCGGGAGACTGGGGCATGAGAATCACTTGAATCCAGGAGATGGAGGTTGCAGTGAGTCAAGGTCGCGTGACTGCACTACAGCCTGGGCAACAGAGTGAGACTCTGTCTCAAAAAAAAAATAGTATAAGTCAGTATCACTCATTAAAATAAGATGCAACCGAATCCAGCACTATATAAAACAGATAATATATCACTATTAAGTAGGGTTTAACCCAAGAATACAAAGGTTTTAGTTTTAAAAATCAATCATTAAAATCTACCATATAAACAGTGTAGAGAAATACATTGTGTTTATTTCAATAGATGTAGAAAAAGCATTCAAAAAAATTTACCACCGAGGATCAGAACTCTCAGTAAAACTGAAGCAGAAGGGAACTTCCTCTACCTAGCAAATGAAATCTACCAAAAAAACCTGTAACTAATATTGTTCTTAATGTTAAAATAACTGCATGCTTTCCTCCTTGATTAGAAACAGGAATAATTCCTACTCTCCTCATTTGTCTTCAGCATTACACTGGAGATATTAGCCAAAATAATGCAAGTAAAATAATAAGATGCATAGAAACTGGAAAGGGAGAAGTAAACTATTTAAGCAAATGGTATAATGATGTGCATGACAAATCCTAAGAAGTCTACAAAACAACTTACTAGAATAAGTGAATTTAAATTTAGCAAGGTAGCAGGAGACATGGTTAACATACAAAATTTTATATTAGAAAAAAAACTGGAAAATAGAAATTTAAAAATATTCAATTTACGATAGTGTCAAAAACACAAAATATTTAAGAATAAGTTTAACAAAAGACATACAAAACTCCTATCTTAAAAAGTACAAAGCGCTGTTGATAGAAATTAAAGGGAAGACTCAATATTGTTAAGATGTCAAATCTCCCACAAATTGCTCAACAGATGCAATGCGATTGCAATTCTAATCCCAGCAGATGGTTTTGTAGTAATTAACAAAGAAATTCTTAAATTTATATGTAATTGTAAAGGATCTAAAGTATCTAAGTAATCCTGAAAAAGAAGGACAAAGGTGGAGGAACTACATTACCTAAACTCATGTCTCACTATGTAAAAGCCTATAGTAATCAAGACAGTGTGGTACTGGCATAAGGATTCATAAATAGATTAAAAGAAGTGAACTAAAAGCTTAGAAATATACCCCCACTTACATGCTCACCTGATTGTCTCATCAAAGGCACCAAAACAATCAGTGGAGGGAAACATCTTTCAACAAATAGTGCAAGAAAAACTAGATAACCATATGGGAAAAAAGATGAACTTGAGCCTCTATCTCATACCATATACAAAAATTCATTTGAGATCTATCATAGACCTAAAAGTAAAAGCTACAATAACACTTTTAGAGAAAATACAGAAGAGTATAACTTATAAAGAACTCTAACATTTCCTTGAGGTTGGCAAAGATTTCAAGATTCAAATACATGAATAGCCAATAAGGATATGAAAAATTGCACAAAATGATCAATCATAAGGTAAATGCAACTTCATACCACAGGAAGATACCAATATACCATCAAAAGCTAAAATAAAAAAGGCTGACAGCACCAAATACTGATGAGGGTATGAGGCAGCTACAGCCTGCACACATTGTTTGTGGAAATGGTACAAGGTATAAGTGCTTTGGAAAAAAGTATGACAATTTCTTGTAATACTAAATACACAACAATTTTCAATACTGCGTATTTAATAAAGAGTAACAAACATATCTGGTTATGAAACAACTTGTACAAATAGCAAAGACATGGAATCAACCCAAATCCCTATCAATGACAGGCTGGATAAAGAAAATGTGGTACATATACACTATGGAATACTATGCAGCCCTAAAGAGGAATGAGATCATGTCCTTTGCAGGGACATGGAAGGAGCTGGAAGCTATTATCTTCAGCAGACTAACACAGGAACAGAAAAGCAAACACTGCATGTTCTCACTGATAAGTGGGAGCTGAACAATGAGAACACACGGACACAGGGAGGGGAACAACACACAGTGGGGCCTGTCATGGGGGCAGGGGGAGGGAGAGCATCAGGATAAATAGCTAATGCATGTGGGGCTTAATACCTAGGTGATGGGGCAAACCACCATGGCACACATTTACCTATGTAACAAACCTGCACGTCCTGCACATGTATCCCAGAACTTAAAACAAAATACAACGTTAAAAAAAGAAAAAGAAAAGGAAACAACTTGTATAAAACTGTTCAGAGAAATTTAATTTATAATAACCAAAAAATTAAAAGTGCCTAGACAAATGGATAAACAACAATGATATATTCAGGTAACAGATTATTATTCATCAATAAAAAGAAATGAACTACTAATACACACAACAGTATGCAAGAATCATGTATATGAACATTCAGAAGACAAAAGAAAAATAGCATTTAAATAAAACATAAACAATGATATTTTTGAACCTTTATGTACCAAGCATTTAACACAGATTATCTCATGTAATTTTAAACCATCCAACCTCATATTACAAATGAGGAAACTGAAGTGGAAAGAAGTTGAAGAGGCTTCCCAAAGTCACACTGCTAGTTTGACTCAAAAGGATATATTTTCAGGAATCTGTAACTCACACTAAAGGGAAAAGACAGAATGAATAAATTTACTAAGTTTTTAATTAACTTTAAAAGTGTGTGTAGGGGGATGCTAAGAGAAAACATCTCTAAAAACACCAAACAGAATATAAATTAAACATCTGCTCCCCTTTGATTCAGGTTAAAATACCTGCAGTGTAGACCTCACTGTCTTACCTTAGGGAACTGTTTTACGGGAATTAACACTTTCTGTCCCAGCTTCATGTTCTTATTAATCACCACATCGATGTACTTTTCTTCATCCTTGCCTTCTCCTTTTTGAAACTTTTCTATTTCTGTGGAGGCAAAAAGATAACCATGAAGTGTATGACTCAGAAATGCAGGGGCTGGGTGTTCTGGTTAGCTCTGTAGTGGCATGAAATCAACTACTACTGAAGTATGGACTATTAAATTGAGGCAAATGTTTTCAAGTACATTTCCGGTTTCATCAATGATTCTTCATAAATGGAATAAATGCATGTATCATGGCTCTACAAAGTCAAATCTCAACTGCTCATACCAACAGAGGAGAAAAACAGACCAGATAAACAACACAAAAATAAGTTACTTCAGGTCTTCTGGATAACTAGATAAGGCTGATCAAATAAAGAAGAAAAGCCATTAAGTATTCACAGTTCAGTGATACAAAGTGCTGAAACATCCCTAGTTACCAATCTTGCCTGGCTTTTCAAGGCTTCTACAACCAAGAACTGATTCTACGATGGCATTAAACACCCTAGACAACCTTCCAGTAGCCCACCTCCCCAATCAAATCTTCCCTCCTTGCATGTGACACATATCAACTATATGCTAATGTCTTTACTAATGCTCTTCGCTCTACTTGTTATGATGATTTCATCTTCATCTCCTTTCGAGACTCAACCACATTAAATCTCCTTTTCTGTGCAAGTGTTTCTTTCCTCAATGGGGTGGCAAGAATGGAAGAATCAATCACTCTCACCTTGATACTCACAAAGCACTTTACGTGCAACTCTACTGCTACCCTTAGATGGAAAAAAAAATGTGCTACCTCTCCCTCTGGAACATAAATTTCTCTTAGGTAAAAATCTATTTATTCACTCTTAAATATCTTAAACTAAGCAAGTTCCAGATCCTAGAAAATTTTAGCATAAAATTTCATCCACCCTATGGCCCATAGTATTTGGTTGCACAAGAGATACAAAATTAGGTGCTTGCATGAATGCTGAATGAATGAGTACTGTTACCTCCAAGCACCAACCTATAGACACCCAGGTTCAGAGAAGGATAAAGAACAGCCTGGAGAAGGTATCAAAGACGTCATCAGCTGTACAAAGGAATACACGTATTTATCCATTTTGCTTGTTAAGCTAGGAACATTTAAGAATTTAATATGTGCCATCCCTGAACAACATATCTCACATTCATGACATAATTCAATCCTCAAGACAGATGACAAAGAGGAGGTTCAAAGAGGTGACTTCACAATAAATGGCAAAGGTTAAGATTTACCCTCAGATTTGTTTGGCTCCAAAGACAAGGTGCCTGTGCAGTCTCTCCCACCATTTTTATGTCATATCAGAAAAACAAGTAAGAAAGATTTTTACAGTATCTTGGGATAAATGAAAGATTTATTTAAGCTAGAGGCTTTGGGCCTGGGGCTTCTGTCACCACTGAAACAGCCAATGGGCTTCATAATACCACGGAGGAGCTTTCACTCCATCCTAATATGCAGCCTCCCATTTCGAACTAAATGATTGTCTATTAAACAAAGGTTTTGAATGAGCAACAAAGAATTATTACAATTTAAAGGACACTAAATGGGACATAAAAATTCTAGATTCTCGTCTCAGATCTGCTAATAATTGTCTTTGCAATTAGAAAACAGTATATCAGTTAGGATGCAGGTTCTTCAAGTTTAAAATGAGAAAAGGGAACTAGAATATCCAACGATTTGGTTCTAAAACCTTAGGATCTCATGTGACTTACAAATGCTGACAAAGCCTCTCACTCCTTGATGAAACTTTGGTCACTAACAGTAAGCAAAGTGCTTTCCTGAGTTCTGTGAGTCATTATAGCAAATTACCAAACCTGAGGAAGGATCCTGGAGCCTCCAAATTTGTAGTTAGGCAGAAATCTGGGTAGCCGGAGCATTACATTGTGGCTGGCACCTGAAGTGTCAGCAGTCTTGTGGGATTAAGCCCTTGATCTGTGGGGAGGGGAGGAGGCCTGACGCTAACTCCCGCAGTTAGCTTCAGAATTGAATCACTGGATACACAGCTGGCATCAAAGAATTGGTAAGTGTCTGAAAACACTATACAATAGGGATTAAGAGCGATGAGATGGGGGAGACGGAAGGAAGCAGGGTAGAAACTGAAGATAAGAAAGGATGGCTAAGAGAAGGAAATAGCAAATTATATCTGCAGCTTCTAATCAAAGCTTCCAAGAAGAGATAAAGACTAAGTCACCAAATAAATGAATTTGTCATTTTGTCTGCTTTCTTGTACTACACTATGTTTTGATCCTGAAAAATTAATTTTAAGTGGAACCTGTAAAGGAAAAATATACACAGAAATAGAAGAGTACCTTTAATTTTATTGATTTTTTCTATAAAAATAATACATGAACATGGTAACAATTTAAAACAATATGACAGGATATAAAATTTTTTTAAGGTTTCTCCTATCACTTCAACTCCAGAAATAATTGTAATCAACTGTTTTTATATACTCTTTCAGAAATTTTCCATGAATAGAATTGACACACACACACACAGTTTGAAAATTGTAGCACCAATGGTATCAATGAGCTACACTGGTTTTGTTTTCTTCAGTAAAGAGCAGTAAGTCTCACATCAGCTGCTCCGGGTATAACAATTCATGACTTCAGCTTTAATTAGAAGAAAATAAATCCCACCCTTCATTATCTATTTATGCAATAATTAGAAATACCTTTGGCATAGTTAGACGATTCAACAAAATCAGGTACACTGAAACGTCCTAAAATTTTTTTTTGTATGGTATGTGTATGTGTGTCAAAATAGATTCAACTGCCTCCTTTTCAATTGACAAAGTAGTTTAGGCCGGGCGTGGTGGCTCACACCTGTAATCCCAGTACTTTGGGAGGCCGAGGCGGGTGGATCACGAGGTCAGGAGATTGAGACCATCCTGGCTAACAAGGTGAAACCCCCGTCTCTACTAAAAAATACAAAAAATTAGCTGGACGTGGTGGCAGGCGCCTGTAGTCCAGCTACTGGGGAGGCTGAGGCAGGAGAATGGCATGAACACGGGAGGCGGAGCTTGCAGTGAGGTGAGATCGTGTCACTGCACCTCCACCCTGGGCAGCAGAGCAAGACCCCGTCTCAAAAACAACAACAACAACAAAAAAAAACAAAGTAGTTTAGTAATTGTTGAAAACTCACACCAGATGTACAATATTTAAATCCATTAATTCAGAATTCCACACGTTTTCCCTTGTGTCAGTGTCACTTAACATTTTGTCGTAAGAAAATCATATAGGTAAGCTTTTAAAAATTAGGAATTAAGTATTTTATCACATATTACAGTTTCAGATCATCTGTTATTTTAAAAAGGAAAATGAAAGAAAATCTATATAAAATATCTAATTTCCTCTCTACATATACACAGCATCCTACAAATCTTAAGTTGCTAGAATGCACTGTTTCTATCTTAAATTTTGAATGATGTTGGAATATTTTAAGATTTTTTTTAAATTTTTTAAGCCTGATGCCATATCAGAAGCATATAGGTTTGCATTTAACAAGCCTAAAGCACCACACAACAATGCAAAGAGCCCTGAGCCCCATCGCGGGAGTCAAACAGACCTGGTTTAAATCATGAATGCTGTACTTTTCTCAGGCCCTTGTGCCTTCCAATATACAATTCAAAACTGGTTAAAACTTTTCTTGTTTTTAGCAGATGCTGTTCAATCAACAATTTTTATTTTCTACTTGAATGAGCATTATAAGTAGCTTAATTTTTTTTTGAAATCCAGAAATACATAAAATGGAGAATTGCACAAAATTATCTACGAAATCTTGAGACAGCTGTCTCAAGGATTTATGCCTGTCCCTAACTGAGAGTTGCATATTCAAAAACCCCTGCTACTACCGCTCTCATCTTCCCCGAGGGAGGAAAGATGCTTGAGATCCACCAAGATGGATGTGACCCTCTAGTTAACTGTGGCAAAGTGAGGCCACCAATAGAGAAAACCCAATCAGATTTTCAAGGACGAATGCATAGGGGATTTGACTTTCACTAATCCCCAGATTACATTTGGTACCAAACAGCTTAAGGTACCAATACCATCTCCTAGCTCAGAAATAATAAGCAAATGTGTGATTAAGGTTTTAGATAATGTAGGGGATTAAAATGCTATGTTTTCAAACCATGTACACCAAACCTCTCACTGCAGAATTCTTGTTTTCAGTAATAATATCTGTATTGTTTTTTGTTTGTTCATTTGTTTTGCTTTGGTCTAGTACAGAACTTCCTAAGCAATGGCCTCTTTTCCTTTTTAAGGTACCAGATATACTAAAGTCCACTAATATTCTAAAAATAGCTAAATAATCTTTGCATTTAAATAAGTTAAGTTTCCAATATAAAAATTTTAGTAATGTAAAATTTTTAAAGTAGCTTCATTTCTCTCATATAATCAAACACACAGATTATTTTTCCTTTGTTCTAGCAACTTCATTTCTAGAAATTTAACCTACATATATACTTAGATAGATGTGGAATATTACTCACAAAATTATCCACTACTGCATTGTCTTTAATAGCAAAACACTGGGAACCACCTAAATGTCTTATCAACAGGAGCTGGGTAAGTAGGCTAGAGCACACCCTGGAATAAAATAGCATGTGGCTACTGCACAAAATGAGGAAACTTCATGTTCTGATAGTCAAAGATCGGTACCAAATGCACTGTTTACTCACACACACACACACACACACACACACAATGTAAGAAACAAATGTTTACTTATATACACACAGAAAACATCTCCCTATTGATATACAGTTTTACATCATGTAGCGACATTACAGTCAACATATATGACAGTGGTCTTGTAAGATTATAATGAAGCTGAAAAATTCCTACTGCCTAGTAATGGCTTAGCTGTGGTAACCTTGCAGCACAAAGCATTACATGTTTGTGGCAATGATAGTGTAAACAAACCTTCCATGCTGCCAGATGTATAAAAGTGTGCAGTAATGACCCAGTCCTTCATATTCACTCACCACTCAACCACTGACTCACCCAGAGCAACTTCCAGTTCCACAGGCTCCACTCATGGTAAGTGTCCTATGCAAGTATTCCATGTTTTGTCTTTTGCACTGTATTTTTATTGTGCTTTTTCTATGTTTAAATACACAAAATACTTACCATTGTGTTACAACTGCCTACAGTACTCAGTATGGTAACATGTACTCTGGCTTTGCAACATGCTGTCTAGGTTTGTAGCCTAGCAGCAACAGGCTATATCACCTAGCCTATGTGTACAGCAAGCCGGCTGCACCATCCAGGTATGTTTAAGTGCAATCTATCATGGTCCACAACAACAAAATCATCTAAGGATGCATTCCTCAGAACACACATTCCTGTGGTTAAGCAACAAAAGACAGTATAAGAAACTAGTTATCTATTTGGCATGGAGAGGACAAAGTAGATAGGGTACAGAAATACTTTTCACTGTATCTCTTTTTGCACTGCTTTAAATCTCTTAACCACGTGAATATTTTACCCATCTAAAATGGCATGCAGGGGCCAGGAAAGGAAAAGAAAAACAGACTAATATGGTAGCCTGATGGGGCTACAGACTGCACACAGGAAAGCAGTTAATTTGTGGTGACACAGCAGCAAGGGCCAAAGCAAATATACACTTTGAGCTCACTTCTCTCTCCTGCCAAGCTTCTGCTATTGACCACTAGTGGATAGCTCTTAACCCAGCTCAAAGCCAGAGGGTAAATATATCTATGATACAGGTCTTGTACCATGCATATCAGCCTCTGGGCACAGAGCAGAGTAGGAAGGGTGGAAAGAGGACCTGATAAGGCAAAAACAAAAAAAAATCAACAACGACAACAATAAAACTCCAACCCCTCATCTTTAGCAAACACAGGGAATCTTTTTTTTTTTTTTTTTTTTTTTTTTTTTTTTTTTTTAAGACGGAGTCTCGCTCTGTCGCCCAGGCTGGAGTGCAGTGGCGTGATCTTGGCTCACTGCAAGCTCCGCCTCCCGGGTTCACGTCATTCTCCTACCTCAGCCTCCCCAGTAGCTGGGACCACAGGCGCCCGCCACCACGCCTGGCTAATTTTTTGTATTTTTAGTAGAGACGGCGTTTCACCGTGTTAGCCAGGATGGTCTCAATCTCCTGACCTCGTGATCCGCCCGCCTCGGCCTCCCAAAGTGCTGGGATTACAGGCGTGAGCCACCGCGCCCAGCCCCACAAGGAATCTTTAAAAAGAATTTCTAATACCTCCTTTACATACAAAAATATCCATCTGAGCTCACCATACATAAATTTACACAGCAAAATATTGAAAAATAATGAAAATTATTTTAGGGGTCACTTATACCAGCAGTAATTAAATTATAATTATTACTTTGTTGATGATGACTCATGAAGTACAGGGCTGTGTGTTTGACTTAAATTATCTCTTTATGCTAACAAATATATGATCTGCCGCCTGCATTTTACAGTGAGATCCTGAGGACTGAAATGGTTAAGAAGTTTGCAAAGGTTAGAGAGCTAATAGCACAGTCAGAATTCAAATCTAGATATATCTGACTTCAAGCCCATACCTTTTATTTTTTAAACTGTTATTAAAAAAAACCATAAAATTTATAGTCAACCATTTTTAAGTGTGCTGTTCAGTCCATCCACACTGTCGTGCAACAGATGTCCAGAACTTTTTTGTCTCACACAAGTGAAACCCTATGCACATTAAACTACTCCCCATTTTCCCTTCCCCTCAGCCCTTGGTAACTACCATTCTATTTTGTTTATATAAATGTGACTGCTTAGCTGTGTCATATAAGAGGAATCATACAGTATTTGTCTTTCCATGCTTGGCTTATTTCACTTAGCATAATGCCCTCAAGGCTCATCCACGGGGCAGCATGTGGCAGTATCTCCTTACTTTTTAAGGCGGAATAATATTCCACTGTAGCTATATAACACATTTTGTTTATCCATTCATTGGTTGACAGATATTTGGAGTGTTTCCACCTCTTAGCTATTGTAAATAATTAAAGACTACACCCTTTAATCTCTTTTTTCCTTCTTTCCTGAAGTGAGATGTGAAAATGTTCTAAAGCTGTAAATCACAAGCATTGGACGTTCTTAATGTAGCCACATCTGCTTATCCCTTCACTTTATTCTCCTACAGCCAAGTCATTCTGCGGGAAGCACTGCTTCAATGTATAGAGAACAGCTTGAAATTACAGAACCTCAGTACTGGTGATCTTTAGTGAGCTCTCAAAGTGGACTTAAAGGAACGGCTGAAGGAATTTTGTGTGATATCAGGAGACAGTTCTAGGTCCAAATCCAAATGAAAATATAAATTCCACTAACATCAAAATAAGCAAATTACAGAGTTAAGTGAGTACAAAGGAGTCAAACAGAAGCAATCTTTGCATAAAGTAGATGAAGGAAAAAAAAAAGAGGGGCAGAGGAGACATGACTATAGCTCTTTAGTCACTGAAGCCTAAGATGATTAAATCAAAAAATACTCCAAGGTCCTGCATGGTTATACCCTAATGTAACCGGTCAATTTCCATGGTTTTAAGTTAAGGTAAAAATTGGTACTCTGGCCCCCAAAATTGAAGAGATAAAAATAATGGCAAAAGGGTCCACTTTCTGCATCCAAGACACCTTTTGAACACTGCTGATTGTTGAATTCTTAACGGCTAAGTAATAAGAAGAACTTTCTCAGTAAAAAAAAACAAAAACATAAAACCTCAGAGAGTAAGAGTCTTTGAAATAATGCAGCCAGACTCCAACTGCTTGAGTTTGAATCCCTGCTATGGTACTTAATTATATGGCTGTCAGAAAGTAACTTATAAGTCACAATTTCCTCATCAAAGAAATGTAGAAATAACAGCGCCTGCCCCCCATAGGGTTTTTATGAGGATTAAATAATTTAATATTTGCAAAGAACAACAATACCTGGTCCAGTTAAGTTCTATATAGGCATTTGCCAAATACCGTACATGCCTATACTAGACAGTAAGTTCTTGAGGGGTGAGATTTTATCTAATTTAACTTTATATCTCTTGAGCAACCTAGAAATTGCAAGTCTGTGTCCAGCTTTTTTCTTTTTTTTTTTGAGACGGAGTCTTGCTCTGTTGCCCAGGCTGGAGTGCAGTGGCGCAATCTCGGCTCACTGCAAGCTCCGCCTCCCGGGTTCATGCCATTCTCCTGCCTCAGCCTCCTGAGTAGCTGGGACTACAGGTGCCTGCCACTGCGCCCAGCTAATTTTTTGTATTTTTAGTAGAGACGGGGTTTCACCGTGGTCTCGATCTCCTGACCTTGTCATCCGCCCGCCTCGGCCTCCCAAAGTGCTGGGATTACAGGTGTGAGCCACTGCGCCTAGCCTCCAGCTCTTAATTAAAACATCAACTTCCCCTTCACCCCACAGATGAATTGATAATATCCTTCACAATGACCTGTTTTGCTGTATAAAACTTGTACCACAACAGAATATATTTTCATATACTCATTGTTCACACTTCCTGTGCCCAACAACAAGATGGTAAGCTCATGGAAGGTTAAGAACATCTATTTATTCATTTTTGTTATATTCTAACACTTAGCATAGTGATTTAGGATAATGGCTGCACAAATGGTTACTAAATGGTTGAATAAATGAATGAATGAATGTTTAAAATAATTTAAAGGAGTATAGTGAGTTTGTAAAGAGTTAGCTAGCAGTCACTGCTGAAAACTGCTCTTCTAAAAACTGTAACTTGTTTTATAAGAACTATTAATAGAAGTTCATAAAAGGGTCAGAAAATAACTGAATAATTCAAATCAGCCTGCACAATGACCTACTAGTGTGGAAATTAATAAGATCAATAGAGTTATTACCCCCCCCCCGACTTTTCCAAACACCTTAACTCTTGTGTAAAGTTTAATTAAAGGACAGGCATTGGCCCAAATCTATAATAAAATGAGAAGCTCATATAAGATGCTCAACATTCAGAAATCGATTTCAAAATAGTACAACAGTCCAGCTGGAGTATTTAAATTGTTTTTAAAAGAAATATAAAGAGTATTTACAGCCATCGTAAATTCTATTGGACAAATTACTAAAATGTTACTGTAGCTGCTAATCTGAAAAGGAATTTTTTAACCTCCAACATGACAAATGTTTTCACTAAAGAATTATTTTATTTAAGCAATCCAAACCTAACTGAATCCTCATTACATTCAAACCAGAGTTGAACACACTATAACTACCCAAACTAGATTGATTCATACAGTGCCTAATCTTGCAAGTAATATTCCATGAACAAATGGCAAAGCAGAGTAGAGACACATATCAGTCTAATAAGGACAAATAAGCTCATCATAAATACGCATAAATATACCATCTAGGGAGAAAGAAACACTCGATACTCTAAATATTACAAATGCTTGGAAAACTGATTTTTATAAACACAGAGCAGGGCTGGGTGCGGTGGCTCACGCCTGTAATCCTAGCACTTTGGGAGGCCGAGACGGGCGGATTACGAGGTCAGGAGATCAAGACCATTCTGGCTAACACGGTGAAACACCGTCTCTACTCAAAATACAAAAAAAAATTAGCCTGGCGTGGTGGCAGGCACCTGTAGTCCCAGCTACTCGGGAGGCTTAGGCAGGAGAATGGCGTGAACCCAGGAGGCGGGGCTTGCAGTGAGCCGAGATCGCGCCACTGCACTCCAGCCTGGGTGACAGAGCTAGACACTGTCTCCAAAAACAACAACAACAACAACAACAAACAAACAAAAAAACAGAGCAAATATTTGTACGTAAAATGTCCTTAAATATACATACAACACATAAGATTAAAACATACACACGAGAAAATGACAGTCAAATTTCCAAAAAGGAAGACAGGAGGAAAAGAAAGGAAGAATAATAATGAGGAGGATGGAGAGAAGGAGAAATTAATTAATTCTACCCATCATGGCTAATTAACAAAAATATTACAATGATATTAGCAGCTGGAATTTATTTAACGACTATCTTCCAAGTAGTCAATCTCTGCAACACTGCTGCAAAGTAGATACAATGTTCATTTACAGAAAGGAGATGACTATTTATAGACATCCAGTGACTAAGCTAGAGTCCCACATCCAACAGAGATTCAGGATTCCAGCCCCAAGTTATCTGATTCCTATGTCCATGCTTCCTCTACTTTCTTAGTATTACTGTAGCAGAGAGATCTTGATTTGGGGTGAGAAAAAATGTTTTGGATTATTACATTTTGGGGAAACTCACCAAGTTATTACAAGTATCAAAAGAAATGCCTATGAAAGTGCTTTGAAACTACAACACACAAAGCAAATATAGGTTTATTTAAAATACAATTCCTAATTTGTGATGATTTATTTATACTGTTAAAAAAGGTGGGGGGAAGAGAGGAGGCCAGTACACTGAGATGGCTCCAGAGCTTTGGGTTCATACGGAAGCAAACTGAAACCCAACTTAGAGTGAATGACCACAGACTAGGAAGAGAATACTTAAGCTTAACCAATGAGAAACCACCAACTAACCTGGAACTAGAGACTACCAATCAAAAACCATCAACTGGCCGGGTGCAGTGGCTCAAGCCTGTAATCCCAGAACTTTGGGAGGCCAAGGCGGGTGGGTCATTACGTCAGGAGATTGAGACCATCTTGGCCAACACGGTGAAACCCTGTCTCTACTAAAAATATAAAAATTAGCCGGGCATGGTGGCGTGTGCCTATAGTCCCAGCTACTCAGGAGGCTGAGGCAGGAGAATCACTTGAACGCAGGAGGTGGAGGTTGCAGTGAGCTGAGATTACGCCACTGCACTCCAGCCTGGGCGACAGAGTGAGACTCCGTCTCAGAAAAAGCACCATCAACTATCCTCTAACTAGGGACTTTCCACTTTAACTAATCAAATATTTTCTTCATCTTGTTTCTACAAACATTTTATAAAAGTTCTGCCCTCACTCTCCTTCGCTGAACCACTTGAGCTCTGACGCTGCCCAATTCATGTCTGCTCAAATAAAGGCATTACAATTTCAGTGTGCCTAGCCAGGCACTGTGGCTAACACCTGTAATTACAGTACTTTGAGAGGCTAAGGAAAGAGGGTCACTTGATCCCAGGAGTTCAAGACAGCCTGAACAATGTCTCTACAAAAAATAAAAATAATTAGGCATGGTAGTGCATGCCTGTAGTCCCAGCTACTCTGGAAGCTGAGGCAGGAGAATCGCTTGAGCCCAGGAGGTCAAGGCTGTAGTGACCTATGCCTGCACTACTGCGCTCCAGCCTGCACAGAGAGAGAGACTCAGGTCTTTAAGCAAAAAAAAAAAAAAAAAAGGGGGGGGGAAAGAAAATTTCAATGTACCTAAGTTTATCTCTCAATAGCTCTTATCTTATAGAATGGATTTCAAGAAGAATTTGTGACACCAAAATGATTCCAGAGAACCAAATCCAGATACATTTAAAAATTCCAAACACTACTCAGAATTATTAAAATTTTGTACAATTCTTAAGAAAACTAATGCTACCAGTGTAGCATTTGTCACATTAATTTCTCCTTAATTATACATAGTCATTCACAAAATGAAAGGCATTATGACAGGAAAGAGAAACACAAAGATAAGACATAGTCATTCAATGCTTCAATGAGATAAATGTATCCTTAAACAAGAGGAAATACTCAAAGGTCTTCACAAATGAGTAGGTTACTGGATTTTGGTACTATATTCTAACAATTTTAAATACATGCGTAAATTTCATAGGTTTGTTAAAATTTTAAAACAATAAGGACCAAAGAGTAGAAATTGAAGATGGGATGTTCCCTAAAACTGGTAGAAGGAATCTAACAAGTTGAATAATTATCATATTCTAGACTCTATACTGGAGGCTTTATAAACATTCAGTCCTCATAACTTCTCAGAGTGCCGGGACAGAAATTACCACTCCCTTTTTCCCACACCTAATAAATGGCAGAACTAAAGTTCGGTTCCAGCATTGTCCGACTCTCAAAGGTTTTGCTTGTTTCCCCAGATACCAAATTACAAGAGCTGGCTTCAAAACAAAATAAAACCTTCCAAGAAACAAGTCAATGAAACAAATTAAGTTTCACCTCCAACAAATATATGGAATTCTATTGGGATAGTCAATTGTATTCATTTAATGACCCCCATTTACTAAGATATGTAAAAGAGGAACATAAAAACATCATAAATGTACAATAGTACAAACTAAATTATATCATGCTATTATGCACAGTGGTGAGGACAACAAATGACTGAGATTGAGGTTCACCTACAGATTTATTGGTCCCAATGGTGAATACTGGTGAGTTTCTCTTCTAATGACTCATTTTTATCTGGTAGTCAGGAAAGTTCTGAAATAAATATTTACGGAAACTGGCTAGAAAGACTGGCTAAGTTTTTACTTAAATCAAAAATGACAAGCAGGAAAGTATACCTAAACAACAGGAAAAAAGAGGCTAGGAGTTCCTGTCTTCCCAAACAGACCAGTCCCTTAGCTATTCTAAATAATTGAGGATTATTCTTAATATAACCCAATGCATTTATCAAATAAATAGTAAGTCCACAGACTAAACGAGGTAACCAGTGCACCGGACTAATTCAAGTTAGTAATGACTTAAGTCACTAACTTTGGGAAGGAGGGGATGGGAGTAACTATTAAAGACTGAAAAAGGAAAATCTACATTTTTATTTACACCTATGGGTTAAATCACATTTCTCACTTTTAATTGCAAACATCATTAAGTATACTGCAAAAGACCAGCTACCTTAAACAATTATCAGGCTCCAGAGGTCACCAATTAGAATCCTGCAAGGATCTGAATTAAAAAAGGTTTTATGATTAGGTGAAGTAATGATCCAAGAAAGAGATTAGTTCTGTTCAGACTGCACTCATTATAAAACCCATTTCCTTTGTGTGAAGATTCAATGTCTTTCTCATTTATCCCGCTGGCATTATCACACTTTGAGATAGAAATATGACTGTACTAATGATATTCTATAACAACCATATAATACAAGCACCTTATTCTCTATTACTTTCATATCTAATAGAACAAAAAACGAATATTTTCTGTTGGTTAGATGTACCATAACACACTGACACTATTTAAAATAAATTCAAAATAGGATTTATCATTCTATGTCCATACATTTTTACATCAGTTTCTGAACCAGTCCCTATTTACACAGTAAAGGCTCAGAGTAAATTCAGGGCGGGAAAAGAAACTTAAGACATTAAATCATATTTTCCGTATGATGATATTAAAGGGGGTCACTTTTATATAAAGAATTCTACTCATACTCAATGTTTTTTTCTAAGCCAACTGAAAACGGCCAAACAGGCATAAAACACTTTTTAAAAGCAAAACACAATTACAGCAGAAATATACATCCTGTCACTTAGATTTACTCATGATAGAAAATTAAGACACTGATGAAAAATCAGTTTGCACAGACTTTAATAGTCACAGCCTCTGTGGAAATGAAATATCTCAGCATAGAGCTACAGAATTACTGAAAATGAGACCTGTCTTCTCATATCAATTTAAAGACAGGGAGTGTTATGCATACTAGGTCACTCTCCAGTCACATTTTACATATTGCTCCGCCTAGAGTCAGATGCTATCTCTTCACAGAGGACATTCCCACTGGGGGTTTCCTTTAAGGGAGGTTGTCAAGTTAAATGCAGACATTCACATGCTGAAGCAAGTTACACGTTAAAAACGTAGGGATTTCGTTAAAAAAAAAATAAGTACACCATGGCCAGTCAATGGCATTTGTTTTCATTTTGTCCTTCGACCATAAAGTGTTTAGTTAAAAAATTACGCATTCTAGAGGGTTCCACTTGCCAAATCTACTGAAAACAGACTGATCTACTTTAGGGCTGAATATACAGATTCCTAGTCATTTCACATTGCCTGTCTGGGCAAATGAGACAGAATCAAAGAATAAATACAGACCTTTACTTTGACTAAAACTAACAATAAGTACCTTAGATGGATATCTGACTGTCTTCTATTCTCATCTTAAAAACAGGAGGTGGAATAATTCGTTGATCTTTATTACACATGACTAGCTAAGATACTAACACTAAGACTAATAACAGGGCCAGGAATCTAGAAAAGCATTCCACTAGATCCGTTTGAAGAATTTGCCAATAATTATAGGAACTACGGTTGCCAGCTCACCAAAGGTCCATGATACATAAACAAATATAGAATATATCTGCAGTCTATTTATTTGGGGCGGGCAGATAATTAGGAAAAAAGATGTCTAAAAGGCTCCATAAAAGAGGCAATAATAGAAAAAAGTTGAAGAGCACTGCCTAGGAAAGCCAGCTGAAATAAACGAAAATGTTTATCCTACAGGATAAATGATTCAGGAGAGAATCAAACTTATAACAAAAGTAGTTTTGTATATTATGTAAAAAAAGGGTTAGATTTGTCAGTAAAAAAAAACAATGGTACAATTAGGACCAAAGATAGAAATTATAGAGAAAAGAGGTCCAGTACAAATTACTGAGTTGAAGATTCTAACAATAAATTTGACCAAGGATGGAACTAACTGTCTTTAAAATATTTTTAAGTTCAGCCAGGTGCAGTGGCTCACGCCTGTAATCCAAGCACTTTGGGAGGCTGAGGCGGGAGGATCACAAGGTCAGGAGTTGGAGACCAGCCTGGCCAGTATGGTGACACCCCGTCTCTACTAAAAATACAAAAATTAGCCAGGTGTGGTGGCGGGCACCTGTAGTCCCACCTACTTGGGCGGCTGAGGCAGGAGAATTGCTTGAACCTGGAAGGCAGGGTTTGCAGTGAGCCGAGACAGCGCCACTACACTCCAGCCTGGGCAACAGAGCAAGACTCCATCTCAAAAAAAAAAAAAAAAAGAGGAATGTTACAGAAGGAAGGATCCAATCATCTGATGGAAGGTTGGACTTGGAGGTTCCTTTCAACCCTGAGAGTTACACACATTTTTATCATCTGTCCTGCTGACTAGCTTGACAGGTAAAACTGTGTTATTCATCATCTTATCCCCAGTCACTAGTTTTGCACCTTGAATAGAACACACATTCTGAAATTTTTGTTGAGTGAATACAAGTGAATAAATGATGATATTCTTCATGAAAAAGCATGGTGAGACTTGATGAACGTTTAAGAATACTCAAGGTTTGAATTAACAAAAGTGGAAGTCATCTTTCATTTCCACAAACAAGCCATCTATGCCAGTTATTAAGCTATGGTCTCTTAGCTCCACACCTACCCGCCTATACGCTGTCCTGGAATGCTGGGTAGAGATTTGGAAAACCTCATTTCTCCTCTGCCAGTGGCTCCCTATGAGGTTCTGCGAATCGGGAATGTGAGGTAGGGGACTTGTTCCTTCCCACTGTGTTTCCAGTTCCTGGCAGCAGATCAGAGTGATGGTTCTAAACTCTAGCAGTTACAGTGATTTTTTTACCCTACATTCCCAGAAGCACGCTCACCATACCTCCTCAGCAAGCCAGGACCCATTTCTCGGAGGTCTGAGTCCCAGCCCTGTGAGGACCCTCTTCAAGCTCCTGAGGTAACAATACTAACAGGGTCTTGGTCCTACTTCCTCCAAATTACTTCTTTTGCTCCTCCAGCCTTGAGGGTGATGGCTTGCTGCTAACCTTTTGTTACTATTTCTGTATCACTTCAGTACTCCCCATTCGCTTTTTGGGTCAACCAGCACCTGTCTAACCAATTCCTGCTATTCAATCCTCTCTGCTAAAATATCTGGCATGATTTCTGTTTACCTGATTGATACACCCTCTTGGTAAATTCCTGAAGTATAGTGGAAAGTACCTGGGAATCAGCAGGCGGGAGGTCTTAAGTACAATGTGCCAGAGACTACGCTAGCCCTGAAGGAGAGCTCTCAAGGGTCCCAAGGGACCACAAGCAGGGCAGGGAAGTGGTAGACAGGCCAAGGTTTTGGAGGACAGACCAAGCCTCAGCACTAGAGAACCTCTGGCAAATCACTTGGCCTCACTGAGCTCTAGTTTCTCCATGCATAAAAATGGGGGAAAACGCAGGCATGTATGACCCATCTCCAACTCTTAGGGTTGAAAAACACTAATCTAATGGCATTGAGGTCTTTCTAATTTGTTCCCTCTACTTCAATATTGCTTTTTGGAAAACCAAATAGCTAAACTTTTTAAGAACTGTGATGTACTGATGGTTAATAAGGCCCTAAAGAAAAGGCGAGACAAGCTTTCCTGGGCATCAGCATATTTTTTTGCAGCATCTCTTTGAGCTGCTGAGAGTGCTTTCTTGCTACTTCTTTGGTCTCGACTACATCTTGAAGAGCTGAGAGCAGAGAATAAGTGAAGTACTGCTATAGTGGTGTGCCTGGTTATTACCCACTCCTCCCCTACTATATATCATCATGATCACCATCAAAGTTTGAGAAAATGGCATCTATGTAATGACATTAGCATAGATGTTCTCTCTACAATGAAGCCACAATGAATATTCCTGGAGGCTAAATTATCTGAGCTAAATGTCTGATTTCCCCTGTGAAATGCACAGGAAGACAATATAATCTGGGAATATGCAACTGCAGGTGATGTTTACCTTGAGAAGCATACCTATCAGCATTCTAATTTGAGTAGCATAGAGTAAATTTCTATGAATATATAACCATTCAACACATTATTCAGAGGGAAAGTGTTTATCATCTTCAAAACATTTGCTATTCCAAGAACTAATTAAGTTTACAAACTCTGTTGTGAATACCAGAAGGCAGTAGATGTACAAATCATATTGTTAATTATGCCTCTGACAAAGAAACTGTATTACAGGTATTACATACAAATGCTACAACCAGCCAAGTTAAATTCCATGATTTCAAGCTTGGGAACAAATGAAGCCAAAACAGGAGGCATAAAATGAACGTAAAATTAAGTTCCTTAGAGGAAAATGCAAAAATAGCCCTAAGTGACCGTTTAAACGAGCTATTTTGTCACCTGTTTTTGCTTTGGCACTCCCAGAACAGCATATTAACCTACAGCCTCCAGACAAGCACAACTGTCTAGCTTTTTGACACCTGCAGTAAGAGAGTCAAAATTAATAATGATATGGAAAGAGGAGCTTAATTTAGTGAGACATGAAGTAATAAAAACTAATAAAAACATACATTCAAATCACAGGCCAGCACTTACTTACAGTATGACACTGAGAAAAAAGCAAAAAGCAAGTCAGAAGGCTCTCGGTCCCCTTGACAATCGCTTAGGCAAGCTGAGGTCTACCTCTAGAGTTGTGATTAACAGCAGACCTCAAGTGTCATTTCTGGAAACCACACATAACAAACTCTAACTTACTGCACCCTTCAGTTCTACATATTTATGAGAGCTAATAAGAGGTAATACAAATTTAAATATGAATATAACTAGAATTAAATATGCTGATCACAAAAAAAGACTAAAGTATCCTTATAGTAACTCCAAATTCTCTTGACTCAGAAAACCAATCAATTGTGGCAGTCCTACCATTGACAAGGGTATGGACGTGGTAAAATTACAAGAATTTTGAACCTGAAGTTGGAGGTTCCAGAACTCTACTATCATAACTTATACTTTGGGTTTATTTGGGTGAGTTACTTAACCTCTCCGAGACTCAGCTTCGCATCTGTAACATGAAGATCACCTACTACCTCACTAGCTGAGGTGGAACTAAATGAGTTCATGGGGGAAGAAAAAAAAAAAACAAAAAAACTTTCAGAACATGAAAGAGCTACTCCTGTGTCAGTGTGACCATTTCAAGGGTCCCAAGGCAATTCCAACGCAGGAGGCCACGTTTAATCCTCAGATGTAAGTTACAGAACAAGGGTCATTACAGGGAACTTTTCCAACTAAACCAAGGCTACAGAGTTAGGCCTTTTGTAGCCTGGCTAGCTCTCTTAAGCTCAAAGCTTCAGGGAAAAAATATGTTGGCTTCCCTCCATAGTGCCGTGACAGTAGCAACTGGATAAAGCAGTTTCCCTAAAGCAGTTAAGAGAACTGTGCATGTGCCCAAGGTCTACAGAAAAATGTACTTCTGGAATAACCTAACATTGAAAAGTGTTTTATTATATTATACACAAGTATATTTCTGTATGACGCTTTTGTCTACTATGTTATTCCTGTCCTAAAAGTACATCACACAGTCATACCACAGATGTGCAGTGATGACCTTGATGGCAATCAAAACATGAAGACCAGCACTGTCCAAGATAACTTTCTATGATCACAAAAATGCTCTATGTCTGTGCAGTCAAATATAGCAGCCACTGGCCACATGCGTGGCTAGTGAGCACTTGAAAGGTGACTAGTGTGACCGAAGATGTGAATTCTTAGTTTTATTTCATTCTGATTAATTTCAATTTAAATTGCCTCATGTGGCTAGAGGTTACTACAGAATACATCTAGAATACACCTAAAAAACAAAAAGGAAGTGGAAAAGAGGTGATCAGCAGAAAGAGATGCCACTGAAATTGAGACATTTATTCTTTCATTGAACAGAATTTACCGAGTGCTTACAACATGCTCTCAATGTTCCCTAACACATAATAATTCTAAGCAGCAGCTCGACGGGTTGGAAAAAGCACACACGGACTTTGGAGACAGGCATCGCTGAGCTCAATAAACGGTAGTTATGTTACTGTGTAATATGATGCCGACCCTATTCTCAAGAAACATAAGATTTAATAAAGACTACATGTGGATACTCACAATGTAAAGTATAAATTTAAATTGTAAGCACTTTTATAAAAAGTACAAATAAAATATTACAATATATATAGAAGACAAACACTTCTAGGTCAAAAAATCAAGGGAAACTTCAGAATGAGTAGTATTCTAGCAGAGCCCAAACAAATGGGCTTGGATATGTGGAGGGGTATCCTATGCATAGGGAACAGCATTGGCAAAACTTCATAGATATATCCATGTTCTCAAAGAATAAAGAACAGCAGTGAGACAAAGGCATGAAGGTACAAGGGGAGAGTATCTGGTGATAAAGTGAAAAGGTAGACAGATTGGGAAGGACTTTTAACGCTATGCTAAGTTCCTTTATGACAGGACTGGGAAGTCTAGGGAGACATTTATATAGGGCAGTAGCAGGAAGATTCATAGCTCGGAAAGAGACAAAACTGCACCTAATGGCAATGCCCTGTGACTGTTCTGTTCTGATGACTTAGTGTCAAATATTATTAAGGTTAAACAACTTAAACAAGAATATCTCAACAAGATGTCAGGAATAAAAATATATGTATTTTTTAAAGTGGTTTTAAAATCCTCTACAGGTCTTGCAACTACCTATGTTAGCAGAGTGAAGCAAATTAAAAGGCTTCAATAATGCGTGCAAAAAGTGCAAGATGTGACAGTGTGAATTCAGTGAAAGAATTCATACGTTATAAGGCCAAGGACCGAAGAGTGCAAAAAGCGAGAATTACTATACAACAGCATATGAAAATGTCTTCTTGTGATTACAAGGTCATTTTGCAAGGACAAGACTTCTCTGAGACTAAATGTAAGACATTAAAGAAAATTCTACTATATGATATCTATGAAAGAAGAAGAACAAAAAATCCCTACACTCAAACTTTTCTGCGAGCTAGAGAAAAAAAAAATCGATAAGCTACATTTTTGGATAACTGGTAAAAAGTTATAAATCTTACTAAACAATAGGTAAAAAATATAGTATGACTTTATGTTTCTTTTCCTCTAATCTTACTTCCAGCTCAAATCTGTTGAATTAATTCGTGTTCTTTCAAATGTATTCAGATATCTTAAGCATTCTTTGATACCTTTTAAGTTTCTTGTTTGTCAGACAAATAGCTACATTTGATTCTTCAGGAAATAATTTTTGCAACTCATAGAAACAATACGCTAAAAGAAAAAAACTTTGTCTAAAACATGATCCATATCATGACTGGTATTTTATGTAGCCTTTTAAAAGTCTGAATGCCAAAGCATCCTGCCTTTATGTACGCTGAAGGGTCACCAACTGGATATGTCTGAAGACCTTAAATTCTAAGAAAACATAACAGAATAAAGAAAAAGAGCTCAGAATTCAGCTATTTTGCTTCTGTTTGTTTTATAAGTTAAATATCTTTCAACCATAAACTGTTCTAGCTATGGTTTAAAGGCAGGAGGAGATGGGAACCAGCATTTATTGAGAGCCTACCAAACAGCAGACACAGTTGAGGCACTTTTCAATATACCATCTTAATTAATCTTCAAAGGAAGGAAACAAATGCAGGAGGGTCATTTTTTTCCCTATCAAGTTAAGTAGAACAAGTAGGTACTGAATCTGTATCTGATAAAAGGTCCATGTTTTTTGGCTAAAACAATGGTCACCACATCCTTTAGTGAGAATATTTAATTCAAGCACGATATACTTAATATAAGGTTCCACTAATTCCTAGTTAATCATTTTACTCATCTTTCAAAAGCATTCACCCTATACTACTTTGTAGCATTTACCATAAATTGTTTAGATCTGTCTTACTCGTGGCTAAATGCCAGCCCTCAGCAGAGCACCTGGAGTGTGGCAAGTACCAGATGAAGAAATGAATACATAAAAGAATCTTAAACCATCAGCAGATGTGAGATCTCTTTTGGTTTTTGTCATAAACTAGTTGAGTGACCTTAACTAAACCACAAGTTTTCTGAGCTTTATTTTTCATTTCTTCTAGGAAGTATCTTCAGAGCTCCCTGCCTCTTCCCACCCAGCCCAGCCAAGGCCCATAGTTAAGAGCTAACTGCCTTCCCTGAAGAGAGTAAGGTGAACTTCTGCTTCCTTTCCAGATAATTCCTCTTCAGAGTAGCCTCTGTTCTCGCATTTAAAAAACTACTTCCATTGTCTTCCATCAGCCCTAGGAGTTCCTCAAATCCTTCTGATAAATTTGTTTTGTTGTTTGGCCAAAGTCAGTTTCTATTCTTTGGAAACAAAAAACTTTAAGAGACACAATATGAAGCACAGTACGTGCTCCACTCTATTACTTCTAACCACTTTAGTTACAAAAAAAAAAAAGAACCAAACTACCAAATCCTGGCTTATGACACCTCACAATGAACTGAATTTTCTCTCACTGACCTCTGACCTCTGAGCTAAACTTTCATCTCCTCTTGAAATCCATGTTTTGGGGGCTAAGTCTATCAGCAGCTGCAGTGATTTTCTGGGATGAGTGATATACTTTCTTCAATTAATGATATGAAAAAATCACTAAACAGGAAAACATGATTTTCCATTTTAAACTCCTGAAGGTAATTATAGCCATTATATAGTCTTAACTCCTATAAACTTGCAACTGTAAACTGTAACTGTTATAGGCTAACAACTGGAAACTTTATTTTAAATGTCTCAAAACAACTTCATATTTTATTTTTAATTTTGTGGGGTTAGAAGGGGGTAAGAACTCTAGCACAGGAATGACCAGATAAAGAAAAAATGGAATTGCTTAAAAATAGTTTTCATTGTCACATGATATAAAAAGTCTCTTTGATCAAAAAAAATTCAGAGCAACCTCCTCCCTCCTGGCAGGGTTAAAAACTCAGAAAGAGAAAGTAAATAAGATAAACGCCTTTAAAACATTCTGATGCTTCTAGAGTGAAAATGAATAACTTAAAAAATGCAATGAAAGAACAAACTGAGATTTGTAGATAATGTGTCATACAAAAATGCTGCTTGCTGGCTATATCCCGTATCTAAGATTTTATATCTCCAAAAAGAGGAAATTAAAATGAAAGACCAAGTTCCAGATAAGAAAAGTGTTGCAATTTGCATTTTGTGTAGATAAAAGAACATATACACATGTAGCCAAGTCTATCAGGAGTTTTAATAGCATTAAGGTGGATTAGGAGAAAGACTGACTCAAGAATAGGCAGAAGTGGATTTAAATTACAGCTCCACCACTTAGCAGCCGCGTAACTTTAGCAAAATTAATTTCTGACATTCTGTTTCTTTATTGACAAAATATACATAATAATATGCTTAATATGCAGGACTGTTGTTAAGGAGCTAAAACAGAAAACAAATACAAACAATGCCTCATAGAAGATACTGGTATTACCTACATGTATTGTCATTATATTTCCCGTATGCACATCACAATGACACCAAAAAAAGACACTGAAAATACCTACCCTTCCCAACCACAACTGCACTCTCTCGTGTTCTTTGCCATGTTCCACCTCTTTTACCTGTATAATCAGGTGCCTGCCCACTAGAATAGGCACCAAAACTGATCTGTGGTTGTAGGGTATGAGAAATATTAAGTCAGTAAATTCTAAGAGTATATAAAATAAGCAAAACCACTCTAAAATGGATCTAACTCAAATGTACAGTAATGCAGATTTGTTTAAAACAATACCCAGTTCTGTCCATGACAGGTACATTTGTGCAATGCTTCCACGACGCTCACCACAGGTATTAGTGCTGTCTCCACACCTGATTGTGCGCATGGGGACCAGATCAAGGGCTTTCTTAATTCTGCACCCTCCGTATTTCAGAGTATATATTTAACGTATTTTAGATGACTAAATGAATGATTAATCTATGCATACGTAATGATATTTTTAAAAAAAAGAAGAAAAAACAACTTTTCACCATTACTTGAAACCATTTTCATTCATTGATTTATTGAATGCCTCTAACATTTTACAGACTATATACTGGCTGCAGAATTCTTCCAGAAACAAGAAAAACAAAGTTTTGATGCTCAAGAAACAAAGCAGGCAGGGAAGGAAGCCATTAGGGAGACAATTACAGCAAAGGTTAATGAATGTTCTGAACAGGTGTGTAGGCAGGGCTATGAAATCTATCAGCAGATGGGCTCAATCCAGTCCACTTCAGATCAAAGAAAGGACATGTAAACTAAGATCTCTTGAAAAGTTTTCAACACAAGAATTATGTGATCAGGTCTGGTTGATAAAAGATCATTCTGGCCACCCTAGGGAGGATGGCTTGCTTCGTGAGAAGTAATGCAGTACGGTAGTTGAACCACTTAGAAGACTGCTGCTGAGGCATTCCTTAATTAAAACTAAAAAGCTCTCTTATTTGTCATCCCCAAAAGAATCCCCAAGGAAAGTGTGTTTTATGTAATAAAGCTTCAGTTCCTTGGAGCAGTGCAATATAGATAGAACTGTATTTTTTTTTTCATCTCTGAGGTTGAGAATGTCTTCTAACCCATTCATCCCCTTCATACAGAGCCATGCATCATCCTTTAATGAACACATTAGCTTAAGAATCCAGCCACCAACCTAGGTTCACAGGGCAGCATCAAGGAAGGAAGGCACCATCATGCCATGGTAATTAAGTGCAAAAGGACAGCACTGCTTCCTATTATCACATGTAAATCCTCTAACAGTGGCCCAATTATTAACAGAATAAGAATGTATTTTTGAGAAGTCAAATGGAATAATACAAACAGAATGTCCAATTTCTAGCTTTTTACGACCTCAGATAGGTAACTTACTCACTTGGTTAACACTTTATTCATTTGTAAAAGGGAGGAAAATATTATTTACATACCATGGTTACTGAAAAAAATTAAATAACTTCAGTGCATAAAGAGCAACTCCTAAGCACAGTGCTTGATATATGGAAGACATTAATAAATGTCTGCTGTTTTAGGCATTTATAGTAAAACATTATCAATTTATTTTGATATATTACTTTTTTTGTCCTAATAACCTTATAATTTGTGCCTGTGACTCCCCCTTCACGCCCAAGAGAAGAGTTTTCTGGTATGTCGCTTCCTATTAGTAAGAGACCACAAGAGATGCTTGTGATGCTTGTGATAAAAGGTAATAAGGCTGAATTCATGCAGAAAAGAAACACTTACAAACCCTAAAGGCCTTGAAAACAGCCATTAAAATGTAGCGATGAAGAGGCAGAAAAGACATGCAAGCAGGGGCTGCTGAGGTCATAAGACACAATCTCCTCGTCGGAAATACTCCTCTAAACCTGCCTTTAGGACTGCCGGAGCATTTCCGACATATCCACTGTTAACAGCATAGCTGATTTTCTGACTCAACTGGCACTCAGAGCAGTCCAGGAATGAAGTGGGGATATTCAAACTGGACGATACCAATGGGCTCTAAGGGCTAGTCTGCCTTGTAAAAGAGTGAAGCCTTGTTTGTGCTCATCACCATTCAAATGACGACGATGGTCCCAACTTCCCTCTCTTACTCCTTCCAAGGACAGAGGTGTCTAATTCACTTCCTCTTCAGTCTGGACTCACTTTACTGACTGACTGAACCAAAAGAATGTGGCAGAAGTAGCATTCTGGGGCTTCCTTGTCTAGGTCATAAGATGCATTTCGATCCTGTCTTAGCCTCTTGATTGCTCACCCTTGCAACAGTCCCTCTGTGAACTGTGTTCTAAGAAGCCCAAGCCATGATAAGGCTATGGGCAAGCTACGGGCAAGCAACAGGCAAGCTAGTTGGCCAAGAACTCCAGCTAAGCTCCCAGCTGAGTTCCCAGCCACTGACCACCAGCCGACCAGCAGCCATGGGATGAGCCATGCTGAGTGTCTGGCCCAGTTGGGTTAACACCACACTGTTTTAAACCACTTTGTTTGAGGTAGTTGATCACATAGCAATAAATAAAATATATACATCAGGACATGGAAATTTAAGTTAAGAAACTGCCAAGGCAGCCACCTGCCTATTAAGTAGCCTCCTTCATGTTCAGCCTAGTGGATATTTACAGACTTTTTTTTTTTCAAACCCCTATTACTTGTTTTAAAAAATGCTTGTGCCAGGTATGGTGGCTTATACCTGTAATCCCAGCACTTTGGGAGGCCAAGGCGGGAGGGTCACCTGAGGTCAGGAGTTCGAGACCAGCCTGGCCAACATGGCGAAAACCCATCTCTACTAAAAATACAAAAATTAGCCGGGTGACATGGCATGTGCCTGTAAACCCAGCTACTTGGGAGGTCGAGGCAGAAGAATTGCTTGAACCCAGGAGGCACAGGCTGCAGTGAGCCGAGACCACACCACTGCACTCCAGCCTGGGCATCAGAGCAAGACTCTGTCTCAAAAAAAAATGCTTCTGAAGAGTTTTCTTCGTCACTGATTATCTTTTGCTATTTTTTTTTTGCATGACCTTTCCCTCTCTCTACAGTTTTCCTTCCTACTTCTGCTTTCTCATACTAGATCCATGCCCATATATCTCTCTAGCTGTAGTTAAATGCACCCCTCAGCTCAAGGATTCAGTGTGCTCTATCTCACACAGCCCTTGGCTCATCTGCAGAGTCTACTTTTACTTCCCTAGAAGGGAATACATATCTCTGTAGCACATATTTGCATTTCAAAAGTAATATTTACTTGCTTAAACTACACTTTCTAAAATATTAAAAGTGCCACATATCTACACTTAAAACCCAAGTAACTACTTCCATCTCAGAGATTCATTCCCCCAATTCTCTAATTACCTCCAGAGAGGCCAAGATCGGCTCTTCCTACACAACTCTTCTCCACTCTTCACCACTCTTCTCACTCCAATTATCTACCTATCCATCCAGTGATGGCCCATAGACCTGGCACTAAACTGCAGCTAGGGAAACAATGATTAAAATAAGCCCCTAACCTTTAGGAATTCAGATTTTGGTAGCTTCAACAAACTTGTAAAGAAAAAAATCATGGTGGAATATGATAAGTGAAATAAGAAGTTGCAAAGGACCAACAGACACTAGGGTGAAGTGGGAGTAAAAGTGCTGTTTACTGGCACAAATTCTGGAAGAAGAAAATATCGTCTTCTCACTGATATCATGTTCTGCCTGATATAATTAATTCTTGTCATGATATATTTCCCCTACCTCTAATTCAGCTATTCCTCTAAGTCCTAAAGGTAATTAACTGCTTGCATTTAAAAGCCTGGCAGGCTGAGATTCAACTTCTACTTAGGATTTAGAAAACAGCAAGAGAACATAGCTTGCCCCATAATAATGACAAAAAGTTGGATAATTGACAAAATAATTTTTGAGCTCATCAGAGAGTTACGGTCACAAAAACAGGTGAGTGGAATTCTAAAGCCCCTCCAAAGAGAGATGAGACCCAAGAAATGCTTCACCTTTGGCAGAACACAGAAGTGGCAGCTACAAAAGAAAGCAGGAAGAAAACAATCAAAATCTTATCAAATCGTCAGAGGCTAAATGTGGGCTCCTGTAATAGTTTAAAACACCTGGGAGAAAACACTCATTCTCCAACATTTTCCACAGAATTCCACTTAGATGCTCACAAGCACGACTAGGGGAGAAGAAAGGGTACTTAAGAGAGCTCCTCCAGGTGGTACAAGTGGAGATTAGATAAACAACAACAACAAACTCTGCTTGCATTATCACAGACTCTCAATCAAAGCAAAAACCATCTACCCCCAGGGCAAGGTCAGTAACCCTCACAATCAATGCCTTCCTCCACCTCCACAGGTTCCCCACAGCTTCCAGCCAAAGGGTTGGAACCAAAGCCATAGGTCACCTGGGTGAGAGAATGGCGATGGTGGAGGGGATGAGAAGACATTCTCTTGAACCCACTATGGAAGATTTAGCCTACACACACATACAGCACCAACACTAAAGGTTATCTGCCTCTGGAGGAAGGGCAGAAAACCAGCTTGCTCAGGATCCTGCATTGATACAAATGGTTCAGTTCAATGATCTAAGCTGACAACTGAAGAAACTAGTAAATCAGGCTCAAGAAACAAAAGGAGGAGGGCTGGGCGCGGTGGCTCAAGCCTGTAATCCCAGCACTTTAGGAGGCCGAGGTGGGTGGATCACGAGGTCAGGAGATCTAGACCATCCTGGCTAACACGGTGAAACCCCGTCTCTACTAAAAATGCAAAAAAGTAGCTGGGCGTGGTGGCGGGCGCCTGTAGCCCCAGCTACTCAGGAGGCTGAGGCAGGAGAATGGCGTGAACCCGGGAGGCGGAGCTTGCAGTGAGCCGAGATCACGCCACTGCACTCCAGCCTGGGTGACAGAGTGAGACTCTGTCTCAAAAAAAAAAAAAAAAAAAAAAATAAGAGAAACAGAAGAGGAAAAAATAACGAGAAGATACCAAAGAAATTACAAGTACAAAATATTGGAAAAAAATAATAAAACCAAAAGTTGATACTTTGGAAAGCTCAATAAAATTCATAAGCCTCTGGCCAGACTGATTAAGAAAAAAAAGAGTAAAGAATTAATAGTATCAGGAATAACACTGACACCACCACAGATCCTACATTCACTATAAGAATCAGAGAATATTATTAACAGTTATGCACCAATAAATTTGATAATTCAGATGAGATTATTTCCTTAAACTACCAAAGCTCACTCAAAAAGGAAAAGATAGCATGAATAGGCCTTCTATATACGAGAAACTAAATTCATAGTTTAAAAGCTTTTCTCAAAGAAAACTCTAGGCCCAATGGCTTCACTGGTGAACTCATGTAAGATAGAATGATAACAATTGTACACAAACTCTTCCAGAATAAAGAGTGAATACTTCCCAACTCATTTTATTAGCCTAATACCAAAATCACAAAAGTTTTACAAGAAAAAGAAAACTACATACCAACATTCCTCATAAAGAAAGATGAAAAAGTTATTACTAAGTTTTTAACAAATTGAAATCTAGCAATATTTAAACAGGATAATACATGATCACCTAGTGTGGCTCACCCCAAGTAGATGACTGGCTTAACACTGGAAAATATTCAATGTAATTCACTACATTAACAGACCAATAAAACTATATCATCAACTGAAGAGATGCAGAAAAGTATTTTAAAATATTAAACAACTACTATAATAAAAACTTGCAGCAAAACAGGAATAAAAAGAAACTTCTTCAACCTAATAAAGAACATCTATGAAAAACCTACACATATCACAATTAATGATGAAAGATTGGATGATTTTTCCCTATGATCAGAAAAAAAGAAAGAATGTCCTCTTTTACCATATCTATGCTACACTGTAGTGGGGTCCTAGCCAGTATGATAAGAGAAGAAAGAGAAATATAAAAGAAATTCAGATTTGGGAGAAAAAAAAACTATCCAGAAAATCCGAAGGAGTCTACAACAAACCCACTGTCCCAGCTACTCAGGAGGCTGAGGCAGGAGAATGGTGTGAACCCGGGAGGCGGAGCTTGCAGTGAGCCGAGATCGTGCCACTGCACTCCAGCCTGGGGGACAGAGTGAGACTCCATCTCAAAAAAAAAAAAATTCCAGTAACATCAAAAAATATGAAATAGGGATAAATTTAATAAAATGTGTGTAAGACCTATACATTGAAAACCACAAAACATTGCTGGTAGAAATTTAAAAAGATGTAAATAATAAAGACATATACCATGTCCATGGATCAGAAGACTCAATATTGTTAAGATATCATTTCTTCCAAAACTGATTTATAAATTTAATGCAATCCCTATCAAAAGCACAGTAGACTGTTTTTGCAGAAATCAGTAAGCTGATCCTAAAACACATATACATGTGCAAAAGGATCTTGCATACAAGGTCCTTATATAAACAGGGAGGAAAATTATGAAAAACAAAAACAAAGTTGAAGAACTTGCACTACTTGATTTCAAGAACTTACTAAGATGCTCTAATAATCAATATAACTTGGTACTGGCTTAAGGAAAAACAAACAGAGGAACAGAACGGAATGGTGTTCAGAATCAGATCCACACACATATGGTCAATCAATTTTTGACAGAGAGGCATTCAGTGGAGAAAATACATTCATTTAACAAATGGTTTTAGAGGAAATATATATATATATATATGTATATATATATGTAAACTAATGAATTTTGATCCTCACCATATGCAGATTAATTTGGAAGTAGAACATATATCTCAATATTCCTTTTTTGCTTCCCAATTTCTTTAATATATCTTACATCTTTCTCCAGACATAAAGCTGTCTCTATCTTGATTAGTTCCACAGATATACAAGTATTTGAATTACTGTCATCAAGTAAATGTGAAATGCATTTTAAGATACACAAAGTTCAGCTAAAAAAATACAAAGCAAAGCTAAGTACTACAATCCACGTATCTAGTGCTAATAATCCTAATAATCTACTACCTAAAGTACTTTCATATCCATTATCTCATATTACTGGATCATAGGGATCCCTGAATTTTGCCAAACAATTATCAGCATTCTATTTGATACCTTCCTTGAGACAACTATCTAGTACTATGGTATCCACAAGAAGTAATACATATGGACTTCTCTTTTTGTCACAAACAAATATTTTTCTTTAAAAAGGTACTCAAAGAACAACATTAAATAACATTAATCATTTCTATTGCTCCATCAAGGAACATTCTTAAGTAAAATTGGCTTAAAAAAAAAAAAAAAGAAGTTGGCACCAGGCAGTGAAAAAGAAAATTACTACCAGTACTGTTTGGTGCCACTGCCTTAATTTGTCACTGCCTTAATTTCTGCTAAGAGGCTTAGGTTTTACCTACCATTGCTTCTGAATTATAAGTAAAAATGTTAACATAGTAAAAAAAGGCTAAAACAACGTTGTCTTATTATAAAACATCATTTGGACCTTGAAGACCCCCTGTGAGAGTCTCAGGAACCTCCAGGGCTTCCTGAATGACACACTGAGAACCACTGCGCTAATCTATGAATATGAATGTCAACTCTCTTCTCCAACCAAGAAAACCACTGCCCCTTCTTCTCTCCTGGGGCTCTCTGGTCCTTAGCTTTGTAAACCAGGGCAGTTTTCTTGCATGTAGTTTAAAATTAAATGTATACACACATACATACACACAGTAGAATTGTTTACCTTTATCCCGCCCTAAGTATTTACCTAAATGGAATAAAGCTAACTGAATGCATGAGTTCCAGTTCATTTTTTTTTTCTTTCCTTTTTTTTGGTGTGGGGGCTGTTTTGGTTGTTCCTAAAACCTAAAGAATTTCCCTCCTTAGGTACCTAACAGTGGTTGGAGAAGTAAAGTGCCACATACACAAAAATAGATACCTCACAATTATCTAGGGACATGAAAAGTAACTGAAGATATTCTATCTTTCTATTCATCTTCCTCTCAAGAAAGGTGAAAGAGATACAGACAGGCATAGAAACACATACAAAAAAACCCAACTCCAAAGTTCACAATTATTTGGAGAAATGAGGCAGAGGAGAGCAATACCATCAGTACAAAATAAGAAAGCATCAATGCAGAAAAAGCATTCTTAAAATTAAAGGAGAAAAATATACATAAATTAAGGCTGAAGTCACATTTTCAGCAACAGAATGAAACAGATACCTAAGTCTGTGACTACCAAAGAAACGCAAAGAAACACCCATATCTCTGACAAGTAATGTTTAATAATGCCAACATAAAAATTCCTGATTTCTGAATTACATGTATTACCAATTTTTAAATGGAGCACACAATACAGAGTACAAATTCTTTCCACAGAGCAGGTTCATTTGGCCAGGAACACTTTATCAGCATGCTGCCCACTGACTCCACATTCAAGCTATTATCCTCTCTTCTGTATTATCTAAGCTTTGTCTTATCCCTTTAATCATAAAAAATCAGAAATTGGTCTTGTGATTCATATTCTACACTACCTACAGATGGGGGCTTCAGAAACAAACACAACTTTGGTTAAAACAAAAAGAGAAACTTCCCATTTGATTTTTAATAAGTCATATTATTTTCATTTATTACTATTATCTGAAAAGGTATATTAACTCTGAAGATACAGGTATTAATATTGATAACCAACTGTCCACACTTTAGTCCCTACTGAGTTTTAAACTTGAGGACAAAAACTGGCTCTAACCTTCAATATGTACAGGCAGCCTATAAACCTAAAAAAGTGACTTTGACACTATTAAGATGGGAATGGCAGGAGCTTCTCCCTGCCAGGTAAGAGGTAGGGAGACAGGAGAAAAAAGGGGATGTGTTCTTAGGCTGATGACCAGGAACTAGGGATCAATCACTTCTCATCACTAGAGTATTGTGAAAAGCAAGCAATTCTAAAAGCCACTAGAGAGGAAGGGGAGGCAAGGGAAGATCCACACTGGTAACATAAACAGTCAGGTGTCACTTCATGATGGGGATCTGTCCTGAGAAATGCATCATTAGGCAATTTTGTTTCTGTGGGAACATCATGGAGTGCACTTACACACACCTAGGGGTACAGTCCACTACACACCTAGGCTACATGGTGTAGGCTTTTATTCCTAAACTACAAACCTGTATGGCATGTGGCATGTTACTGTACCGAATGCTCTAGACAACTGTAACACAATGGTATTTGTGTATCTAAATCTAGCCAAAAAGGAAAAGGAACAGTAAAAATATGCTATAAAAGATAAAAAACAGAACACCTGTATAAGGCACTTACCATGAATGGAGCTTGTAGGAGCGGAAGTTGCTCTGAAGAGTGAGTGAGTGTGAAGGCCTAGGACATCACTGCACACTACTGTAGACTTTATCAAACACTGTATACTTAGGCTACACTGAATTATTAAGAAATATTTTTTCTTCAATAAATAATTCATATTACCTTACTATAACTTTTTTACTTTATAAACTTTTGTTTTTTAACTTTTTGACTCTAGTTTTACTTTTTGTTGTTGTTGTTTTGAGATGGAGTCTCGCTCTGTCGCCAGGCCAGATAGAGTGCAGTGGCGCAATCTCGGGTCACTGCAACCTCTACCTTTTGAGTTCAAGCGATTCTCCTGCCTCAGCCTCCTGAGTAGCTGGGACTACAGCTGTGTGCCACCACTTCCAGCTAATTTTTGTATTTTTAGTAGAGACAGGGTTTCACTATATTGGCCAGGAAGGTCTCGATCTCTTGACCTCGTGATCCACCCACCTCGGCCTCCCAAAGTGCTGGGATTACAGGCGTGAGCCACCGTGCCTGGCCAATAGCTTTACTTTTTAAACTATTTTTGTTAAAAACTAGTACAAATACACACATATTAAGTCTAGGCCAGACACACATTATCTTACCACACACACATTATCTGTCCAGCACCATGACAGATACGGTGGTAAATTTAGAACAAAACCAAACAAAAAAACAGGCACTGTCCTCTTGGGGTTTAGAGTCTAGCTAGTAAGGCAAACTTTGAAAGGAGTTGGGGAAGGCATTGGACAGAATTACCAAAAAAGAAAAAAGAAATTCTCTAAATATATTACTAGCTAAAATTTGACAATAATTTAAAAATATTAATCACACTAACAGCTGCTGCCATTTACTGGATGGTCATTCACTAAAAGCAGGTACATTACTGGGCTTTTACACACAATAGTTCCTTTATTTTTCAGAAAAATACAGAAGGCTTAAAAAAGTAACCAACATTGCACAACTAATAATTAGCAGTGCTGGGTTAAGAACTCAGGCTTAGCTGGGAACAAACATTTAACAGCCATTCAGAAAATGTTTATTAAGCATAAGCATCACTTATTAAGCAAGGCAGGAACTACCTTGATGCTGACTACAGTAAGTATCAAGCCCCTTTTCCTTAAGTTACAATGCCATATTGTATTCAAATCATGGATGCTGTTTAGTAGCTGCAAATTGTACATCTACTCTTTCTATGCTTCTGGTAACAGCCAGACTCCTGATCAAATATGAAGTCTATACTATGAATATCAGTAGGCTTGCTTCCTCATATTGGTCTATTTCTCAACCCACCCTGTTGTTAAGGATGACATAATTTTTCAAAAGGATGCCTGGAACTCCACTGAGAATTGTTATCCTTAACTTTCTCTAATCTCTAGATGCTGAATCCAAACACCAGTACGCATAAGAGCATAAATTTTTTTTTAAGTGTTTCTCCTAATAAGCTGAATCTGAAGTCGGTCTGCAAACTTTTTGTCTCTCCAGGCTGCAGTATCTATTCACAATAAGACAGTTATTTTAACATCCCAGTAAATGAAATAAATATGGTTCCTCCTGCAACTTATCACGTATACCTGACAATGCTACTTATTCAATAATTTGGCAATAACAACCCAAAGACCTAAAAAATTCATTCCCCGCTTAGTTCTGTTTCTGAAATCAATACGGTAGTAATCTTCCTTTAAGCAAAGCATGATCAGTATCAGCACATGTACCAGTTAAAATCAAATCGATCTAACTATATAAAATACGTAATTTTACATATAACTATATATGCAATTTTACATATAAACATACTTGTATACTATATAGAGATGTTTTCTGAATACTGATGTCCCACATACACACTTATACATACACATGTATATAGACATATGCACCTATGCACATGCACACACAGCACCAATTTGTGAAAACAATAAAACACATTAAAATTAAAATTTTTAACAATGATTTGATATAATTTTTGAAGCACTTCTGTGTAACAAGATCTAATCATCTTATGAACAATCCCTTAAATCCAACAGAGTTACAAAGATTACTCTGCTTGCTTTTAGAGCAATGTCCACATTCCATTAATCAGTACAGATACCCAGGTGGAATTAGTCACATTGAACGTTCTCGCTCATCCTCTCTCCCTTCCTTACAGCAGCCATCCACCCATAACTCTTCACCATTGTGAAATCCACCATGGACTATCGAGGCTCCAGGACTTTGTATGTGCTATTATCCTGTCTCCCTTTTCTCCTTCCATCCCATTTACACTTTCAACACAATCTCAAATGTACCATTCCTGTGAAAACTCCCTCCAAACATATCCATGACTTGTGTTCTCCAAGGGCTCTCCCCATGCTTGGGGCACGCTTCCACCATGATAGGATCACCATGGTAACACCTTATTCTCTTAATGTATTTTTCATGTCTATGTACATCTTGAAAGCAGAATATCATCTTTATTCCCCTCCTCTCCTCTATCTAGCCCAGAGTTCAGTATCTGCTATAGTAGGTATTTAATAAATTCACTTATTTCACAGACATTTAAAGCCCACCATGTGCTAGGAAACCAACAATGAGCAGAAAGAGACACAAGAATGGCCCTCCTGGGAACCAGCAGCACCTCTAAGCTACTTACTAAATAAGTAGCTTTACCAGGTATACATGATAGGTTGCAGGAGGAACCACGTTTCTTTCATTTATTGAGCTGTTAAAATATCTTTCTTTTTGTGACAAATACTACAGCCTAGCAAACATAAGAAGCGTGTGTTACATGTAATGTTAAATACAAATGGTGTCAAATAACAAATATACTTAGACAATGAATATATGACATTTAAAAGATATAGAATGCTGAGAAAAATTAAAGAAATATAAAGGAAAGAATAAAGGAAGAAAATTTGTTTTAAATAGGTCTAAAGGTTTATGGTCAAAATACCTGATAGGAGAGAAAAATAATTTTGTCCAAACATTAGCTCAAACCATCCTCTTTAAGAAAATAAAAGACAAGGGTCTTTTAAACACGTATCTTTCATCAGATATATTGTTTTAAAATAAGTATTTGTGTGCAGTATGCTTCATGTTTGATCTTATCTGATAACAATATTTCTCCACATCAATTTCTGTCACAATTAAGCATGTCAATTTTTAATGAATGTACACAACACCAAGGAATATTATTCAAACTGTGTTAATATGCTGAAAACATCTGGGAGACAAAACACAAGACATACATATCTAAATATGCATAGATTCCATATAAACAAATATTAGTAATCCTTTCTAATGAAGCTGAGGAAGCCATTCAACTGGATATCAGACACCTGGGATTGAAAATAGTTCTTCCACTTAACCTGTCATATAACCCTGGGCAAGTTATTTAACCTCTCTAAGTCTCAGTCTTTTCACTTAGAAAATGAAGATAGCATCTGTTTTTCCTACTAGCAAACCTCTAATCTCTGGGCTGTGTGTAAATTTCCCTCATCTCCCCTTTATCCAAGAACTGGAGCTCAGATGAGCCCTAGGGCAAAACGTACTACTACTTGTAGACAAACTGAGCTACCACCTATTTAGCATCCATTCATCCAAAATGTTTGCTATTTTCTACATGTCAAGTACTGTTTTGACTATCTGGAATCAAAAGTGAGTAATACAAAAACCCTTCCTTCATAGAGCTTCCATTCTAGAGAAAAAAATGATACCTTTAAAGAGAAAAATAAGTGATTAGAAATGTACTGGAAAGAGACTCACCTCATCACCCCCTGTCTCACTGACCTCTTCTACTTCGCTTCTCAAACCATTAGACCACATGAAGAGGATGAGTCCAGGAGTGCCTCATGACTGGGCATACGGCCACTCTCAGAAAGCTGACTGGGAACCCAAATGGAGTCTCTGGCATGCTGCTCTGTGCCCTCTGGTCCAGACTGCTTTACTGCCTAACACAAGTCAACAACAAAGACACCAGACGGGAGCTAAGGCCCTTGGTAGTATTAAAAGGATTCTTGCCTGGTGTATCTTTGTAAACATTATATTTTGAGGCTCTAGAAAAATAAAATATATATATATATATATATATATATAAACTTGAAATGCCAATCAATCCTGCATACCTCATAGTGTTACTAGGATGCTAAAATGAAGTAACAGGTGAAAATGCTTGGGTGAAGGCCTGTGAAGGACTTTGCAAATGCCATCATCACCGTCATCACCCTTATCTTTATCATCATTATTTAGTCCTATTTGTGCGTGATTATATCACTCAGGAATAGCTGGTATTTTGCAAATTAACTTCACACAGAAAAATAAACTATCATATAAAAAAATTCCTGCAATAAGCAAGAACTTAGATGAGAACACGGGATTGACAAAAAGTAATCAAATGGAAAAATGAATATCCAGGAAAACTGGCCCTCAAATGATCTGATGTGACAACATGTGTGACTGGTTCCCCTCACTCATGCCATAGACCGTCATACTTTATCTCTAAACCTTGGCTCTTCTGGCTGAAATGTCCTTCTCTACCGTGTAGATACCTGGCAAACTCTTACTCATCCTGTAAGGCCCAACTTAAAAACTACCATTCTGTGTAATTTTTCTTGTCTCATCCACATTAATTTATTGTTTTCTCTTCCCAGAGCACTTTCAATATTCATTCATTCAATATCTTTCATTGAATGTCTCCTTCATGTCAGTCACTGCTGTAGGTGCTGGGATATAGCAATAAACAAAGTGCTGTTTACACAGAGTTGATATTGTAGTGGGGACAGACATGATAAATGGATCATGTGTCAGATGGCAAAGGAGCGCACTGAAGAAAACTGAACTGAGTAAGAAGGATAATTGAGATGGAGAGAGAGGGTTTTTTCTGTACACAGCATTTATCACACTGTATACAGTGCCACTGTACACATCCTGGTCAACTGCGTTTCTGATGTCAGGAGCTATTTCTTATCTTCGTGTGCTCCACAGTTGGCACAGCACTCGACAAATAGCATCTATAAAATAATAATAATAATAGCTAGCATTTAATAAATGTTACTACCTCCCAGGCAATAAATATTGTCAACTTAAAATATATAAATTTGGAAAGGAGAACTTTCTAAGGGTTGCAACCTGCAGGCTGAGCCTCTGGCTGAAATCTAAAGCAGGACTTTGAGGAAGAAAGGGGAGAACAGAAGTTTTAAATATGCTAAGCAAGTTGGCCAAACATACATATTTAACAGCTTATAGGAGGAGCTGTGAATATTCATGAAAGGGGAGTCACATATGTGTAATGAGCAAACATACATGTTACATAAATGCCATGTTCACTTTGCAGTAGAGAGTTAACATTAAAATGCAGTAAAATTAGGCTCTAAATGTCCAAAGGTGAAGTTTTAGACACAGAGGCGGGTTGTGAGCAACCGCTGGAAACTGGCCAGAGCCAGTTCATGGCAATGGTCAGGTCTCAGGAGGCAAGCTCTGTAACCACAACCAGGTGGCTGCCAGGCACAGCCGGCGGAGAGGAGGGGCCTAGCCCAGGTGTCAGGCAGTGGGTCAGCCAAAGTCTTCCATTCTTCATTTTCCAGGGCTGGTTCCTGTTTAACTCTTAGGGAAGAAGGTCTAGCGATGGTGAGGAAGGGAGTGTACTAAGGCGTGATCAGCCTTCCATCTTATCTTGGCTGGGAAACTTAGTTTTTAAAGTTTTTCTGGGGTCCCGTTGGCCAAGAGGGGTCTACCCAGTCAGTTGGGTGGCTTAGGATTTTATTTTTATTTCTCAATGCTTTACATATGTTAGCATATTACTTCACATTAACTCTTTGTGGTGGTTATTTTTACCTATTCCACATTTTACCTCTAATTTACTGAGGAAATGTAGGTAGTGAGGGGTTAAATTACTTCCCCCAGGACATACAGCTAGTAAGCCACAGGGATAAGACAGACCCAAACCTAAGCGGTCCAATTCCAGAGGCCTCATCTTCATCACCATGCTATCCTGTCTTCCAAAAATAGTGAACATTCAAAGTCATCTTACATCAAAACCAATGGGAATTCTTCATTTATGCTCTAAACATATCTAAAAATGTCCTGTCCAGGCCCAGAAACAGACAGTCCCAACAGCCCTAGATAGGGAGAGAGAATAAGCAGGTCATGACAGGATTCAAGCATCAAACACTCCAAGTATCTCCAAATCTGGAAGAGTAAGTTCAGCCCTGCAAGAGACGGCAGATGGACAGGAGGAAGCCATGCAGGGGACAGAACCAGGCACCTAAGGCTGATGCCCTCATCACACAAATATCCTCTATCATAAGGATATGATACCCTCATGACATGAATATCCTCCTCTGTTCATAAAGGAAAAGTAAAGAATAATGCAAACTCAGAGTACGAATCTGAAGTCTATGCTTTATACTACTTAGTTCCAGGGACTAATTAGCTTCAGATTCCGAAGGGCAGAAAATTCCCTCCATTTTCTCCCATAGCCACCATGACAACATCTTACTACACCCCAATCTGACGGCAATGACAGCCAGCATGGGCAGTTACAAACCACAACAAACCACTAATGGCAGCAGAATGTGTTTACTTGCCACAATCCATCATGCTTTGGGTTCAGTGCTGTATAATGCAACTGTAATAATTACTGGTTTGAGAAGAAGATATTTTCAGACAGGTCAGACCACTGTGCCACATGTTTAATGTAAAAGAAAAGAGTCCATAAATATAATCAGCAACTTTCAAATATCAGCCAGTTGCAAAGAGTATTTAATTAATAAATACAATTCGATAGAGAAAACCCTTCAGTTTTGACCTTTCTTTTTAATGCAAAAGAGATACAGGGTTGGGGGGTGGAGAAAGATATTTGATGTCTAGAAATGCTGAGAAACAAAAAAAACAAATAATGATATTGTCTCCAGGAATAAGCATGAGAACAACAAAGCACTACCTGTTATTTTACGTACATCGTTCTTTCCTAGATGTTCTGATGGAAACAGCCTTATGAAAAAGAAAGGAATTAACATTTGTTGGGCACCTACTACTGGCCAGGCACTAGTTTAATAAGGTGCTTCACAAATACTTCATTTACTGCCACTGACCTTCATACACACCTCCCAACATCCCTGCTACCTACTAGGTGGTGTTAGTCAACTTTTCAGAGGTGCAAAGTGCTGCAGAGGTAGACTAACTTGCCCAAATCCTCACAGCTAATAGCTGCAGAGCCCATTTTATATCCATTCTATCAGACCCCTTGTCCAAACAATGAAATCATCATCTCAAACAGCAAGCTTCCAGTCTCTAATGCCACCTCTCACCCACCCCGGCATACACACGCGCCCAAAAACTCAAAGAAGTAAATGGAGATTGGGAAAAAAAGATGACACGTAGGTACATTTGGGTCTGCAGAAGCATAAGGACAATCTGAGCATGTAACTGATCAAGAATTATTTCAGAGAACATGAGGTTTCTTCCAGAAACCAGTCTGGTAACCAAGAGCTCATTCTACCCTCCCCCTCTTTTCTTACGTACTAAGGCTTAAAAAAGAAAAATCTGACCATTTACCATTTACCATTTCCCAGGGCAACACTGGGAAATGCTCTGTAATCCTACTCCAGGTTTTATCAAATGCAAATCCAAAGACTGCATATATTATTGTTAATTATTTTTCTTTCTGCCTATGGACAACTTTAGCCACTATAATAAGTTAATCAGCAACTCTGAGGTTATACATTAATGTAATGTCCAGTGACATTAATGACATCTTTTATTAACTTCGCAAAACCCAGAAGAAAACCAGAAAGAAGTGCTTCTCCAACAGCTTTTCCAAATTCTGAAAAGCATTTATTCTGGCAGTGTGCCTATTACTGTTTAGATCATTATGCTGAGTGCCAAAGAAAGCTCTCTGCCCATTTAACAGTATCAAGGAACAACAAATTCTATTTGAAAGGCAACCAAACACCAGGACGGGAAATGGAAAACCAAACCTTCAGTTTTCTAGTTTGGCACATTTTGTTCCCATTATCAAGCACTCATAAACGGTGACAGGCTGCAAGCCTGCCAAATAAATGCTTTCTACTTGGTATCTTCCTAAACAGCCATGGCCCAAGCAGTGACAGCACCAATTATCTTAACAGAACTTACTACAAAATATGATTTAGAAGGCCCCACTTAAGTGCTCACATGCAATGATGGCAGAGTGTAACTAATACAACTCATCTATAAATCAATTTGACAACGTTAGTCGACGATGTAAGTCAAGAACCTTTAAAATGTTGATTAACTCTGACCTAGTTATTCACCTTCTAAAAAGCTCTCCTAAAGAAATTATTTGGCTGGTAGACTTGTGTACAAAGAGCTTCACTGCAGAATTTACTGAATAAACGTTTATGGAAGACCTATTTCGTTTCAAGCACCGTGCATACACAGTCCCTGCCTTCACAAAGCATACCCTCTACAGGGGAGACATAAAGAAGATTCCAATCCAGTGTGACAGAGACTATGACAGAGGTATGCAGCGTGCTCTAAGAGATCAGAAGTGGGTACTCAAGCCATAATTTAAAGTGGGTGACAATGCAGTTTCCTGTAGGTGATAACACCTGAACTGAGTCCATAAGAATATGAGTTGATATGCACATAAGATAAAAAAGCACCTGTGATTAAAAAAAAAAAAAAGTACACAGAAGGCTTACATTAAATATATATATATATATATATATATATATCGTGGCTTTCATGAATCAGACAAGAAATCCAGCATGATTGTAACCTCAGGGTCAAAGAGAGGAGTGGCAGAAATAAGACTGGACAGGTAAGCAGGGCAGTGAATACCATCCTAAAACAATCTTGAAGATCTAATCTGATAACTAATGAAAAATTTTTAAACAAAAGAATGACTTCATTGGATTTGCTTGTTGCACTGCTACCTTTTAAACTGCAAACCTGAAAAGGGAGAAGAATAATGCTGGTGGTTAGGAAGCCAATCAAGGTAAGAACAGAGATGGACAGAGTGTAAAGACAGGACAGACAAATCAGGATTATTAATAATTCCCAAATTGGAAATGCTCATTAGTGAAGAATCAGTTAACAATATGATGACATATGTAACATGAAGTACTACACAGCTATGAAAAACAGTATTCACAACTTTCTGACGACTTAAGAAAATGACTACGACAGAATATTAAACTTAATATAAAATTTCATATGGAGAATGAAGAAAATTGTCTAAAATATAACCAATAGTTATCTCAAATTGATTGCTTTATGGAAAGCACATTTCTCTTTTTTTTCCTTTCTACCTTTTTTACATCTTCCACTTTTTTTCTATAATAAGCATTCATTCAAGTATGTAAAGAGTGCCTTCTATGTACTAGACATTTGTACAGGTGGTACTTACACAGGGTTCTACAAAACAGACAAGAATCTTGGAAACTTATAATCCAGTAAAGTATATACTACATTTATTATCAGAAGAAATATTCCATTTTGAATTTAAATGCAAAGGGGAGGGGGAAGGAGAAATGTCCTAAAATTAATTAGTTTTAGTAGTTTTTTAGTGGATTCCTTGTTTTCTATACACAAGATTACCACCTACAAATACTTAGTTGTACCTTTTCCTTTCCAATCTGTATGCCTTTTATTTTCTTGCCCAACTGCCCTGACTAGACTCTCCAAGACAATGTGGAATAGAAGTGGTAAAGACAACATCTTTGCTTTGTTCCTGATCCTTTCACAAATATAATGGTACCTGTGGGTTTTCATATATTGTACTTTATCAGCTTTTAGAAGTTCCTTTCTATTCCTAATTTGTTGGGTGTTTTTTATCATGAAAGTGGTCAGAATTTGTTAAAAGCTTTTTTCTTTATCCACTGAAATGATTATGAGGTTTGTGTCCTTTATTCTTTTGATATGAGGTATTCTATTACTTGATTTGTGAATACTAACCCAACCTTGCATTCCTAGGATAAATCCCACATGGTCATGGTGCATAATCCTCCATTTTTATATGTTCTGAGATTTGGTTTGCTCATATTTTGTTGAAGATGATTTCATCTAAATTCATAAGAGATACTGATGTGTAGTTTTCTTGTGATGTCTTTTTCTGACTTGGGACCCAGGGTTATAATGGCCTCAAAGAATGAGTTGGGAAGCTTCTATGGTCTAAAAGTTTGTGTCCCCGCAATATTCATATGTTGAAACTTGACTTGCAAGGTGATGGTATAAAGAGGTAGGGTCTTTCAGAGGTGATTAAGTCAGAAGGGCTCTGCCCTCATGAATAATGGGATTAATGCCAACAGAGGCTTGTGAAAGCCTGTTTGCCCTTTCACTCTTCTACCATGTGAGGACACATAGAAGGTGCCATTCATGAGGAACAGGCACTCCCCAGACAAGGAATTTCTCAGCACCTTAATCTTGGACTTTCCACCCTCCAGAACTCTGAGCAATACATTTTTGTTGCTTATGAATTACTCGGTCTAAGAAATTTTGTTATAGCATGCCAAAGGACTAAGACAGAAGCAATCCCTCCTCTTCTGATTTTTGAAAGAGTTTGTGAAGAATTAAGAATTTTGCCTTACATGTTTGCTAGGATTCACCAGTGACGCCACCTGGATCTCAGCTTTTCTTAACGAGTAGGTTTTTTGTTGTTGTTTAACAATTTATAAACCAGTATATTCAGATTTTCAAGTTTCAGTTATTTGTGTCTTTCAAGAAATTTGTCCATTTCATCTAAGGTATCTAATTTATTAGCATATAGTTGTTCATAGTATTCCCTATAATCCTTTCTGTATCCATCAGGTCAGAAGGAATGTCCTCTGTTTTCATTCCTAATTTTACACTTAACAGACATCTACAGAACATAAGTCTTCTCTCTTTTCTTTTTAGTCCATGTAGCTAAAGTTTTGTTAATTTTGTTGATCTTTTCAAAGAACCACCTTTCGGTTTGTTGACTTTTCTCTATTAATTTTCTATTCTCTTATTTGATTAATTTCCATTCCAACCTGTGTTATTTCCTTCATTCTGCTTACTTCACATTTGCTCTCCAGTGTCTTAAGATGGAAGGTTAGGTAACTTATTTGAGATTTACCTTTATTTTTAATATAGGGCTTTTCCTCTAAGTACTGCTTTGTTGTATCTCTTAAGTTTTGACATGTAGTGTCTTCATTTTCATCTATGTCAAAATATTTTCTAATTTCACTTATGAGTTCTTTTTTGGCTCACTGGTTATTTTGGAGTTTGTTAATTTCCACATATTTTTGAATTTCCCAAATTTCTTTCTGTTATTGATTCTTAATCCCATTCTACTGTGGTTGGAAAATATCTTTTGCATAATTTCAATCCTTTAAAACTCACTGAGGCTTGTTCTATGAACTGGCATGTGGTCTATCCTGGAGAACACCTCATGTGCACTTGAGAAAAATGCATTTCCTGTGGTTACCAGGGGGCAGATTCTACAGATGTCTGTTGAGTCTAGTTGGCTTACAATGTTGTTCAAATCTACTATTTCCTTACTAATTTTCTACCTAGTTGTTGTATACATCATTCAAAGTGGGGTATTGAAGTCTCCAACTATTATTATTAAAAAGTTCATAATTATTTAAAGCCATTGTGTTAGTTTCCTGTTGTCACTGTAACAAATTATTACAAACTTAGTGGTTTAACACAGTAACAAAAATGTATTTATTATCTTACAGTTCTGGAGGCCAGAAATCTAAAATGGGTATGTAAGGCAGCATTCCTTCTAGAGGCTCCGATCCTTTTCCTTGCCCTTCCCATCTTCTAGAACAGCAGTTCCTGACCTTTTTGGTGTCAGGGACCAGTTTTATGGAAGACAATTTTTCCATAGACAGGAGTGCAAGGGGATTGGATTCTTATAAGGAGCATGCAACCTAGATCCCTCACATGTGCAGTTCACAGCAGGGTTTGTACTCCTATGAGACTCTAATGCCGGTGGTGCTGATCTGACAGGAGGCAGCGCTCAGGTGGTAATGCTCACTCACCAGCCACTCACCTCCTGCTGAGCACCCGGTTCCTTACAAGCCATGGACAGATACTGAGGACACATCTGAACACGGTATCCCTGTTCTGAAAACTGCAGCATCCATGGCTTATGGCCATATCACGCCAATCCGGTTTGGTTGTGATACTCCTATCTGACTGACTCCTGCACATCCTTCTTATAAAGACCACTGTGATAACAGGTCCACCCAAATGATCCAGGATACTCTCTTCATCTCAAGATTTTTCATCATTTCTGCAAAGCACCTTTTACCATGTAAGGTAACATTCACAAACTGTGGGGAATGGATAAGGACATGTTTAGGGGCCATAATTCAACCTACTGCAGACAGCAATGGAAACAAATCACTGAATCAAGTCCTAGTTTGTTTCATGTCACTGAGCTCATCAGGTTCAATATAAGTCAAGCACATTTTAGCCTTACTTTTAAATATGTATATTTGTGTTCTCTGAGTATTCTTTACAACTGTTTACTTATTATGTCAGAAACTTTTAGTTTCTCTACATTTTTCCAATATTTTATGAAATCATTTCAAGTGACCATGTTGAATATGCAGAACGGAAGCAAAAATCTGTGAATAAGATACACTTTTTACAGCACAGCAAAAAAAGCACAGGTTTTGAAGTCAAAACAGAGCTCAGTTTTAATAGTGCCCTGCTACATATCAGTAAACACTAAGATTTAACTTCTCAGGCTTAGTTTTATTATCTACAAAACAATATCTATAAGATAATTATTATCTATCAATATATATGGCTGTATCTATCTATCTGTATATGTAACCTATATACATTATTGCAAAGATTAAATAATATATGAAAAGATCTGGAAAACAGATCCTGGAATTGCATGTGCAATAAATAGTAGTTATCATTGTCATTATTACATATTTTATTTCTGATTATGAATATCTCAGAATAAATTTTATGGAAATTAAATAATAATCTCTTCTCTTTCATAAGCCATCAACAATGACCACAGCCTAAAATAATCTTTCTCTTCTGAACTTCTACTATATCAATTGCTGGTAAAATTCACTTGGCAAATAAGTCACTATACTTTCAACATTTCCTCTATTCCCATCTTTCAATGTCATTTACCTTTTTTATCCTTACTCTATATTTTTATATATTTTTTACCCACCTAATGTGAAAAGTTTCTGAGGCCATGAGCTACAGAGCCTTGAAACCAAATGGACACAAATTGAAGTTCTTGCTCTACTACATACTACATAACCTTGAGAGTTAGTTAGCCTTTCTGATGCTCGGTTTCCCCATCTACTCAATGGTAACAGTGTTATTACCTAAAAGGTGCTTTAGATAATACAACACACCTAGCACGAAAAGGCAGAGGGAAAAGCAAGTGCAAGGATAATGATTTCCATTTCCCAAACTGCAGTGTGTTAAGATGAGAAGACAGTGTTTGGGGGAAAAACAAATGCAGCAGTTAAAGAGGAGCACAATATATTCTTATTAATAAAAATGGGGGTCGGGCGCCGTGGTTCATGCCTGTAATCCCAGCACTTTGGGAGGCCGAGGTGGGTGGATCACGAGGTCAGGAGTTCAAGACCAGCTTGACCAATATGGTGAAACCCCATCTCTACTGAAAACACAAAAATTAGCTGGGCGTGGTGGTGTGCACCTGCAATCCCAGCTACTCAGGAGGCTCAGGCAGGAGAATCGCTTGAACCCAAGAGGCAGAGGTTGCAGTGAGCCAAGATTGCACCACTGCACTACAGCCTAGGTGACAGAGCAAGACTCCATCTCAAAAAAAACAAAAAAGTGGGAAGATGGAAGGAAAACAAAGAAAATTTGTCAAGTCAATTAATTAACTACCTGGTCATTTTGACATATGATACCAAACAACCTGACAAATACCCTGACAGGCACTCTGAATACTACACAGATTGTCCAGATAAGACTGCACTGTGATGTGGGAGGCAAGACAAAGTAACTCCATAAGGCCCCTCCATTTTAATCTACTGTAATTTAGTAGAAACAGCATGGGTTTGGGAATCAGACTGATGAAGTCCAAAGCATTTGGTTATCAGCTAGCCATGTGACACTGCATCAGTCACAACTTCCAGAAGAGCCTGTGTTCTCACTTGTAAAATGGAATTTATGTCATGCATCTAAGAGGGATATATTGAGGTTGGGAAAAATATGGTCTATAAATGTCCTGGTATGGTATCTGACACTTAGCAAGAACTCAACAAATCACAGATCATTATTATTAATAATTATGTGACAATGACAAGTCACTTAATGTCTCTAGGACCGCTGATGTATAATTTGAGATTTAAAACCAGACTGAAGGCCAGATGTGGTGGCCCCCATACCTATGCTCCTTACACTTTGGGAGCCTGAGGAGGGTGGATCATCTGAGGTCAGGAGTTCAAGATCAGCCTGGCCAACACAGTGAAACCTCGTCTCTACTAAAAATACAAAAATTAGCTGGGCATGGTGGTGGGCTCTTGTAATCTCAGTTACTCAGGAGGCTGAGGCAGGAGAATTGCTTGAACCCAGGGGGTGGAAGTTGCCGTGAGCCGAGATCTACACCACTTCATTCCAGCCTGGGCAAAAGAGCGAAACTCCGTCTCAAAAACCAAAACAAAACAGGCTGAAGATACACTAGGTACTTGATAAACAGTTTTTTGCCACACACAGTCATACCTCTGTGGTAGGCAGAATAATGGCTCCCCTAAAGACATCCACATACTAACCTCCAGAACCTGTAAATGTTAAGTCGCATGTCAAAGGGGAATTAGGGCTGCAGATGGAACTAAGTTAGTAACCACCTAGCCTTAAGATAGGGAGACTATCCAGGATTATCCAGGTAAGCCCAATGTCAGCACAAAGGACCTTACAAATGGAAAAGAAAGGTGGAAGAGAGAGGAGCGGAGAAATGGCAGAGCGAAAACATTCAGCCTGGAGTTGCTGGCTATGAAGTCAGAGGAAGGGGCCACAAGCCGAGGAATGTAAGCAGCCTCCAGAGCTGGAAAGCTCAGGCACAGACTCTCCCCTGAAGCCTCCAGAAAGGAGCACAGCAGCGCCCACACCGTAACATGAGCCCAGTGGGAGCCACGCGGACTTCTGAGCTCCAGGACCCCATGGTCATAAAGCCACCAAATTTGTAGCAATTTGTTATGGCAGCCATAGAAAACCAATACACTCTCACTTTGTTTTTCCATCTTATTTCAAATAGGTCTCAGAGAACATCTGAATCTGAAACTTGAAAAAAGAAAAAGCATTTTTTTCCTACACAGATACACCTCATTCTAAAATAAAATCTCTTAAGAATACAACTTCTTATTAAACTAAATTGAGTGATCTTCTTAACAGTGCTTGATTTCAAGGACTTGCCACAAAGAATTTAGAGACTATTAAACAATATAAACTGGCTCATTAACATTTTGGACCAATGGTGTTAAATAAGAGATAACGCATAGCACAGAAGTACCTGAGTTTAGGAGAATCAGCCAACTCAAATGAAGTCTGAATTCTTAGAAACTAAACAAGACATACTGCATACTTCCACTGGGCATCTGGTTCGATTCATGCATACTGCATGTGTCAGGCTTCAAGGCAAAGTTGGTGGTATGAAATCTCTTGTGAATATTGGGATTTGGTTTAATCAGAAGAAATACTGCTTTATTTATGTAAATGTGATGTGAGCTGGGGCCAACATTTTCTCTCCAAATAAGGAATCCAAATCCAGATACTTAGGAAAGTTTATAAAGATTTTTTTTTCAAACAGACGGCAAAACTCTTCTGGAAAGGTGTCTTTTACAGGTTACTCACACAGAAATTGACAACTTTAAAGTGAATTAAATGAACAATGAGATTGTGAACTCTCAACTGACACATCACTAATTCCTCGTATGGTCTATGAGCAAAGGAACTGAAAAAATGTCAGTGACAGACTCAAGTCTCTAGAGGACAACAAGGATCCCGCTGTTCTCTCAAAACTGCAACATCAGCAGCAGCAAGCAAGAATGGTGGCCATTCTCATGGACTCCTCCAACTCCTCTGGAAGATCAGACCCGGCCTCAGTGCTAGAAGGTGGGGCTTCCTTCAGTAAGCAAGAGGCTTAAAGGCTGTCTTCTGAGGAGGGGCCCTTTTCTGGGCTTTTCTCCTGGAACTCTCCTTTTTCAGCCCGTTTTTATCATGTGACCATTTCAATAAGAAAGCCCCTGAGCTCTACCCATTTTGGAAGAGGCCCCTATGCTCCACTCAAAATAAATAAATAAGTAAGAACTGAGGTGCAACCCAAGAGAAAGGCAGCCTGAAGCAGACAAGTGAGCCTGCTCCTGTCCAAAGCCACAATGAAAGGACTGGGGAAATCCGGCAATTTATACATCAAAGGTTGTGGCCAAAGTTTGTTAATAATAAAAAGTGTATATCTGTCTAGAATGTTGTCTCTGCACTCCACACATATCCTCAGAGTACCCCCGAGGCATGACCTAGACCCTCATCAAGCAACAGGATTCATATTCAGGACATGAAGATCTAAGTCCAACCACTACCAGAAGTAGCAACACTAACCAAAAACATTCAGAACGAAAGCAGCAGTTTCAGCATGCATGTGCTGGTGTGGATGGGAAGCCACAAAGCGCGTCGTCTAAATGGAAAGTGTGAACCAAGTCCAAGTCAATTTGGAAGCCACGTGGTCACCAATGAAGAGAAGCTTTGAGGAGCCAGGAAGCTTTCCGGACGGAGGAGCCTGTGACACCCCAGCTACTCCACCACACTTGCTGAGCTCTCTGTACCAAAGGTCTCTCCTCCAAATTCTCATCAGCTTATGGCTCAAGAAGCATGCAGGTAAGCATCACTGGAAGTAATGAGTTTTAAGATTCCTACTTAAAAAATGCATCACCAAAAAAAAAAAAAAACTTTTCAAATAAACAGTTTTAGGTGTAATTTACAGAATTCAGTAAACTTTTTATTTAGTCATGCTAAGTAAGCAAGGAAAGGAAGAACTGAGGGATTCTTTTCCTTTGACCAACCTTTCAATGGTGATAGAGCCACAAGGATCCCTCCCCTGTCCTTTCCCTTTTGATTCCACACACTCCCTGAGTGATCTCATCCTCAGCCACAACTTCAAAGTCAGGGCAATGCATTTTAGTAAGGCTGGTGTCTAGAAAGACCACATGTAATTCTAAACTCACATAATACAAAACGTTTCAACCTCCCTGTTCAGTACCCACAAGCGATCCATCTAGAACAGAGCTGAGCACGCCATTCTCCTGCATGACATCCTTCAGCTGTGATCCAGAACCTTAAAACACATTTGCACTCCTTAGCCATGCATGAGGCCCTTCATCCTAGTCCCTGTCTAATCCTCTTGTCCCATTTCTCCACACATTCCTGCATTAGCTTTATTCTCCAAATAAGACTGCTAGGAAGAGCTTTCACATACGTCATTCATTCAACAAACACAGTTTGTCTTTTGCATTTCAGACACAGCTCTGGGCACTGGAGACCCAGCAAGGATAAATGCCCCAGCTCTCTAGGGCCTGGAGTCTAGTAGGCACCATCTTGATGCAGGTCACTGAATCCTCATCGTGTGTCTGGTGTCTGGGAGGTAGTGTCGTGCCTATTTTACAAAGTGAAAACCTGGAGTTTAGAGCAGTGAAGGTATGTACGTGGGCCCAGTAACTCTTCCGTGACAGAGGGGTACCTCCAACTGAGTCTGAGTACCAGAGCCAAGGCTAGTGCCCACACTGCCATAGAGTGAACACTCTTGGTACACCTATCTGAAAAATGGCAGATCTCTCCTCAAAATCAGTATCCGGAAGTTCTAATAAAGAGAAAACACTTTTTCAATCTTCTTTCACTTGCATTCTGAAAGAATGAATTCATTGCTGTCATCCACAATGAGGAAGCTGAGACCAACTGGCTATTCATTCTACACACACTGAGTGCCCACTATCTCCCAGGCACCACGCTGAGCACTGGAGAAGGAATCAAAGGTAATGAGTCAGATTCCCTGCTTGTAAGGCAGCTGGATTCTCATTGGAGAAAGAACTCCCACCCAAACATCACGATCGCAGTGTGATAAATGCAATGTTGCATGCACAGAGGATGGTACTACACTAGTAGCTGGCACACAGAGAGCGAGCGAAGAGAACAGGGATGCATTCACTGCACACTGTAAGCCAGACAGGGAGCCCTACGAGCTCAGAGATGCCATGGTTTAATACTAAGCAGAGAGACTCTGAGAAGTGAACTTGCATTAGTTCCATCACACTCTGGAGCCCAGGACGTTTCTACCACTATGTGAGGAGTCACACACAAGTGCCCACTCCCTCACCAGATCGGAATAACAAAGCTCCATGCAGCACCACAGTGCCGTGTGCACTTGTCTTTATTACAGCCCTTCCACCCCACAATATAAATGTCTTTTAATTTGGCCACTTCCCCACTGAGCTGAACACTCTTTAAGCAGGGATAAAGTATTAGCTTGCTCTGCATCCCAGCACTTAGCCCAGCCTAAGCATGTGATCCTTACTGAACAAGGGGAGAAATAACAGCAACTTCTCCAATCCAGTAGGAAAGACTGTGGAGAAACAGACACCCAACCAGTCTTAGGGGTGTTTCCCCCAGAAGTCTATAAATAGTGATTTCCTGAAAGGGTCTAAAAGTCTGAAGCCTGAATAGATTATGCTACTCTTTTGCCTTAATGTTCACTCTCCAAACCTAAAAGACTACTTTCTGCCATGGACCTTTTATTGGAAGTAACATGGTGCCCTACCTAAGACAGGTGAGACAAGAATTCACGCACATTCTTCTAAGTTAACATTTCAAGGAGTATACAACGAGTATCAATTCTGGGCCTAGTATTCCATGCTGGGCTCCATGAAGGAGGAAAACAAGAAAACTTGTCCTACTCACCTAATTAACTTTTGAGTACTTACAGATACACCAGACATGCTACACAGATTCTCTCATGACCATTTTACAGATGAAGAAACTGAAGCTATTCAAGCTTACTATTTCCACAGGTAGCAACACATCCTTCGCCCATTTAAGAAGCAAAACCCAGCTGGGCGGGGTGGCTCACGCCTGTAATCCCAGCACTTTCAGAGGCCGAGGCAAGCAGATCACCTGAGCTCAGGAGTTCAAGACCACCCTGGCCAACATGGTGAAACTTCGTCTCTACTAAAACTACAAAAATTAGCTGGGTGTGCTGGCGGGCACCTGTAATCCCAGCTACTTGGGAGGCTGAGGCAGGATAATCAGTTGAACCTGGGAGGCAGAGGTTGCAGTGAGCCGAGATCACATCATTGCACTCCAGCCTGGGTGAGACAGTAAGACTCTGTCTCAGGGAAAGAAGAAGAAAAAAAAAAAAAAGCAGCAAAACCCTGACCAAGGGGGAAAAAGGGATGAGAAAAATACAATCCAGAATACAATCAATCGACTGTTAATGGCATGGCTTTTTTTGTCTCCTTATTCTCTGAAGCTATTAGAAACCGTGTAACACAGGGCAGGGGATTATCGCTGTTGGTTCTGAATGGGTGGTACACCAAACGATGGGCAGCATGTCAAAAAGGAGACATTCCTAATGAGCCTAAGAGAGAAAGAGACACTTTAGTACTTCTCACGTTAAAACAAAAAAAAACCAGTAAAACTTGTTAAATCAAAATCTTATAAGGCACTTCAAGACCCAGAAGATAAAAGCCACGGGAGGAAAGAAGCCTGCTCGGTTTCCTTTATCAGCACGCCAGGATGCTCCACAGATCCAAGGATTGTTTTGTGACCCAGAACGTTAAACCACTCCTTTGGATTCTAGAGAAAGGAGCAAGCAGAACCTCATGCTGCTTCTCACAGAGAGGAAGACGAATAGCCTGCTGAACACCAAAGAAGCTACGCACCAACAGGTTTAAAATCGACTTTTGAATTTTTGAAATTAAATAAAAATTTAAGCAGTAATTAAAGCCTAATTTATTTTAGAGTCATCAGAGACACATTAAACAGAATGAACCTCCATCTTTATGCTCAAGCTGCTGGCATCGGCTGCGATGTACTCTAGCGCTTGGTTTCTTTCCAGTGTCAGACATCACCTTGATGGCAGTCTCTGTGCATTAACAATAGGTGGTCCTGGCCGGGCGCGGTGGCTCACGCCTGTAATCCCAGCACTTTGGGAGGCCAAGGCGGGTGGATCACGAGGTCAGGAGTTTGAGACCAGCCTGGCCAACAGGGTGTAACCCTGTCTCTACTAAAAATACAAAAATTAGCTGGGAATAGTGGCACATGCCTGTAATCCCAGCTACTGGGGAGGCTGAGGCGGGAGAATTGCTTGAACCTGGGAGGCAGACGTTTCAGTGAGCCAAGACCGCGCCATTGCACTCCAGCCTGGGTGAAGAAGCGAGACTCGTCTCAAAAAAAAAAAAAAAAAAAAAAAACCAAAACAAAAAAAAAACACCATCCTGGCTAACATGGTGAAACCCCATCTCTACTAAAAATACAAAAAATAAGCCTGGCGTGGTGGCGGGCGCCTGTAGTCCCAGCTACTCGGGAGGCTGAGGAGGCAGGAGAATGGCGTGAACCTGGGAGGCGGAGCTTGCAGTGAGCCGAGATCGCGCCACTGCACTCCAGCCTGGGCGACAGAGCGAGACTCCGTCTCAAAAAAAACAGACGGTCCTTCCTAATGGCATACTCTTCTCTGAGAATGGGATCACTCCCTGATTTCTCACTGCTGTAATAAAATCCTTTTTTGAATGAATTAGAGCAATAAATTACATAAAGAAAACTGTGAAGAAACACAGTTCTGAGACAATAAAAGGGGTATAATTTTGAAATTTTTCACCCAATTGATTGGTGCTGGAGTCGTGCCTCTCAGCTGACCCTATGCAGAATGCAGCAACACCAGACCAAAGCAGGGGCCATGTGCTCTGCCTGCAGTATGGCTATGCCTTGAGATATGCTTTCATTAGGGAAAGGTAACTATTTCATCATGACAAGAAAAATACCCTCACGAGTTTATAAAATCATTTTTCTCAGTATTATTTTGCATATTGTGCACATTATGTTTCTAAAAGCCTCTCATCTTTAAACAAGGACCTGAACAAATTGACAAGTCATAAGAGACTGATGTCCAAAAGAGCCATGAGAGGTCTGCAATAGAAAGAGCCCACAATTATCATTAATTCATTCATGCAAATAACTTTTATTGTGCCCCTATTTTGGAAGGCATGGGTACAAATGAATTTTACCAAGTTTGGTAATAAAGCCTGGGCTCCTAGTTTCTCTGCTGAGAGCAGGGAAGGGTAAGCAGACCACAGCCCATGGCACACTGCCTGTTTCTATAAATAAAGTTTTATCAGAACACAACTATTCTCATTCATTTACATAGTGTCTGTGGCTGCTTTTCTGCTACAACAGCAGAGGTTGAGTAGAATGCACAGCCCACAAACTATTTACTCTTTAGCCTTTACAGAAAAAGTTTGCTGTCCCTAGGCGTAGAGTTTCGCATAAAGACAATGAAGGTACAGCTACAGATAGGTATCTACTTCCCAGCTGTCCATGAAAGAGCCTGAAAGCAATGACTACCAGCACCCAGATCTTGGCTTCTAAACAACATTCCACACTAAAAGAAACCAGGGCACCTTTGGGGAAAATGGCTCATTTGAGGGCTAGGGCAGAGCAAGAACAAGATAAGCAGAGAACAAGTTGCTGTTACAGAGATTAAAAAAATACTAAGCCAATTTAGGGGATGATCCTCTCAAATGGACCCAGGAGCCAGAGCAAAGGGCCCTCAATGGCCAAATCTTAAACAATGTGAGCTTCAATTTACACGGTGATAGTAAAGGATTATAACCCACTGAATTAAAGAAAAATGCATGAATTTAGAAGACAGATACGACTGAATAACAAAGAGGGAGAGAGGGATTGAAAAAGAGAAAGAGGGAGAAAGAAGGAGCAGAAAAGATTCCTTTTCAGTAGAATATCAACCAATAAATGTAGATGGAATGACTGTTGGAAAATTACCATTTTACAACCATCACAGTAATAATTCAGGTAAGAAATGTTAATGGATCTAAAAGATGTGAGGGAGAGTTTAATGAGGAGCAGGATATTTATTTACATAGTCTTAAAGTATCTCCTCACAGAAGTATTAATTAATTACCAAAGGAAAGTAGTAACTTCACAGAGGAGAAAACTGGCACCACCTTAACCAAGTGATTGAACTTTTCACCAGTAACGACACAGACGTGGTGTGCCCGGGTACGAGGGGCTGAGAGGGACCTACCATCACCTCGGTGGCATTCCTGCCAAGACAGTGTGTGACACAAATCTAATTTTAAGGAAACATCAGACAACCTAAATGGAGAAGCATTCTACAAAAAACTGGCCTGTATAGTTTTTGTATAGTTTTCCAAAATGCCTATCACGAAAGGCAAAGGCGGACAAAGCAGCTACTGCAAACTGAAACCCTAAAGAGGCCTGACACTACACGAAATGTGTGATCTTGACTTGGGTCCTGTAAAAGACAAAACCAGAACAACTGGTGCCATCAGCATGTGAACTGTAGATGAGATAACAGCACTGTGTGGTTGTTAAACTTCCTAATTTGGATCATTGTATGACAGCTATGAAAGGGAAGGCCCTTATTTTTAATAAATACATGTCAAGTTATTTAAGTATTCATTTGTAAAAGATAATATATGAGGAACAGAAATATATGTGTAATAATCTCATCTTAGATACAACGAATATATTCTATGTTAAAAATTTATAGTGAAATTAAACAAATACGAAACCACTGTCATTTAATCTTGTTTAATTTTTATTTTTAATTGTGGGGGTACACAGTAGGTGTACATGTTTATGGGGTACATGAGATATTCTGATACAGGCATGCAATGCATAATAACCACATCAGGGAAATGGGTATCCCTCACCTCAAGCATTTATCCTTTCTGTTACAAACAATCCAATTATACTCTTTTAGTTATTTTAAAATGTATGACAACCACTGAGGTGGCATCCTGCCTGCCATGTGCAGATGAGGGAATAGAGGCTCAGTGAGGTAAAGTCATGGTCCAGAACACACAGGTCAACTCAGCAATTCAACAAATATGTGTCGAATAAATGAATAAAATGAAAGGATAAATTTTTTAAGTCCTGGGGACTTGTTAACAGCATTCAGCCCTGCTAAAAGTTACTAAAACAGGAAGCCTGGCTTTGTCCAAAATTCCTCCCACATTTTATAGCTAGTACTCATCAAGTCTCAGCCCACTCAAGTCAGTAAACAGAAGGCAAGAGGAAGCAGAAATTTGCACACCAACTGACAAATCTTTTGTTACTGTTGTGTGCTTTCTTATACAAATCAGATTTGGGAATTTGATTTATATATTCCAAAGCAAATTAACTGTGAGGAGTATAATTTTCCCCCAAAATAAACATATTACCATGGCCAGTAACCGTAAGTCAGACTATCCTAACAAGTTATTTGACAAAAGCTTTCAATTTAATGTTTTTGGAGTATACTTTTCTTTAGGGCACACTAATCCCTATAATATAAGTTAGCTTTGTGACCTCGAACAAGTTATAAATCCCTCTAACCTCCACTTCTTACCTGTAAAATGAGAACAACAAAACTAAATTCACGTGAAAGTCATGGATTAAATGAAGAAATGTGTGAAGAACCTAGCTACAGTGCCAGGCATACCTCAGGCGCTTGAGCAATGGTGGCTACAAAAAAAGGCATGGCTTTCTGCAAATATTGATTAGCAAGTATGCCTCTTAAGAGATCAATAATATGAAAAATACCAATGCATGAAAATCAAAAGCAATGCACGTTTATTGATCAAGACTCAGTTCAGAAATAGCTACCAATGCGAAAGAAAGAAGGTAACCTAGCTATGTGGAGCGCCATCTAGTGGAAGAAAAGCAGAGCACAAACGGCACAAACATTGAAGCAGAGAAAGAACAAGGAAAAATGTTGAAAATGAAAACTGCCCCTTATCTTCATCATAATTTCTATATTTTCTCCCATGGGAGCACGAATCAACAGTGACCCCAAGTGTAAGATATATATCGAAAACAGACATTTAAAAGGGTGCCCTCACATACTCTTGCCCTTTATCATATCAACGAAGAACATCAATAATATGCTAGGAGCACCTTTTAAAATTCTTAAAATAGCAGCAGGGGCTGATTGACGAAAAATTATGGAAATGTAAAAAATTATGGAAATTTACAGCTTACCAATTCAGAGTAAGGTATCTTGTGCTTGTGGAAAGAGGCTGCTGGGTGTCCAGACATGTTTTAAGATATGCAGTCTTAAAACTGTTTATGGAAGCTTCATTTGTTAATTTAAGCTTCAGGTGCTGTGTCTTGAATAGCATAATAAAAATCAATCAGAGCTGCTGCTAATTTTGTGCATGATATTAATGAAAGAAGCTTCCTAAAGACTGAATTTCTCCTTCAATATTTCCTGGATTGGAAAACTAAAATAATTCTAACAACATAAAATTACCCTAAGAAATGAAAGTAGATGATTTATGTATTGAATTTGTATTATATACATTATATCTGAAAAGTGATGTCGATACTCACACATCTGTCTTACAACATTTTATAAAAATTGCAGGTAACGTTTATTAAGCACCTACTATGTGTTAGACACTGTACTTACGTCTAAAACAGCAACCCTACAAAGAAGGCATAAGGTCCCCAATTTCACAGATGGGGAAACTGAGGCTCTGAGAAATAAAGTAACTTGCAGGGGATTACAGACTAGAAAGCTGTCACCTGTAATCACATGGCTCTTTCTGCACCAGCTCATTCCTTGTTGAGTTAACACTGTTTCCCAAGTAAATGCTACCTACCAGATGTTGCCACTGGTCAGAAAGTTCCTATGCCGTTTTGCCATGCCCCTGTGTGCCCTCTGTATGGTACGCAACTGCCCTGCTCACCCAGTCCAATACTAGGCATGTAATTTGAAGAGCTGCATAATCCAAATTCCCCACAAAAGTAAAACATGAAAAACAAGACATACTCAAAGCTTCCACCTCTATCTGATGCTAACAGGTGCCCTACATAGTGTCATAGTGTTGGGCAGACAAAGATCTGAATCCTGATTCACCAGTTACTAGCTATGTGTTCTTAGGCAAATTATGTGACCTTCCTGACCTCGGTTTTCTCATCTATAAAATAAGGTAAAATGACTTACTCTTTTAAGACTGTTAAACTAATTCAATGAAATAACATACATAAAGCACGTAAACCAGAAAAGGCTCTTGATAAATGGTAGCTACTATCATTAGCAACTGCAGGGCAAGTATATTTAAACATATTCCCCCCTTCCAGAAAGCCAAAAGCATTATCTGTGGGAATACTTTTTTTTCTTTTGTGAACCTATTTTTAGAGAATGAAGAATTCACAAATATACCATAAACTGACTATAAATCCCTGATATCATACTCTCGACTGTTTTTGTGATAAGCAAAGTATTAAAATACAAAGAGCACTGCACCTCTAGGAGGCTCCCTCAAGAGACAGAACTTCAGCAAGAATTTCACTGGCTTTCTATATGGAATATTTTTCTATTTTCTTTTTGGTCACTGAAATATATACATATTTAAAAATCCTTACTTTGAATGCCTACTGAAGACTGCCGGAGAGCACAGGAGAAAAAAAAGTGAGCTTGCCTTTTTGGTAAAACACATTTTCAGTAACCCCTTTTAAAAATTCATCACCAATGGAAATTCCTAAGAGGCTTCTGCTATAATGAAACATTTATTTAAAAACAACAATGTTGAGTTCTGTCCTTTTACCTCTTTTCTTAAAGTATCTTAACAAAATACTGCAGACTTGGTTTAAAATTTCAGCCTGACTACTTATAAGCTGTGTACCTTGACTGGGCAAGTTACTTAGTGTTTTTGAGCCTTAGAGGCCTCATTTGAAAAAAATAAAGGAGGCACGCAGGGAATAAAACCTCCTACCTTGCAAGATCTTGCGGGGATGGGAGAGAATGCACAGAAAGCAGCTGGCACGGAAGAGCCTCAAATTGGTGGCTTTTATAATCATCATCCCCAACGCCAAGGAACACTCTCCTTCTATTGTTTTGGTAGAAGATATAAGTCATTCTATCTTCACTCAGCGGGACTGGTGACAACAGGCAAATGGGGCTTTTGATATCAAAGTTGCTGTTGGCACTCAATTTGCGGTTTCAATCGCTCCTCTGGCTTTCGGAGTTTCCCTTTGGCATCTGAAACTGCGGATAACTCTCTCAGGTAAGAAACCTTATTTGGCATGTGACTAGGGCTTCCAAAATTCTGTTTTTAATCTGTCATGAGAAATATCATTAGGAGTTTAGAGAAGGAGAGCAAATTGATGAGAGTGCAGTGATTTCATAAATTCCTTAAGAAAGAATAAAAGTAAATAAACATCTGATTCAAAGCAGATCTGACAACATCTTCTCATTATCTCCTAGAGAAGGATCCCTACTGTGCAACCACATTTAAAGAGCACTGGGATGCTTTTCTGCTTGTTCAACCCTGCATTTCACTCAGAACCTTCTTTCATTGATATGGGCAGAACTGTTGACTTCATCCCCACCTCCAATTCAGGTCCTCTAAAGCTGTAAGAAGCAAAGCTCTTTACTGACTGCTAAATTCCAAATATACTTTCTGATTCTGCTACCCTTAATGATAATTAACACGTAACACTGAAATGAAGACAGGAGTTCCCAAGGGCCCTGTGCTCAGACGTATGCTAGGTGCTGAAGATACAGAGGAAAGACCAGGCCCTGTCTTCCGAGGAACTCACTCTTTACCAAGAAAGACAAAGATCCAAACAAAGCAGTGTGATGAGGATCACACCGTAAGAGCACCAGGTGTTATGTGACACCAGAAAACAGGCAATCCAACCCATTTTGAAAAAGGTCAGAGGACTTATCTTAGGGCAGAAATGTGAAGAATGAAGTATGAAAATGGATGCTATATAATTTATCTTTCAATTCAGCACAGGCTAGAGGAAAAACAAACTGCACATAAAAAAGCCAGGGTTTTGATTCTCCTTCTATCATTCACTAATTATACCATCACAGGTTGGCCAGTAACTTAGCCCTTTAGACTCTCAGTGTTACTGAGAGTCAGTAGGACATGGTAAAAAGAACAATGGACCTGTAAAAGAACAAAGCTTGACCCTTCACTCTGACATTTTATTATAAGCATGTCACCATGGGCAAGTCACTTTAGCTGTCAGAATCTTGGTTTCTACAACTGAAAAACTAGGCTAATAACCTCTCCATCTCTGAGCTGTTACCAGTATCGAGATTACAAACATGACCCAGTACCAACAAGTGCCTCAAAAATGTCCACAAGCTGATTTATTAACAGTAAATCTAAGCCATCCAATCATTAAATATTTCAGCATAGTTGAAGGACTAAGATGTTCCTTAGGAAAGAGGGCATCTACAAACCGAAAATTCATTCTCAAACGCACACAGAGGAGAGCAGGAGCTTCTCACCAGTGCAGACTGTTTTTCCTCCCTACCCCTGGGACCCAACACAGAGAACCAGCATGGCAGGTTCTCTATAAGCCTGTTACTAATGTCCAATACCAAAACCCTGTAACTCACAATCACTGGGTCACTTTTAATCATAATACACTGTATAAAACTCAGAAATGGCATATCTAACACTGTGAGTGATCGCATTTTCTTAAAAAAAAAAAAAAACTGATAACACAAAGAAAAACAATAAAAAACTAAAAACTAAATAATCACATCCTCCTTTGGATGAAACAGAAAATCACAAACTATAGCATGAAGGCACCATACCTAAATACAGTTCTGCAGTTCTCATTCTTACTCTCTACTTTACAAGTCTGTGACATTCAAGCAAATCCGAAATGTTTTCCAAAAGGGGTCCCCAAAAATCAAGTTTTAAGCCCCTGGGTTTTGTGGATTACAAAGAGATGTACATAAAATAATAATCCTTCCTTAATATATTTTTATCCTCCATATTTATTCTAAGTAATGCTAAGAATTGTAATATTTGAGAAACTGATATAAAAACCATTTTGATATACAAACAAAAAACTTTTATCAACCTAGACACAAATCTGGACCACCTTAATCTTGAATCCTCAGCTCCACTTTCTCTTGTAATCAACGACAACTAAATGTAACTTGGCAGTGAGCCAGCCACCAATCCATACATTATATCAGATAATTAAAAATACAGTGTTATGTAATCTTATTTAATGGTTACTTGGCTTGTATTGAAAACCATCCAAACCAATATCAGAGACTTGGATTAAATTATAATGCATAAGACATTTCTAAAGATGTTTTTTAGTAAGAGTCAGCACATCCCCTACTAGCAAATATAAAACATGCAACACCACTTTCATCTGCAATTAACCTCTCCTTGGCAAGAATTGCAATGTCAATTCACCCTACAGGCACCAAGGCGGGGTCCGGAGTGGGATCCCAAAGCCTATTTTCTTTGACTGACTTTTAACATCAAATAAACATTAACCACTAATTTTGTTAGAGAAACAAATTCAGAGGCCAGGCACGGTGGCTCACACCTGTAATCCCAGCACTTTGGGAGGCTGAGGCAGGCAGATCACGAGGTCAGGAGTTCGAGACCAGCCTGGCCAACACAGTGAAACCCCGTCTCTACTAAAAATACAAAAATTAACCAGGCATGGTGGCGCACACCTGCAGTCCCAGCTACTCGGGAGGCTGAGGCGGGAGAATCGCGCAAACCCAGAAGGCAGAGGTTACGGTGAGCCTAGATTGTGTCACTGCACTCTAGCCTGGGCAACAGAGCCTGGGCAACTTCGTCTCAAAAAAATAAATAAATAAATATTCGGGAAACAAATTCATTTAGGAGGTGGAGGAGGAGAACCAGTTATTCTGGTAAAATGAAAATAAAATCAGCAATCAGTGCCCACGATGAAACACAAGTCTGGAAAAATATAAAAGCCAATGTATACCAGACAGGAGTATATCTCTTATTGTCATCCTAGCTCAAGAAAGAAAAAGAGTAATTCAGTTAGGAAGTTGATCAATCTTTACGAACACTGAATTTTTAAAGAACGACTACACCTCATCTATAAACTGCTTCATTATCATAATGCATTGATTATTAAACTAATACACTAGTCACAGGAGGGCTTTAATTCAAAACTGCCTCTTGGCCTCAGCATCAAAATCCTGGAAGATAAATCTACCGTGAATGTTTGCTTCTTCAAAGAAGGCAAGTGCAGACAGAAACTTTCTGTAAAAATCAGGATAAACTTCCTAAAGGATATATACTATTTCCTACACATTTAAGTCAGTTGGAAACAATCATACTAATTATATTGATTTCTGCAGGGTCTGAAGTTAGCAAGTGAGAAGTATTTCATTCCAACATTTTAGGAAGCCAAAATAAGAAAGAACAACCTCTTCAGAGACAGAAGACCTGAGATTTCAAATTAAATCTCAGTTGCCCAAAAGCTTAGATAGCTGGGATCCTCAGCTGCCTTCCTGAAAAGAGAAGACATGAACATCTGCCTTACCGGAATGCAAGTGTGAGGACAAAACTAGTGCCTTGGAAACTTTAAAATACTATGCAAATGTAAGGCCTTGTTAGAGTTTAGAGATACCATAAAACATATCTATTACATGGCACGCTAAGGTTTGCCATGCTGGCCCATTCTACAATTTAGTGCTGAAATACCAACTCCAATGTGAATAACTGCTGAAAACACAGTTGCATTAGAGGCAAACACAAATATAACTAAATAAGAAAAAATAGCCCATAACAAGATGGTTGGATTTAAAATCAAAGCTTCCTCACAATCATGTAGCTTCAGATTTAAAACACTTGTAATTTTGCAGTTACATAAGCGTGTAATTAATGTTTTAAATGATAAAGCTCTGCATTCCGAATATCAGCCTGTGATTTAAGAGAAAAATGTTTCAGTCTGAAGTCATCTAAACTAACAGTAAGACAAGATTCTGAGCAGCACCTCCTCCTTCCTTCACATGTGAGAAATATACTTCTTATAAGAATTACTTCTATGAAAAGTAAGTTTATCAAGTTGAATACCTAAAAAACACTAAATGGCAACATTTCCCCAGTAAATATCTGTTTCAAGTAACTGGAAGCCATTAACACTGGTAAAAACACAGAATCCAAAAGAATTTTGGACGTTTTAGCAACACAATACTATGGCAACACGGCAGAGAAAATAATTCTGACTTTTAAAATAAGATAACGCACTGTACTTTCAGTTTAACTGTTCCTTAATTGAGTACAACCTAACTTTGATTCAGCTACTTTATTAGGAAAAATGCACTTGAGTCCACAGTCCAGAATATTTCCAATGCCACGGATCTCATGCAATGTATGAAGAAATTTCTTTCACAGAGATGACAGCCCAGCAGGCAATAAAAGATACATGTAAATCATCAGGCACAGGAGTACAAACTCAACTGCAGAACTGTTCAGAGGGCATAGAAATAAAACTTAATTTTTTTTCTTTTATTTAGGAATGCATGCCCATTCACTTTTTCACAAGCCCATTTTATTAAAGAAATAAAAATAAGCCTGCAATTAAAATAAAATGAGGGAGCTCCATAAGTCTATTTCTGTTCAACAATTCAAATATTCTTAAATTCTTGGAGACAGTAAAGAGTCTCTCCTCCACCATCGGTCAACCACACACACACTCTACTCTGAAGAACTGGTTGAAACAGGCAAAAACTGGAGGTCACTGTTTTAAAATATAGGTATCTATATACAAATAGAATATGTCTGCCTCATCTTTCACTTCCAACAATAAAAAAGCCAGGGCGAGCACTAAGAGCAGCAGATCCGATTCATCTAGGGAACCACAGACTGTCAGTGCACAGTAATTCCTGCAAAAGGTAACAGATCTGACCAGATCATGTTGCTGCCATTTCCCAGAGAAAAGACAGACCAGTGGCACCCACACCCATCTTCATCTGAAACACATATTCCAGGAAAAGTAGGAGACTGCTCCCAGGAAGGAAGGCTTAATTTACCGTGCATGCCAGCAGATGATTCAGGAAGCCACAGGAGGAAAAAGCCAGGGGAACACTGTCCCGGGTAGGCGTGCCTCCAGAAATCTCTGTATCCCTGACCCGCAGTACTTCCTAGGATCTTTCACACCCTGAGCTGGCTGGAGTCGTGTGAAAATGGCAAGGACTCCCTTCACCACTATTCCGAACCTCAAGCCAGCCACCAATGAGGGTCACCCAACCCAACGCCCTCCGGAACGGTGCTCTTTTGCCGGCCTCTTCTCCCCTACTGACTTCTCCAAGGGCCAGCCTGCAAGGCTTGGCATGGGCTGCCCATCCCCTGGGAGGGCTGACTGCCCCGCCAGGGCTGTTGGAGCCTGGACACAGGAGAGACAAAGGGCTGGGAGGGGGAACTGGGCTCCTCCCCTGGGACCACGGAGCTCCTCTCCTCTCAGGTGCTGGGGTCTGACCCCAACCCTCTTCCAAGGTCCCCAAACTTCGCTAACAATGCAAGCACCTGTTCCCTTCACCTCTTCTGCATTTGAGTCCCTCAAGTCCTTCCATTTTCCTCCAGCTTTTTCTCCAGTACCTTAGACAAACCAAACGCCCTACTTCCCCGAGTCCAACACGCTCCCCTTCCATGACATAATTCAACCTCGTTCCCAACGAAGCCCCCAGATGGTCGCTGTCCCCCACCCAGAAGTTTCCCCTGGGTGTGCCCGAGTCCCCAAAGATTTCCTTCAAGTCTCACCCATGCGCCCCAGCCTTCTCCTTCCAAGTCCCCAAAATTCACATCAGGGTCTTCCCCTAGGTGTCCCACAGCCTCCCAGGTCCCCGTGCAAACGACCCCGGGGGCCACCCGGGCCTCCGTCTCCGCCGCGTCCGCTGACAGCAGAGGGCACGGAGGGGCCCCCTGGGCCCCCGCGTTTCCACCCGGCCCCCAACCGCCGCCGGCCGGCAGTTAACGGCCGGCGCCTCACCTTGGTTCACCAGGCGCAGGGCGTGCGTGAAGGAGGGGTCCAGGGAGTCCTTCTCCGCCATCAGCTCGGGCAGGTACTTCTCCTCCATGCTCGCCGGCCGCCGGGCCCGGGATGTGGACTCCAGGCGCACGGGGGGCGGCGCCCGGCAACCCCCGACCCCGCCCGCGCCCCCAGCGGCGGGGACCCGGGGGCCAGACGCGGCAGCAGCGGCCAAGCCGGGCGGTCGGCCGGAAGGCGGCGGCGGCGGCACGGGGGCGGGAACCGACCGCTCAGCCCCGATCCCCGGTGGCCGCCGAGTACCCAGCGCCGGCGGCCCCCGCGCTCCGGGCGCGGGCCGAGGAGGAGCGGGCGCGGGCGGCGCGGTTAGGCGGGCCCTCGGGCCGAGCGGGCTGCGGCGCCCCTGAGGCAGTCCACGGCGATCCCCGCCAGTCCCGCCAGCACCTGCCAGCACCCGAGCCACAGCTGCGACCTGCACGCCGCGCGCCGCCCCGCGCACTCTGAGCCACCGCGCCGAGCGCCCAGCGCCTGCCGCCGGCCCCGCCCCGCCCGGCTCCGCCCCGCCCCGCCCCGCGCCCGCCGCCCCGCCCTGCCGCGCCGCGCCTGCGCACTGGCGCCCACCGCCCCGCCGCCCGCCGCCTCCTGGGGCCGCTCTCCACTGCGAGTCCGCCGGGACTAACCGGGCGTTTGCGAGAGGGGGTGCGTCCAAGGGCCCCTCCCGCGTGTCCGGCGCCCACCTTTGGCCCTGAGGGCCGAGTGGGGAGCCCCACGACGCTATTACAGCCTTTCAGATGCACGGACTGGGAAACTGGGGCTCAGAGAAGTCAAGTGGCTCGCCCAAGGTCACCCAGCGAGTGATCCTGGGAAGAGGGGACAAGGGCCGAGCTGGAGCTGGGAAGGGCGCCCCAGTTCGCCCCAGTCGCGCTCTGAGGAATAGCAGCGGGACCGCCCTGCTCTCTAAAGCTTCCTGGACTTCTCTAAGTTATGTCGCGTTGCTGTCCCCTCGTACTTATAAGAGAGTAAGGCAGGGGCGCCGTCCTTTCTCCGCGCCTGAGCTCAGAGCGCCAACCTCCTGAGATCCGCCAGCTCAGAGGTCGGTTACATAAAAGCGCGTGCCCTTCTGGGCGTCTTTGTCATCCCGACTTGCTCCTGGGTTGTCATTCTCTTAGGTCATAAACCGGCTGTGCCTGGACACAGCTGAGTGAGCCGCGTCTGAGCTCATCCGCTCCTGGGGAGAGGCCCTGGGACGCCCCGCCTGTCGGTGGCAATGCTCTCTGTCCCCTTCCGCCCACCCCCAACCCCCAGCAAATGCTCTCCAAGGCCATTTCAGATTTCCCGAGGCATGTGGAATAAACGTCCCCCAGGAAGGCGAAGGACTCCAGTCCTTGCCCTGCCATTTTTCCTGCCTTCAAACAGCCAGCTCAAGTCCCGGCCTCAATGTCACCTTCCCTGGACAGCCTCTCAGGACCTCCCTGGCAAAGCAAGTCACAAGTCCCTTCTCTGTGTCCCCCCAGCTTGGTCAGAGGTCATTCACAGACAGCTGTAATTCTGTTTTCAGTAGACCATGAGCATCAGGGACAGAGTTTGAGTTTTGTTTTTGAGGGGGAAGGTCACCAGTGTGTAGTACAGGGGGCAGGGATGGAGGGTACTGGAAATGTCTCTTGGAGGAATAAGTCAGTGGCATACCACTCTCAGCCAATAGCCTGAGGACAATCGCCACAGTCCCCCAGGCAGCCCCCCCGCACTCCCAATGCAAATGGAGGCAGCTTTACAAACCCGAGGGGAGTGGGAGGTGGTAGAAATCTTGGAAGCTCTAAGTCCCAGACCCGAGTACTCAACTGCCCTCACTCTCAAGGCTCCACTCCTCCCCCGGCTAAGGTGTCATTTCAGAGTCCCCAGTAAGAGTCTTCTTCATGGCTCTCTTCAGTCTCAACTTGCAAGAAGCAGAAAAATGGCACAGTTAAAAGCAAAGCCTCTGGGGTTAAACAGCCTGGATTTGGAATCATGGATCTGCTGCTCACTAGCTGTGACCTTGGGCAAGTTTCTTCACCTCAGGGTCCTCATCCGTCAAGTGGAGATGACAACCAAACTTATTTCATAAGAAGTTCATGAGAATAAATATGTTAACTCATAATGAAATACCCAAAACAGCACTCTGCCTATCGGAAATGCTGAGCTGATCTTTGCTTTGGGTTTTTTCCGGCTGCAAGGCTGTCCTCTGGGCCTTCTGAGCCTCCCTCGCCTTCCCTTCAGCTGTAACTCCAGGGATGCTGGGCAGACACCCATCTGTGGACTCCTCACTGCTGGTCGTGGTGCTTCGCCCCGGCCTGGCCAACTGAGTGAAGGACCTGTGACTGTCGCACCTCTGTTTCTGACCTGGGCCCAGCGTCAGGCTTGTAGGCTGCTTGTGGCTGCTCTTCTCAATCCCAGGTCTATGACTGGCCTCTCAGCCCCAGAAACAAAAAGGGCACTTCCCAAACCACCCTCACCCAGAAGGGCAGGAGTCTGGATGCCTGCATCCTGGCTGCTACCTGCCTCACTATGCCACTTTGTTAATTAACTTAGAGCCTGAGCTTCCCAGTCCACACCCCCAAAACCAGGGGTATGCCAGTAGTCCTGCTGGACAACAGGAGGGACTCATAGGACAATGTCTTTTCCTTTTACAACTGAAGGGAAGCATACACCTCTGGCTTATATTCCTGTGTCACAGAACTTACATTCTATGGTAGGGTTCCCTGACAGCTGCTTGTAAAGGGGGAAAGGGGGACAGAGAATGTTTGGGATGAGGCTAGAAGAGGACAATGGGGCCTGGATGCCCAGCGGCTTCATTGGAACACTTAGACTCTCTCTCTTCTAACAGCTCTTCTCCCTCTGTGTCTTCCATTCAGACCATCTGCCCCGGTGACAGTCCAGACCTTGAGTAATCACTATTTTTATTAAGTGCCAGCCCTATGTTTATGACTTAGGATTCACTATGGTTCTCGCAACACCCTGTAAGGAAAATTCTATTGATCACCACTTACAAAGAAGGAAACTGAGGCCCGGGACAGTTTAATACCACCTTGCTTAAGGCTCCACAGCTGTCGGCGGGGATCCCAGGCCCACCTGACTCTCTGACCCTTCTTTCTCTCCCTTCCTGGTTCTGCCTTCCCAGGTAGCAATCTGGAACACTCCTGACTGGCTCTTCATCCCTCCCTGATCTGAGTTGGCAGTCAGTCCACCAGCAGCTGTGGAGGAGGGCTATGCACTGGGAAACTGACAGCAAGGGCACTGAATCTTCTGCTCCAGACCCTCCTTCTCCGAGAACCTTCCAAGAAGGCAGGTGCCAAACGCTGTGAGTGCTCATGCAGGGTCCTCCGGGGAGGAGGGAGATGAATGTCTCTGTGAGATGCTCAGGAAATTGTCCCCACCCACCAACCTGGCTGAGCCGTTGGCTGTGGGGCACCTCCATGCTGTGCTGCACACTCCGCTCATCTTCATGAGATCACCTTCCTGCAGGCGCTAACCCTCTGATTCTTTTGAAAAGGAGAAATCAGGTCTTGGGAAAGCCGGTGATTTTCCTACAAGCAGCTGCAGGTAGTATTCACACTCAGGTCTTTTGGCTTCCAGGCCAAAAGAGGTCTCTCTAGAATACACCAGTACTCACTGAGCACATACTATGTGCAGAGACTGCTCTGGGTACAGGGGACATAGCCATGGACAGAACAGACTTCTCCAAAGGCCCTTAAGGCCAGGGCACTGGGGCTGCTTACTCCATCTGCAGAGTTTGTGGTTAGACTGACCAGGCGCTCAGGTCTGGACGGGAAGCCCCGCACTGCAATAAGGAACTGTGGCTGCTCTTTCTTCTCACATCCAGGTCTGGGACTAGCTTCTCAGCCCCAGAGACAAAAGGGTACTTCCCAAACCCACCCCACTCAGTGACACTGGGCCATCTCTGAGAACACAGCAAGTCCCTGTGGCCCCAGCCCACTGCCATAGCGCTGTCTGCCAGAATCCACACCTGCCTCCTCTTCACCCACCTACTGACTCCTGGAGAGAGAAAGACAAGTCCTTGGCCTTTATGACACTAACTGCAATAAGTCAGACACAGCTGCAGCAAACTCAGTGTCATCAGAGGAGACACAAAATGTAGGGAGTGTGTCTATGAGGAAGTTTTCATATTTGCTGCTCACACTACAAGCTTCTCACTGCTGTTCACACCACAAGCTTCCTCTTCATTTTGTTTAAGAAAGGTGGATCCTATCCCAGTTACTCCAAAACTCTGCAGTGCCATACTGTGAAATCCTAATCCGACTGTACCAAAGGCCAGAGAGACCTCGGCTTGGCCCCAGCTGCCTTGCTTACTATCCTCCTCACAGGATCATTTTGAGGTTGAAATTGAAGCATTAAGCTCACATAGGCACCATGTGCATTTTAAAGCTTTTCCACTCTCTGTCCTCTCCACCAGCATTGTTTGTGCTCCTGTTCACACTTAACACATCTGGTCCTCGTCATCTGTGGACCCCTTTGCCTTCACACTGTCCTCAGAGCCTGCTCAGCTGCCCAGCCCCAGTGCCTGGTCCAGAGGTCAGTTCACAGCAAGCACTCAGCATTCATTCTGGATCCGTGTCTCCCAAAATGCAGTCCCGGAACAGCAATGCTACCCAGCCATCTGAGGCCAATTCATTTGTCATGTAAGGCAGGCACCAAAAGATGGCACATCCTTACCTAGAAATCAGTCATTTATGTGTCAGGGAGGAAGACAAGAGTGTTCACTCTGATCCCTGACTCCAGTCAGTTACAGCAGGAAATACTTTTTCAAAACTTGTAACTGTGGCTGAAAAGCCTTGACACAAGTGGGGGAGGACACAAAGCAACTCTTCAAAGTTGGGAGGCTTCACACAGTTCAAAGCCCAGTGTAGATCTGGAGTGCCTTCACCAAGGACTATTTGGTCTATGAGTGGCTCTCTTGTATTTTACTCAAACAAGCTCCAAAAAACTTCCTCATTCAGGTAGTCACAAGCCACCACTTTTTAGAGATGAGGAAACTGTTGCTCAGAAGGTTTAAGTGACTCAGAGATAGTAAGTGGAGAATTGGACACATGCTTGCATGCACATACACATGCACACGCACGCGCATGTGCGCACACACACACAAACACACACTCCACCCAATGTGAGGATGGATACAATCAGACCTTCAATCCCAGTCACTCACATACCTGAAGACACCTGTCTTTCTGTCTCTGTATCCATCTGCCCTGCAAATCTATACCCTCCTGTCAGTATTTGGTGGATGGAAACCTCAGTTTCTCTCGTCAGCTCTCTTCTTTGACAAGAGAATCGAGCCATCCTGGCTCTGTCTTTCTGCAGCTTAAAAAAATAAAATAAATAAATAACCACACACACAGATATTGTGCACACACCCCCTAGTGGCCACATGTGGAGGCACATGCCCCACAAAGTTTGCGTTGGGGTTGATAACCACTTGAGTTTGAGAAGGAAACCCCAGATAGGATTGCAACTCCATCCTAGGAAGGAGGATGGTGAAAGATGATCTTATGTGGAAGACAGTGAAAATGGAAAAAGACAAAGAAAAGGGGAGGAGAAAGAAAAATGTGATGGAGAAAAAGAAGGCAGGAGAACCAAAGGAAGATTAAAGAAAGGTATATAGAATAGGAGGAGTGAGAGAAAAAAATAAGGCAAGCTTAAAGGAGGGACGTTTCTCAATGTGAAGTCTTTCTCTATTTCAAATATAAGCACAAAAAGTAATGATGGAAAATAATGCGAATTGGTGTGTCCAGGGTCAGCTGGCCATCCTGTACACAGGCAGGTGGGGACAGACGAGCCAAGGATGAGAGGTGACAGGGCCCGTATCTGACCCCGTCACTGCCTGACTTGGTAATATTTTCAGAATCCAAAGCTTTCTCTGTCCCTATTTCTGAGCTTGTAAAGGGTAGCTAATAGCAGTTGTTTGTTGAGTTCTGATGAGAACAATAAAGATTTGCAGAGAAAACCCTGAAAAGTGCTCTAAGCTCTTGGACATAACCATCACAGAAATGTGTTTTGTTATTTTGCTCAATGCAGCAAAAACCCTCCATCCTTTGCTTCCTGGTGTAAAAGGTTATATGTGATGCTGGAGTGCCAAAGTACTTGGTGTATTTCAACAGTGCATCAAGTTATCACCACCTCTGGTGCTTTGGAAGATGCTGTGATTTGGAAAGCACTGTCGAAATGTAAAACATTATTGCCACAGTAGTAAAAATATCCGTGTCCATCTCCTAGTCCACTATTTCTTGTCAGGATGCATAGAGATACACATGAAACAATTCTGTACACATTAGTAGAATGTTTTACAGCAAAACTGCACATATCTGAGTTTGGCAAAATAATCAGAAACAAAATATTTCTGTCAGTGTCAAGTTACCCTTAGTGTCCGAACAGCTACCAAGGGGGTGATAAAGTGTTTAGTGCCCACTGCAAATGTGAACACATCCGGGTTTCATAGAAAAATGCCAGCTTGGGCTTGTGTTTTTCTTTAGTTAAGAAAGGAAGAAACAAACTTAACAAAAATGGCTGTGGAAAAAGAATGGACATAAAGCTGAGATTGTGGACTTAAGTTAGATCACTGAATTACAAGAGAAACATTTTTTCTCAAAATCAAAGTCGACTTTTGTTGGTGACTCAACTGCAAACTCACTGAACGTCTCTGTGAATTTCATTCTTTGGCGTTTCTCTAGCGTAGCACTAGCCTTCCCACTAATATCAGCCCTCATCACCACCATGTCTGGATTTATACCAAGAGGAGACACAATGCCTCAAAATCCATTGCTTGTTGTTAATGGAGAGATTGCGGTTACTGGTTATACCTGGGCAACCTCGATCAACTTTATCACACCTCTAATGACAGCTGGCATGTGCAACGCTCCAGCTTCCTCTGGCAAATCTTATCCTGAGAGCAAATTCTCTCTCAGTCTTCGTAGCCATACCTGTTGGTCTGCAAGCATTAGCAACTTAGATATACAGACTATCATGATCTGTGCACAGTTCAAGAGTAAGTTACCCTTGAGCATATGGCGGTTGAGGCCACAAGTTAAGGAGTCTGATACCACTGTGCGCCTGCCCCTAATAATCTGGGAGCTTTGGGGCAAGGCAGCCTCTTTGTGCCTCTCTTTCTGCACTTGCAAAATGAAGGCAGTATTACCCCCTCCCCTGCAAACAGTTACTTTAGGACCTCCATGAGTGGCATGTATTTAAAGTGTTTATCACAGAACCTGACACGCCAGGGGCATAGAATGGGTGCAGCATCAGTAGAGCAGCACTGTCCAAAATTAATGTGAGCCACATGTTTAATTTTAAATTTTCTAGAAGCCAGTTGACAATGTGAAAAGAAACAGATGAAGTTAGTTTCAATAGGATTATTTAATCCAATGTATCCAGAATACTGTTTCAATATATAATCAATAATTTTAAAATATTAATGATATTTTACATTCTTATTTATTTTGACTAAGTCTTTGAAATCTGATGTGTAGTTTGCACCTACAGTACATGTCAATCCAATGTAAAATTTTCAACACCTAAGGTAAAATGCGGTTCTATCCAAACTATAAAATTGTGTTTAATGAAAAAAAAATCTTACACTGCTTCCATTTTAAAATTTAACTTTAATTAGTTAAAATAACATTAAAACCAGTTATTCACTAATGAGAGCCCCAATTCAAATGCTCATTAGCCACATGTGGCTGGTGGCTGTGGTACTGGGCCGTACAGATTATTCTGGGACGTGGATTAGAAAACACACCTGTAAGTGCTTAACCAAATAGGCTCACCCTTGTCTTACCCTCCTCCCCATGAAGTCCCAGAGTAGGCTGCCCAAGCCAGGGGCAGCAGCTACAAGATGTTGTTGGTGTGCCACGCCCCTGCCATCTTTCTGCTTCATCGAACTTAGAGGGCCAAAATGGGCTGTCTTCATTCCACCATGGGCATCATGACCTGATTCCAGGCAGGAGTAAGGAAAAGGGAAAGAGCTAAAGGGAAAATTCGCAGCACCTGTTGAGTCTGTGCAGCTGATAGGACGCCTTGTTGGAAGCCTCATCAAATGGCTTTTTCTTAAGTATCATTAACCAAACTGTATCACACATGGATACCCTTATTTGCAAGGGTCAGAACTGGTAACTATAGTGTTTTCCCTGGGCACATCGCATCCTCCAACAAAAGTAGAGTTCCTCAGTAAGGAATAGAGGACAATTGATGTTTAGGAAGCAACTGACAGCCTCTATCCGAGGTGGCATCTGCAATTATCACGACCACTTCAACTCCTGGCTCTATTACTGTACAACTACCATCAAATTCTCAGATGATCTGGAGGAGGCACTCACAGTCTTTAAAGAAATAAAACAATAGGGTTGTACATTTTTTGCTGGTTCAAGAAAACAAAACTCCCTTTCCTGTATTGCATCTTACAATTCAGCCAGGTATGACCCAGGGAATCAGAACATACAGGAAAGGGAGGGCAGGAGGATGGGACTGCCTTTCTGAGTGGACTCTGGGTACTAGGAAGGAGTAGAGTCTTCCAGGCAGAACAAGGTGTGGCGTGAGCAGGAGGTCCCTCCTTTGTGGGGCTGAGGGAGAAGCTGTGGCTCAAGTTAGTGCTGGATGGGGACTAGCTGTAAGCAACCAGGAGGGAGACTAGATGGAAGGCAGGTGTGCGCCCCCTGTTGTGGCCCTTTCTTTCTTACAGGCACCAAAGATGTTTCCATGGGCTCAGCTGTAGCTTGGAGGTCTTTCTTGAGATGCTGACTCCCTGTGCTCTTGTCTCCCCACTATGCCTCTGCTCATTGTTGAGCAGGAACAGATGCACTGTGAACCTCAGCATCACCTAGATATGGTCTTGTTTCCTCTTGGAGAGTTACTGAAAACCTAAGCCTCACAGTGGGATCAATATTATGACCATTTCACAGGCCAATTGTGAAGCTGAGATGAACTAATGCACACAAAATGCTCACTTTCCCCCAGCACATAGTTTCCAACAAAACTATTCTGAACTTTTTCTTTTATTTTTCTTTTATTTGAGATGAAGTCTTGCTCAGTCACCAGGCTGGAGTGCAGTGGCGGGATCTCAGCTCACTGCAACCTCCACCTCCTGGGTTCAAGTGATTTTCCTGCCCCAGCCTCCCCAGTTCTGGGAGTACAGGCGCAGGCCACCATACCCAGCTAATTTTTGTATTTTTAGTAGAGATAGGATTTCACCATGTTGGCCAGATGGTCTCAACCTCTTGACCTCATGATCTGCCTGCCTCGGCCTCCCAAAGTGCTGGGGTTACAGGTGTGAGACACCGCGCCTGACCTCTGAGTTTTTTCTTATCATGCTACAGTGAATCTTGTGTTTTCTTTCCTGTATCCTATTATTTCATATATTGGTCAGAATCTTGGCAGGAAACAAATGGTGTACTCAAAAGGAGTCATTAAAGAGAGTTTCATAAACAGCTATTTATAAGGTGTGGGTAAGGCAAAGAGATACAAAGGGAAGAGTTTGGCCGTCTAGGCCACCAGTGGGAGACCTTCTCATCCTGTGCCTAAAGAGGCCAGGAAAGAGCAGATGTCAGAACCTGAGAGAGCTGTGGAGGTGGGAGCAGGCCTCCAGCAGGAGCTGTGGCTGAATATAGAAGACACCAGCCCTGCTGAACAGGGGCAGGTCCAGGAAGGAGCCAAGGCACTAAACACCCTGACCTTACTCTTCCACCCTCTGATCTCCTGTGAATGCCTCCCACTGGCTGAGTTGGAACCGAAGTCAGGGATCAGGGGAGCCCAACTGATGTATTCCATAAAGGCAAGCCTCTGAGGGTAGAGACTGTGGTTGAAAAAGGTTGAGAGTAGATCTAGAGGAGGCAAAGAAGACCAAACCCTTTTGCAATGTGCTGTAGTAAATAATTTTACCTGAAACATCTGGCACTGGCTTACTGGATTTCTACTCTGGTTAATTATGTTTTCTCCCTGCAGTGTTTGGTATCCTCATTCAGGTTATGCACACACGTGGCTTCTGGTTGAGAAGCCAGAGACAGAGAGGCATCCTGGTGCCACAGACAGAGCACAGTTTCTGGGCTCTCCCAGAATTTCACTCCATGCCTCTCTCATTAACTCATCATGTGAGCTAGGACAAGTTAACAGGCCACTCTGAACCAAGCTCTCTAATCAGTATCACGGGAGGAAAAGTGGTCACCTCACTAGGTAGTTGTGAATATTAAAGTGGTGTGTTTTCTATGCCTCTGGTACCCTGTGGAAGCTGTAGACACAATGGCTAGGAGTTCAGGTTCTCAAGGTAGCATTTGTGGGTTCAAATCCCATCTCTGCCATTTTTAGGCTCTGTGTCCTTGGGCTAATTACTTAATCTTTTAGTATCTCAGTTTCCTTATCCACAAAACAGAGAGAAATTGTCCCCACCATGTAATGTGATTGTGAGAAAAAATGTTCAATGACATGAAAAGTAATTGGGACAGTGTGTGGCACTTGCCAACACTCAATGTCCCCAATTATATGTAAAGCACCGAGCTGCACGCAGTGTGTGCTCAATACCTGTTGAACTCCCTTCTTTCCTTCAAGGGAAACGTGAGGCCTGATCAGAACTGGGCACATGGACAGCACCCTGTTGAGCTCTGAGAGAACTTCCTTTGCCCTGTTAGATCCAAGACAAGCAAGTGTTTGGGGCATTGGAGAAGGAATAAAGGATACAGTAGGGCCCATGGATGATGGCTCACAGTCCTCAGGCAAAGGAAAGCACAAGAGCTGCATCCCCGACGCCTCTGCCCAAGAAATAACTGGGTTTCTTCCAAGTATAGGGCTGCCTAGCATAGCAGTTAAGATCCTAACTAAAGAGCCAGCTTCACTCTAGCAGTGTGATTTTGAGCTAGTTACTTAACATCTCTGTGCCTCAGTTTCCTCACCTGTACAAAGAGGATTACAACGGCACCTACCTCATCCTCACTGGAGATGAAATTAGTATATTTGAAAGTGCTCAGAACAGGGCAAGACATATAGTAAATGCTTTATAAAGATTTCTTAAATGCATAGAAAATTCTCAGTTTAGTAAACAAATTTTGCCCAGTTGATTTCCCTACTGTTCAGTACTGGTCTGAGTACTGGCCTCTCTTGGGTGCTGAGATCAAACAAAAATTGTGCTTGACTGTCCAGGATAAAGATAGAAAATGCTTAAGTCAGCAAAATCAAGAGGCCATACATTGATACAAGTCACTCAAATCCACTGTTAACATTCTATAGCCTGAGAATAATTTGATTTTTTAAAACTCTCATAGACAAAACAAAGCCTTGGCAATATTTCTTGATCAAGGGATAATAGAATTAGCCAACTGGAATGAAATTCTTGCTCCGTCTTTACTGGCCTGTTTTTGTTTGTTTGTTTGTTTGTTTGTTTGTTTTGAGACAGAGTCTCGTTCTGTCGCCCAGTCTGGAGTGCAGTGGTGCAATCTCGGCTCACTGCAAGCTCCGCCTCCCGGGCTCACGCCATTCTCCTGCCTCAGCCTCCCGAATAGCTGGGACTATAGGCGCCCGCCACCACCCCTGGCTAATTTTTTGTATTTTTAGTAGAGATGGGGTTTCACCGTGTTAGCCAGGATGGTCTTGGTCTCCTGACCTCGTGATCCGCCCGCCTCAGCCTCCCAAAGTGCTGGGATTACAGGTGTGAGCCACCACGCCCGGCCTTTACTGGCTTGTTTGTATGACTTGGTCAAGTTATTTCACCTTTCTTTGAGCCTCCATTTTCTCACTATAAAATGGGGATAATTCCTATGTCAAATATTCCTACAGGCATATAGCAGTTACTTAGTCAATGGGAGTGGTTTCCTTCTACCTTTCATCTTTGAACGTCTATGAATATGGAGAAAGTCTAAAATAAAATCTAATTTTGGAGACTGAATTTCACAGAAGGCATCAGTTAGTCAAGCATCAACAAGTTTGAAGCCAAATGTACATCGGGGTTTATTTGTTTTCCTGACCAAGCAATGTGTGGCAATGTTTCCTTCCTGTGCTAATCAGAAAGAAGTCTCTACTGTTCTACTTTGAACAAAAGGGCCACTTCCTCGGAGGCATAGCAGGAAATGCAGACTTTGGAGCTCAGCTTTTCAGTGCCAGGTCATGGATAACCTTTAGCAAGTGACAATGTTTCTAAGCCTCAGTTTCCTCAATGGTAAATATTGATTTTACAAAAATATTGGGATTGATTAAGTAATATTTCATACATACCTTGCCTGCACACTGTATGGGCTCAGTAAATGATAATCATCATAGTAAGCTCATGTCCCCTTGAATAAAATTAAGCTTCTCATCAAATCAAACAGACTGTATATATAAAGTAGATAAAGAAAATCATCTCCAGGAATTGCTCTTGCACTGATTTATTTTCTAGATTTTCTAAAACATAGGGAGGAATAAAACATTATGTTCCAAATACATAATGCCACTTCTGTTGAAGAAGCTTTAAGTTTTAATGACATGAGAACAATTTACTTCAAGCAAAGGCCACAGAGATACACCTAGTGCTGGAAAATTTGCTTCTAGACAGGCCTTTAAAATTAGCCGAGAACCTGAGGCTGTGTGGGGAGAGCTGTCGTGGTCAGTCATTTAATAGTTTCTCCAAGATGTCAAGTTTGCTCTCATAACAGGCCCCTCCATTTAGCCTAAGACCCCTTAGAACAAACAAAATCCCTGATTAAAGGATTACTGTGGTCTTGTTTTTGCCTTTGTATCTCTACCTTTCATAAAATAGTTGCCCATCCTCTTACAAATAGCTTTTATTTTATTCTTCTTCTCCTAGTCTCCAACTCTTATTCTCTTTCAGTTTTCTCTGTCTCAATGAATGGCCTCTCCATTATTCAAGAAACCTGAATACCACCCCCTCCCCTTCACCCCCACGGCGACTGTCAGCATTTCCTGTTGCTTTTCCTTCTGAATATTTCTGGATTCACTGCACTTCTCTCTTCCTACTCTCTCTTCTCCACAGTCCTCTCACTGGTCTCATGGCCTCTGGCCTCCCTTTTGTCCGTTATCTACACTGTACCAAGACTGATCTTTAAAAATGCAAGTCTGGTTATTTCATCCTTACTTAAAACCCTTCAGGGGTCTCCAGTGCTGTTGGTTTAGATGAAGACCAAACTCTTTATTGAGCCAGGAAGGCCCTGTGCGATTTGGCCATGCCTAGTTTGACAATTTCCTCTAATATTACTCCAGCCACATAGAACTTTGGGCTTTGGGGAATATATCGTAAATGATTTGAATGGATGCTCTATAGCCTGGAATGGCTCCCTTCTGCTCATAGCATTAAAATTTAATATTCCTCTGACTCTGGCTATTAACCCATTTCCATCATTTCCTTCTACTCATAATTCTTTTCTTTGCACCAAGAAAACAGTTCCTTCTGTGGCTGGTCTCTCTCCCTGGGGGTGGCATAGGCTTATATAGTTTCAAGTTCTGGTCCCTTTGCCAGAACTTCATAACGGTGAACTAAGAGTCAACAGATATTCCACAACCTTAACCTATCTTCCCATCACACATGCACATGCATGCACGCATGCACTTATACACAGATGCACATACATGAGCACATGTGCACATGCACACAAGTACACACACCCACACTGCTCCCCAGATTGCAGCACCTAAGCCAGCACCTGGGCACTTACAAAGCTCAGTAAATCAGCATAATAAATCAGTGTAGTCAGAGATACAGCAACTGTTTCTGAGCACAGAAAAAATCTCATCGCTAGCATCATAACTCCTTTGTGTTCTTTTCCCTTGGTACTCATCTCTATATTGACTCCAGTGTTTACTGACTGTCTATGATGTGCCTGCTACTATTTCAGGCTGTGGAACAAGTTCCCTGCCCTCAAAAAGCATAGAGTCTAGTGGAGGGGCATGCATACTGCTTACTAGCTTTATGGCCTTGAGGGAGTTACTTAGCCTCTTGTGTCCCAGGTCCATTATCTAAGAAATTAAAATATCAGTGTCATCTTCACAGCATTGTTATGGAATGAAATAAACTAACATGTCAGTTGCTAAGAGCTGGCCTCATAAGACTGATGTGAAATATAAGGGGATAATACAAGAAAAGTGCTTAGAATAATATTAGGATGATATCCATCTTTAATAAACACTAGTTTCATATTTTTATTATGGTAACAAAGGAATGTAGTTGCTGATTGTTGTAAGTTCTCTGAAAGGGAAAGACCAAGTGCAATGATAAAGATGATTCAGGGAACATCTCAAAATTAGGTGGAGTGCTGAGGGAAAGGCCCTCTGACGAGGGAACCATTAAGATGTGAAGGAATTGACCATGATGGCCAGCAGAGGCCGAGGGTCAAATCTGAGATGCGGCAGAGCAAAGCTGGGTCTCCGGGATAGACAACTGCGGATCCAACAGCTCTGCAGCTGTCCGGCTGTGTGTCCCCAGCCAGTCATGTCAGCACTCTGAGGCTCAGTTTCCTCATCTACAAAATGAAAACTACAATGTTCATTATATAAAAATGGGGGATAGCAATAACAGAGAGAACATCATCAATGCAGAAGATTTTAAATAAAATAACTCACATAAGTCACCAAGCACAGAGTATCTCACACAGTAGGCATTTAACAAATCACGGGGTGCTCTCTATCTGTCCATCTGCTCTTCTATGCTAAGCATCCTCCAAAATTAACGATTGCCTCCTGAGATCACACACATAACCAGTAAGTCTGGGGGCTTCAGAACCAAGCGGATCTAACTCCAAACCCTCGGTCCTGCCCGCTTCACCAGTCAAATCCAGAATCATCACAGTAGCTAACCAGTGGGTGGAGCACTTCTTCTAACCCAAGCCTTTTTCATGAATGTTCTCTTTACTCTTCACAATATCTCAGTAAAGAGGATTCTATTTTTCCCCATTCTGTTCTTTTCTGAGAACTGAGGCTGTGCTAACTTGCTCAGTGATGGGGCTGCCCATGCATCCCTGAGGAGTTTGTTGCCCAGGGTGTCCCAGCCTGTCTCCTGTGTCCCTGGCCCACGCGTGGACTTCCTTCAGGAGAGGACATTCTCCTATGTGACCAGTCTCCTACACCTATTGTGCTCAGTCTTATTCTTGATTAGTATTCACTTCTTTCAGGAAAGTACTGGATTGCTCCAGGCCACAGAGATCTGAAGTGATCTGAAAAAGCCAGGACCTTAGCCACACTTAGTCCTGATGTCTTTTTGTTAACTTATGAAAGATTTACCTTTTCAAGGGGCTGAAATTGCACCTGCCTCCCTCCCTCCCTTCCCTCCTGTCCTTTCCCTTTTTCCCTCCTCTTTTATTCTTTTTTCCTTTATCTCCCTTTGTGCATTGTACAGATCTGGGGACTTGGTAAATTGTCGAGTCCTGATGACATTGCATGAGAGGCAAGGGAGAGGAAGAGAGACAATTCCAGTGATTCCAGCATGAGTGCATTGCACTGATTCCTCACAGCTGGAAGTAATGTCTGAATAATCTCTGAGCTAAAACAGTACTTTTCCTGAAGAAGCCACGTTTTCTGAAACAAGAATTAAGACAGATTTCTGAGAAGGAAGCTGAGAAGATGTCAAGAGGCCAAAACATTGGGAATGTTGAGGTTGGGCTGGGGGCTGGGGCAGTACTTGAAATTAGATTTTTGTGTAGCGTCTATCAAAGGATATTATCATTCCTGTTTCACAGATAAAGAAATTGAGGCCAAAGGTTATTCAGCTTCTCAGTCGATGAGGCATTGCACTAAATGGTGAAACTTTTCCTTCTCAGAATTACCCCTATATGTATTCATAGCCTGTCTTCCCAGGCCCATCATAAGACTTCCTGAGCTCACGTAACCGCTTATTTGAGCAGGGTCTATGTATGACCATGATCTCTCCTCTTCACTCCACGGAGACCCTATCCTAGGTATGGGCTAATTCCCTGAAGTTCCCCAGACAAAGCATTCATCTTATTATAATGTAATTGTCTGTTGACTTGTCTCTTAGCCCCTGGACTGTGAGCCACTGATATGGTTTGGTTGTGTCCCCACCCAAATCTCATCTTGAATTGTAGCTCCCACAATTCCCACTTGTTGTGGGTGGGACCTGGTGGGAGATCATTAAATCATGGGGGCAGTTTCCCCCATACTGTTGTTGTGGTAGTGAATAAGTCTCATGAGATCTGATGATCTTATAAGGGGTTTCCCCTTTCTCTTGGCTCTCATTCTCTCTTTGACTGCTGCCATGTAAGATGTGACTTTGTTCTTCCTTTGCCTTCCACTGTGATTGTGAGGCCTCCCCAGTCACGTGGAACTGTGAGTCCATTAAACCTCTTTTTCTTTATAAAGTACCCAGTCTCGGGTATGTCTTTATCAGCAGCATGAAAACAGACTAATATAGCCGCATTTATAGCTTGTCTGCTTCATGCTTGTACTCCAGGGTCTGGGAGAGCCACATTTTTCTGCCCTTGTTCTCCCTCCTAAAGGATCATTTTCCTGTCCCCCTACTGACACCACACTCCCCTCCTTCCTCCTGTGGCTCCCTCACACTTGTACTTGTTCCTTCACAACTCATCTTGTTGCCATGCCCTTCCTGGACGCAGTGCCCCTCCACTGGGCTGCCAGAGCTTTGGGCTTCCTCATGGCATGGCCGCCTGCTGCTGGCTCACCCATCCCCTTTACTGGGCTGTGCTTTCCTGGAGGCCAGAGCCCAGAGGTTCTCAGTAAATGTTAGCTGAACAGACGAACAAATGACTCATCACTGTTGTAGCCCTGAATTTGTGGCAAGTATTTCCATTAATAGGTTCAAAAAATACATTTTAATATAAGTGACTTAAGCCATCTGCCTACATTTCATATCCAACAAATTCATACTGGGCTGATTTGTTCTGAGCTGTGGTAGTTTAAAACACAAAAGAAAAGGAAAACTAGTTATGAATAATCAGTTTCAGCATTTAGAAAAAAAAAATGCCTGTAGCTATTATCTGGAGAATTTTTAAGGCGGTGGAGGTGGGGAGAGCTTTAAATACATGGCATACTTTCCTGTACTCATGAGAAGCATCAAGTTTCAGGGCTTTTGCAGCTCCAAGTGTGAAAGAGAATGTGAAATTACTTAATAGTTTGTTATATATCAGATCTAGAAAGTCAATTACGTAAAAAAAAAAATCACATCCATTTGAATAAAAGTGAAATCTATGTGAGCCAAAAAAGGTGTTATTTTTCTTCCTCCTATAACTGGTGTTCAGAAAATTCAGGTTATCATCTCTACGTCTACTATGATCAGAATGTGTCTCAGTCATTCATTCATTTATCTATTCAGCAATCATTGAGCACCATGTGCCTGGCCTGAGGCACAACAGGGAAAGGGCTGTGGCTTCATGGAATCTTCCCTGTGCTTCTCTCTGAGGAAGACATAGATGAAACAAATAAGCTCACACATCAATATGGAAAAGAGAAGTGGTGATAAATGTTCTGAATGAAGAACAGCGGGTGGCCCATTTAACTCAGATGTTCAGGAAAGGGACAGGCTAGAGGGAGAACCCTTTGTCATGAGTCCTCCACCTACCTCACTGGAGGCCTAAGAGCTTGTGACTCATTGTCATAGGCCTCTCTTTGCTTAATTGCTTCATCTTCAAAACGATGGAATATAGAATAAGGCTATTTCTAAGATCTTCCTACCTCCAATGGTCTATGAACTTATTTTATTAAATCTATTGAAATAGACACCCTCTGAATATTTTCCTTTATTCTGATTCCATTATGAATCATTGACAAAAAACAATGATGGTGATTTCATTTACCATCCCCAAAATAATTGGGAATTATTTTTATGCTAAATATATAGATATTTATTTATCTCATATATGTTTTGTTATAATATTTGAAAGCTGCATTCTTCTTCCACAGCATAATTTAACTTTGAAAAGGAGGTTTGTGTTAACAGGAAGAAACACAGAACAAAACAATTGATTGAAGACCTATGAGGATAAAATTTCAAGGAAAGAAAAATATGGCCAAATAACCCACGCTTGTTTTAATGTCTATATAATCAACATCTAGTAGATGATATTTCTGAAATAGTATAAAATTATATTTCATTAGGTAGTCATGTCAATTGAACAGAGTCTTGTCACAGAATGAGTTCTCTGCAATCTACAATTAATTAAGCAAAGAAACAAACTGCTTGAAGATCTGTTGAAGGGTATCAACACCATTATTTTTCCAATACAAAGTGCTTTCCCATCCTGCATCTCATCCCTCTTTTTCCCCCTCTATGGTACATGGCTGCGAAGAAATTTTTAAAATAGGCAGAGTCCTCATAATACAATTTTAGTTATCTCTGGAATGTGTCTCAAATCCCTGAATACGGTCTTCTTCTGCTAATTGATCTCTGAGTTTTCACCGTGGTGGTTTTGTTCTTTGTACCTAAGGCTTTGTTTTAAATTGAACAGAAATTCTCTGATAGAAGTAACTCACATTTTTCCTTCCTTCCTTCCTTCCTTCCTTCCTTCCTTCCTTCATATAAGTCACCAAGCACAGAATCTCTCACACAGTTGGCATTTAGTAATCCTTCCTTCATATAAGTCACCAAGCACAGAATCTCTCACACAGTTGGCATTTAGTAATCCTTCCTTCATATAAGTCACCAAGCACAGAGTCTCTCACACAGTTGGCATTTAGTATTCCTTCCTTCAGTAGGCCTGCCTACCTTCCTTCCTTCCTTCCTTCTTTCCTTTGTTCCTTCTATCCTTCCCTTATTCCTTCTTTCTTTCCTTTGTTCTTTCTTTCCTTCCTTCCTTTTTCCCTTTCCTTTGTTCCTTCTTTCCTTACCTTCTTCTTTCCTTCTTTCCTTTGTTCTTTATTTCCTTCCCTCCTTCCTTCCTTGCTCCCTCCCTCTCTCCCTTACTTCCTTCTTTCCTTCCCTTCCCTTCTTTCCTTCTTTCCTTCCCTTCCTTCCTTCTTCCTTCCTTCTTCCTTTCTTCTTTCCTTCCCTTCTCCCTTCCTTCCCTTCTTCCTTCCTTCTTCCTTCTCTTCCTTCCTTCCTTCTTCCTTCTCTTCTTCCTTCCTTCCTTCTTCCTTCTCTTCTTCCTTCCTTCCTTTTACTGTTCTTTTCTTCTTTCCTTCCCTCTGTCTCTTCATTTTTCTATCCATTTCCCTCTCACTCAAAATATCAAAACATCTCAATATTTTTGGTGGAAATGGGAATAGGGAGCTTGATAAACCATTGCACCTTTGTCTGTTGTGTATCCTCTCGGAGCTGGCAAAGCCCCTGCAGGACTCAGGATGACACTGGGGTTCCCACTCACCCAGGCACGACGTCAGCCATAGATGGGTCTCTTCCTCGTCTCTGCACGGTGCATGGAACAGCTCTTGGTGCCCTCTATTTGCTTAAATAAGAAAGCCAATTGAACTGAATTAAACCCAGACTTGCTAGATGAGAACCACGGAATTTGAGTCTGGTCCCACTGTACTCATCAGGCTGGTGAGGAAATATTTATTCAAGCGGGAGTGAGGCTTTTCTTTTCATGATGTAATGAAAATTGTCAGGCTGACATAAGTTAATATACTGACTTCGATTCATAGTAATGGTGGGACTGTGGGCAAATCGTCTAATTCTCATAGCCTCTGTGTCTTCATCCTAAAAATAGGGATAATAATACTTCATTGGATTACTGTGAAGGTTTGGGATTACATCATAGTCAGGTCTCCTATAGGATCTGACACGTAACAGGTGCCCATTACCTGTTTACAATCAGTAAGAATATTAGCACGTCCACCACCTGGAGGGTGACATTCTGAGTTATAACTCCAAAGCTTGGCATTGTTCCCTGACACGTGGTTGCTAAATGAACCAAATTCCATGCACGTATTTGTTAAGCACCTACTCTACCTGCTCAGGTTTGCCGCTATGTGGGATAGAAGAAAAAGCTAAAAACAGGGCTCTATCCCTTAAGCAAGTAACCCATTATGTTCCGGTAGATAATTTAATCCATCTCATTATTTGGTAACAAACTGGACCAGCTGTAGACTGCCCAGGATGCCAATGAGAAGAAGAGTAAAACACTTTAATCCAACAGCCTGCTTTCTCTGTCTGGATCATTGGTTAAGAAATAAAAAACAATTGCTGCCTTGTCTTCCTGGCTCATCACCAAAAAAGGTAGGACAAGAAAGTCACCAACTGCTTTCCCATTTTCTTACAGGTTTAAAATCTACCACCAAAGCAGTGCACCTTTTTGCAGAATGTTGGCTAAACTAGGAATCACAGCTGCCTACAAATTTCCTATGTGTTTAAATGCACAGTAGAAAAAGGAATGAATGAACACACAGTGTACATAATTCTGGCCTTTCCTGCTTAATTTTCACATTCTGGCCTTTCCTTACTTAATTATCATGTCCACAGGCATTTCACTCATTCACTCATTCTTTTATTCAAGCATTCATTCAGCTAGCATTAATCGAACATCCCCTATGTGTTAGGCACCACGCAAGGCACTTTACCAAGTTACGGCCAGTCTGCATAACAAACCTGTAAGGTATTATTCCCATTGTACCGGTGAGAGGTGAGGAAATGGAGCCTCAAGAGGTTAAATGATTTAACCATGTTTATACCATTACTAACAGGCAGAGCCCAATTCCAATTCCAAAACAGTACCCCTGTAAATAACAATTATGTTATTTAGGATGAAGTGTAAGGGAATTGCCCTCCAAACCTGAGCCTTCACAATTTTTTCCATCTCAGTTCAAGGATGAGTCCTATTTTCCATTGCACAGGCTGAAAACTCTTTTTCTCTCATACTCCACACCTAATGCTTCAAAAAACCATGTTGCCTTTACTTTCAAAATTAATTTAGAATCAACCATGCCTCATGACCTCACGTAGACTCTCAGGAATTGCTGGTCTCTGAACTGTTCCGCTTTTCACCTTGCTCCCCAGATTGTTTCCTCAACTCTGCAAGCCAGGGGGCACCTTTGCAAACAGACCTCAGACTGTGTTCACCTTCCGTGGGTCCCACCTCACCAGGAGTCAAGGCCACAGTCCTGAAAAAACCTGCAGGCCCTTCCTGGCCTGGCCCTCCATTCTCTTCCTGGCCCAGACATCCGGCCCTGTCCTGCCCCCAGCATTTGCATAGAACCTGCCTTCTGTCCTCAGGGATTCTTAGCCACAACTCACTTGGCCTGGGTTCACCTCTTTTGAATCTTTGCTTAAATGTCATCTTCCGGGTCATGCCATTCCTGAGTACTCCAGTTAAAACTGGACCCTGTCCCCCTGCCCTGCTTTATTTTCATCACACCTACTAGCGTTTTTCACCTTATAACATAATATATAATTTACCTTTTCATCTTGCCATCAAGTGTCTTCCCTGTCCCCTAAAATGAGGCTAGCAGTTTTCACCTTCTTTCTCTAATGTATTCCCAGCGCCTGTCACATGGTAAGTGCTCGATACACATGTTTTGAATAAAGGAATGAGGCTGGGCTTGGGGTGCTTTTCCAAGGCACTAAGATGATATTATGGCTGAGGAGTACAGGCGCATCGGAATCTTAGTCCAAGCCAGAGACATCCTTCCAGTGAGATCCACAGGGAGACATACACACGAGAAACACAAGACATACACACAAAATCCACAGGGAGACATACACACAGGAAACAGTATGAGGCAAAACTAAATGTGAGATTTGATTGCCTAGTGATGTGGGCTCCAGCCCCCAAAGCAAAGCACTCTGATAAAATGAGCTAAGCCAAGTGGCCTCAAGTAGGAGTCCAGGGGGTTTCTACTACCCCACCCCCAAACCAGACTGCCAATCTTATCACCTCTTGACCATCACCTGTAAGTCCAGGAAAGAGCACCTCTTACTACTTCTACTGTGGATGTAAAAGAGGAGAGGGAGCGAGAACCCATTTAGAGAGAGAGAGAGAGGAAACAGGGTCACACTCATGTCCTGACCTGCAGGGTGCAGTCGATCACCTGCCTGGAATCTGACCAATTCCATGAGTGGGACCCCCTCCCTGAAAGACAGGTGGGAATAAGGGAGATTCCTGTTCCACTCAGGCCAAATGCACACAGTTTTTATTGTTTTTTATAATTTATTGAGAATAACCATTTTCCTGTATCCTATATGGCCTCATATAGGACTGAAGAATAAGAATTTGTGGGCAGAAGCCATTGGTGTATGCTCCTCAAAACAGAGGAAGTTGATGGCTTATTTTATCAGTGTAGATAATCCAAGAGAAAAAACATTTAATTCAAAAGAGACATCTAATCAAGTTGCCCTACACCCTCAGTGGACCTCCATCACTCATTGTGATGCTCTCAACTGGGAGAGCTTAGCAGCATGCTGAGCAGGACACAGCACAACACAGAAAGCCCTCCTGGAGTATGGGTTGTGTTTAATATTAGTAATTTAACATAATTGTTAAGTTAAAGCAAATACTGGGATATTTTGGTCTAGTGTGCAAACTTTACATTTTTAAAAGAAAACTTGACATTTCAAACACATTTTTTCACTTTGGTGGGTTGTTTTGGTTGAGACATTTCTCAAAAGAAGACATATAAATGGCAAACAGGTATACGAGAAGGTGCTTAACATTATTGATCATCAGAGAAAAGCAAATCAAAACTACCATGCCATATCATCTCACCCCAGTTAAAATGGCTTTCATCCAAAAGTCAGGCAATAACAAAGGCTGGCCAGAATGTGGAGAAAAGGTAACCCTCATACACTGTTGGTGGGAATGTAAGTGAGTGTAACCCCTATGGAGAATAGTTGGAGGTTCCTCAAAAAACTAAAAATAGAGCTACCATACGATTCAGCAATCACGCTGCTGAGTATATACCCAAAAGATGCAAAATCAATATATTAAAGAGATATCTGTACTCCCATGCTTATTGCAGAACTATTCACAATAGTCAAGATTTGGAAGCAACGTAAGTGTCCATCAACAGGTGAACGGATAAATAAAATGTGGTATAGATACACAGTGGATAACTATGCAGCCATAAATACAATGAGATTCTGGCCGAGGGTGGTAGCTCATGCCTGTAATCCCAGCACTTTGGGAGGCCGAGGCGGGTGGTTCACAAGGTCAGGGGTTTGAGACCAGCCTGACCAACATGGTGAAACCCCATCTCTACTAAAAATCCAAAAATTAGCTGGGCATGGTGACAGGCACCTGTAATCCCAGCTACTCAGGGGTCTAAGGCAGGAGAACTGCTTGAACCCAGGAGGCGGAGGTTGCAGTGAGCCAAGATCGCGCCACTGCACTCCAGCCTGGGTGACAGAGCTAGACTCCATCTCAAAAAAAAAAAAAAATATATATATATATATATAGAGAGAGAGAGAGAGAGAGAGAGAAAGAGAGAGAGAAAGAGAGATTCTGTAATTTGCAACAACCTGGATAAAACTGGAGATCATTATGTTAAGTGAAATAAGCCAGGCACAGAAAGACAAATTTCACGTGTTCTCACTTATTTGTGGGAGCTAAAAATTACAGCAATTGAACTCATGGATATAGAGAGTAGAAGGATCATTATTAGAGGCTGGGAAGGATAGTGGGGTGGGGGTAGGAAGAATAGTTAATAGGTACAAAAATCTAGTTAGAAAGAATGAATAAGACCTACTATTTGATAGCACAACAGGGTGGCTACAGTCAACAATAATTTATTGTACATTTAAAAATAACTAAAATAATCTAATTAATTGTTTTTAACCCAAAGAAAGGATAAATGCTTGAGGTAATGGATATTCCGTTTACCTTGATGTGATTATTAAGCATTGAAAGCCTGTATCAAAATATCTCATGTACCCCATAAATATATACACCTACTATGTAACTCCAAAAATTAATAAACAGAATTTTTTTTAAGTAATTGCTTAACCCCCCACCCCCGCACCCCCTGCCACACACAGACACAAACTTATTGTGAGCCTTGAGGTTTTAGGAGGCAGGGGTAGCCATCTGTGAGAGCCAGTCAGACCACCTGCATTCAAATCCTACCTCTGCCTCCTCTTAGCTCCCTCACCTTGCGCAAGTTACTTGACCTTCTGGGGCCTGGGTTTCCTCATCTGTGAGAATGGAACCAATGATAACAAGCTGTACTGCCTTAGATCAGGGCAGCCTAGGCCATGCTCTGGAGAGCTTTGTTCTGGCCTCCTCCAGCCACATCCTTCTCTGGGGACCGGGGCACGTTTCACCGGGATCCTCCATACCCGCTGCCACACCACATTCTAGGTGTGAGGAGCTTAGGAATTCCTGGCCTAAGTAGCCTCTAACCCATGGCCTTGCAGGGCCCACACGGCTTCTTCCCTGGCCTGTCCTTCTCAGGGCAGACAGTGCCATGACACTCCTAGGCCTGCAGGGTGTCCAAGGGGCTGCTGATTGCAACAGGTTTCTGGACTGAGCTTCAACTTGTGACTGGACAGTCCATGCATTGAATGTCTGCCCCCTCGTGATAAGAGACAGACTAAGGATGAAGACGAGGTAAGGGTCTCCCTATGTACTGTGGCCCCAGGCCTGTCTCATAGGTTGCTGTGGGTATTAAATGGGTTAATTCACAGGACATGTGCTAGCAGTCGTTAAGTTGGCCCTTAACATTGCTCTCCATCCCTACATGTAGGGATCAGTGTGTGCATGTTTACATCTTCCTGGAGGACACTGACTCAGTCTGCTTTCTCCTCCCTGGGCCCAGAAACCATCACTTGCTTCCTACCTGGCTCCCCTGGAAGTTTCCCAAAGTTTTCTGTCTTCACAAACAGCAGCTTTGTCCTCTTAGAAAGAATCTTTAGGCCCTACTTTCAGAAGTCCATTCTAGGAAGGCCCAGATCCGAATCGCTTCTGGAGTGATTTTTCCCATTGCCAATGCTTAATTTATTTTCCAAATGGTTCCCCAAAGTATCCTTAAAACCACAAAATGCCGTCTGCAGTCCTCCTCTGTTCCAAGAATGAGCATGAATGCTGGGAGAGGCCCTGTGTGCTATGCAGAGGGAAGGTACACAGATCTGTGGCTCGGCCTTACCCAGCCAGTGGCCCTTGCTCCTCTGCCTCCCTCCCTCTCCCAAGGCTGGGCTGCCTGGTGCTTCCACTGTGGCCTTTGGCCTGCTTCTTGGTAATGGGTTTCCTGAGGCTGCCTGCCTCCCTGCCTCATCCAGGATACCCTGTCACTGTCTCCACCAGTCTGTCTCATTGTCTATGCAAGAAACTCTGGACACCAACACTTGTCTGCTTCTTTTTTCCTCTGGCCCCCACCTTCAGCCTGCTCAGTGGACATCTGGAGCACCTGCCAGTCACTCTGGGGACCCCAAGGACTCCTTCATCTGGAAGCAGAAAGAGGCAGAGTAGGGGCAAAGCTGTGCTGAAGGTCAGGCTGTGATGAGAGCAACACCTTGGTTGTTGAATGTTCTGGGACATCTAATGCCCCTTCCTGTGATAAACTAACCAAGGCAGTTGAGTGCTGTAATTGCCAGTCAATGGGCTCCTTGAGAGCAAGCAGGGGCTGAGTGTCCCACTGACTGCTGCATCTCACTGCCCCTGCACAGTGCTAGCACAGGATTGCTCAGTGAATTTGCTAAGTGAATTAATCCACAAGTGCAGCATGTAGAAAAACAAGTTTTTTAAGCTAAAATTACAAGGGCTATGTATAGAAGGTGAAAGCATTATGTGGAAGGCCTTTTGCTCTGCTTGTTGGGTTTGACAGGATAGGTATGTGAGGACATGCAGGGGGTGGGAGCTGAATTATTCTGTGTAAAGGAAAGAAGAATCCAGAGTATCCCAGGACAATCCTGGGGGGAATAGTAGGGAGCAGGGATGGCAGGAAGGAGGGCAGGTGGGAAAATAAGATAGCTGGGAGTTGTGTGGTGTGCAATGCTATCCCCATCCCCCACACCTGCAGCACCAAATCTTCAGTAAAGTTTACCAAACTCATGAATGCTTATTATAAGTGGTGTGTGTGTGTGTGTGTGTGTGTGTGTGTGTTTGTGTGTGTGTATGTGCGTTTATTAGTGAGGGTTCTCCACAGAAACAGAACCAACAAAATGTATCAGAGAGATACAGAAGAGAAGATATATTATGGGAATTGGCTTACACAATTATGGAGGTCAAGAAGTCCCACATATGCCATTTGTAAGCTGGAAACCTGGGAAAGCTGATGGTGTAATTCAGTCCGAAGCCAAAGGCCTGAGAACCTGGCAGCCACTGGTGGAAGTCTCAGAGTCCAAAGTCCTGAAGAGCTCCAGTGTCCAATGGTAGGACAACGTGATTGTCCCAGCACAAGGCGAGATAAAGGTAATTTGTCATTCCTCTGCCTTTTTGTTCTATCTGTGGCCTCCATGAATTACATGTTGCCCACCCACATTACTGAGGGCAGAGCTTCTTTACTCACTCTACTAGTTCAAATGCTAATCTTTTAAGAAACACTCCCTCAGACATACCCAGAAATAATGTTTTACCAACTATCTGGGCACCCTTTAGCCCAGTCAAGTTGACACATAAAAGTATCCATCATAGTATGTGTGCTTGTGTGTATGTGTATTTGTGCAAATGTGAGCATATGTGTGCTCTGTGTACATGTGTGCATTTTGTCTGCATACATGCATACATGTGTGTTTGTGCATGCATGCAGAAATTAGGAATGAGCTTGCTTTCATGTTGAGGTCAGCATGATGTAGGACAGAAACAGCACATAAAATAAGAACATAAGAGGCTGAAGAAGCTCTGAGAAAGTGAGCCCCCTAGACTTAGCAGAAATTGCATAGGAAAGTGCTAGATTTCCATGAGGCGAGGGAAGCAGTGGAAATATGTCTGACTATTGCATCCAGGTCTCTTTGGGTCATGTGAGTAGAGAAGCCACTACTGATGCTCAGAATTAACCTGGACCCTTGCAGAGAAGACAAGGATGAGCTCACAGAGCCACAGTCTCAGGACAGTGTGGATGGGCACGGCCAGAGAGCAGGAAAGGACTGCAGATGGCCCTGGGATAGAAGCCTTGTGAGAGGGGTGGTCTTGGGTGTAAAGGAGAGGGGTGACTAAGGAGGAGGCTTGTCATCACATGATTTCTTTGGTCATCCCCCTTCACTAAAGTCTCTGCTTCTCAAAACAGATACAGGGTCACATTCATCTCTGTGTTCCCAGGATCTATTAAAGTGACTGCTGGCATCAAGGCACTAATAATTGTTTGTTGAATGAACAAATTAATGGAGATGTTTTTGCATATAAAATACGATATGTTGCTTAAAAATTCAATTGGTGCTCAGCTTTGCAGATGCACATCTGTTTCAATAGTTAGCTATTTTAATTACATTCGGCTTTTTCTGTGCTGCATTTATGAAGCAGACTGTGGCAGTAATAAAATTAAACTAATCATAGTAGAAAGCTAAATAGGATTATCCAAGGTAGATTTTTGACCCTCAATTATATGATATGGCTACCATCATTCAGAACGTATTAAGAGGCAGTGTGGTCCAATAGGGAGATCAAGTCCCTTAAAACAAACCACCTAGGTTTGAATTCTAGCTCTGTCCCTTATTATCAATGTGAACTTGAGCAAGAATCAAATTCTCAGCAGTTATATGAAGAAAGTAATATCCACCTCCTAGGACGTGAGGCTAGGAATGATGGCAGGAGTACATAAGTGGCACAGACAGTGAGATTACTGCAATTTCAGGTCAAGCTATTCTTGAATCCAAATCTGTAATAGTTGTGAGCTTCAGGTGGAAACAGGTAAGGTTGCTTTAGGAATCTGCTTCCAACTCAGAATCCAAGTACCATAAATAACAGGAGACCTGGCTTTGCCTGGCTTTAATCCAAATCCCGTGGCCCAGTGTTCATCTAGAGTCAGTATGAAGTCTGATCCCAAGCACTGAAACAATATTTAATATCAGCCCATTGTGCCACTGAATTCTGCCATAATCTGTTTTCAGATTTGCTGAAGTTTTCTTTCTGATTTTATCAGCAATTATCTCAAATGAAATTGGCACTTGGCAATTGGATTACTGGATCATTGCCTCTCTTATCCTAGTAGATGGTGAAAAGCAAATGCAATTTTCGCCAGTTACATGTCAACTACTCCATGTTGCCATAGGAAAAAGAAGCTTTGGCCTAGAGAGATGTGGTAGGAAAGGACCTGGATGGAGGAGAAACCTGGATTCTAGCTCTCACTTCAAGCATTTCTTTACATTCATAAGATATAAAGGGCCTGAGAGTTTTAATCTATCAGCTTTTTACTGTTTTTGTAGTCCATATTCATATTAATCAAACTTCCCACTGCTAATGATAATTTGTGCTTATATAGTAAATGTCAATCCTTTAAGACAACATTTTGCCATGCTTTATCCTCCCAATAATTCTTCAGGGTAAAAAGATTAGATGAAGAGTCTGGATGCTAGAGCCAGAGAGAACTGGATTTGATTTTCACTCTAGCCCACAATTGCTTCGTTTGCAAAATAGAAATTACAAGTCCTTATTGGAAAACTTGTTATGAAGATTAAAAGAGATGGTAATGTACAGGGCCTACCCAATCCTTCCCAACTCTCTCCTCTTTTATAGAGGCAGCTCATCTACACCACTATTCAATAAATAATATTTATGTCAGGCACTATCCTACATAGTGTAGATTGTATTTTTCTCAATTACTTGCTTTTTCCCCTGTAAGAGGATTATACATTTCTGCCATTGGCTGGATCTTTAAATGTGAAAACACATGTAAGAGTGAACCTGCATCCAACCTGCAGCATTGAAGAAAGCATCATAACTCACGGAGCTGTGAGTCTTGGCAGATGCTGACTAGTACCCTGTGTGCTTCAGATTGAGCAAAACAGACCCTGTTTTCTGCCACATGGAAGTTATAATCTAATGAGGAATACAGGTATTAGACAATTATTATAATACATTTGGGGGAGTTTCTATTAGTCAGTGTTCTCCAGAGAGGCAGAACCAATAGGGTGTGTGTGTGTGTGTGTGTGTGTGTGTGTGTGTGTGTGTGTGTGTGTGTATCTGTCTATCTATCTATTTATCTATCTGTCTACCTATCTACCTGTTTATCCATTTCTCTGTCTAGAGATTTATTTTAAGGAATTGGCTCGTGCAATTGTGGAGGCTTGGTGAGTCATGATTGCTAATCAGCTGAACTTAAAATAAATAAGTTATCTTGGATTATCTGGGAGGTCTCAATGTAATCACAAGGATCCTTTAAATGTAGAGAGGGAGGTCTGAGAGTGATTGTCCGAGTCAGAGAGCGATTGGAAGGTGCTACGCTGCTGGTTTGAAGATGAGGGAAGCTGCTATGAGCCAAGGTGTGCAGGAGGCCTCTTGAGAAGCTAGAAGGATGAGATGGTCACTCCCCTAGAACCCTCAGAAGGAACACAGTCCTGCCAACAGCTTGACTTTGGCCAGTGAGACCTGTTTTGGACTTCTGACCTCCAGAATTGTAAGAGAGTAAATGCGTGTTGTTTTAGGCGACTAAGTTTGTGGTTATTTGTCATAGCAGCAAGAGGAAACTAACACAGCCCTTACTCTCTGTCTCCAGAGCTCACAGCTTTTGTTTTCTGATGAATTACTTCCTATTTTCTCTGTGATGTGCTTTGATGTGTGCTGCACCCTCCTAGAGTTATAATTAAAATTTGCCTTAAACACCAAGCCCACCGGCATCAGAGGAGCCATGCTGGGTCAAACTCATCAGCTCAATATCCAGTTTGTGATCGTGGTACCAGGGAGACAGAATCACTGGGGCTGGAGGGACAAGGGCACTCAAAGATCACCCAGGTCATCCCACCATTACAGATGGATAACAGATTGAAAGCAGAGGAGCAACTTTCCTATAGCTGCGGAGCCAGATGGGAGCTGAGCTAAACCCCAGCCTCTGGATACCAGATGGGGATGCTTCCCTCCTAAACATGATACAAGCCACATTCATTCCCATTAGCAGCTCACCCCTCAAAACCCGGCATGGTATAGCATGATGGTGGTCAGCGGGAGCGACGGAGTGCCGGGAGGAAGGTGGGGAGGGCGCCTGTCTGAAGGCTGCATGAGGAGCACAAAGCTGTCAGAGCCTTGGAAATATGGGGTGTGTGTCCGGGAGGCATTGTCGCCCTTCATGAAGGAATCGGGCAGAGACGTGGCAGTGTGGGTGGCAGGGAGATTCCATCCTTGGAGGAGGAGAGGCTTGTGCAAGCTGCCTGGAAGGTCCCTTGGACACTACGCTGCCATACCTCAGTGAACCGTGGCTGTGGGAAGGCCATGCTCCCTGACGTCACCTTTAAGGCTCAGGGTGTATCTTTCCCTAAACCTCTCCACCCTTCCTTTTGCCAAACCAGCAGGAGCAGCTGTTCACTTTGTGCCTTGTCACTTCAATCTTTATTCCTTTATCTCCTCCATCCCAGGCTGCTGGGAGATATATTTCTCTTACTTCAAAAAGCCCCTAACAGTCCATGCCGGCGGCTGAGAGGCGCATGCAAGGCTTGAGCTCATTTGCGAGCAGCCCTCTAGGTCCAAATCTAGTTCGGGCCAGGGCTTCTGGCCCGCCTGTTGTGCTGTCCCCACCCTGCCGCCTGTAATCGGCACCTTTCTCTCCAGGAGAAGGCAGGCTCAGTGGCATAGCCCATCACCGTGGGGCCAGAATAAAACTCAGTCATCATCATAGCTGAACTCCAAAGGGTTGTCTTCCAGCCTCTGCAAAAGCCTCAAAGCAGCCTCTGAGACCTCTGTGATATTGTGCCAGGGAGGAGGGAGCTTTAGGGACCTGGAGGATTTAATAGAGAACATGCAATTAGCATACACCTCCAGCCTCCTGTGCCCTCCAGCCAAATCTCCCTTTCCCCAAATACATTAACATACACTTGCCATGTTTTACTTAAGGAAAACAACAACAAACAATTAAACAATTATGGTCTTCTGATCTTGTTTTTCTACAAGAGAAATTCTTTTGTCTGGTGGTGGGGAGTTGTGGGGGGCGGGGATGTTGGACAGGACATGTGGCTCCCAGAAGCCAGAGCAAATTTCAATAGAGCAGCTCCCGCGATTTCCACCCACCCCCAAGACCTAGTTTGGAAAGCAGGCCTCTGACCCCAGTTTTGGTTGTCGCGTGTTTGTTTAGTCTTGCATTCAGGGCCTTCCTCGATGCATAATTTTCCTTCTCTTTCTGTGTCACTCGTGTGAGAGGAAAGAAGACGGAGACAAAAGGAGGACACAGCAGGGCCCTCCTTCCTTCTTATTCCTAAATAAAGTGTGTCTCGGGTGGGGGTTGGAGGGGAGCTTTTCACATTTGTAAATTGCAGCTGAAGAAAAGTCTCCATGGGAGGCAGGGATGTGAATGTGGTTCAGGACTAAAAAAGGGAAAAGAAGATTTCTTTTTCCTCAGTGTTTTGAGTAAAGAAGAAAATAATAACGTGGGCTTCCTGCTTGTTTCCACAAGATGGGAGAGTCACCTGAGACCTGGATGTTCAACATTTTTTTAATTTAGAAATTACACTTTATTTTAAGACATTGTCCTTTTCAAGGTATTTTCCTGGACAATGACAATATAAATAGCCATATTTCCTACTTCATTAATACCACAGGCGGATATGAGGGTTTCCATCCTCATATTGGGCTTCGGTTTAGGCTGTTTGTTGTGTCTTAGAGGGAAGGCATAGGGAAAGAGGCTCTTTTGGGTACTTTTTCTTTGTTTTAGAGACAAGGCCTCACTTTGTCATCAAGGCTAGAGTGCAGTGGTGTGATCATAGGTCACTGTAGCCTCAACCTCCTGAGCCCAAGTGTTCCTCCTATCTCAGCCTCCTGAGTGGCTGGGACTACAGGCATGTGTCACCACCATGCCTGAGTAATTTTTTTTTTTTTTTTTTTTTTTTTTTTTTTTTTTTTTGAGAGGGAGTCTAGCTCTGTCACCAGGCTGGAGTGCAGTGGCGTGATCTTGGCTCACTGCAACCTCCACCTCTTGGGCTCAAGCGATTTTCCTGCCTCAGCCTCTCGAGAAGCTGGGATTACAGGCAAGTTTTAAATTTTTTGAAGAGATGGGGTCATGATGGTGGTGGGGGAGGTGGTCTCGTGATATTGCCAAGGCTGGTCTTGAACTCCTGAACTCAAACAATCCTCCCTCCTTGGTCTCTGAAGTGCTGAGATTCCAGCCATGAGTCACTGTACCCGGTCTATTGGGTGATTTTATACAGGTAGTGTTGGTTCACATGTGCACAAGATCTCTTCATTTTCCAAATGAAGAAAGTGAGAATGAGAAAGGTGAAATACCTTACCCAGGCCTACACTATGAATGAATGTATGAATGAGTGGCTGAACTGGATCCAAGAATTTCTATCAAGTGTGCAAGTCAGTGCTTCCCTGCTGAATCATAGCTACCCCTGACACTTACACAGCCCATGGGTCCCACACAGCCTTTCCCTGCAGCTCCAGCCTCACTTCTTCAGCTGCCTTGTTGACAACATCATTAACTTCAAGCCTAACAGGTTTACAAATGAACTGTTGATTCTCTCTTCCCAACCTTTCGTTGCCTCCAAATAATGGATTTTCCCCAACACTACAGTTATCTCTTGTTGTGTAACAGACTATTCCAAACCTTAATGACTTAAAACGACCATCATTTAATTATATTTTATAATTTTGTGGACCAGGAATTTGAGCAGGACTCAGCTGGTAACTCTTCCACAAGGCTTTGGTGGAGGTCCACCAGATGGCATTCCACTGGTAGACAGGCTGTTCTAGAGGGTCCAGGATGGTTGGGGGTTCACACGTCTGGTGCCTCAGTGGGACGGCTGGAAGCTGGGCTCACCTAGCCTCTTCACTGGAGTGTCAATACGTGGCCTCTCCAGCGTGGCAGTCTTAAGGTAGCCAAGTTCTCACGTGGTCATATCTACATGCTTCTTATACAGACTACACAAGAGGTGGTGTCTCCCACTATGAATGTTTGTGCCCCTCCAAAATTCATGTTGAAGCTTAATCCCCAATGCAACAGTACTAAGAGGTGAAGCCTTTGGGAAGGGATGAGACCATGAGGACTCAGTCCTCATGGACGGAGTTAGGGACATTATGAAAGGGCTGGAGAGAACTAGCAAGACCTCCTTTTGCCCTTTGGCCCTTGTGCCACAGGAGGACACAGTGTTGCCCCTTTGGCCATGTGAGAATGCAGCAAGAGGCACCATCTTGGAAGCAGAGAACAAGCCCTCACCAGACACTGACACTGCCAGCACCTTGATCTTGGACTTCCCAGCTTCCAGAACTGGAAGAAACACATTTCTGTTGCTTATAAATTACCCAGTCTAAGCCATTGTGTTATAGCAGCACAAATGGATGAAGACACTCCCTTTGAATATGGGCTGGCCTTAGTACTTTGCTTCTGAAGAATAGAAGTGATGCTTCCAGGGCTAGGTTAGAAAAGTGATGCAACTTCCACCTGACTTACTCTCTTATGGCACAACCTGGAGTACTAGACTGATACGCACATGCCCGGTGACCCTGAAGCTGTTATGCTGGAAGAGACATATGGAGAGACTCCACAGCACCAGAGACACCCGAAGGGCTCCAGCTGCTCCAGCCTCAGCTGTTAGCTGTGTGGCTATGGCCATACCCCTTGCATGGGGCATGCCTTCTGACAAATCTCCACTCCTCTCTTGTTCCCCTACAGTATTATTTACACATCACCAGAGGCAACTTTTTAAAAATATGCATTGGATCATATAATTTCCTTACTGGAAACTTTCAGTGACTTTCCACTCTAGGTAGAGACCACCCTTTACTCTAGCCATGATATCCCAGCTCTTAGTGGCTCCCCTTCCAGCTTCAGGCCTCTGACTGTCCACTGTCCACTCAGGACCTCATTGTCCAGTCCCTCCACCGGGGTACATGGAAGCTTCTTTATCTCCTAGAAATGGGAAGATTGGAGCAGCATCTCAGGGCCACCCCTCCACACGCTTCACTCTTTTCCTTCTGCTTACCAATCCAGCTTTAACGTGAGCATGGTGGGGAAGAGGAGCCCTCACATACACAGGGATTATGCAGCATCACCCCATCTTATGGCTGAGGCTCCAGCATTGAGTGTTAGGGGTGATTTTCAGAGACCAAGGCAGCATCTCCATCCTGGATGAGGACCCACAGAGCTCTCTGCCTTCTTCTGCTGCAGAAAGTATCCCACTTCTTCTCTACAGAAAGTATCCACTTCTTTTCTGGCAGGAGAAGTCTTGCCTGACATCTCCAGTCTCTGAATACTCTGGGTGACTATTTTGGGAATCAAAAGTTCCATATAGATGCTTTCTCAGTATTACTGCTGTAAGTCTCCTAATCCTCCCTAAGGCAATGGATTTCTCTGGCTGAGTGGGGTAAAGATAATGTAAAAGGAGACACTGAAAGAGCACACAGGCAAAGGTGTGTGGGTGTGAGTTTGCATCCAAGTGTGCCTGTGATTGGGCATGCGCATGTGTTATGTGCATGTGTGTGCATGTATATGTGTGCTCATGTGTGTATTGGCATATGGAGATACATTAAATTATTCCTGCTGTATCTACTTCAAAATGCTTAACATATTCTTGTTACTTGTTTATTATCAGTTTACCTTACTAGATATAAGCACCGTAAAAGTAGGGGCTTGCCTGTCTTGTTCATTGTTGTATTCCTAGTACCTACCTAAAATAGTGCTTAAAGCACAGATGGTGCTCAAAAAGTATCTATTTAATGAATGGATGCATGAATGAATGAATTGGGATCCACATAGCTTGGAGAAAATACTGAGCTTTTCATTTAACTCCTATATTTTAACCCTGTCACTTAGGTATGTTAATTTCTGTAATGCTCACTTTGAATACCTTCTGAATAAAGAAAAAAGCCAGTGTGGTGGGATTATGTCCTGTCCTGTGCTAAGCATTTATAGGCAAATCTCCTTTCTTATTTCTGTAGTACATGTGAGAAAACTGAGGCTTAGAGAAATGAAATGACTTGTTTAAGTGAAAAGACTAAAATATGACAGAGCTGAATTTGAATCTATGTTTGTCTTACACTAGACCTCACTACATCACGTTGAAAAAATAACACCTTTGGGAATAACAGCAGTGCTTTCTGCAATGTCGTAAGGATCCAACGGCAAACAAGTGAGACTAGAATGTTTGGCACGAAATAAACACTATATGTGTTAGCAATTCTTAGAATTGTTGTTGTTGTTGTTTTACCCACCAACTTATCATCTTCATTGTTCCCATTTCCCTTTAGGGGAATAGGAGGGTATAAGATTCACATCTCAAGGGCTACAGGGCACTTTAAAGCCACTTTTTCCACCTTCTCTTCTTCCTTCTATTCTCCCACTTTCTTCTAGACAGAATCAAGGAGAGCCAGGTGAGGGCTTCACCTCAGGTATCACAGATGAAATTGGAGGGGGTTATCAGACACTTCCCAAGGCTTATCATCAGAGGTGGAGGATGAGAAAGACTGACTGTATGCAGAGTTCAAAGTCAGAGAGGTGGAGACTGCATGTATATCCTACCAGACAGGAAGGATGGGGCAGCTCTGTAGCTGGCAGAGCTCAGAGCAGCATGGAGTTTTGGGGCCTGGAGGCTGTGCTACAAGAATACTCAACTGATGTGGTGCCCAGGATGAGTTTGGAGTGGGGGCGGGGTCTCCTAATGTGTCAAGGAGGAGCAGGACACCAGGTCCGGCCTACTTTCTGCAGGTGTGGGGTGGAATTACCCCACACAAAGCAGAGCCAGTGTTGGAAGAGCAAAGTGGGAAGTGAGAGTGAAGCCGACTACAGCTAAAGCAACATCCAGAGGGAGGCAGTCAGGCTTGGAGCAGCAGGAGAGAGAAGTCAGGATACAGGCAGGATGCAGGTGAGAGGGCTCAGAGAGAAAGGCTGGCGATGACACCTGGAGGGGGTTCACTCTGGGGGTTGTCTGGGGACCCTCTTGCAGGTGAAGAGGGGTGGGCTCACCTGCACTCATTCTTTTTCATATTTCCCTTAAGCTGGGTAAAACTTTAAAATTACTTATGTAAAACACAGTCCTATAAATACACAGGAAACGGTTCATATTATTATCTTATTTGTTTCTCCAAGGTAGGGAAAGAGAGAAGGGGAGAGCCTCAGGGGTACATGCAGCTTTAGAGTTGTTGAACGACCTCTTTCCAGTTCCTTAAAAGAAAAGGAACCCTTGGGATGCTGAATCAGGCAGATCACCTGAGGTCAGGAGTTTGAGACCAGCCTGGCCAACGTGACGAAACCCCGTCTCTACTAAAAATACAAAAATGAGCTGGGCGTGGTGGCAGGTGCCTGTAGTCCCAGCTACTCGGGAGGCTGAAGCAGGAGAATTGCCTGAACCCAGGAGGCGGAGGTTGCAGTGAGCCAGGATCGTGCTACTGCACCCCAGCCTGGGTGACAGAGCGAGACTCTGTCAGAAAAAAAAAAAAAAAAACAAAAAAAAAAAACATAAAGAAAAGGAACCCATCTTTGTTTGAGAAAAACCCAAGACAGACTGTTGCAAAGCAAGAAGCATGAGAGCAGGCCGCGTAAGGCCCCCACTGTGGGCAGAAACCTCGCAGTAAATGGTGTGGAAGAAAAACAGTGAAAGTCACAGAGTAGTAGAACTCAAAAAAAACCCGAGAGATGATCCATGCCTCAAGTTTTCAAACCGAATCCTGCAGAGCAAGGGCTGCTGTGGAGCTGCCTGATGGCTGTGAGGTGGCTATTGGGAGTGTCTCCCCGTCCTTGTTCCTATTTCAACCTAAACATTTCTACTTTTACATTTTTTATGTTAAATTTACGCATAATGATTTTGCTTGAAAAGTGGATTCTGCTGTTTCTGCATGAAATGTACAAAGTGCTCTCTATTCCCATCCACCCATGTACCAGGGAGGAAAGGGAGTCCTAGAGAGAGCCGATCCTCCCAAAGGACACAGCTGGTTAAGGCAGAAAAGGAACTTGAACCCAGCACTCTACCCTTAGTATCCAGAAAGAAACAATCTATTTCCTCCTGGGGTCATTGGAATTAGTTCCTCACTCTGAGCAAGTGGTCTGATAGGAACTCATGGACTGTCTCTGCCCACGGCCAGCATCAGGCTGACCTGTGATCCCAACTCCATTGAATGTCATAGCTGATGAATGGCCCAGGCAGCTTCAAATGTTTATCATCTCAGCTGCAGAAGGCCTGACAGGGAGAGAAGAAACATCTCTTCATATATATTCATCAAAATGCTCTCCAACCTTTCAGACCAGGGCTGCCTTTGTTAGCCCAAGAGCTCCATTATAATTTGCTGTAAACCTGGCAGTCTCATGTCATTCGCATATGGCCACATAAGCTCTATAACATTTTCTGGGCTGTCATGACATTCAGAGAGGCGAGGCAAAAATAACATGCCACTTGGGCCATGGTTGAGCCTTTCTATCTTCATTGATTCTTATGACCCAACTTAGGTATGGGTTAGATGAGGGGGAGGATCATTTGAGGAGCACATACAAGATGCTGGGCAGTGCCCTAGACATTCTACATGCATATCTCATTTGATACACATGACAACCTGGAGAAGTAAGTATCTCTTAGAACAGGCTAGGCTCTGCTGCAGTAATGCATAAACCCAGAAAGCTCAATGGCTTAACATGATGCAAGTTTATTGGTCATGCAAATCCAGGCTGCATTGCAATATGGATGTAGTAAGGGTGCTCTTTCTCTTGGCTGTAGGTAGGTCTTTCCTAGTATATCTGAGATCAAGCTCATCTTGCTACCTCCAGGATTGAATCTTTCCTCTTTACTATGGTCTGGTGCACGGAAGACATTCATAATTTTTCTATTAATGAAACTTTTACCCTGTTTCTTAGCAAGTAATACAATGGACTAATGAAACTAAAGAGAGTGCAGCTCCTCCTCACCTAGACTTACATTAAAAAACATTCTGCACTGCGAATCAAATTAAAGAATATTATACTTGAATTCCCTCTTTTTTAATACCTGCAAGAGGAGATTACAACTCTTATTTTACCTAAAATGAGACTTTTCTGCCTGGAAACAGAAAATCACGATGACATATAGTCTATTTGTGAAAAATGACAATACTGATTTCATTCATAACATATTAAGGGGGTGAGGAACAAACAATTTTGAAGCACAAAATTGTGAGGTTTACTAGGTTTGGTAAAACTTTTATTATTAGCTATAAAAAATTAGGTTTAATGAAGCAATAAATCTGCTCATGAAAAGTATAAGTGATTATTAGAATTGTAGACAAAACATTCCTACTCGCAGAAGGCCTAATGGAATGAAAACAGTAATTACAATGCCAAAAATATTTTTAGGTGTTAAAATTGACACCGGGAAAATGAAACACTTTGCTTAATTTTTGATAGCGTTACATGTTGAGACATGACATGTGTGGCATTTCGACTGACACAAAGACTTGTTTTTTAGCTCAAACACATCTCGTATTTTCACACTTGGGTTTGCAATATGATTTCACAAATTTTGGCCTAGCTCCAGCTGATTGCAAAGCACCACAGTTCTAAGATACATTTCCCTTCTTCCTGTACATAATAGGAAGCGTTACATTACTCAGGAGTTTGGTTATGTTGTTATTGTGATTGTTTTTCTTTTATAAACATTTTTAAATGTTCTAATTTACCATTTGTTAATTTATGTTTTTAATTTATAATTTTCCTGGGTACATAGCAGGTGTATATATTTATGGAGTACCTGACATGTTTTGATACAGTCATGTGGTGTGACATAGGCACATCATGGAGAATGGGGTGTCCATCTCCTCAAGCATTTATCCTTTGAGTTACAAACAATCCAATTGCACTCTTTAAGTTATTTTAAAATGTGAAATTAAGTTATTATTGACTTTAGTCACCCTGTTGTGCTATTAAGTAGTATGACTTATTCATTTTTTTCTATTTTTTTGGTGCTCATTAACCATCCCCACCTCCCCACAGCCTCCCACTACCCTTCTCAGCCTCTGGAAACCAACCTTCTACTGTCTATGTTCATGAACTCTAATTGTTTTGATTTTTAGATCCCACAAATAAGTGGGAACATGTGATGCTTGTCTTTCTGTGCCTGGCTTATCAGATACACTTAACATAATGATCTCCAGTTTCATACATGCTGTTGCAAATGGCTGGATCTCATTCTTTTTTTATGACTGGATAGTTCTCCACTGTGTATGTGTACCACATTTCTTTTATCCAATTATCTGTTAATGGATACTTATGTTGCTTCCAAATCTTAGCTATTGTAAACAGTGCAGGAACAAACATAGGCGTGTAGCTATTTCTTTGATATACTGATTTCCTTTCTTTGGGGCATATACCCTGTTGTTTTCCTTTTAAATGCAAGTCTAATACTATGATCTAAAATACTATTGCTTAAAAATATTGACTCTCCTTTTAAGAGGATCAACATGATTGCAGCAACAGAGATCTGTTGATCTCTATTTTATACATGCCTATATGACGTCTGACACTAAGCAAACTGTAAATTGGGAACCAGTTTATATTTCATCTGACTTTTTTTGGACAATCAAAACATTGCCTAACAATGGTTTACAATTTCTATTTTAATACACTGCCTGTAATATATGCAAGTTTCTACAAACAAAAGGAACTCCACAAATTTCAGCAGGTCGACAGTCTGAAAGGGCCATCTCCTCACAGTGCTGAAATCAGCACCATTTGAACAAAGCAGCCTGTCTTTTTAAGAAAAATCCCTCTATAGAGATGCTGTAATTTCCCTGTTACAAAGGAGCCTTTTTCTGAGCACGTAAAGTAGCAGTTTGTTCAGTGTGACCTCTGCTTTCATTCTATCAAGGTTGTATCTGATTACAATGTAAGACAGATGAAGGGGACGCCATTCTGGGCAAAGAAGAAAAAAAGTTTTAGTCTTGGGTCACTTGCAAAAGTGGCTCAACACTTTCATTGGCAATGTTGTCAATATTTTCAGGGGTGTTTCTCCTATGTAAGCCTGAAAAGATCTGTCTGGGATATATTTTCAGGTGCTTTGATGTGCTTACTGAAAGTTGACCCACATGGGTAAACCCTGGGCTGTGTTTCTGCTTTACTTCTGAAAAACAAGACAGTGGGACAAGCGGGAGCCTCGGCGGGCATCCGCGTCAGCCCTGCCTCCTCCTGTCTCTAGGTCCTTTGGTTACCTGAGCCTGATCTGGCCCACAGTCTATTAAAAGTCATAGGAAAAACCACAGTGACTTTTGCACCAACCTTAATAACTCCTACAGGAGTTGCTGTGATTTCTGAGAAAGCACCACACAGCAGGGAGCAATACAAATGCTATTTGTGTATCACTGGAGACAGAAAATCATGATGGCAAAGAGCCCAACAGAGCCGGGTTTTAAAATCTGTTTCTACTACTAAGTCATTTTTTGTATTACCAGCAAATATTCTGCATTGTTACTATTCTGCAAGGTCACTTCTGGGTGACCTTGGACAAATTAATTAGCTCTCTGATCCTCAGTTCCATCCTCTCGGCACAGGCTTGTCAAGAGTTAAATGAGATGATGTACATCATTCTCCAGGCTCACAGCCCAGTACATAGTAAGTGTTCAGGGAATGTCAGGTAGGATTACTCTTCATAGTTATAGTGATTTTAGGAAGGAGATAAGGCCCCGGGAGTTTCTACCTCACAGAGAACTGTAGGAGGGAATATAGTTTCGTGTAATTGAAATGGCATGCACATTGGAGCTAGACCTGTATCCTGTTTCCAGTTCAGGGGCTTTGGCTACATCTCTTCCTGACACGGAATTTCCCAAGTGTTGAAATGGAGACAATAATTTCTACCTCCTAGTGCCTGACCTCTAGGATGATCCATAAATGTTATATAAATGCGAGGATGAAGTAACAAATATAAAGCATTTGCCGTGTGGTAGATGCTTTACAAATGTCATCGAGTGCTTGGGGTTGGATTATCTCCATCTCAGCAGGATACTGTGCTCTGGGAAGCTCTGCCTTGAAAACACATCTCAGTCCCACCCCATGCCTTCATCCAAACCCTCAGCACCTGCTGGGAGCCGCAGACTCCTCTCTGGTGTTCCTGTGGCCACTCTTAACACTGCCCTCCACTCCCCACCCAGCAGTCTAGAGGGATCATTCTAAACACGAGCCAAATCATGATGCTCCCCTGCTTGAACCCTGCAATGGCTTCCTTTTGTTCTCAGAATGATGGCTCATGGCTCCTGGCATGGCCTGGTCCCCAGCTGCCTGTCTAGCTTCATCTACTGAGGCTCATTCCAACCTGGCAACATTGTCCGTGCTATTCCTCTCATGCAGCAAGGACTTTGGCTGTTCCCTTTGTCTGAACTCTTCTTTACTCACATCTTTCCTGCTCCCTCTTTCCCTTCATTCAGTTTTCAGTTCACACATCTTCCCTTAAAGAGGCTCCTTAGCCACCAAGTTTCCCCTCCTTGCCCATTCACCATTGACCATTACCGCCATATTGTCTCCATGACAGTTGTCACTCCTAGACATGCTCCTTCTTGTTTACTTTTTTAAACACCTTTCTTGTATGTCTTCCCCCATGAATTAAACCTCCCTGAGATCAGGTGCTTTGTGTGTGTTATTCACCATGTGTCATCCATGCCTAATTCAGAACCTGGCATATAGTAGGTGCTCAATTGATGTTGGATTAATGAATATTGATTGCTCTCTATGTGTCGGACACTGGTTAGGGTGTTTGAGATTTAGAGATGAATGGCTTCTTTGTTCTCAAAACAGATACATATTGTAAGAGAGATAAGCATTGGGTATTATGGGAGAACACAGGCAAGACAAAGGCATCTAAATAAAGTGGGGATGATGGTGGAGGTGGCAGAGCCTTCCCCGGGTGACCAATAAGGTCTGAATCTTGAAGATCACGCACCAAATTATAATGTCCCCATCCCCAGACTGTTGTACCAGGTAGAAATTGATTACATATGAAAGTACTTTGTAAACAAATGCTTGCTGTTAATATAATGGCTGCTAGTAACCTCCATATAAGGATGTGCATTTGCTCTTGCTCCTCTGAACCTCATATTTTATTTCAGGATGATGCATTTCTTTTCCCTTCCTATGCAAAGAAAGCCCCAAACTCCAACCACAAGGCTTTACATTCAGGAGGAGACCATGGGTGGCAAGTTTAAGACAGCAGAGAGGCTGGGTGTGGACGTAGCCCTGGGAAATAGCTATTGCTGCTGCTGCTGCTGCAAGAATGGCAATGCTGGCTGCCAGAGCCCTCTAGCCCCTCACAGTGTCATCAGGGGAGATGCTGGCGAGAGGTTCTCACAGAGAAACACAAGAAGAATTGCTGTTAAAAATATTGTGACAAGGTATATGAAGCACTGAGGGATATTCCCGAGTTTCTCAAGAGTGAGGCAATCGCTCCCACAGTCATAAAAGTGCCTTGGCAAGCAAGGACAGTAAATGTAATAAAAAAGGGGGAAATGTTGTCTAAGCTCATAAAGGAGGAAGGTGATTGTGTAGTTACAGTCCTTCATAAAATCTTTCAACACAGGAGAGGGAAAGAAATTGGGTCAGCAGACCATGCCTCCATCATGCTCACTAACCTGGACAAGATTGGTCAGCTGAAAAACAACAGGACCATGCCATTATTCTAGTGAATAAAGATGGGCCTCGAGGGAGTGAGTTCCCTGTCATTTTAGATTCAGCACAAAACATAGTCCAAGGGTAGAAAACTTAGTGGACTAGGATCAAGAGACCGGGGCTCAGGGCTTATTTTTTTCTGAGTTGTTGCATGGCTTTAGATAGTTGCTCAATGTGTTTATTAGTCAGGGTAATTAACCCCAGTTGCTGTAAGAAACAACTTCACAATTTTTATATCCTAAAACAATAAATATTTATTTCTCTCTCATATCACCATATAATGTGGATCAGCAGAAGGCTTTGTTCCACATGGTCATTCAGGGACCCAGGTTAGTGGGTACTGCCACATGCAGTGCAAGATTCTCAAGGTCATCCTGGGTGTTAACTTCCAGCCTGCAGGTAGGAAAGAGACAGGTGGCATGGAAGACCACACAGAAGATTTAAAGATCTGGGGACTTATAAACTAAAATTACTAATTATTTCTTTCTCTTCATGTCCAATGGTGCCACAGAGATAGAAATTACACAGTGATGTCTCCCATTCATAAAAGGAGAGAAAAGAAGGCATACAACAGTTGCTGGACCATAGCAAGGTGGAAATCCTGAGTGCAGTGCAGACATTGTGAAGCTTTCTTGCCCTAGCAGAGGGTGAATTCCCTAGACTTTTATGCTGCTCCTTCAGTAGAACTACCATGTTCGTTTTCCTCAATGGCCCTGACTTAACTCTCTGGGAGCTTTTTCCTTGCTTCCTATCTTCCGGGAGCACATTTGAAGTAGCTGTTGAGAAGAAGCTCTTTTTGGGGGCTGTATAATTTTTGGAGCTTCCATAATCTTTGCTTATGGAAGGTTGGAGGTTCAATGGCTTGTTTTAATGGTTGTTAAATTATCACATTGTTAAGGATTTTTTTTGTCTAGACGTGTTTTCTTTGATAATACAATCCTCCCAAAATCTTCGTCAACTTCTAAACTTTTTGCTTCCAATCAGTTCCAAGTGCCAATCACCACATCCAAAGATCTTTCCTGGATGTATTTTTCAAGCCTACCTTATTTCTTTGCTTCCTCCTCCCCTTCCTCCTCCCCATGCCTTTCTCTCTCAACTTCATAGTTCACTGAGACTATCAGAGTTATATGAACAGGCCACATTCTTAATCTGATCTTTCTTGCAAAGTTTGGTTTGTTTGCTTGTTTGCCTATGTAGATCAAAGATTTTCTCAATCATATTTTCTGCCATTTGATTCCTGTTTAGAATCCGTCAGGTTTTCTGATCCTTCAAGGTCCCATATTTCTGGATTCTATCCCTTTTATTTTTGCTTATAAACCAGCTAATGGTCCCCTGATCACAATTTGTTTTCATAATGCTTTGTCAAACAGCCAATATTAGCCAAGCACTCCCAACATTTGATTTTCCACTGGAGATGGGGCCATTACCGCCTTCAAATCTAACCCACATCAGATGTCCTGTTTCTTGGAGCCAAATGCTGTATCAAATGCTGAAACCATATGTGTTTCAGGAAAAGATAAATCCCTCCAGGTATTCTGAGCAGGAAGGGATTTAATACAGGCAATTAGAATTTTGCTTTGTCATTGGAAATGCTAAAGAAGAAAAGTCAGGACCCACTGCACTCTCATCCAAACTCTCAGTGAGGGAAGACAGATGTAAAAAATGCTGATGCACATTATGCAAGGGGAAATTCTGGAGTAGACTGTGTGTGTATAGCTGCACAACCTGGTATAGCCTAGGGGAGGAGGAACATATCCTGTTTCCTTTGCTTAGGCTTCTGTAGTATATGAGGGACTAGCATTCCACATTTCCCTGACATGAGGATACTGTGACCATTGTCCTTCATAAGCTACACTGATTAGATGCTGGGTGATAAATCTTATACCTAACAACATAGAGTTCTGATAGAAGTGTAGTATCTACATTGAAAACTAATAAGTAGAATGTTTGGTTCTCCATTACTTCTGAGATAAAGTCTGAACTTTATATCATGACACATGAGGGTGGTCATGATCTGTCCTCTCACTTCTTAAGTCTTTCTCCTTGTTGGGCACCACTCCCATATTTTATTGTTGTCATATGAAATAAATCTGTGTTTTATAAACATGGCACATTCTCTCACTTCTCCTTACCAGGCTGTGCCCATAACCTAGAATGCCCTCACCTTGAGAGCTCTCCTAATCTGAAGAAAAATTTTAAAGGAATATGTTGAACTAAATAAAAATGAAAATACAACTTATCAGAAATTGGTGCAGTAAAAGCAGTGCTGCAAGAGAAATTTATAGCATTATATGCATATATTAGAAAATAAAAGAGATTTAAGATTAAAAAATTCTAAGTCTCCACCATAAGAAACTAGAGAAAGAAGAGCAATTTAAGCTTAAAGCAGAAGGAAATAAATAATAAAAATTAGAACAAAAATCAATAAAATTGAAAGCAGGAAAACAATAGAAAAAATGCTGGTTATTTGAAAATATCAATAAAATTGATAAACCTCTCTCCAGGTTAACCAAGTTTTTTAAAAAAGAGAGAAGACACAAATCACCAATATCAGAAAGAAAGAAAAGTCATCACTAGTAATCTGATGTTAAAGGATAACAAATATTATGCATCTTTTTTTGATGATTTAGATGAAATAGACCAATTTCTTGAAAAGACATAAGCTACCAAAAGAGAAATAGATAGTCTGACTAGGCCTATATTTATCTATTAGATAATTTGGGTCAATAATTAATACACTTTCAGAAAAGAAAGCACCAGGGTTGGATGATTTCACCAGTGACTTCTATAAATGTTTAAGGAAAAAATGATACCAATTATCCACAATATTTTCTAGAAAATAGAAGCAGAAAGAAACTTTCTAATTCATTCTATAAGGTTGGTATTGCCCTAATACCCAAACTAGAATAAGAAAGTACGACAAAAGGGAAGTACAGAATAACATTTCTCATGAACATAGATGCCAAAATTCTCAACAAAATATTAGCAAATAAAATGCAACAATGGATAAACAGAATCATACACCATGACCAAGTGATATTTATTCCAGATATACAAAGCTGGCTCTACATTTGAAAATAGTCAAAATCACTATATCAATAAATAAAAGAAGAAAAATATGATCATATCAATTGATGCAGAAAAAGCTTTTGACAGTACACATTCATGATAATACTCTCAGCAAACTGGAAATAAAGGGAAATTTTTTCAACTTAATAAGAAACACAAAAACACCTACAACTAACATCATATTTAATGAAGTGAAATGATGTTTTCTCCTAAGCTCAGTAACCAGGCAAAGATGTCCTCTCTCACCACTTCTACTCAACATCACACCAAAAAATCCTAGCTAGTGCAATAAGACAAAGAAAAACAAACAAAGAAATGAAAAACAAAGAAAAAAGAAAAGAAATAAAAATATATGCAGATTGGGAAGAAATAAAACTGTTTTCATTCATAGACAACATGTTTGTGTATGTAAAAAAATCCTAAAGGATGGCCAAAGTTTCCAAAACGTAAGTGATTATAGCAAAGTTGTTGGAAAACAGATTAACACAAGAAGTCCACTGCTTTTTTATATACCAATAGTGAACAATTGAACTTTGAAATTTAAAAATTAATATGATTTGTAGTAGCATCCCAAAACTAAAATATTTAGGTATAAATCTAACAAAATATGTACCAGACCTCTGTGTGGAAAATGACAAAACATTTACGAAAGAAATAAAAATATCTATATAAATGGAGAGATATTTTGTGTTTCCAGATTGGAATATTCAACATTGTTAAGTTGTCAATTCTTCCCAACTTGTTCTATAAATTCATATCTAATCAAAATCCCAGCAAGGTATTTTGTAGACACCAACAAAATGATTCTAAAGTATATATGGAAAGCCAATGACCAAGTATAGTCAACAAAATAACAAAGAAGAAAAAAATGTTGGAGAACAAATAAAATCCAATTTCAAGACATACTATAGCATGACAGTAATCAAACAACATGGTAATGGTGAAAGAATAGATACATCAGTCAACAGAGAGGAATAGAGTCCAGAAATGCACCACACAAATATAGTCAACTGATCTTCAACAAAGGAGCAGAGGCAATTCAGTGAAGAGAAGATGGTCTTTTCAAACAATGGTGCTGGAAAAATTGAGTATTCATATCAAGTAAATAAAAAATAAGCCTAGACATATGTTACACCTTTCACTAAAATAAACTCAAAATGGAGAATAAAATGAAGTATAAATGCAAAACGAAAATTTCTAGAAGAAAACATTGGAGAAAATCTACATTTCTTTGGGTTTGCTGATGAGTTCTTAGATACAATACAAAAAGAAACATACATGAACATAAATTGATAAGTGGACTTTATTAAAATTAAATAATTCTGCTCTGTGTTAGTTATTGTTAAGAGATTCCAAAGCCAAGTCACAGAATGGGAGAAAATACTTACAAAACACTATCTAATAAATGACTTATATACAAAACATACAAAGAACCCTATAAGCCACCATTATAAAAACAACTCACTTTTAAAAAATATGCAATCAATTCAACAACAACCAACCAACCCAGCTAAAACATAAGTAAAGAACTTAAACAGACATTTCTTCAAAGAAAGTATATAATTGGCGAACAAGCACAAGAAAAGATGCTCAGCATCACTAATCATTAGAAAAACCCAAATCAAAACCACAATGAGATACTATCTCACATCCATTAGGATGGTTACTAACCATAAAACCAGAAAATAACAAGTGTTGGCAAGGATGTGAAGAAATTAAAAAGCTTGTATACTATTGGTGAGAATATAAAATGCTACAGCCACTATGGAAATCAGGATGATGCTTCCTTGAAAATATTAAATTTAGAATTACCATATCATCCAGCAATTCCACTTCTAGGTATATACTCAAAATATTTAAAAGCAGGCACTCAAAGAGGTATTCGTATACCTAGGTTCATAGTAGCATTATTTGCAACAGCCAATATGTAGAAGCAACCCAAGTGTTCATGAACAATGAGTGAATAAGCAAAATGTGCTCTATGCATATAACTAAATATTATTAAGCCTTTAAAACGAAGAAAATTCTGACATGTGCTACAACATGAACTTTGAAGACAATATGCTAAGTGAAATAAGCCAGACACAGAGTGACAGATTATTTTATTATTCCACTTATATGAAGTTCATAGAGTAGTCAAATTCATAGAGAAAGAAGAATCACGGTTACTAGATGCTATGGTGAGGAAAGCATGGGGAGTTATTGTGAAATGAGTATAGAATTTTAGTTTTAGAAGATTAAAAAAAGTACTAGAGATGGATGTTGGTGATGGTTGCATAATTTTATGAATGTACTTAATGCTAGTGAACTGTACACTTAAAATGATTAAAATTGTAATTTTATGTTACATATATTTTGCCACAATAAAAAGTAAGCAAAAGATCTAAACATACACCTCATCAAAAAAGATACACAAATGGCAATGAAGCATATGAAAAGATGCTTAACATCTTCGGCCATTGGAGAATTACACATTCAAACAATGGAGAGCTCTACACATCTATTTAAAATCCAAAAACTCTGGCAATACCAATTGCTGGCAAATGTGTGGAGCACCAAGAAGGCTCATTCATTGCCAGTGAGAATATAAAATGATACAGCCACTGTGGCAGTTTCTTACAAAGTGAAGACCAGTCTTATCGTTTGATCTAGCAATCGTGCTCCTAGGTAAATAACCCAATTGATCTGGAAACATATGTCCACATTAAAAACCTCCACATGAAAGTTTGTAGCAGCTTTATTCATGATTGACAAAAGCTAGAAACAGTCGACTTGTTCTTCAATAGAACATTTGTTAATGAATAAGCAAACTGTGATACAGCCATACAATGGAATATTATTTAGTAATAAAAAGAAATAGACCATCAAGGCATGAACGACATGGAGGAAGCTTAAATGTATATTGTGAATGAAGCCAGCTCGAAAGGCTATATACTCTATGATTCCAATTACATGACATTCTGGGAAAGGAAAATCTACAGAGAAGGCTAAAGAATCAGTGATTGCCTGAGGTTTTGGAAGGTAGGGAAAAGCGAGAGTTGCATAGGTAAAGCAGACAGTTTTTTTTAGGGTAGTGGAACTATTCTGTATGATATGTTAATGATGAATACATGATACTATGCATTTGTCAAAACGCGTAGAACTTAACACACAAAAAGTGAATGTTAATATATGCAAGTAACAGGAGGTCAGTAGATGACAGGATGGAATGAAGACTGTGTCAAAACAGTCTAACTGTATCACAAATATATGAGACAACCTCACTGAAGGAGACAGGGAAAAAAGTTAGTGACCTAATATGTTTTAAAAATGAGTGGAATCTGTTAAGACCAAAGGCAAAAAAACTACACATAAACATTGTATTCTAGTTGATAAAGTTGCTTCCTATGAGGTTACAGGTCAACAATTCTGATACCACCATCATGAATACTGGAATGTAACAATTAAGTAAATGACTGGTGAGCAGAGGGAGTCAAGTTTCTCACTGTTGATGTGGGAGGTTACAGATTAATAGAGCGGAATGCTAGAATGATGCAGTGATGAATTAGAGTTGGAGACATCCGTATGAACTCACGTTTAGTTTAATATAGATACAGGTGGTTATATTAGAAATATTTATGGATATGTATATATAGATTGGTCAGTATACCTACACATATACATATATATTATATATACATATATATGTATATCCATGTGTATACACATATATTCCTTCTTTTGTCAGTTGAGAGGATCTAGAAGCAATAACACTCTGGTAGCAACAGCATACCTAGTGCCCAGATCTTGGTTGCTAATACCATTCTCCAATAAAAGGAATCAGAGCTCCTTGGAGAAACAGCTGATTCACAACTGGGCAGTGAATATACGAAATAAACTTTGTAATGACAAAAAGCAAGAAAGTCTTAAAAAAGAGTTCATAATGATGAGGATCTATCAAAGGGACACAGGAACCCACTGAAAGAGCTCCCAGTGACCAAAGCTGGAAGAATTTAAGCAAAGGAAGGAGGGGAGGAAGGAAGGGAGGAAAAGAGAGAGGGAGGGAGGAAGAAACTACTGGATTATAACCCAAAGTATAAAGTAAATATTCATGAGTCCATACTGATAAAAATAAATGATTAAATAAATAAATGGGGGGAGAATAGAAAAACCTTCAGTGCAGGAGAATTCTAAGTAATTTATATTGATATTCCGCCCTCAAGGAAGTGGAGCATAACACCCCACTTCTGAAGTGTAGACTATACATAGTGACTTTCTTTCAAACAGCATAATAAGAAAGTGTAGAAAAAGAGTGACCAGAGTGGAAAAAGCTGGCAAATACTACCTTAGCAAGGTGATCAAGGTCAACATTAACAGTGATGTCATGTTGATAGTATATACCCCTGACATATGATGAAAACGGCAGTTTACCTCTGTAGTCTTCTTCCTCAAAACCCGTAATACCAGCCTAATCCTGAGGAAAATATCAGACAAATCCCAGTTGAAGGACAAAATGCCTGACCAGTACTCTTCAAAACTGTCATGGTCATTGCAAACAGGGAAAGTCTAAGAAGCTGTCCTGCCAAGAGGAGCATAAAGAGACATGACAACTAAAATGTGGCTGGGGTAGGATGTGGAGGGGATGCTGGAAGATAAAAAGGTTATTAAGTAAAAACTAAGGAAATCAAGTGAAATGTGGACTTTAGTTAATAATAATGTGTTATTGCAAAATGCTTTCTTCAACAAATGCTTGCACGTAAGGCTATCGGACAAAAAGGACTAGTGCTCTGCTTAGAGTAAGTGGCCCTTGAAAAGACCTGGTAGATTCCCTTGTGATTCTTGAAGCACACCTTGAAGTTTCTGGACCAGATGGTTTCTATATTCCCTTGGAGCACAGCAGATTACAGAATTGACATCATAGAAGGTATTCCAACCTGCCAGTTTACCTCTTAAAAAGAATTTCCAGGCTGGGCTTGGTGGCTCACACCTGTAATCCTAGCACTTTGGGAGGCCAAGTTGGGCGGATTGCCAGAGCTCAGGAGTTTGAGACCAGCCTGGGCAACACGGTGAAACCCCGTCTCTACTAAGATACGAAAGAAATTAGCCAGGCATGGCAGCATGCACCTGTAGTCCCAACTACTCAGGAGGCTGAGGCATGAGAATTGCTTGAACCCAGGAGGCGGAGGTTGCAGTGATGAGATCACACCACTGCACTCCCGCCTGGGCGACAGATTGAGACTCCATCTCTCAAAAAAAAAAAAAAAAAAAAAAAAGAGTTTCTGCTGGTCTATGGGAAAATGAGAAAAAAAAGGCAAAATAGGGACAATTCTAGTGAATGGCACCCCCAACACTGGAGTTGTGCACTGCACAACCTGTACAAACATACACAGCAGCCCTGAATGGGATGTGTGTCAGTGTAAGGTCCTCACTTTGCTATCTTGCAGGGAATATCCTTTATCTCACATTGAATTATTTCTCCTTTATGGGGCATTTGGAGGAAATGCTGACATATTCTTTCTTTGGGATATTATATGGTCGAGTTTTTCTTAGTATTTGTTTTTTTGTGTGTGTTCTTACTTTACAAAACACAAAATTGGGAACCTTACGAATATTCTTTGAAACTGTACTGATCCATCAGATTCCAAAGTCTGGGAACCCTTGACCTAGTGCAGCCTCCTGTGGGTGGTGTGTAGGACTTCTTGTTCCCTACAGCATCTCAAGGAGAGAGTGCTCAGGCTGCAGCAGCCATGCCACTGCCAGCTCATGTCAATGGCATGGATGGTGAATTCTCCTCTTTAAGTTGGCCCCAAACTAGCCTGGTTCTTCAGGAACAATCAGTGAGGAGGACGGATATATTTATAGTAAAATAGTCTTTGACCTGAGAGGTGGAGAGTCTTGATTAGGATTCCAGGTTTGCCACTAAGCACCTCACTTAACTGGCCCTCTATTTACAAATCAGTAAAATAGGAAAAATAAGACCAGCTTCGGCTCAATTGCACGGGTATGGTGATGTTCAAATAAACTAATAGACATAAGTGCTAATTGAATGTAAAACATCCTAGGTATGTAAGTTAGGACTGAAGTGTCAAAAACAGTAATAATAATAATGTTGTGATCATTACCATTGGGGTCTTTTCTGTGGGCTTCAGGGTCGCCTGCTGCCAGAGGCCCCTGGAGAGCATCTCTCTACTGGCTGTGATCCCACTAGGGTCCTCTGAGGTCGTATCTGCTTCTGAGACCCACTCAATGCCCTTGTCTTTCCTTCTGCAAAGTCAAATGTTAATATGCTGAGCTCCTTTGTGCTTCTTGTTAATAGAAGTCCTTGTCTTTCAGTAGTGGCCTTGCCTGCTGTCATCAGGAAGGGACATGTAGGGACATTTCGCATTACTCCAAGTGACAAGCTGGAAGCATATCCCCCCTCACTAGCCTTGAGTTCACTTTCTGGCAAGAATAGCTGAAAGCATGAGCTTAAAGACTTACCCCCAGAGCTCCATCCTCCAATTGCATGATCCTGTAACACAATAAGTGTGCTCCAAAAATAAATGAACAAATAAAGATGATGAGGATGACGATAAAGAACACGTACCAGGTCCAAAACACTGCTGTAAGACAGTGCATTAACTTATGTGAATAAACTTATTAAATTCTTACCTCAATCCTGTGAGGCAGGCACAACATTATTCTCATTTTACAGATGAGGAAATGAGACATGATGAGCTCCAAATTCATACAGCTAAGAAGCTTTAGAGCTGAGATCTGAACCCAAGCAATCTCTGGATTCAAAACCTGGGCACTTAGCCATTAAGCTACATTATGTTGCCTTAAAAAGAAAGGGCAAGGATATGAAATGGACCAACGGCATGTTGGGTTTCTGCCTGCCCTCCACCAGTTTCTTCTCTCAATCCTTCTGGTCTTGCCTTACCAAACATCTCACAGGATGCCGACATGCTTACTCCTTGGCGCTCTGGTTCTTTGTGATGGTGGTGGCAGCCTGTCTGGAGTGGCCTCCATGAAGACTCCAGTTGCAGCAGGAACTCCAGTTCCTGCATGGCCAGGGCTGCACACTCCATGGAGCTGGTGGAAGCCTGGAACAGGTGAGAGCCACACCCTCTTCCAAGTTGAAGGGTCAAGAGCCCTACCCTACCAGGTGCAGCTGCATGCTCCTAGCTGCAGCTGCAGACCCAGGCATCCCTGTGCTCTCAGGGGCCCAGGAACCCCACCTCCCCCAGCAAGCTTGTAAGTGCCTGCTATCACCGCCTGGCCTCTCTCCGCTCTGGTGCCTGTTCTAATTTTGGAGCAAAGTTGAGGCCAAGCCCAGGCACTGTCATGACCCAGTTGGGTGTGTGTGTGCTCAGGGCAGTGCTGACATGCCTGCCCCCTGCTGTCTCAGCCCCCTCTGGACTTTGGCACTGATGAGCATGGGAGGGAGGCTGAGTGGGGCTGAGGGCAGTTCAGTGCAGGCCTGCAGGTGCCTCTCTGTACGAACAGCCTGGGCTCCATGGGCAGCAGGTTGATGGTGGCAGGAGGCAGACGGGCTTCTGGGCAGAAAGGAGTGGGTCCCCAGTGAAGCCCCACTTTCAAGCCAGGGATGGCCTGAAGCCTGGGGGCTGGGTTGTCAGTTCCGCGACTGGAGTGGGAACTGATGGTGCTATTTTCCTGCCTGCCTATGGCTGCTCATGGACCAATCAACATGCACGTCCTCCCTTCTGAAGCCCACAAAAGCCCTGGACTCAGCCAGCTTTGGATAGATGACAGGACAACCTGTGGAGAGGAGCTACCCATGGTGGGTTGCCCCCTGCTGAGAGCTGTACACTCATCAGGATGACCTGCCAGCAGGTAGGAGCTACCCACTCCAGGTCTCCTCTCTGCTGAGGGCTACAGAGAAGTCAGGATGACCTGCCTGTGGATAGAAGCTACCTACTCCAGGTCTCCTCTCTGTCGAGGGCTGCAGGCTCCACTGGATGACCTGCCTGTGGAAAAGAGCTACCCACTTCAGGTCTCCTGAGAGCTGTTCCATCACTCAATAAAGCATCTCTGCACCTTGCCCACCCTCCAATTGTCCATGTACCTCATTCTTCCTGGATGTGGGACAAGAAATTAGGACCTGGGCCGGGCGCGGAGGCTCACGCCTGTAATCCCAGCACTTTGGGAGGCCGAGGCGGGCGGATCACGAGGTCAGGAGATCGAGACCATCCCGGCTAAAACGGTGAAACCCCATCTCTACTAAAAATACAAAAAATTAGTCGGGCGTAGTGGCGGGCGCCTGTAGTCCCAGCTACTTGGGAGGCTGAGGCAGGAGAATGGCGTGAACCCGGGAGGCGGAGCTTGCAGTGAGCCGAGATCCTGCCACTGCACTCCAGCCTGGGCGACAGAGCAAGACTCCGTCTCAAAAAAAAAAAAAAAAAAAAAAAAAAAAAAAAAAAAATTAGGACCTGCCAAATGGCAGGACTGAAAGAGCTATAACACAAATAGGGCTGAAACATGCCTCCCTACTCACCACGTTGCAGGCAACAAGAAGGAGAGAAGAGCTGTGGTCCTTTTGGGAACCTAGACCTAGGGTCTCCCCAAGCCAGAGCTGTGACACCTGCTTTGGGGCTCTGCAGTTCCTGATGTCTTCAAGCTTTTGGGTGCCACCAAATTCCCTGGAGCCTGAAGTATAAGCCATTTTTGGTAAACCTGGTCCAGCCACAGCCTTGCATGGAGCCAGCTCCTGTGTTGGTGCCTGGAGCTGCCCGCCACACCACAGCAGCCAGTATACCTGGCTGTGCACAGTAGCTGGACCCTGCATTCGCTTGCTCATGCATCCCTTGCCACTCTGTGTCCTTGGCATGTGTGGAATCTGGGGTGGTAGCACAAGCTGAGCAGGGCCTGCCAGGCTCAAGCCCAACAGGCCTGAGCAAAACTTGGGCAAAGGCACCACTGGCCACAGAAGCTTCCAGCTGGAAGAGCAACACCTCAGGGATCCCGTGACATTTTCATGTGGTTTTTCTTTTGTCTGGAAAACACGTGTCTAATTCACCTGGCTAAGTTCTAACCATCCTCATGACTCAGCTCAAAGGTCCCTTCCTCCAGGCAGTCTTCCCTGAACATTCTTCCTCTTTGGGTTCCCATAGTCTGCTGAGCTGTGGGTCTCACAGTCTTCATCGCACTGATCTTTCTTTGTTTGCTTACATGACGATTTTCTTCATGGCTAGACCCTGGCACTACCTTCCATGTGTTCAAATCTTGGCTGTACCACTTGTAGCTGTGTGACCTCGAGGAGCTTACCTAAACTTCTTTGCCTTGGTTGCTTTATCTATAAAATGAGACTGATAATGTATTAATTGAATTTGCTTCTGGAAAGCACTTATAGCAATGTCTGGCATATAGGAAGGGTTTTACATCTATTTGCCACTAAACCTCAAACACTGTTAGAGCTGAGACCACATCTTATTTATGAATGCCCAGAGCTGGCAGAGGATCTGGCATGTAGTAGGTGTTCAACACACATTGGTGGACTAAATAAATACATGTGGGCAAACAGCTCTTGGGAGAAGACACAAGGACTCAAAGGCAATCCAAGGACAAAGAAAGTCTCCTTGCTGAGGATAGGAGAGGAGGTGAAGAGTAAAAGAAGTCCTGGTGGAATCCAAGGCAAGTAGAATTGGGGTGGGGAGAGTAGAGGGTGGCATATGGAAGAAAGTAATGATAATAGCACAGATTCTTATAAGTGTAATCATGGAGGCAGACAGGAATGGATGTGGCTGCGAAGACCAACATGGCATGGCAGAGAAGGCACTGGGCTGGGCTGAGAAGGCTGGCTGGGGGCCATAGGTAAGCTAATGACCTTCTCTGTGCCTTAGTCCCACATGGTTCCATTCTGCCTAGTGGGGGGGCAAGAATCGGCAATTGTTATGGATTTCATGTTTTCCCTCCAAATTCATGTGTTGAAGCCCAAATTCCCAACGTGATGGCATTAGGAGGTGGGGCCTTTGTGAGGTGATTGGGTCATGAGGGTGGAAACCTCATGAATGGGATCAGTGCCTTGATAAGAAGAGACACCAGAGACTTTGATATCTCTCTCTCTCTCTGTGTACACACACTGAGGAAAGACCAAGTAAGCCCACAGTGAGAAGGCAGCTGTCTGCAAGCCTGGAAGGCAGCCCTCACCAGAACCTGACCATGTTGGCACCCTGAACTCACACTTCCAGCTTCCTGAATCATGAAAAAAGTAAATCTCTACCATGTAAGTCACCCAGTCTATGGTATTTTGTTAGGGCAGGCTGAGCTAACTAAGTGAGCAGCACAGCCTCTTTTGTGTTTTTCTGTAACCTGCTATTTTTCTCTCAACAGTACATCATCAATATACCTGTGCCTTGACTTGCATATCAGTGCATTTGTTTTATCTTCTGTGTACTATTCCATTGCACTACAAGACCACAAGGCACTGATATATTTCCTTATAGAAGAACAGTTAGGGAGCTTCTCATGTGTGTGTTCTCACAAAACCTGTAGCCATAAACTTCTGTGTGTGTGTCTTCTATGTCTATATTGGAGCATTTTTCCAGAAAGTATACTAACAAGTGGATGTCTAGGAATTGCTTATGCATATGCTTTATTAGAGATTGTTAATGGCTGTCTAAGTTGTCCCAATTTATAATACCAAGCTGGCCAGTTTTTAGGATATCTTTGAATGCTGATGTTCTGTGAATTTGTGATCCCCCCATCCCTACCCCCAGCCTCTCCATAACTGTCTTGCATTCTCCTGGAAGGAAGACAAGCATCCAGGGACCTTGGGAGGATGCAACCATATGTTCAGAGTGACTTCTATTTACCAGAGCCCAGAGAAGAACATAGTTTGGGAAGAAGAGTCATGACCACCACAAAGGGCTTTGTTTCTATCTCTGCCATGTTTCCCAAAAGAGAAAAAGACTAACCAATGATAATAGCACAATGAGAACCATGATAGGCAACCACGGTGTGCTCTGGGCATCCATGGTAGCAAAGTTCTTTAACAATCACTGGTATTTTTCCCTTGGTCAAAGACACAGGAAAGGTAAAAACCCTGGAAATGTAAGGATCAGAAGCTCTGTAAAAAGTGGAATTCAAGACTAGGAGCCCCATGTTATCCATGTGGGGTTCCATTCGCTAAGGCTTCCCCAGCCTGCCTGTATTTTTCCCAGAGATGAGCTGGCATTGGGACAAGCTCAGGCTTCTGGTCAGGCTACCTCACACACTGCTACAGATCATGGCCTAAATCATTATCTCAGAAATTGATGAGCTGACCCTAAAATTCACAAAGATATGCAATGTTCCCAGAATAGCCAAAACAATCTTGAAAAGAAACAAAGTTGAAGGACTTACACTTTCTGACTTTAAAACTTACCATGAATCTATAGTAGTTAATACTGTGTGGTCCTTCCTAGCATGAGGATAGACACAGATCAATGGGATAGAATTGAGAGTATGTCAATAAGCCTACATATCTATGGTCAATTAATTTTTGACAAGAACACCAAGATAATTCAATAGGGGAAATGATAGCCTTTTCAAAAAACGAATGATGCAGGGATAACTAAATATCTTTATACAAAATAATAAATTTTAATTCCTACCTCACATCGTATATAAAAATTAACTCAAAATGGATTATAGACTGAATATGAATCACAGATCAAAATGTAAGACTAAAACTATAAAGCTTTTAGATGAAGACATAGGTGCAAATCTTTGTGATCTTAGATTAGCAATGGTTTTTAGATATGGTACCAAAAGCACAGTGAAAAAAGAAAAAAATCAGTAAATTAGTTTTCATAAAAGCTTTTGTGCAAAGGACACCATCAAGAAGGTTAAAAAATAAACCAGAGGAAGGAATAAGATATTTGCAAATCACATATTTGGTAAGGGACTAATATCCAGAATACATAAAGTACTCTTACAACTCAACAACTCAAAGACAAATAGCCCAGTTTAAAAATGGGCAAATGATTTAAGTAGACTTTTTTTTTTCAAAGAAAACATACAGATGGTCAACAAGCATGTGAAAAGATGCTTAACATCAGCAGCCACTAGGGAAATGTAAATCAAAACCACAGCGATAGCACACCACACCCACTAGGATGGCTAAATAGGCAGAATAACAAGTACTATTGAGAATGTAGGGAAATTAGAACTCCCTAACTGCTAGTGGGAATGTCAAATGGGGCACACCCTTTGGAAAACAGTTTGGTAGTTCTTCAAATCGTTAAGTATACAGTTACCACATAACTTAACAATTCTATTTCTAGGTATATATTCAAAAGAATTTAGAACAGGTCTTCTAATAAAAACTTGTGCATAAATGTTCACAAGAATATTATTCATAATAGCCAAAAAGTTGAAACAACCCAACTGATAAACAAATGTGATATATCCATACGAAGGGAATATTTTCCAGCCGTAAAAAGGAATAAAGTACTGGTACATGATACAACATGAATGATCCTTAAACTTATATTGCTAATTGAAGGAATCCAGACACAAAGGTCACGTAGTACATAATTCAATTTATATAAAATATCCAGAATAAACAAATCTAAAGAGACAGAAAACAGACTAGTGGTTGTCAGGAGAAGGGGTTGGGGTAGAAATCAGGACTGACCGCTAATAGTACCAGGTTTCTTCTGGGGTGATGTAAATGTTCCAGATTTAAATAATGGTGATGGTTGTGCAACTCTTTGAATATATGGTACGTGAATTGTAGCTTAATAATAATGATAATGAAAGCTATTGTCAGGCAGAAGCTCCCTGAATCCTTGATTTGATGAACTTCTAATGAATCAAAATGATTTTAGGACCAACATCGTTTGCCAATAATTTTATTCTACTAAATAGGATATTAAAAGAATAACTTACTACCATCATTTTTAAAAGGAAAAGTATTTTCACATCAGAAAGTGGAAAGAACATTGTCTTAAAGTTATTTAAATTGACTAAACTTAGCTTTATGAAAAACTTTCCACATTCATCCCCAAGATGCTGATATTTGATATAAATAAATACTTTACTTTGCTGCAACTTAGTATACAGCAAGCACAATGCCTGGCTTTGGGCAGGGCTGACAGTCAGCTGGAACCCACCGGTACAGCGTGCTGACCACGATGGTGATGCCCCATCATCGGGACCTGGCATTCCATGCCAGCTGGGATATATTGTGAAAATCACACTTCACACTGGACATTCAGAATGGAAAACAAACATGGTCTTTTCTTCATGAAGAATACAGACTGCTAGGGAGACGGCTATTAATATAAATATATAATTAAAGGTTCTGACAAGTCCTCGGAAGGACAAGAATTAGAATTGAATATACTAAATGGAGAAGGCAACAGGAAAGGGCTCTTCAGCCACTTTTATTTCCTTCATTTCGCCTTGGACTGGTGGAAACATCACAGATCTGCACTGGTCTGGATCTGGGAAACACTGGAATAGGTCAAAGGGCTCTAGGAAAAATGTGTGAAGTGTCAAGTGTTAGATGAGAATGCAGGACGAGGACCGAAGCTGATTGCAGTAAAACGCAGAGGTGTCTCTTTGTCCTGAGCCACCTGCCTGGGGAATCTTTCAAAGTGAGAAGCCAATCTGGTGGGAACAGTTGGACAAGGAGGTGCGATCTGGAGCTTGTTACATTTCTTGTCACTCTCCCAGGGATGCCAAGAGCCCTTGCCTAACAACCACCGCTGCTCTCCAGTCAGCCCATCTTCTCAGCAGGTGGCAAGTTCCTCCCGCTGAGAGTGGGAGAAAGAAGGAGAGAAGGGAAAATTAACAGAGTGCCTTCAGTGTCAGGCACCCTACCCGTGCTTTAGATTTGCTGTCTGCCCCTCTTGACAACATTCACCTGAGCTCCCCTTTGATGGTGATGGAGAGTAGGCTGGGCCTGGGCTAGAGTTGAAAAGGGGATTTGGTTCTTGGAGCTGAGGCCTTGGGCTAAGTTTTTTTTCTGAGTCGAGAGGAAAGCTAAGAGCTGCAACGGTGAACCAAGGCCGAATCTGCGAGAAAGGCGCAAGTCTCAATGTTGGTTAAGCATAGAGCGATACAACTTTCTCTTAGGCAGGAGTGTCATAAGCTGAATTAAGAGGTAGAAGTGGATGGTCCTTGTGTCTGTTTTAGAGATAATTTAATCCTCTATCCAGTAATTCTTATAGATCTGATAAATTCAGTAAAATAACTGATGGACACTGCAAAAAAACATACAAGTTGGTAATTTGTTCAAATTAACAAGACAATTGTTAAGCCAGTGGGTTGGCAAACTATGGCCCTTGGACCAGATCCAACCCACAGCCTGTTTTGTAAATATTGTTGGAACCCTGACACACCCATTCATCTGTGTATCATTTACAGCTGCTTTCATATTACAACAGAAGAATTGAATGGTTGTGACAGAGACCATATGGCTGGCAAAGCCTAAAATATTTGCTATTTGGCTGCTCACAGTACAAGTTTGCCAACTCCTGCTCTAGGTCTTTGATACACTTAATTTTATCTACCTGGGTAGGTTGCGTTCATTCATTGCATGAATTCATGCCGCACATGCCAATTGAAAGCTTAGTATGAAATGTACTAGTGGCTGGGAAGAGAAAGCTAGAAGATCCAGCTCCTGCCATCAGAGAGCCATGTGTTCAGTGAGGAGATGCAGATGATTGCTATGTAGGTGGTAGTTACTACAGGATAGGCTGCTAGCACACGTGGGGTGGGGGATGGAGGTTGGGTTGGAAGTAAGCCAATTCCCAGCAACCTCAGGGTCCTTTTTGATGTCCAGGGATGATACACTGGGGGAAGTATGGGGCTGCCTTAAGGAGAAGGTCGGGCCAGATGTGAGAAACACCCCTAATAGCTGTGGGTGGTGAGCTTGATTGCGCCAGGAAGAACTTAGGAGTGCATCCTCAGCAGAACTGGCTCAGCTTACACGGGGTGTGACACCAGAGAAGGATCTCAGAAGGTTCCTTGCTGCTGAGAGGTACCCAGGTCTTATTGCATCTTTCTGAGGTTCTGGATGTTTGCGGTGATGACTTGGGCGTGATGGCTCTTGCCTGCCTTAGATCCTGGAGGGGTCTGGGAGGTTGCATCGACACTCAGAGAGGGCCGAATTTCCCTCTGCTCTCCTCTTGCCCTCTGCCAGGACTCACACATCTCCTCAATCCTTTTCTGCGCTGTCATTTCTCATCCAGGTGGTTCACTTCAACAAATATTATTACCCGATGTTTTCCAAACTTCCCTGTAAACAACAATCACCTGGATTCTTGCAAGTCTTGTTATTCTCTTGCAATAACTAACAGACTAGTACAAAGTGGCAGACTGCTGGGAACCCAGCTGAGACCTCCTGGTCTGTAAATTTAACAAAGCCCCCAGGTGACTTTTATCAGGGAGCGTGGAGAACACTAGGCTCCTAACAGTGTTTGAGACTGTGCGTGCTTTAAACTGGACCCCAGGTAGTCTGACCCCAGCTTTACTACTTTCTTACTCTTCAACCTCGTATAGATTAGGGGACCAAGTTATGCATTAGCTTTTCCTCTGTGGAATGAAGATAAGTACAATGCCTCTCCCTTAGGCTCGTTTTGAACATAAAATGAGGTGTTCATGGAGCACCTAGCAAAGTATGAGGCATGGACTAAGCCCGTGGTTAAATGTTAGTGTTCAGACATTTGCTAATAAGCTAAGGAATAACTGGAAAAGAACTCTGCTAAGTGCTGGGTAGTGAGAAGTAAATAAGATGAATGTTTCCCTCCCCAGTGCCCTTTGATCTTTCCAAACCTCTCATTTGACTTTTCCCTGCTTAAAGACCTCCTGTGGCTCTGGCCTAGCTCAACCCTGCAGTCTCATTTCCTCCCTGGCCTCTCTTAAAATGTCTTAACATTTTCCTGCTTGCAGGCATTGTTTTCTTGCCTCCCGATCTTCCTCCAGCTGTTGCTTCTGCCTGGGATACATGCATCTCCTTGCATTGACCTACTCCACAGTTAGTTCCTTGTCAGGTGTTAATGCTCAGCTTGGTTGTTTCCTTCCCCAGGTTAACACCCTTGATTCCAAGGCTAGGCTAGATGCTGCACATCTACAGGGGTCCCATAGGCAGACAACATGCCAGATGCAAAGGCAGGCAGTTGGAATGAGTCAGGAAGGCCAGCAGAGGGACCGGTTTATGAAGGAGTTCACATGCCAGGTGGTGGTGTATATTGATAGAAACAAGATACTTTCAGAGAAGAAATGGAAACTTCCAGTGTGAGTTCCTAGAAATGGAAGATACTCGATGGGGGTACCCATCAGGGGTCTTTGATGTCAAAGAGAAACACACTGGACACCTGTTGAAGGTGGAAAGACAGGTTTTCTTTAAATGACTGCAGTAGGAGAGACAGACTACTATAAACTGAGCTCAACTCCAACTAAGACAAAGGTGGCTGAGCTTTGTAAAGGGAGAACAAAAAGGAGCTATGGGAAGTAGAAAAGGGGGAATCAGCCAGGTATGGTGGCTCATGCCTGTAATCCCAGCACTTTGGAGGCTGAGGTGGGTGGATCACCTGAGGTCAGGAGTTCGAGGCCAGCCTGGCCAAAATGGTGAAACCCCATCTCTACTAAAAATACAAAAATTCGCCGGGCGTGGTGGCAGTTGCCTGTAATCCCAGCTACTCAGGAGGCTGAGGCAGGAGAATCACCTGAACCCCAGAGGCGGAGGTTGCAGTGAGCCGAGATCATGCCACTGCACTCCAACATGGGCGACAGAGTGAGACTCTGTCTCAAAGAAAAAAAAAAAAAGCCGGGGGGGAAACCAAAAAGGGATTTGAGGCTATGGGTAAATAGAAGATTGTAGAAGGAGGGTAAGTGGAAAAAATACTGGAAATGGTATGGCAATGTGCTTTGGGACCACATACATCTTGTGGTTTGGCTGCTTTGCATTTTCTTGAGTTAAAGACTTGGCATGGCCAAGAAACCTAGGTTTAAATCAAAACCTTTAAGACACGGTTTAGGTTTAGTGTATGTGGAAGCCAGCCTGGAATTTAGTTGAGTCTCTCAGCACAACGCTCAGGCAAGTCCTTTGTGCCACAGAGGAGTTCACATTTCAACCTGAAAGTTCTCCCCTATATTCTTTAGAGGTCTAGAACTGAGAACAGAGCCACTGGGAGAAAGTGCGGTTTGGCTTCTCCCTGCTGGCAGGATCAGAAACTAAGGGGAGGCTGGGCAAGCTTATTTAGAAAAAGAGAGAGAGAAAGAGAGAGAGAGAGAGAGGGAGGGAGGGAGGGAGAGAGAGAGAAAGAGAGAGAGAGAGAGACACCTAGAGCAAGAATATGCAGGCAGGAACTAGCTCAGTGGGAGTCAGAAGCTCTAAGCTGGGCATCAATTGAAGTGAGTTTGGAGGAGTGTTGGATCCTGCCACTTCTTACAGCGTGTGATTTCTCCACACTTGCCCCTAGCCCTCAGTTTCCCTGTGACTAGTAGTTCCTGGAATAACACAATAAGTCTGTAGAAACAAACAAGCCCCACTCAGAGTGGCTTACAACAATAAGGTTTGTTTCTCACTCCTGAAGTCTGTCCCTTCTGGGTCAGTTCAGACCTTGTTCTGTCTGCTGCTCTCTTACTTACGTCTTTGCTCTGGGACCAGAATGAAGGGACAGTCATTCCTGGGCAACAGGAAAGGAGCAGGTGCTAAGGCACAGGAGGTTCTGAAAGAAGTGGTTGACATCACTTGCACCTATGTCCCACTGGCCACAGCAAAGCGCATGGCAAAGCCTGATGCCCTTGCAATGGGAGGTTTTTACATTGGTTTTACATACGATGCAACTGTTTCTAGCTACCACAATTCTAGGTCAGATATTACAGATCTGCTGTGGTCCACATGGGAGCAAGTTTTGAGGTTGATGGCCGTATTACCATGTGGCTCATTTGCATGATCCTGTGTTCAATGACAGATGTGGCACCTAAAACTGTGTGTGTCAATCAGATACAGGAAATAAATCTTGTATGCTATTAGAGAATCACAGACCTCTGGATCCAGGATGGCCTGAGGTGTATAGTCAATCCCTTGATGTTTTTTTCCTTTTACCTTCCACTTCTTTCTCTCCTCTTCCTTGTCCTTCTCTTTCTTTTTCGTCTTCCTCCCCATCATATCCTCATCTCCATCTTCCTTTACTCCTCTCTCTTCTTCACTTGTCTTCCTCTTCTCCCCTCCTCCCCTTTTTCCTTCAGAAATGAGGTCCAAATCAGTGAAATGACTTGCACAAGGTTAGCTTTGGCAACTAGTATTGCTACATCTCAGTCTAGAGGTTTTGCACTGTTTTGCAGGGCTGCAATTTGAAGAACATGAAGCAAAATCATTTACAAAGCAAAGACCTCTTTGGCAAAACACAAACAAACAAAACAAAACAAAACCAAAAACAACCTCACAAAAATGAAACAAACAAACAAAAAACTTTAAAAAACCTGTCCAGCTAATATTTTTAAGTTGCATGTCCATCCATAAGTTTGATTTCAAGAGAAGCTCACCTGGGTAAGTCTGTACTTGATGCTCAAAGGTAAAGAGTTTGCTTCACTTTTGAAGCCCATGCTGTGACTGGCAACCTCCCCCTGGCTGGGGTGTTCTACAGGCAGCCCCTCCACCTGGTGAAAGTATTAAGCATGTGTGATGTTTGCTAAAGGTAATTTGTGTCACAGTAGCAGTTATTGTAAAACAATCACAATTTCAGTGGGATCAAGGAAAAAAATCTGAGAAGCAATGCTTTTAGTGAGTTCACTAATTGTGTGTATGTTTTAGGAGCTGACAATCAAAGAACAAAATGACAACCTTCTCTAACCTCAAAATGCCCTTCCTTTCAATTAAGTCACTCCTGTTGTTCTTAGCAAAACTCAGGAGAGATTATTTTAGAATAGGTGCAGCGTCGTGGTGAGCAGTGGATAACAATCAATTCATGCTGCCTAACCGTTCTCTGTGGAGAGAGGCTTCCTAGAGGGAGGAGAAAGGGCTCTGAAATCAGACAGATGTGGCACCACCATTAACCTGACTTTGGGCACCTCTCTCGGCCTCAATGCTCTTACCTCATAGGGATAAGAATCCTACCTCGGGGGCTCTTGGGAGAAAGAAAAAGGTATCATTCATCAAAGGTTTAGCACAGCATCAGGCACTATGCGGTGAATACATAGAACTGAGCATCCATCTTGCGTCCTAACAGCGGCCCTCTGCTAGCCCCACCACACTTGCCTATCATAGGCAGCATTTCTTATTTGTAACAATCATGCAAGGAAGGCAGGATGGAAGGAAGATGTGCAGAAAAATAAGATCCACATTAAAGATGGTAGTGTCTCACGAAAACACGCAATAAACACTTTCCTACTCTAAAGTAATAAGCACCAACTAATTTGATTTGTTGAATCTCAGGGAACGGCCTTAAATGTCTCCTAGTTTAACCACGATTGGATGCACAAAACCCCTGCACAACATCAGGAGAAGTGATTGTAACATCAGCTTGAATGCTCTTAAGGATCCAGAAATTGCTCAAGCAGTTTGTCTTATTGTTGAACATTTTTGACCATTAGAAAGCTTTTCTATATAATGACCCAAGGTTTGTCATTCCATACTTTCTATCCTTGGCTTTTGGGCTTACTCAGAAAAGAATCTAAGTCATTTCTGGGATGAGTTTACATAGCTAGATAGCTAAATAATAGATCAACTTAACAAAACAGTAGGTTTGTCCTTTTACTTTTGAATTTTAATATTTTGACTGCATCTAAAGTGCATTTAAAACCTAGGGTCAATTTATTTCTTTTAATAGCTAATAGTTATACCATGGTAAGAAGTAGCATGGCACTGTGCTTACCTGGGTGGGCTCTGGAGTCATATAACCTGGGTTCAAATCCCAAATGTACCTCTGGCTGTGTGGCCGTGGGGTGATACATCACCTCTCATAGCCTCCTTTTCTTCATCTATGGAACGGAGATGATAACAATAGCTACCCTAATCCAGGTGCAATGGCTTACACCTGTAATCCCAGCACTTTGGAGGCCAAAGCAAGCAGCCCACTTGAGCCCAGGTGTCCAAGATCAGCCTGGTCAACATGGCAAAAACCCATCTCTACAAAAACAATACGATATTTAGCTGGGCATAGTGGCATGTGCCTGTAGTCCCAGCTACTTGGGAGGCTAGTTGGGAGAATTGCCTGAGCCTGGGAGGTCAAGGCTGCAGTGAGCCATGATTGTGGCACTGCACCGCAGCCTGGGTGCCAAGGCAAGACCCTGTCTCAAAAAAAAAAAAAAAAAAATCTACCTGGGAGGGCTGTTGTAAAGATAATGACTTAATGTATGTATAATGCTTACAATGCATTAGTACTATAGTAAGTACTCAATCTCTGTACAGTCCTCTCCTTGAACACCTGGTACATGGTGGAGAGAGTGTTAGGGGCTTTAACGGAGGCTTACAAGTAACCTCAGAATAGCTTGCATAATAGCTGTTAATAAACTCTAGTTATTTCAATGATCTATTGTTATGTAACCACCCCAAAACACAGAGGCTTTATTGAGCTGGTAAATATCTTTAGGCATCCATTATACAAATGAAGAAATTGGAATTCAGTTACTGAATTTACTGAGTTGGTAAGTATCTTTAGATAAGTATCTATTAGCTTATTTAAAGTTAAGTCAATTTATGTGTGCTAAGGTGTGGAGAAGGTTTAGACAGAAACAGAATGGCATCTGTCTTCATGAAGGACTTTCTTTGAGTTTCCACAGAGAAGTAAGCCACTAAAGGGTGAATTTTAAAGCCAAATACCATAGCAGGCACTGGAGCTTAATCTCATAGGCAAGCTCTGGAAAATGATATAGAACATATGCTTCTGCATTATTTTACTCTAGGGGAGAGGGAACTGGGATATTTATGCACCAAACCCCAATAAGCACTGGGAAGAACAGCCTCCCAAAGTCCTAGAAAAATCCATCTGCCCACATATTGGCAGTTGGAAGTTGCCTTATGTGCCACAACGCATTCAGCAGGGCACAGACAGCACCCACTACAATCCCCTTGGACTAATTTTGGGTCCTGTTGGAGAGATAGTTGAAAGCAGTCTCTGAATAAGACTGACTTTGTGAGACTCTGGGCTGATGCAGAATTACCATGGAGCCCCAATGTCAAAGGCAGTAGCATTTCCTCTACTTCTGCACAGAAAGCAGAACATTGGAAGGGTTGGGACCCTCAGCACCCAACCCTTGCTATGGACATTCAAGTCCTTAGGAGGGTCAATGGGACTTCTCTGGATGTCTTTGCCAGCATTATACAAGGACAAGTGGGAGACAAAGAACATGGCAAACTCTAGTTATTTCAGTGATCTAGTGTGATGTAACCACCCCAAAACAAGGAGGCTTAAAACAACCATTTCATTATCTCTCTACATTCCGTGGTGTGACTGAACTCAACAGGATGGTCCTTCTTCATGGTGCCAGCTGGGGCTGCCATCACAAGAGGGCTCAACCAGGCTAGAATATCCAAGACAGCCAACTCACATGTTTAGCAGAGCATGTGGCTGTCAGCCGGGAGCTCAGTGGGGGCTGATGATTGGAGGGCCTAGGTTCCCTTCCATGTGGCCTTGCATGTGGCTTGGGCTTCTCACAGCATAGTGGCTGGGTTTCAGGAGAGAATATTCTAGGAGATAAGAGGGAAACTGGGGGTATTGTAATGCCCAGCATGGGAAGTAAGACAGCATCACTTCCACCGCATTCTAATGGTCAAACCGAGTCACAATGCAAGCTCAGCTTTAATTTTGAAGGGGATTTACACAAGGGCAAAATTATTAAGAGGTGGTGATCACTGTGGGCCGTAGTTGGAGACTTACTATTATACTGGGTAATGAATGTGTCTGGCAGACTGGTTTGGGAAAAAAATATATCTTTTACATGAGAAACAATTTTCACGTAGGAGTTGGGAATGAGGCCCTGGAATTGTATGAGCACAGAGGCGGGTGAAATTGAACCAGTGGACATTTAGACACATCTCCAATAGGCAGGATTATATATTTCTTCTTATTCTCTTTGCTCTGCTTGACATACAGTGAAAATGAATGTTTGTTGAGAAACAGAATTGATTACGGGAACATTTCTCCAAGACTCTTTCTAGCCTAAGAAGAAACACATTTCTCAAACACTCTCTGGATACTAAGCATTCTGTATCCATTATTTCATTTAATTCTCATTCTGTGAGGCAGGTACTGTTTAATCCCCATTTGACAGGTGAGATGTTGAGGCTCAGAGAGGCTGGCCAGCTGACTTGCTCAAGGTCACACAAGTAAAAATATCTCAGGGAAGGCCTGAATGAAGATTCTCTTCTCCCAGGTACCAGGACAGTTTCCAATCTGACATTTTTCCCTTTATGGTATATGGTAATACCACAATAGCAGATAGTGGGACAGATGCAAAATTGCTTTTGTTAGAGGAGTAAAAATTATATAATAAAAATCACTGTTAGAATGGAAATATGTAAGACTACCAACTTCTCTGTGATTGCAGGTGTAGTAGGAATGAGGACGTGAGACAGTTAAAAAGGCATGAAGTGCCAAGATGTGTCAGTTGACCGAGAGATTCAGGGAATTGTGGCTCTGTCACTCTCTAGTGTTGTTGAATGAATGAATAAAGAATGAGTGAATGAAATAAATCCACAGAGGCCAAAGGAATGTCAGTTTCTACCTCTTTGGAACTGCCCTTTCCCTGCCATCCCTCCCCACAGTATAGGGTATCCTAACTCTGCACACTCACACCACACTGCAGGGAGACATCCCCCTCTCCACATTATAGGGTGCCCCAACTCTGCACACCCATACCAGACTGTAGGGAAATACCCCTGCTGAGTCATCAGCCTTTTGCTTCTCTGGCTCCCCTAGCTTGATGTGGGTAGTGAGCTTGGCTATTTGTTCCTTTATCACCAGCACCTGACCCAGATCTTGGGAAATAATAGGTACTCAACACATCATTGTTGAATGAGTGATGAATCCTCCATCTACAATACATCAAACTGGCTTAGAAGTTTTTTCATGGATCTCTCCCAGATCAAATAAAAACTAAAGTTTAAAAAAAATTTTAAGGAAAAACATACGTGGCTCTTTCTCCCAGGGACAGATCGCTCCTCAAATGAATAAAGTTTTCATCTAGCTTTACCCATTGCATGGAAATGAACCCAAAAGCTAATTTTAAGCCTGGCCTATGTGCCTTCCCAAAATTAGGGCATCCTGCTAAGAAGTAAGTTTGTGGCCCAACTGGAATAATCGTGTAGAATTTCACAGCATGCTTTTCTGCTTGATGACTTTTTAAAATTTTGTTTTCGTCTTCTTCTTATAGCATATTTTCTCTTTGCCTCAGTTTTTAAAATGTATTTTTATTCTCTGTCTTGCTGTGTTATGTGTAAGGACTTCCTCAAATTATTTTCATAATGAGGTTGTGTTTAAGCAAACACACACCAACATGTCCTTCTGAATTCACAATATCAAGCTTTAAAATATCAGCTTTTCTTATCATTGTTTCCTCTCAATCCCCCATGGAAACGCTAACCTACTGATAAAGATTCTTTGGCCAAACATTAGTCAGGCTTTTGAATCTTCTAGGCCTATCTGTTCACTTCCTCGTAAAATCAAATTTTAACAGAGAACCCTGTTTAATTTAGCAAGAATCTGCCACCCCAACCCCAGTCCTTAATATGTGATCATCCTCAATATCTGATCAGGTTCCTTCTCCTCCTCTATCCCCCAGGTGATACCTGAAAACTCTGACCTGTCTTCAGTAAGAATCCAGTTTAGCCAGAATCCCTGTACCCCAATGTTTCCTTTTAGTAATTTTTTATCCACTGGCCCCTACAGTGTTCCTTTGCTATAAATTCCCACTTGCTTATGCTGTATTCAGAGTTGAGCCACTGCAAGATCCCTCACTGCAAGATTCCACTGCGGTGGCCCCTATATTAATGGCGATGGTCCTGAATAAAGTCTACCTTACCATGCTTTAACAAGTGTTATTGAATAATGTTTTTCTTTTATACTACCCTTGTCATTCCAGATGGTTCTTTATATCAGGGATTGCCACTGTAGATTTTAAAATCTTGTGATGATACCCTCCATGAATTGGCTTATGACAACACCAGAAAATGTCAACAGGGGGTCAGTGTTCTCAACTTCTAAGGCTTCTCGTCCCAGATACCTGAAGTAATTATTGAACTACGTATGTAAAATAAGGGACTAAGAGTCTTTTATTCATCAATAATTTGGTAATATATATATTGGAATTTTCTATGAAACTGAAATACAGTGCCATTTTTGCTTTTTAAAAATTTTTGTGTAACCAAAGTAATAAGCATCATTCATAAACGTTAAACATTTAAATTTTTTTTAAGATATGGTATCTTGCTCTGTCACCAAGGCTGGAACAAGCACAGTGGCATGATCATAGCTCACTGCAGCCTCAAACTCCTGGGCTTAAGTGATCCTCTCTCCTTCGCCTCCCAAGTAGCTGGAGCTACAGGCACATGCTACCATGCTTGGCCACTTTTAATTATTATTTATTTTCTTGAGAGAGAGAGGGTCTCCATTTATTGCCCAGGCTGGTCTCAAAGTCCTGGCTCCAAGCAATCTTCCTGCCTTGGCCTCCCAAAGTGCTGGGATTATGGGAGATTTATTTTTATTCTTCTGCAACTGCAGTCTTAAACTCCCTATCATGAAAGAAAGGGGTTGTATATCCCATAATTAAACAATGTTACTATTAGTCTGTCAGATATAAGGTGAATGGAGGAAAATTCTTACTTGTCAGAAGAGCTTCTCTTTCCTGGAATCTCTTTCTTTCCCCCTCTATTAAAGACTTTAGTCCATTTAACCCCCGTGTCACACCCCTACCCTCCCCGACCCTCTGAGGTATTCAACTTCTGGCATGGACTGTCATTTATTTAGCAAGCTGTGAGTGGTCTGGGGGTCTCCAAACTCCCAGGTTTAGGAGGGGGTGCCCAGCCCTTGGACTGGGTCTGGGTTGCTGAATTAAAGGTAATGAGATTCCCAACACCAAAATAAACCTTCTGCAGCATCGTTCATTTTTATGCCAAAAGTTTTTCTGTCTCCTTTTGTTCTAGTAAACTTTGTACATGCCAAACAACAGGAAATGTGGAAAGGAAGAGAAAAGAAAGAAAATCCATATTTAAAATTCAATTTCCTTATCTTCTGGATTTTGTATGTTATTATGAGATTTTTAATTAAAATCTCAGCTCAGATTCAATTTCTCTATTAAATAGGGTAAAGGGAGATGGAAAGGGTGAAAAATACGACTTAAGTTTCTGAAGATATGGGTTTCATTATTCCTTTTTCAACCTAAAGATGGTAACAGCACACATCAGATAGCTCTGGAGGAATTTTTTGGCTTTCTGTGTTTCAGGTGACTTAAAAGGAGAGATCAGCCAGGTAATAAATTGAGTTGGACTATTACATACTTCGAAGGGAAAAGAAGAAAATCCAAACCCTGCAGCTCCTGTGGCCCCACTGGAGGATGGAGGAATTCCTTCCTGCCCTATCCCTTTTTTTTTCAGAGTCCTTCCCTCCTGTATGTCTGAGGGTTCCTGGGTGTTTTCCCGCTGTAGCTCTATCTCATTCCCAGCTGGGGTGAGCATCTCTCACTCACTGGTGTTGTGATGGCATCTCTATAGGACACTGCAGTTCCGGATGCACCCTCATTGCTCATCTCTATAGGACACTGCAGTTCCAGACACACCCTCAATGCTCGTCTCTATAGGACACTGCAGTTCTGGAAGGACCCTCATTGCTCGTCTCTATAGGACACTGCAGTTCCAGAAGCACCCTCAATGCTCATCTCTATAGGACACTGCAGTTCTGAAAGCACCCTCATTGCTCCTCTCTGTAGGACACTGCAGTTCCGGAAGCACCCTCATTGCTCATCTCTATAGGACACTGCAGTTCCAGATGCACCCTCATTGCTCATCTCTATAGGACACTGCAGTTCTGGAAGCACCCTTATTGCTCGTCTCTGTAGGACACTACAGTTCCAGATGCACCCTCATTGCTCATCTCTATAGGACACTGCGGTTCCAGACGCAGCCTCATTGCTCGTCTCTATAGGACACTGCAGTTCCGGACTCACCCTCATTGCTCATCTCTGTAGGACACTGCAGTTCCGGAAGCACCCTCATTGCTTGTTTCTATAGGACACCGCAGTTCCGGACGCACCTTCATTGCTCCTTTCTGTAGGACACTGCAGTTCCGGACTCACGCTCATTGCTCTGCTCTATAGGACACTGCAGTTCCGGAAGCACCCTCATTTCTCGCCTCTATAGGACACTGCAGTTCTGGATGATGCACCCTCATTGCTCATCTCTATAGGACACTGCAGTTCCAGACGCACCCTCATTGCTTGGTCAGTGCCTCTTGGGGAGAAGGGAGGATGTTCTTTCTGCCACCATCCCAAGTCTGTGGTTCTGAGAGGTTTAGCAGAACCTGCCTGCAGGCTTGAGCATAACACAAAGGAATTGCAATTCAGAGGCACTTACACAGGATAAAGCCACTTTCATATTCTGCTGTCAGAGCCTCTCCCCAGGGGCTGGTCCTGTATTTAGTGCCTTATGACCACTCCTGGGCCATCTCACTAAGCAGAAGTCAGGCTTTTCCCCACATTATCTGTGAGACATTGAGAACATCTCTGTCTCTCCATGGGGTCAAGTTCTCTCTTTTTCCTGCTGTAAGATCTGCCCACAGACACATCTCCCCTGTTTTCAGATTTCCTCTTTCCAGAGAAAGCTCACTGCCACTTGGAAGCCCTGCATCCCCCTCCTCATGTGGGTTGGCCTTGTGCTGCGTCTTCCAGCAGAATAGTCCCATCAGAATCCGATTGTCCCAAAGCAGTACAAGGCTCCTAGCTGGTGATCTTCATCTTGGAATTGCCTGACTCTATTTTACCATATATAGGGCATTGGCAACCTAATATGGGTAAATTGCAGATTCTGCTATACCTGGAGATGCTGGTCAGGCACTCGTGCTATTCCTGCATCTTCAGGGGCTCAGTTCCTTATGTCCATGGTGAAAAGATTACACACAGACAGACACACCCCACTAGGAACAAATTAGAAAATTCAATTCTAAAAGCCATATAGAGAAGAACATTCTCTCCAGGAAACACACATTGTAGACATTCAGCTCTGCCCTTGATACAAGTGCCTTTTCATACAGATTTAGTTAGCTGCTAGGATCCAGAGCATCTCAAACTCTTCACTTGAGAGGGGACCTTTGCTCTATGTACACATAGCTATGAGCAGCAAGGAAGGGCAAGTTTGAGGGGCAATGCTCCTCTTTTCCCATCTGCAAGGTAGTTTTCCTACAACAAAGAATGGTCTGCTCCAAAGGTGGATTCAATTGTTCACTTCTGGTAAAAAATAATTTACCAAAGCTTTGAAATGAGAGAATTCCTTAGGATAATGATTTAGTCAAAGCTCAATATATAGATGCCTCTTGTCCCTACCCCTATATCATAGTCTCTGCAAAATGGAACCTCCTCCCAAGCACTGGCCTATAGATGTGAGTTCAAGCATGAGAAGTAGGATGAGATCAGGAGGAGGCTGCACTTTCCCCTTTGTTTCTGATGCTCAGAGTCTACGGCTTCCTCTCTCTCTCTCTGTATGCTTTTCCCCCTCTTTTCTCTCTCCATGTGTATGTATGTGTGTATGTGTGAACAGAAGAGCAAACCGAATATAAATTTTACTAAGCATCCAGATGTTTTTAGAAATTTGCCACCACATACTTGATTGAAAGACATTTTCACTCAACACCTGTTTTTGTTGTTGTTGTTGTTGTTGTACCAACTCAGGGTAAGACAAATCAAATTTATAGAACTGGAAGGGAATATTTTGGTTCAAACATTTGAGTCAATCCACAATTATGTGCCACAGTCAGGCAAGGGAAAGAAATAAAAGAGATCCAAATAAGAAGGCAGGAAGTCAAACTATCCCTGTTTGCAGACAAAATGATTCTATATCTAGAAAACCCCATAGTATTGGCCCAAAACCTCCTTCAGCTGATAAACAACTTCAGCAAATTTCAGGATAAAAAATCAATGTACAAAAATTACTAGCATTCCTAGACAACAATAGCAGCCAAATTGAGAACCAAATCAGCAATGCAATCTCATGCACAATTACCAAAGAAGCATAAAATACCTAGGAATACTTTCAACCAGGGAGGTGAACGATCTCTACAATGAGAATGACAAAACACTGCTCAAAGAAATCAGAGATGACATAAATGAATGAAAATACATTCCATGTTCATGGATAGGAAGAACCAATATAATTAAAATGGTCATACTGCCCAAAGCAATTTATAGATTCAATGCTATTCCTATCAAACTACCAATGACATTCTTCACAGAACCAGAAAAAATTTTTTAAAACTTTATGTGGAACCAAAAAAAAAAAAAAAAAAAAAAAAGCCCAAATAGCCCGGGCAATCCTAAGCAAAAACAAGAACAAAAAAATGAGACATCATGTTACCCAACTGCACAATATACTACAGGGCTACAGTAAACAAAACAGCATGATACTGGTACAAAAACAGGCACATAGACCAATGGAACAGAAATGAGAACCCAGAAATTAGGACACGCACCTATAATCATCTTATCCTTGACAAAGCTGACAAAAGCAAGCAATGAGGAAAGGACTCCCTATTAAATAAATGGTGCTGGGATAACTGACTAGCCATATGCAGAAGATTGAAACTAGAGCCCTTCCTTACACCATATACAAAAATCAATTCAGGATGGATAAACACTTAAAACCCAAAACTATAAAAACTCTGGAAGACAACCTAGGCACTACCATTCTGGACACAGGTAGGCAATACCATTCTGGACATAGGAACTCTGGACAAAGGAACTGACAAAGATTTAATGATGAAGACTGCAAAGGACATGATCTTATTCCTTTTTTATGACTGTGTAATATTCCATGGTGTACGTGTACCACATTTTCTTTATTCAGTCTACCATTCACAACAAAATCACAACACAATAAAGTCAAAACAAAAGCAAAAATTGACAAATAGGATCTAATTAAACTTAAGAGCTTCTGCATAGCAAAGGGAACTATCAAAGAGGAAACAGACAACTACATAATGGGAGAAAATTTGTGAAAACTATGCATCAGACAAAGTTCTCATATGTAGCATCTCTTAGGACTTAAACACATTTACGAGAACAACTCCATTAAAAAGTAGGCAAAGAACATGAACAGACACTTTTCAAAAGAAGACATACATGCAACCAACAAGCATACCCCAAAAAGCCCAACATCACTGATCATTAGAGAAATGCAAATCAAATCCACAATGAGATACCATCGAACACCAGTCAAAATGGCTATTATTAAAAAGTCAAAAAGTAACAGATGCTTGCAAGGTTGTGGAGAAAGGGGAATGGTTATACCTTACTAGTGGGAGTGCAAATTAGTTCAGTCATTGTGGGAAGCACTGTGGCAATTCCTCAAAGAGCTGAAAAGGGAACTACCATTCAGCCCAGCAAACCCATTAGTGGGTATACACCCAAAGGAATAGAAATTGTTCTACCATAAAGACGCATGCATGTATATGTTCATTGCAGTACTATTCACAACAGCAAAAAAAAAAAAAAAGTAAAATTAGCCTAAATGCCCATCATTGGTGGACTGAATAAAGAAAATGTGGTCCATATAAGCTATGGAATACTATGCAGTCATAAAAAAGAAAAGATCATGTTTTTTTGCAGAGACATGGATGGAGCTGGAGGCCATCATACTTAGCCGACTAACACATGAACAGAAAACCAAATACCACATGTTCTCACTTAATAGTAGGAGCTAAATGATGAGAACACATGGACACACAGAGGGCAACAAAACGCACTGGGGCCTATCAGAGGGTGGAGGGTGGGAAGGAGGAGATCAGAAAAATAACTGTTGGGTACCAGGCTTAGTACCTAGATGACAAAATAATCTGTACAACAAATCCTTGCAACTCACATTTACCTATATAACAAACCTGCACATGTACCCCTGACCTAAAATAAAAGTTAAAAATAAAGCAATAAAGAAAATTATTTACCACATATAATGCATCATATCCCTTCATGCCCTGGCTAGAATCCTCTCTTGTCTGAGACCTTAATAGGGTGAACAATGCCATGCAGGCTTGAAATCCCCTCATGCTGCTATTTCTCCTACCAAGCTCACATCATACATCTTTCTGGTCCACCCTGATTCCTCGATACTGGTAGACTTCTCCTCAGCAAGGCCCATGAGCAACCTGGAAACATATAGGGGTTAGTGCCCACAGGGGCACCTCTAGAACATGGGGGGATCCTGCTTCTTCTGGTTTGTTTTTGGGAAGAAAATGCTCAGAGGCATTCTGGACACTCTTCTGCAGTGCTCAGGAAGGATGGGCCCCATTTGTCCATAGCAGTCACCCCACTGACCCACCCTGCCTTGGCTCTTCCTCCTTCCCTTCCTCTCACTGGCTCTTCACTCCTGCTCCCTCGGATTCAATCTCAACTAAACCACCAGCTCACATGTCCTTTTCTCAGGCCCTGGTTTCCGGAGGAAGCTCAAACTAAAAGAGTTGGTACCAGGAATGGTCCTAGAAGCAGTCTCTCAAGATAGGGTTCTGGAACTGGAAAACTCATTGGTGAGATGAAAGTTCCAGCAGTAGGTGGGGTGATGATAACCACTGGTGTGCAGTATCACCATAATATTGAAGACCCGCACTGGTAGTGGATCAGAAAGAGGCACAGGTGGAAGGCAAGGTTGTGGATTACGTGAAAGCCAATGAAGAATGGTAATTCCATGGGCTGGTAGTTACCGTGGGTTTTGTTGTTTTTTGTTTTGTTTTGTTTTTGTTTTTGTTTTTGTTTTAACTGTGTTAGTAGCCTTGAAGAAAAAAAAATAACAGGTTCAGGACAGCTACCTATCAATTCAAAGCTCACAATGAAAACTAGAAAGTCTCTGTACTCTATTGTAAGGGACCCTTATCTCTTGCAGTTGTAGAAAATATTGCACTAAAAATTAGACCTGGGTTTCATTATAAAGATGATGATCTGCAGATAAAACTCAGTTCATAGCATCAATAGGTCTTCTATGTTAATTTCAGACCCCAAGACTTAAATTGGGTGGAGAATCCAAGGACCTTTAACCTCTTGATTCCCATAAAACCCCTGGGCTGGAAGAAGCCCAGATTTCTCTCTTGTAAGAAGAGCGAATCTCTTTTCTTTTTTTCTTTTCTTTTCTTTTCTTTTTCCTTTTCTTTTCTCTTCTCTTTTCTTTTTCTCTTTCTTTCTTTCTTTCTTTCTTTGTTTCTTTCTTTCTTTCTTTCTTTCTTTCTTTCTTTCTTTCTTTCTTTCTTTCTTTCTTTCTTTTTTCTCTCTCCTTCCTTTCTCTCTCCCTCTCTTTCTTTCTTTCGAGAGACCTGAAAACATTACACCTGAGGCAGGTGCCTCACAAAATTATGGTTGCTCTCTTCAATATCCAGCAGCCTCTCATCATGGCTCCAGGTTAATAACTTGAGGAATTCAGTGTTAGACTAGAAGGAAATAGCATGAATGCAAAAAAAAATATGACAGGAGTTAGCCAATATATCACTTGGCAGAAATCTGGAGAAAACAAACAGAATTGGTTCAGAGAAGGCAGAATTTAGGTCTGGATGGGGAAAAATTTATTGAAATGTGAATATTCTCCTATGCCTCAGGGTTTAAATATCCTGGCAAAGATACTTAAAGCTGGCCCTCATACACTGTGCTAATGGCTTTGTGAAGTTTGAACAACATGATGGGCTATAGTAAATGGGTAGAGAATATTGAGAAAGAGGTCAAAAGGCTCACAGAGCAGGGGTGTTAGAATGGGTTATTCTATAAGAACAGAGAAATCACTCCCTGACAATATTCCTTTAGAGTCCAGAGGACAACCTTTTCATTTAGACAATAAGAAAAGTAGCAGGGCGCTGGTTTTGTTGAGGATCTCAGTGGTGCCTACCCTCTAGGTTGGGGTTTTGCCATAGAAAATGCTGTTATGGAATGAGGCTGCCTAGTGTTAACGGGGATGTTCCGATTCTGGAATAGCAGATGGCAGCACTTAAACATCAGAGGCAAAATACTCATCATTGCTGTCATGAGCAGTGAGAGCAGAGGACAACTAGTGTGCGCTGACTCTTAGGGACATAAGGCAATGGCTAATAGATCAAGGGGTTCCTAGTAGCAAGACAGATTGGCAGCCAATGAGTTGTTGCTTGATTCATATAAACAGAAGAAATCTAAAGCTGTCAAGCACAATGGAAAAATGAAATTTCCTCACCTAGTTTCCAGATCTAAGCCAGTTCATAGGTTCAGAACACACATATATACTTGCAACATCATCACAAGTATATTCAACTAATATTTCCCTGATCCTTCTGCAAAGGAACTTGTACTGGAGTAACTGGAAACTTGCGGGAAGGGAAATACCACATATTTTTGAGGGCTGGTGTTATGAGTTGACACTCATACCTGGAGACCTGAAATACCATCATACCCTTCCTGCCCCAGCCAAATGGGAGGCTCATGAAGGCTAAGCAGTGAAGGAGCCTTGGTCTGAGTCTGTTCCACGGTGTGCAGTGGGTGTGCATGCCTACCCTCTTGGTTATTTCCTGGCTTCCAAGTGTATAATTGGGATGGAGATCCCTTGCAGATGGAATAACTCAGGCACTCATCCCCTGACCTGTGTAATAAGAGCCATTAAGATAGGAATGGTGAAGTGAATGCTCTTAAGATTTTCCCCCAGAAGTGGAACCCCCTGAAACTTCTCTCCAAGAGGAAGTTCATGAAATCATAACCCTTACATGTCTACAAGAATAAATCAGAAGCAATGTCAAATTCTGAGTGATTTACAGTGTTAATATTACCATCAAAACATAAAGGATGCAGAGATGATCTTCCCTACCATGTATCTCACATTCAATCCACTAGTAAGATCTCTGGAAAGAAAGCAGATGGATTGTATGCCAAGAGATAGTAAATTTAACCAAGGGTAACTCCAGTTGAAACTACTGTATAAGATATGGTATCCTTTCCTGAAACAACAGCTGTGGTACTTGGTATGTGGCTATCAATGTGTCATGCATTTTTTTCAAGGCTCATCTCTAAGGAGGATCAAAAGGAGTTTATCATAATATATTCTGTATGGACCTCTATCATCTTGGCAGTCCTTAGAACATCACAAGAGTTCTCTATATTGATGCAATCATATTAAGCTTGGTGAGCAGTAATGAGCAACTCACCTGGATCCCCTGACAGGATGCATGATCGCCAGATGGTGGGAGGTAAACCTACCAAGTTTCAGGGGTCTGCCATATCGGTGAAGTTTTCTGGGTGTCAGTGGTCTGCGGTATTCCAGCACATCCCTTCTAAGGTAAGGCAATATGTTCATCTTGTATTACAACCACTAAGAGCAAAACCCAGCCTATGGAGCCCTCATTGAAACTGGGAGGCAGCAGTGACCGCACTTGTGAGGAGTGCCATGCCTGGCTCCGAGGCTCCTAGTTTCAAGTGGTGTAACAGTTCCAGGCTATTGAGTAAGATTTCTTATTAGGCCATGTGATCCAGCAGACTCAATGGCACTAGACATTTCCAGGGTATATAATTTGAAGTCTCTTGGAAGCCCCAGTTCAAGAATCATAGCTCAGACCACTAAGGTTCTTGAGCAAGACCATGCCTCCTATGTCAGGAAACTATTTGCCATTTAAAAAAGCAGTTCCTCATGTGTTACTAGGACCTATTAGAGGTTGAGAACTAACCACAGTACTTAAGTGACCATGTGAGTGGAGCTGCCCATCAGGAGGCAGGATTGTCAAATTCAGAAAGCCTTAAGGTAAGCAGGAGTAGTAGCCACCCATCATGCAACAGAAATGGTGAATTTGAAAGTGTGCCTGTAATGTGTGGCAGATGGGGGAGAAAATAGAAATCAGTTATGGCTTCAGACCCAGCACTGGCAGTGGGGCCTTTAGCTTGTTCAACTAAGGTTGGTGTACAAAGACTTTTCCTAAGATCGTAGCTGACTGTCACCTTGCAGGCTCAGTCATGGACTGGATTTAACGTAGTAAACAAACTGATCTGAGTGCTGTATGAGATGGGCCGTACCAGACAGTGCTCAGGACTTGACCCACATCCTCTCAGCCTCTCCTTTCAGCTTTGATGGCAGTGTACAGTTTCCTGCAAGCTTCTACTCACTTCAGACTGATAACTCGCATCCCAAGAATGCACAGCATTTCTTCCATTTGCTACTTCAGGATTTCTCTGGTGCTGTGCATATTGGAAAAAACTCACTGACAGGCACAAAGGCACAAACAGGATATAGATGCACCTAGATAAGCATTTCTCCCACTCCACCTCGGGGGTACAATTCCTAGAGGTAGTCTGCCTGCTCCCCTGGGGGCCGCAGACAGATCCAATCTATTTCCCACAGTGGTGCCCACATCCACACATCCTATGTCAGGTTTTCCTCCTTTCTCACTCCTGTGTTTCCTCCCGCCTGATTGCCTTCCAAAAATTTACCTGAACAGGGTCCTTGTCTTGGTTCTCCCTTCTGTGGGAACTTAAGCTAAGATGTATAATAAGTAATAAATGGGTGACATAATTGAATGAAGAGAAAGACACAGCTAAGACTCTATACCCAGACAATGGGAAGCTCCCTAGCAGAAGCAGCAGTGTTCTGGTGTCTCGCAGAGGGAGCAATGGTGCAGCTGTGCTAGGAAAGCAGGGAGTTGTCATGGAGGAGCTGCCATCCACACCAGACCCTGAAGAGTGAGTGAGACCAGGAGGGTGGGAGAAGGCAGCCTCTTTAGGCATAGAGGGGTCGGGAGCAGTAGCTCACACCTGTAACACTTTCTGTGTGTTATTTCTTTAATTCTCATATTAAACAGCATTTCAGGAGGCCCAGGCAGGTAGATCACATGAGGCCAGGAGTTCAAGACCAGCCTGGCCAACATGGCAAAACCTCATCTCTACTAAAAATACAAAAATTAGCGGGGCATGGTGGTGCATGCCTGTAATCCCAGCTACTCGGGAGGCTGAGGCATGAGAATCACTTGAAACCAGGAGGTGGAGATTGCAGTGAGCCAAGATCACACCATTGCACTCCAGCCTGGGTGACACAGTGAGACCCTGTCTCAAAAAAAAAAAAAAAAAAAAAAAAAAAAAGGCATAGAGGGCAAAAATACAGGATCTTGGTACCACTCAGTACTCTTCTGATTACAAGTGACCAAAGGGAAAAAGTAAAGTTAGATAAGGGGGGAAAAAATTGTCTCACAAAATCCAAAATATTATGGTTTACTAACCAAGCCAGGGAAACTGCTCCAGGATAGGTTGAACAAAAGTCGCCAATGGTAAGAGTGGCCCTCAATTTACAGCCTAAACTACAGACTCACTTAATTATTCCTATGGGCCAAATTCCAAAAATTTCAAGGAAGGGACTCTGACTCTCATTGGGCTGTCTTGATATATATGTTTATCTTTGAACACATCAGCTGCGGCCAGAGGGCTTGGTCCAAGTTGCATCAACACAGTTCTTCTTATAATCCCTGCTGGAATAGGTGGGCCACTTCCTAGGAAAGGGGTTATGGGCAGATGATCTGAAGGTATTCATCTCAGCTTACCTGAGGGGTGATTAGAAGCCACAGGTGAGCTGCAATGCAGGATATGAGGGTGTGTGAAATTGATTGAAAACATGAATGGAAAAGAAGACAGTGAAGGACCCTGAATGCCACAGGAAGCAATGTGGGTTCCATCTCTAAGTCATTACAATTTTGATGTAGTACTGTGTCATGATTTGCTATATATTGTAAAAGTGTAGATCAAAGGGGTACATTTTATGAGAGAGGGAGACCACATAGATGGCTATTACTATTGACCACATTAAAAGTGGTAAGGGTTTGAATTAAGGTAAAAGCTAAGGGAACTGAAAGAAGGAGATATTTCTGAGTCACAGGAGTGAGGGGAGATGTGGCGGGTTACACTGATTACCCGAAGTTATGACATTTCTGTATCCACACACTTTGTTTGCAATGTGACTTTATATAGCTCTTCCAATAATCAAAAATGGAGTTTGTTTTCTCAATCCTTGGATCTGGTTGGTTTCATGACTTACTGTGGCTAATATAACGTGATCTTTGACCATTCCAAGTCTAAACCTCAAGAGGCCACATGTGTTGCTTCTTGCTTTCTTGGAACCTACCACTGCCCTGTGAACCAGCCCGGGCTAGCCTGCTGGATGATAGAAGACACAGGGGGAGAGCTCCAGCTGGAAGAAAGACAGAGCTGCTTCACCAGCCTGAAGCTGACCACAGACACATGAAGAAGCCTGGCCCAGGCCAGAAGAACCACGCAACTCAGCCCAGCCTAAATTGCTGATCCACAGCAACACATGCTAGATAAATAACTTGTGTTAAGCCACTAAATTTGGAGGTAACTATGCAGCAATAAGCTAAATGATATAGTTGACTTCATTTTTCAGATGAGGAAACAGAGGCCTCTAAAAGAATACATATCCAACCCCTCCTGGTAAAAGAACCAGGGCTCAACTCAGGATTCCTCTTTTAGTACGGTGTGCTCTTCTTATTGTACCTTTGGTGGAAACCCAACAGGATTCATGTTAATAATCATGACTGCCCTTTACTGAACACATGCCAGGCTCTAACCCTGACACTTGCTGCATGTTATACTTTTATTCTCACATTAACTCCATAAGGAGGGTTTTATTAAACCCACTTTAAAGACTGAGTATAAAGATAGGAAAAAGTTTACAAAATAAAATGTAGAGTGTCTGGGACTCAAACCCAGGTCTGTGTGTCCACAGAACCCTGCATTTTCTGCTTTTCTTCCAGAAAGTCTATTTTCAAAAATTTTACTAGACAGAGTTTCATCATTACTGAGAACCATATGGCACTGTTGATTTTTCTCCTACTAAATGCCATTGTTACATTGCATGTTTTGTATTTCAGACTTGTATATTCTAATCATAATGTGCTTACTAGGTATCAGATACTTTGATTAGTGTTTTTTCCTGAATGGTCCTTTTTGATTCCCATGGAAAGATATAAATACTATTATTGACCAAAATTAGCAGAAGAGAAAACTGAAGTTCAGTGTGTTTAAGTCCCTCATCCAAAGTCGTTTCTGACTCTAAACTATGTCTCCTTATCTACTATGTTTACTGTCCCTTTTAGAAGCTGTTCATGTTGAAAGGAGTCCCAACAGTGGAGTCTCTGGGAATAAGAGTTAAAGATAAGACCATATGTAGCCTTACTGAGTACATGAAGTATGCAGCTATGATGTATCCTTTTTTCATATGATAAATGGTGCTTTCTATTTCACTATTTTGTCATTCTTGGTTCCATTAAGAACTTTGCTTTCATCTCCCTCTTTCTATTTTCCCAAGTCCCATTGTTTGGGCCTAAATCAGGCCTGAGCAAGAAGAGTTAGAGGGTACCTAGAACATTTAATGTAGACAGTTGTAGTTGGAGGTGACATCTATTAGAACAAAAAACTGTTTTCTGGATGGTGCATTTGTTGTTATTGTTCAAAGAGAATTACAAAATTGTGAGAATAAGGCATCCGGCTATTTCACCTTGTTGACAAGTTTTCAGGCAAGATTGATGTCTCTAGCTCTGACCCCAACATACACATGTGCCAATACTGTACATTCTCTTTTAGTTCATACATCTCGATTAAATTTCCAACATTGCTGATAGACTTGGTGAACAAACACCAAGCACAACAGCCTGGTGAGGGGAGCGAGCCCAGGAAAGCAAACTGAGTTAACGTAAGTGAATTAGGCAGATGCCTCAAGACTCTGTCATGGACCCATCACAATTGTAAGATATAAAATGGATTAGGGACTCCCCAGAGGCCTCAGAAGACTTAAGAGGCAGGTGGAGCTGCATGGTTCAAGGAGTGTGAGTTGGGAGTTCCCTCTCCAATGTGTTTCCTATTCTCTCTGGCTCTCATTCCTTCCTACACCAAACATCCATGAACACCCACCTTGTCTCTGATACTGTCTTGGGCATGGAGGTGCAGGTTTGGGAGAGCCACTGTCTGTCTCTAATGGGAGAAAGGCTCCAAAACAAAGACTAGCCCAAATTCCATCACAGGGGCACAATCAAGATGCTGGCAGGGAAACTAGGGCAGCTTCTCTTGGGTGATGAGGACTGTGCCTTGGGAAATAAGCAGGATTGACCAAGGAAGAGAGTTCCAGGGGGAGGAGACAGTGTGCAATGCCATGGGATACACAAGTGTCTAGCTGCCTTCAGAGTTTTGAGACTAGTAGGAAAAAGGGGCCAGTGAGGCTGAGAGACAGAAAGTAGGAGCCAGGTCATGCTTGTGAGACATCAGAAGGAATGTGGCCTTTTAACAAAGTTTTACCTTCCTTATTCCACAGACATTAAAATAACATATCTTCCTTTAACACTGTTGAAAATTGCAAGATAAGTTCTGAATTGTCACCAAAATCGTGAAACAATAGTGTGAAGCATGGTTTCATTTTCTCAGACATTTTTGAAAAACTACTTGTTAGAGACCACAGAGAACCTTTGAGGGTTTTAAGCTGGCACAGATGTGCATACAGGCGCTCTCTGAACTGAGCTGGAGGAAGTGCCTGCCTTTGGTGTCCAGCCCAGGAAGATCATGGTAATTATGGCCACAAAAGAAATAGAAAAGGGAGAGTCTGGTTTGTTGAGGCCTGAGGCAGAGATGATATCTGAGCAGAGGCCACCACCCATCAAAGTCTGACCTGAGCTCAGCTGCCTTCTTTAGCTTTTCAGGAACTCCATCCTAAAAGTTTACACAGAGCTCATGGATTCTTAGGGAGACTGATGCTTTCTGAACCAATCATAGTGACAGATAAATAGAGACCAATTGATTAAGTTATAATGAGAAAGCGTGCTTCCTGTTCAGAGGCCTAAATTACAAGTGGATTTGTGGATCTTGGCCTTTGTATTTTCTCTACATGAGGAAGATCACGGAAAATAGAATTATTCTCAGGAATTTCCTTGTTGGGCTTTATTCATCTACCCAACTAATGTTCATTGAACCAGAAACTCTGTATGTTGTGGGGTGTGTGTGTGTGCATGTGTGTGTGTGTGCACTTGCATAGGCAAGGAGAATAGCACTTACCTTACAACAATGGCTAAGAGAACAGCTACCCTGAAGCTGCTCATGGTCTAATGGGGCAGATGAATAGACACATTCATATAAATTTTTGAGCATAAGAAAGAAATATTATGAGACAAGCAGGATCTGAGCAGACCAAAGCAGAACACAATACCTCCTTTCATTTTCTAGGAACTGCATTTCTCTTGGGAGTTGGTCATATCTGATTCCCAGTACAGCCCTTGGCAGGAAGTCGTGGTATTTTCAAATGAAGTCATTAATAAAAATCAATTACTGAGGGATTTCCGATGAAGTCGATAACAGGAGAACTACTTATGCTAGATGACTAAGCATGTTCTGCAGTGTTGGAGCCTATAATAGTCTCCCAGGGCTACCATAACAGAACACTACAGACTAGGCGGCTTAAACCAGAGAAATTTATGTTATCACAGTTCTGGGGGCTAGAATTCTAAGATCAAAGTATTGGTTTGCTTGGTTTCTTCTGGTTCATCTCTCCTGGGCTTGGGGCTGACCATCTTCCCCCCATGTCCTCACATGGCCTTTCCTCTGTGTGTCACTGTGTCCAAATTTCCTCTTCTTATAAGGACACCAGTCATATTGGCTTAGGGTCCATCCATATGCCCTCATTTAACCTTAATTACCTCTTAAAAGACCTTATCTCCAAATACAATTACAATCTGAGGCACTAGGGGTTAGGATTTCAACACAGGAATTTTGGAGAGACACAATATAGCCCATTGCAGAGCCATACGGCACGTGTGTTGAAGTTGAGATGGGCAAAATGTGTAACAGGATTACTGCTCTGTCTGAACTAGAATCAGAACGTTTCTGAAAAGACAAGTTTACATGATAATACAAATCTAACTGTAAAAGGAACAACTCAGGGTATCTTAATCAACAGACAGGTATCTGGACAGTGGACTTGTTTAATGCTGGTGCACCCTGCCGTATTCTCCCACAATCTGGGAACCAGGGCACCGGTTGTGGAAGGAGGTCCAGCCTCAAAGTCAGCAAGTTCCCACTGTTGACTTGACGATCTCTTTTAGTCTTTTTACTTTTTAGTCAACTGTTGTACTTGTAAGACACTTGTGATTTCAGTATAGTCAGTCATGTCATCCACCTTGACAATAGAGAGAACATCTATCAGTGCAGCCTGAGATCACACACATGCCTTTGCCAGTTGAGTTGATTTCCCTCCTGATTAAACATGCAATAAACTATAACCTAGAGTTGTCTCCCCATGTACTTTTGCTAAGTCATATCTCCCCTGGGCTTACATAATTGTGGGGCTCCCAATTAAGACCTTACATTTGCCTCAATTGAGTTCATATTGTTATATTTGGCCCATGACTTGAAAATGATGTTCTTCATCAATTCCAAGCTGTATGACCTTGGCCAAGTCATTTAAATATTCTTGAACTTGGCTTTCTAACACGAAAATTAAGGTTAAAAGACTTTCTTCTCAAGGTCGTAGAGGGGATTAAATGAGATTATGTAAATGACAATGACTATTATTATTGTACATTGCCAGTGTCATAATGCAATAAGGTACCTGAGGGCCTCAAGTTCAGGTAAACAGTCAGGAAAGAGGAGACCTAGGAGCAGAGAGCAGATTTACAAAGGGCCCTGTTCTGGTACTAGATATGCAATCTCTAGAAACTTACTGTGTGCCCTGCCTGGACTTTGAAGTGATCTGCACTCTTGTCTAAACCTATCACAGCTAGCTGGGCTTAGCCTCTCTTCTCCTTGCTTCAGTTGAATATTCTCTTCTTCCTTTATCCATTACTCTGTTATATCTTGATTGTATGCCAGGCCACCCACTCTCCTAGAATGTCAATTTTGTCACTCAAATTACTTGATACTCTTCCAAGCTTTATGCCATCTGCAAATATAATTTCTATCATCCAAGTCTTCATCAAAGTCACCCCGGGTACAGTAACTTCTATTCTCTTTCTAACTATACTGTCACTACCCCCCTGGGTTTTCACTAACCCCTAATTCCTCCTCCATGTCTGCCTTTAGTCTATTCCAATGGCTACCAGGTCTCTCCTTGGGAAGTCTGAGGTTTTGGGTTTGGAGTTGGGGACAAATGTCATGTGCACAGGGTCAAGTTGTCTGATCATATGTAGGCAGTTGTAATTTGGAGTTGTTTGCATACCCTTGTCCTGCTTTGCAGAGATGTTCTGAAAAAAAATGATGAGATTTGTTATTTTTGTGTGAATTATGGGGAAAATAATAATATCAAAAATTATTCTATGTTTTAAGATATCAGAACTAGAATTGCATTATTCTATATTTAAAAATATAACACTGGTTATAATCAAAGTGAGGTAAAGGAAACGCAATGAAGATTTTGTGTGGGATACCACGGTGGGCTTCTCAGAGGTGGCTGAGATTTTTCTTTAAGGCTTACCCTCAATGTCAATGAATGCCTATATTGTCCATAAGAATCTATCCGTCTGTGCATTCACCCTCCAATGTAGTTTAGTGACCATGTTGGTTCACTTACTCCATTACATTGCCTAAAGTGATCCTGCTGCAATGGAACTCTCCCACCAGAAGACACAACTCTAACACTGCTCTGTGGATGCAGGAGTGGTCTGGAACAAAGGATGACAATGACTGTGTCATATTCTTTGTTGACCTTGGATCCATGGCCATAGAACCACTTTTGCTCACCCTAGTGGAGCTAAGTTATTCCAGTCAGCCTTGAGCAGTTTCACAAAAGTGGTCTCATTTTAGGTAGGAGACCTGTTCTTTTCTTTTATCCATATTTTCCTTTCTACAAAAACCTACCATGTAGAGGCATTGGGCTAGGCAATCTTCTGGCATTTATAGCAGCTCTGAGAAGACACACTTTAGCTTCTTCTTTCTATGTCCCTTGGTATTTGACACGGTTATTCTGTTCCCCTGTAACTTCCAGCTCTTGGCCCTAGTTCTGCCACCTGAGCAACTGGAGTAGAGATGGTCTTCTACATTCTGCCACCTGAGCAACTGAAGTAGAGATGGTCTTCTATATGGCCATTCTTCTTCAGAATGTGAAGTCACATTTCATATTCTACTGATATCCTTCCTGTGAAGATCCTTCTAAGCTCTTCCCTCTTCCTCTCCTCCCTCCATCTTCCTTTCTTTCATCTTTTTGTCATTTGTTCCTTGAACATTTATTAAAAAGGCTTTGTTCCAGAAGCTCAGACTGCAATGTCAAATAAAATGTCATGAAATCAGAAGCTCCCTGAGGGCAGGAGGCATATCTAGTTTTATCTCCACTGTATCTCCAGTGCCTAGCACAGTGCCCAACCCATATGGGGGCTTAGTCAATTTCTGCTCATGGCAGTCAGGCAGGAAGGCAGGCAACCACTTCCCTCAAGGAACTTGCTATATGGTAGGGGAATAGACCATTTCTATTCAATGCGGTAAATCTAAAATGGGAGTGTGTATATGGTACAGTGATATACCATGGAAGGAATATCTAAATCAACCCCGGAAAGTCAGAGAAGGCTTTGCAGAGGAGATTTTCCTTGGATTGTTAATCCTTGGACAGCAGGGAGGTGTTGACAGTATAGACAGAAAGAGAATTGAAGTGACTGTACCAAGGCTGACTTTGATGAAGACATGGATGATAGAAATTAAATTTGCAGATGGCATAAAGCTTGGAAGAGTATCAAGTAATTAAGTGTTTGTCAGAGGGAAAAGTGGGATTTCAGCAACAAAAATAGCATGTGCAACAGCACAGAGACTAGCGAATACACCAAATAATGAGGACACCACTAGCACGTCAGCATCTACTGAGCCTGGCTATATGCGGCCATGTTCCATGGGCTTCTGGTATGAGAGATTACAGAATGCTGTCACCACATGTGTTTCCTAGTTCCAAAAGGAGGAGAAGCTCAAGAAAATCCAAGCTGTATTCCCACCTAGACTATGAGCTGTTAATGACTTGTTGTTTCTTATTCTTCTATTTTATAAGGCACAGTCAACCACACAGCTACTGAGTAATGCACCACAAAATAGCAAGTGAAAAAATAATTACATGTTCCTGAAATTGCTTGGTGGTTATCCTTGAAATATCAAATCATTCCAATGAATTACTTTGTAATGTAACTTTTCTTTTTTAATTTCATGATAATGTTCCAGTTTACTAGTCACAAAACTCCCTGACATCACTGTCATCTCAGCAGGGTGAATATTTTAAACAGTTTTGACAATATAATTATGGTTATTAGGTGGGTATTTGTTTCTCATCAACTAAATAATAACACCTTGTCTCAAGAATCTGGGTTTCTTGGAAGAATCTCAAAGTGCTTTACCAACAAGCATTATTTTTCTAAAGGGGAAGTTCAAAGGCCCCCAGTTGGATTGACGTCCCAGGTTGTGCGTAAAGTCAGCATGGTTAAAGGAGACCCTGGTCTAGAGATGCAGCTCAGGAGGAGAAGTGGTAAGATTGCAGCAGCTTTGCCACACCAAAAGGCCTGGTAGCTGGGTGTACAGCCTCCAAATCAGAGGGTCTCGCAGCCTGATATATCCCCTTCCAAGAAGGTCAGGAATTTGGGCCTCCACTATCTCTAGTGGAGATAGTATGTTTATAAAGAGTGATGGAAAGTTAACTCTTTTTTGACTGAGACCAGTTCTCAGCCAAATTGTAAGAACTCATTAGAAGAGGTGGTGGATGTGGGCTCTGGACTGGATGGTTTGCATGGGAAAGGCCCCCTTGAAGGTAAGTCACTTGCTTCCTTTAGGAATTGAGAAGTCCTGGGAGGGGCAGTCTCTCCGGGGTCAGTAAGTTCTCAGTGCTGACTCCACTACAACAGCTAGGTAAGTCCTGTAAGTCTGCTGTGCCACCAGATCCGAGGCTGGAAGTTTATACCCAATGTATTTCTTTGTAGTAAAACAACAATGAAAAATGCTTGTGTAAAATGCATAGTTTCATAGCAATTAAAGTAACATTAAATAAAAGCCACTTCTAATTTTCTAGTGAACTTCTATTGAATAAACAACAGCAAACAAATGTTGTCAGGGATAGAAAGAAACATGAGTTTTACATTGCTTGATCTTTCTGGAGAAAGGCAATAGGCAATGACACCTATAAAACGATTTCTTTTTGACTTGTAAATTACTTTGGATTACTTCAAATGAAATTAAATAAACGATGGTCTGAGTACATTGGCTGGAACTTCGCGGGCCAGCAATGAAGCTATGTCTTTTTTCCCTATGGGTAATACCTTAGCCCAGTCATCCTAGAAAAATAGAGCCTGAGGCACATCTGGTGTGTTAATATTTACTTGGAGATAAAATCCTAGGATAGTAAGAAGTAGTTGTTTTACAGTGTAGGTTTGATTATTATTCGGGTATAGTGAGGCCAACAGATCAGAAAATGACTGTCATTGAAAAGATTGTTACAGGTCCCAAGAGGAGGGTACAGGCCATGCCACATAGGGCCACACAGGGAAGCAGCAGGGTTGGTCAGGAAGTTGGTGGTGGGGGAAGGTTGGGGGACAAATGCCTTTGTTGTAGGTTCTGTGAGAAGGAATGGAATAAGTGAAGCAAGGTAAACAGGTTTAAGATTGGCTGGTTTGAATAATTTCAGCAGGCTCTGGAGTGTAGGGGCTCTCTAGTGGTCTGGTACCGGGCCCTAGGGTAATTAGGGCAAGGTGAATGAATAACAGCCTGAATGGTAAGAACTCATTAGAAGGGGTGTTGGGTGTGGGCTCTGGATTGGAAGGTTTGCATGGGAAAGGCCCCCTTGCAGGTGAGTCACTTGCTTCCTCTAAGAATTGAGAAGTCCTGGGAGGGGCAGCCTCTCCAGGGTCAGTAAAACCGCAGATTTCAAAGCATTAGAAACACACAGTCAATACAGCAGGAAAGAGGGCAGAGAGGTAGGGAAGGAAGATAGGAAGGTACAAAGTGGCCCATTACTGAGGTAGTTGTAGTTTCCCAAAAATATGCAGCAGGATTCTTGGCTGTGTGGGATGTGCCTGGACACTGTGTCTTGGAATGGTCTACTGCAGTGGGAAGGAAGAGATTTCTCTACAGGCACTTTCCCATTGTTTCCTATAGCTCCAAAGGCAGGGGTTGGCCACTGGATATATGTATCTCTAGGTCATGTCACAGAGGCGCCAACAGGCAGAGAGCACGAGGCTGCAAGCAAGAAGCGGATGACGCCTGCTCTAGGTCTAGAAACCCAGAGATGAAGCCCAGATGGAAAAGAAGCTGCTCCAGGTGGAATTCTGCCCCCATCCTTAATTCACGCATTGAGATCTTTACCTCCGGTACCTAGAATGTGACCTTATCTAGAGATAGAGTCTCTAAAAAGGCAATTAAGCCAAAGTGTGGCTATATGGGTGGGTGCTAACCCGATATGACTGCTGTTCTTATAAGAAGGGGAGACTTGGACACAGGTAAGCATAGGGTAAAGGTCACCTGAAGACACAGGGAACTGATGGCCACCTACAAACTAAGCAGAAACACTTCTGAGAAAACCTACCCTGCTGACATGTGGGTCACAAACTTCTGGCCTCTAAGATGGTGAGAAAATAAATTTCGGTTGTTTAGGTCACCTCTGTCTGTAGGACTTTGTTTTGGCAGCCTGAGCTAACTAATATAGAAGCCATTTGTACAAAGTTGCTCACAAGCCATGCAGTTTACAGTCGCCGACTTTGAAGAGGATGACCGTAGAGCCAAGTCTGATATCTCAAGGTAATGAACTCATAGACAGCTGTCAAAATACAAATTCTCTAGAGTAACCACACAATTGCATGCATTGAATGATGGTGAGTAAAGCGAGCAGAAGGGAAAATGGAATGTAGTCTGATTAAACTAGGTCACATAAATGTAAATTTGTATATTTATTAACAGCGATGGAAAGTTAATGCTTTTCTGACAGAATTGTTTTAATTAAACTAACTGTAGAGTATAATCAATCTATATTGTGTTATTTTTAATGTTTTCCTTTGATCCTTTTCTTCTCATAGCTTACATGAGAGAAAACAATGCTTGATTAAGTCATACAAGCTTGCTGGGCCTGTTTGCTTATGTGAAAAAATGAAAGCTTGGGTATGTTAAGAAGGATTCTGGGGCTCAGTCTAGACAATGCAGGCCAGAAATGTCCTGTGTATGGCACAGGATGGGGTAATGGCAGCACACACCTGCCCTGGGTGATCTCCAACGGCCTGTTCAGATTTCCCTCTGTGAATACTATAGGATAACATCAGTGAGCCCTTGCAGGTTAGAGTAAAATCGATTTCTCTGCTGCTTATTGGCCATGTAAATAAATAGCAAAGGTGTTTTTAAGTGTGTTTCACCGCAATGCCTGTACCCTTGTTCTAAGGCGTATCTGGCCCTGGTTCTTGGATAAGCTACATTGACAGCCTGAGTAAATAACTGGCAGCCTTTTCGTTAACTGGAATTTGTTTCTCATTTGGATTTAGATTTTTTCCTCTCTCTGAGATTAGGATCTCTCTTGTCACCAGGCTTCTACTGTCTCCTGTTTGATCTTATGTGTCTTAGTTTATGTTTTCTAAACTAAAGTCGATAGTGTAACAAACAAACAGCCCTGAAACCTCTCACCCAACTCCCACTTAAACATGTTTCCTGAGTTATCTAAAAAATAAGTCAGTATTATCATTTCTGCATTCTTTGCAGTTTGCAAAGCATTTTCCTGTGCATGTGATCCTCATATATCAACCTCCAACAAAGGCAGGCAGAGGCAAGTCATTATTCCTGATCTATAGAGAGGTTTTGTGATTCTTCTGGGGTCACACAAATACCCTTTTAACCTGGGCGTGGGTCTGGCTGACTCCAACTTTGGGCTTTTTACAGAGCATAGCACTGTGTCTCAGGAAGTTGCTTCTAAGTAGGATGGTCCTGGCTGACTCAGCCCAGTAGTCTCCTCACTGTGTTCCTTATGAAGTTCAGAATCAGCCTGGGTCATACGCCATTGAACAGACTCCGGCCTCATGTCTCCCTCAGTCTTCCCTCATTGATTCAGAATTGGACGGGCATCTCCAAGGGGACTGCTTGCTCTCCATGCCCTCAGACTCCAGGAGCCTGGGAACTAGGGGTTTCCCAGGATACAGGACTTTTCATTACTAAAACCAGGAAAGCCCTGGGCAGAGAGAGACAAGTTGGTCACCCTGCCAAAGAAGGACTATAGCATCTCATCCTTGAGAATTGGGAAGAGGACGGAGATGGGATGGGACCAAAGGCACTCTCATTGCAGGTTACAGTGTGGCCAACTCCATGGGAGGAGTATCTCGGGTTCAGTTAGAGACAACTGAGTCCAAATCTCTTGTTTTGTTAGAGGCCCCTGAGGCTCTAAAAGAAGGGCTTTCCCCAGGGTGAACCAGCTTATTATGGCAGACAGAGCATCCAACACAGGCCTCCTGACACCCACTCTGGGCCTCTCCTTATAACCATGGAAGCTTTGGTATCATGTTGCCATTTGCTTACACTGCCTCTTTTAAGTCTCCCACCCCTGTGAGACAGGTATCCCTTTCTCATTCACACTCAACTTATGAGACAACTAAGACACAGAGCGCTGAGATAATTTGCCCCAGGTCACACTGCTTATAAGTGTCAGAGACCAGACTCTTCGTCTAGGGCTCATTCTGTTATCATCTCAATAGCTACAGTCTATACAATGCAGAATTTACTTTTTGCAGTCTTATATTATATGACTTACATTATTTCATGTAATCCTATTAACAACCTTGAGGTAAAAGAACTGTCTGGCATGATTGAGAAATAAATAAATGGATGTTGTTTTAAACCATTCAATTGTGTGTGGTTTGTCATACAGCAAAACCTGATACTGGGCATTATCTAATTTGTTTCTAATAATAACTCAGTGCTGGTTGTTATTGGATTCATTCGATAAATGAAGACTGTAAACTTATTAGTGTTAAAGTGACTGCTGATGCGGTATGTCACAGAGCTGGCAAGTGACAGTGTTGGAATCAGAACCAATGTCCATGTTACTCCAGAGCTAGTACTTTTAACCACTGTAATATGCTAGTATGAAAAAAAAAAAAAAGGCTTTCAAAGATGTCCACATCCTAATCTCTAGAACATGCGAGTATGTTATTATACCTTACATGGCAACAGAGAATTAAGGTTCTAGATAGAATTAAGGTTACTAATCAGCCTGCCTTTAAATAGAGAAATTATCCTAGATTATCAGAGCAGGTTCAATGTAGCCATGAGAGTCCTGAAAAGTAGCAGAGAGAGGCAGGACAGGAGAATAGGAGAGGGTGCGGCTGCACTAGAAGGGCATAGAGAGCTGCAGCAGGGTTGCTGGGCTTAACTGTGGGATTTGGGTTCCCTCTAGAAGCTGGAATAGGCAGGGAAAAGGATTGTCCCCTAGAGCCTCTGGAAAGGAACTCAACTCTGCTGACACCCTGATTTTAGCCCAGTTAGGCTTACGTCAGACTTCCAACCTCCATGTTTGAGTGTTTTTGTTTTGTTTTGTTTTTGAGACAGAGTCTTGCTTTGTCGGCCAGGCTGGAGTGCAGTGGCATGATCTTGGCTCACTGCAACCTCCATCTCTGGGGCTCAAGCAATTCTCCTGCCTCAGCCTCCTGAGTAGCTGGGATTACAGGTGTGTGCCACCACACCCAGATAGTTTTTGTATTTTTAGTAGAGATGGGGTTTCACCATGTTGGCCAGGCTGGTTTTGAACTCCTGACATCGTGATCCACCTGCCTCGGCCTCCCAAAGTGCTGGGATTACAGGCTTGAGCCACTGTGCCCAGCCAAGTTTGAGTGGTTTTAAGGCTCTGAGTGTGTGGTCACTTGTTACAGCAGCCACAAGAAATGGATACGACTGCAATGTGGCACAAACCTGCCACTTGCCTGCTCTCCCAGGGTCTCAGCCCTGTTCATGCTACAGCCCTTATGGTGCCACTCATATAGTGGGGGCTCAAAAAAGTACTAAAGTACTAATTATGACCATTTATTGAGTACATCCTGTGTTCCAGGCTCCAAGCTACGTGTTTTACAAAAATACGTCATCTAGCTACCATAATTACATTATGGTTATTCATTTCACTATGTGAGGATTGAGGCATAGAGAGGTTGAGGTCACACAGCTGGAAGTAGAATAGCTAAGATTTGAACCCAGGCCTGTTAGCTCCAAAGTCTTCCCTTTTTCACTCTGCCATGCTGTCAGCAACACTGCAGTTTGTTGAATTAAAGTGGGAAAGGACTTGAAAATCCTATATGGAGAACTTTCATTAACTTGGAGAAATGGCACCTCGGGAACCAATGTCCAATCATTAACACCTCCCTCTGCTTCTTTTCCTCCATTTCCACTAATTTCTTTCCCCTCTCTCATCCTTCCACATACATTTACTGAACACCTGTCCTGGGATAGAAAGACAAATAAGACACAGCCCCTGTTCTGAGCTCACATTTAACAGAGGAATTAAGACACAGACACATACAGCATCCTTGAGAGGCAGATATGACCAGTGTCAGGAGAGGGAGATGAGAGAAGCAGAATGGAGGGTTTCCTCCTGCTCAGTCTGGGAATCAATAGGAGGAGAGAAATGAAATTTGAGTTCTGGCCCTGCTCTGTTCTAGCAGTGTTGCTTTGATGATACCAACAAATATAATAGTAGCTAACAATCTCCCTGTGTGCCAGGCAGTGTTCTAAGTTACCTCTTGTAACTTGATTAAATCTCTTTGCCTCTCTGAGCTCAATTAATAAAAAAATTTTCTATAAGAAACAGTGAGCAAGACAGATGCAATTCGTCAAACAGGTAAGACAAGCGTGATGAATGTCACCAAACTGCTCTGTGAATCCCGAATCAGGAAAGCTGACCTCTCCTGGGATCAGCAAAGACTCTTTAAGATGTTCAAATATACTGAGACCTGAGGATCCATGTGGTCAGCTAGAGGCTGCACAGGGGGTGGAGTTAACAGTAGTCACAGAAGGTCAGGCCAGATAGAAGGCCTAGAAACAAAAGGAAATGGCACATTCAAGGACAGAAAGAATTTCTGTTTCTCAGGGGCTTAGAAAGTAGACATTTGTGAAATGGAGCTAATCACCCACCCCATAGAGCTACAGGATGATTATCTGAGATAATGTGTGAAAGAAAGAAACATAAGCTTTTCTGAAAACCTATACACACTATTATTTTAGCATTTATTGAGCACAATTTATATCATCATCTTTTTTCTCCCCATCTAGACTGAAATCTCCTAGAGGATGTACTAATTAAGTTAAAAGCATCAGCTGCTGTATCAAACAGACCTGATGGCATATGTCTTAAAGAACTATACCTCTGTTTCTCTCTCACATAGCAGTTCTGAGATGAGCAGCCCATGGATACAGGCAGCCTTTGCCCCCAGGTCATTCAGGCACCCAGGTTCCTTTCATTCTGTGACTCTTTTTCTCCTAGCACATTGGCATCATCTGAACGGCTGAAGCTTAATCGCCAGGGGTCAACTAGTGGAAGGTAGCCAGGCACCAACCTTGGGGCAGAATTTGATTGCTAACAAATCAATAGTAGGGAAGTAGGGAAGAGAGACAGGGAAGGAAAGACAGGCAATACAGGTTGTGTTATCTATTCATCTACCACTATGCATAATGCAGTTATCCCTCTGGAGAACTCTGGAAGTCCTGTTAAACATCGCACCTCAGAGTAGTTATCTCACGCAAGTGCTGAGGGAGCTGGGGCATTGATACACCAGCTCTTGTCAGTCATTGGTTGACAACAACTCCCAGAGGCATGCCAATTCCCTGGTGCTTTTCCTGCCATGCCAGCAGCAAAATGGGTTCCAGGAGCAAGGAAAATCCCTCTGGAAAAGAGATGCAGATGCTGGCAGTTGGAAGTGAGGCTGACATGAACAAGAAAGATAAGTGGGATGAGATATGGGTGTGGCACTAACAGCATCTGCTACAGTGGGCAACTAGCAGTGCTTGCCAGAAAAGAAAAGCCAAAATTGTAGCCCTGTTTACATCCCTGAGCATCAGCCTAGATCACAATGAAGGCTCAATAAATGTTTAGAGAATGAATGAGTAAATGAGTGATTGATGAGTACATTAATATGTCTTTAAATGATTTACCTATTTCTATGGTGGAAGAAAACATTTATCTACATTTATGTCTATAGCCATAGCTGTTTATATTATATCTACATCTATCTATCTGTATAAATAGGTAAACGAATAGATGGATGGATGGATGGATGGATGGATGAATGGATGGATAGTGTATAGGCAGGTAGGTAGAGGGATAGATGGATGGATAAGCAGGTAGGTGGGTGGGTGGATGGATGGATGGATGGATGGATGGGCAAGTAGGTGGATGGATGGATGGATGGATGGATGGATGGATGGATGGATGGATGGATGGGCAGGTAGGTAGTTAGATAGATGGGTAAATGGTTGGATGGATAGATAGATAGGCAGATAGATAGATGGATGAAGAGATGGACAGATGACACAGAGAGAGATATGTGCATACATGTGCATCTCTGGAATTGTGCCAGGTACTCTACATCTATTACTTAGTTTAAGTTTCACAACAACATTGTGGAAAGTGAATTTACCTGCATTTATTGATGTGGAACCTGAGAAAATGAAAGGCTAAGTTACTTGCCCAAGGTCACACGGTTAGTTAGGAAACTGCAGAACAACCGCGGAACACAGCTTCACTGAACGATCAAGCATAGGCCCCTGTGGCTGCATCTTCCTTTTCCCCTTCTGCACTACCAGCTGCATTAGCCAGTGCATCAAGCTGATTTGAGTTTTGAGGAATTCTCTTTGAAAGTCTTCACACATGGTATTTTTACAGAGACTTGGTGGAAAGGTTCTCACAATTGACCTGTCAACCTTGATAGATAGAGAGTATTTGCTGCAATCCCAGCTGAAAGCAAGAAAAATAAAATTTTAAAAGGAAAAAAAAATGGGATTTTATGTGCCTTCTAAAATTTCTAAGCAGGGATCTAATTAAAACAGGTTAACAACACAACTCTGGTTCAAGAATGCAGTATGAAAAGTGTGTCTACCTGAATGAATCAGGAATAAACAAAGGGAATGAAGATTTATGACAGAGAGAAAAAGAGAAAAATAGGAACTGTTAAAAGAAAGGGGCCTGGTGTTGGAGAGTTATTTGAAGCCATGGGTATCTTCTGGCAGATTCATCTTAAAAGGTTTTGAGAATTAAAAAAAATAGCACTATGTTTCCCTAAAGGTTGAAAGAGCAATAAAAGATAAAGCAATTTCTATTTGATAAAATAAAACTGCAAGATCCGTTTCACACAAGACTCAGAGAAAGAAGAATCTGGTTTGTCACATAGTCCTATTGGGTGTGTGTTGGAAATTGAATGCTATTCTTAAACCAAGAGCATCTTTCCCTAGCTGAAGCAGGTGGGGATGTACAAGTTATGAAAGGAGCATCATGGCAAGGGGATTTACCAAGGGTGTGTGTTCACACAACCCCTACCTACATGCCATGCAAGAAGATTCCCAGAGGCTAACTAGTATATACTGTTCAGCTTCTATTTTCCGCACCCTGTGCTAGATGCTTTCAAATGTATCACTCGATGTACTCATACCAGCAATCCTAACAGGTAAGCGTCATTATCCCAGTTTTAAGGAAACTGAAGCTCAGAGAGGTTCAGGTTGTAGTAGGCCCAGTGAAATCCAGGTCTAATCCCTGGAGCCTCTGATTGTTACCATACATGGCAAATGGGACTTTGAAAATGTAATTACAGATTTTGAGATGGGGAGATTATCCTGGATTATTTGGGCGGGTCCTAAATGTAATAATAAGTGTTCTTATAAGACAGAATCAGAAGAAAATGTGACCACAGAAGAAGCTGCCAATGGAACAACTGAAGCAAGATGGTACACTGACAACTTAGAAGGTAGAAGACGGGGCCAAGAGCCAAGGAATGTAAGGAATGAGGTTCTAGAGCTGGAAAAAGCAAAGAAACAGATTCTTCCCTGGCCTTGAGAAGGTGAGCAACCCTGCTGACATCTTGATCTCAGCCCAGTAAATGGTTTCACACTTCTGACCTCTAGAAATACAAGAAATAAAATGTATGTTCTGTTAAGCCACTGAATTTGTGCTAATTTGTTACAACAGACATTGGAAACTAATGAAAATGTCTTACTTAATGAAACACAGCCAGGAAATGGAAGAACTGGGACTTGAACCCAGGTCTTTTGACTCCAAATCTAGTATTATTTCTAAGGTAACCTGCTACTTCTTGCTGTGTGGTCTATCCCACTGTTACTGGTACTCCTCAGATGTCTATATAGCCTCTACCTCCTCACAGTGATTCCCAAAATGTGACTGCACATCAGATCTCCTGGGCCCTTTGAAATAAGATGTGACATCCTGGATCCCGAAGAAGAAAGACAGGACTAAAATTCCTTATTTTAAAATTCAATTTGGGAATCATCACTCTAGCACTTTTTTTCTCTCAAGATGGAGTTTTGCTCTTGTCACCTAGGCTGGAGTGCAATGGTGCGATCTCAGCTCACTGCAAACTCCGCCTCCCATTTTCAAGTGATTCTCCTGCCTGAGCCTCCTAAGTAGCTGGGATTACAGACATGTGCCACCACACCCAGCTAATTTTGTATTTTTAGTAGAGACAGTGTTTCACCATGTTGTCCAGGCTGATCTCGAACTCCTGACCTCAGGTCATCTGCCCACCTTGGACTCCCAAAGTGCTGGGATTACAGGCATGAGCCACCGCACCCAACTGCACTCTAGCACTTTTAATTTCTAAAATGTATTCTATATACATGTTAATAGAAAATAGAAGGTCAGCATTGTATCTTCCTTTTGAACACATGAACACTTGAAGAAGACGCAGATTTGGGGGAGGCTACTATGTGGGAGGCACTTGTACCTAACACGGCATCTACCTTCACAGCACTTGCTGTATTAGTTTCCAGGGGCTGCTGTAACAAAGCACTACAAACTGGGTGGCTTAAAACAACAGAAAGACTCTGCCTTTTAGGGACTAGAGGGATGCACCCATGGCCAGATCTTCGGTTACGCAAATATACCTTAGAGACCACAATAAGAAAGACACCTCTCTGAAATGCTCTGGTCCCAAGGAAAAAACTGCTGTATGTAAAAATGGAAAATCTTGTCTGTATATCATGCTCAGCTGCATTTTATTTTGTACCCTTGAGAGAGCTTTTATTTTCTGATAAATAAGGATTGGAATTGTAAAACAAAACAAAACAAACCAAACAACAACAACAACAACCCAGGAATTTATTGGCTCACGGTTCTGAAGGTGAGAAGTCTGAAATCAAAGTGTTAGGAGAGCTGTGCTCCCTCTGAAACCTGTAAGGGAAAAGAATCCCTCCCTGCCTCTTCCTGTTTCCAGAGTTTGCCAGCAATCCCTGCGATTCCTTAGATGTTTAGATGCATCCCTCCAACTCCCACCTCTGCTGTCTATGGCCAACTTTTTCTTATGTGTCTCCATGTTTCTTCTTCATTTCTTGTAAGGCCACTAGTCACATAGGTTAAAGCCCCGCCCTACTCCATTATTACCTCATCTTGATTTAACTAATTATATCTGCAATGACCCTATTTCCAAATAAAGTGGCACTCTAAAGTACTGGGAGTTCAGACTTCACTGCATCTTTTTTGGGGACTCAATTCAATCCATAACACTTGCCAAGGCCATTTAGCTAGTAAATGTCAGTGATGGGCTCAAATATAGATCTGGCTCTTTTCCATTCTCCAGACTTGATGGAGTCTGCATATAAGTAAGTGGGTACTTACTTACCAAAATGGGAATCATGGATCACAGCTTTTCTGTGCCTTCCTAAGTCCTTCCAGCAACTTCTTGGTGCCTGGAAGTCTCCCAGGTAGCTTAACTTGGGAGCTCTGTTTTGCCCCACTGAGCTCAAATCAGAGAGAGCTCACATTTGCACCCCTTTTGTCCCTATTCCAAGTGGCTTAGCCACTTTATTTCCATTCTATTCGGCATGAAATTATTCTCCAATGTGCAGAAGAGGAGGCTTTATATTGAAATGAATCAGTTTCTATCCAGGAGCTGTTATGTCTATTGGCATTTTGGATAATCTCTGCTTTGAATTAACCATTCCTAACCTTGGCCCATTTTTTTTTCCTTTGAGTTGTTGGCATTTTTCTTGTTAATTTGTAAGAGCTCTCTCTATTAACCTTTATCTATCATAGGAGTTGTAAATATTTCCCCCAATCTATCATTTGTCTTTTGGCTTTGATTTATACTCTCTTGACATGCAAAATAATTTAATTCTTCTGTGGTCTATGCACATTCTTTTCCTTCCTTATAATTTCTGGGGCTGCTGTAACAAAGCACCACAAACCGAGTGGCTTAAAACTTGCTTAGAAAGTTCCCTCTGACTCCTTTATGATATTAATACATATGTCATCCTCAATTTCTAATTTTTGTTGTTTCTTTTAATTCTTTATACTATTATGCCTATATGGAATTGGCAAATAACTGGAATATTGGTGAATCTACTAACAGCATTAATTGTGCTGAAGTCTGTTTAGTCTGTACAGTTCCACATAATTTCTGGATTTCAGTGAATGGATTCTTACCTCAGTGAATCCATAATATTGACCACTCAGATGTTATTGTAACTCTGGGTAAACTGAAGTGAAATGTGCTTGTACGGAAGAGAAGGACAATCCTCATTCTTCCCTTTTCTGCTCCTGCTTCCCTTTGTCAAAGCTTAGGATGAACTGTTGGACAAATCTAAACAATTAGATATATATACACATATGTATATGTATACATGTACATGCCAGAGATTGCTATGTCTTCACCAAAACTCACATGCCTGTTGTAGGGGCAGAGAGATAATACCTTTTCCTCACAAGGGTCATGCCTGACAATCCTATAACAAAAGATAGTGTGGCAACAGAAAAGCATTGCAAATTTATTTAACAAAGTTTTGTGTGACACAGGAGCCTCCAGAAGTGAAGACCAAAAGAGCCATGGAAAAATGATGTATTTTTATGCTAAATCTTAAGAAAGAAGTGGACAGTTGTGGAGAAACATGATTGGATAAGAAGGGTCTGATCTAATGTTAATGCATTTGGGAGGAGAGCCTAGCAAGGCCTGTTTGTTTAGATTCTTTTTGGTCTCTTTGTGTAGCATTCCTTCCCCCTGTGTATTAGTCTGTTTTCATGCTGCTGATAAAGACATATCTGAGGCTGTGTAATTTGTAAAGAAAAAGAGGCTTAATGGACTCACAGTTCCACGTGGCTGGGGAGGCCTCACAATCATGGTGGAAGGTGAAATGCACATCTTACATGGTAGCAGACAAGAGAGAATAACAGAGCTTGTTCAGGGAATCCCCCATTTATAAAACCATCAGATCTCATGAGACTTACTCACTATGATGAGAATAATATGAGGGAAACTGCCCCCATGATTCCATTATCTCCCACCACGTCCCTCCCACAACACATGGGAATTATGGGAGCTACAATTCAAGATGAGATTTGGGTGGGGACAGAGCCAAGCCATATCACCCTGGGTATGAGGCAGGACCCCCTATAATGAGGATCATATGAGCCATTTTCAGGGAGGTAGCTCAGAGGGTAAGCTTCTAGGCTATATGGCTTGCATTGGGGGACAGGAGGAATTCTGGTTTCTATGATTCCCCTTGGGAAAAAAAAAGGGTATGGAAGAAAGAAAGGAGGGTTGGAAGATCAGAGAAACCTTGTGCCTGAGGCCCTCCCAATAGCCTTCAGTTCAAAGTATTTAGCATGTCATAGTGCCATACTTTAGGGTATCATTTTCTGCACCCCTGACACTGTTAAAGGATGGAAGATAAACTCATGGGGAGTCTGGTGAATGCCACATTAGTGAAATTAGGTGTCTAATCATCTGGGGCATATCTGGACATGCCCTCCAAACCACAGGTCAAGTTATTGCACCTTGAGCTTCTTACAAATAAAAGATGGGCACAGTATTTAGTGGGCCTCTTTGAATTTCGAAGCTGCATGGACCATGTTTGGGAATACTGCTCCAACAGTTTATTGGATGCCTTGGAAGTCTGCCAGTTTTGATTAGGGCCAAAAGAAAGAGAGGGCTCTGCAACAGGTTCAGACTACAGTAAGTTTCTCTGCCATGAAGCCACGTAATATGGCAGATCTTATGATACCTGACCCATCCAAGGTAAATAAGGACACTGTGAAGGGAGTCTGACAAACTCAACAGGGTAATCTCAGAGTAGACATCTAGGTTTCTGGATCAAAGATGTGTTTCTATCATAGAGAATTATACACTCTTCAAAAAGCAGATCCTGCTATGTTACTGGATCTCAGTAAAGACTGAATATCTGATCACGGAACATCAAATAACCCTGCAGTTGGAGCTGCTCAGCAGAAGCTGGGTATTGTCAGATCTACCAGGTCATGAAGGTGGGCAGGTGTGCAACAATCATCCTGTGATGAAAATGGCCCATGCTGGTCAAGCTCAGGCAGGTCTGGAGCACAGATAAATTGCACGAACAGCTGACCCAGATCCTCTGTTGCAACAGAATCTCTCCCACCACTCACACCTGTGCTGTCCTATGGGGCTTCCTATGACCAGTAAAGGAGTAGGAAAATCCCAGTCCTAATTATTCGGTGGGCCACCTAGATTTGCTAGTATGCTGACCACAGTCTCCTGCCACACTCAGTCCCACTCAGGAGTGTCCGTGAAGGTGGGGAGGGGACATTTCAGCATGCCTCCGCTTTGTGTGGAGGTAGAACTGGTCTGAGGAAAGGCTATACACAGGGGTGAATAGCGTCACTGGTTGGATGAAATCTAAAGACATATGATTGGAGGATTGAAGGCCAGGAAGTCTAGGGAAGACGCATGTGGATAGACCCATGGAGTGGACATGAAGAGCATCAGTCATGTTGGCCTGTCACCATCACTCCCTGTAAATCTCTTTGGAAAATTTTTTACCTCCCAAACCCACAACTGTTTGCCCTGATGGACTAAAGGTCATATTTCCTAGGACAAGGATGTTTCTTCCAAGTAACACATGAAGAATCCTATTAAACCTAAGGTTATCGTTGTTTCCTGGTTATGTTGGACTCTTCGTGCTGGTGGACCAGAAAGAAAAAATAAAAATAAAAACAGAGAGTTCCTGTACTTGCAAAGGTAAATGACTGATTATCAGGAAGAGCTGGGGCTTCTGGTTGCAATAGGGGCAGAGAGGAGTAAGTGTGGAGTTCAACAGATTCACTGGCGTGTTTCTTGGTGCTTCCATGCCCGGTGGTCAAACTGTAAATGGGGAGTGCATCAGCCATGATGTGACAAGGACGTTGCCACATTGTCATACTGTCAAGAGCTCCTAATCCTCAATGATGAAACTCTCAGTTCCCCACTGGAAAAACAACTTATACCAGCAGAAGTACCAGCCAACGCAGAGGACAATCCCGAATGAATGGTAGAGGAGGGAGATAAGGAATATCCAGTATTCCTTGCAGAGCCAGTGGGAAGACAAAGTGTTCTTAATGGGTGGCAAGAGTGGATCTGAGTGGTGCAAAGGGTGAACTGTAGCAGCTGCTTATATATCCTTAGCACTGAGATCACCACAGCCCTGTGGATGAGCCTTCCTACTCTAACATCCGTGTCCATCTCTGCCTGAAAGCATTTTCTGGTTACAGCAGCTTGCTAGGCTGAAGCTCAGTTGTAAATGCCAAAGAGGTAACCATGTTACACCCCACCACAAGTAACCATCAAGTCACGGTGAGCAGGAATCCATGAGGAATACTTTATGAAGTCTCTCAGAGGGTCTTCTGTAGGCTGAGCCCCAGAAGCTAGTCTCAATAACCCCCTCAATTACATACTCTTTGCTTCCTTTCCTCCATCCCCTCACTGACCTTCCACATAAACATCATGTGCCAAATCCTCACCTTAGTGTGCATTTTGGGGGAATCTCAGCTGAGATACCTAGTCAGTAGGCAATAAATCCTGGTTCTTCTCCTATACATGTTAGAGACATTTATTCTAAGCTCATTTATGATTTAGAAAGAAGGAAAATTGATTACATTTCAGATGCTACCAAATTCCAAACAACAACAAACATCAGAGAGACTAAAAGAACAGAGAAGAATGGGAGCTTTTGGAAGCAAATGAGATGAGATTTAATATAGATAAGGGTAAGATAATGCACCTGGAAAAGTCCTAATCAGCATTAATTTAAAGTGGGAGCCTGCAATTTATGAAACAATCAGGCCAACAAAAAGCTGGGGCTAATAATGTATAATCAATTATGAATCAGGAAATGTGATGCTTATTAGAAAAACAAAGTTCACTATCTTACAGGGTATAGATTAAAATACGATCAGACATGGTCATATCATTCCAGGGTCCTTCTTAAAGGCAGCTGGAAACCAAGACTGGGGAAGTTAAGGTAGATGAGGAATGAGACATGGGAGACAACAGACTCGGGGGGCGTTTCCAGACTTACGGGTTTGAGATTAAAAGCTGTGGAGGAGTCCAACATCACACAGGGCAGGATGATTAAGATCAGAGGTCAGTGGCTCTCAGCCAGGCAGGCGGGCAGGGCAGCAGGCATCACATTGTTCCTGGAGACTGTGGTTCTGTGGTGGCTCTGACTTCACATTGGACACCTGAGTGACAGTGCAGAAATGAATTCCAGGGAGATGTGGAGCCCTCCTTCTCCAAGGTGCACAGGTAAGTGAAGGCACATCACATAAGGAAGGCAACTCATGGGTGTTCTGCATGGTGTGCAAAGTCGCTTCTCACTCTGCCACAGGTCAGTTGGGATTCTGTTTGGCTAAAAGTAAGAGAAAGCTGGACACAGTGGCTTACACAAGTATATACCTTGTTTCTGTTATATAAAGAGACATCTGGAAGTTGCCTATTGCTCGTATTGGTTCAGCTGCTTGTCAATATCAGAATGAAAGTCTCTGAGCATATCTTGGTCTTTCCTTTATGGCCACAGGATGGCTGCTGTAATGTGAGGCGCCGTGCTCTGTGTGAGTCAGGAAGAAGGGCGAGGGAAGGGAAAACAGGGTTGCCATGTGCTAATTTCTTTCATTAGATAAAAAAAGCCATGTGCTGAGTAGAAGGAATTCCATGAAGAAATGCACAGGAATAGGTAATAGAATGATATGTGTAGCAATCACTGTTAGCCACCTACCCATTATACATCATCTTTTTCTTCTTTGATGATCAAAGCCCACTCTCGTTTGGAAGCAATGTGATCAGCTGAAATGAGATCCTTGCTTTCTCATCATCCATCGCAGCTGGGCAAAGCCAGGTCACACGTATTAATCTAAAAAAAATCAGAAATTTCTCCTCCGGTAATAATTGTTTTCTCATTAAAAATAAATAAGCACACGGCATCGCCTTTGTCCCTCCTCTACCCCTTCTTCCTGACTTGAACAGAGCACGATACCCCACAGGCAGCAGCCATCCTGTGATCACGAAGAAAAGACCAAGACAAGCTCAGAGACACCACCCGTCAGCTTTCGACTTTGGCGTCACTTGTTGATAAAGGTTTCCCTGACCACCTTCAAGTAGACTCGACCCCACTCTTCTTTATCTCTTCCTTTGTTTACTTCCTTCCTTGAATTATTTCAAACAGCAATAGTTTTTATTTTTCAGTGTACTATTTTTGTTAATATTTTTCTAACTTTCATTAAAAAATAGGCAACTCCTTGAAGTTAGGCATGGGTCTAGGCACAGAGTAGCTGTTCAATAAATATTAAATACTCGAATACATTTCCTAGAAGGCAAGAGCTCTCATTTCTAAGCTCGTCTTTTTCTGGTTTAGTGCCTTATCCCAGAGGCCAGGCTTTGAGAGCTGCCTCTGTCATTTCACAGCTGTAAGACCTTGATCAAATCATGCCCTCTCTCTCTGGGCTTCAGGTTTCTATCTAGTCACTGAGGTGGTGGGATTTGACCATCTCCAAGGTCCGTTTTAATCACTGGTCTCTAACATTGCTAGGTTTTTCTTCTGATTGTAGAGATTTTAAGAGTTTTATGATCAAGAGCCTTCAGCAGTGCTAAATTTTATGTCACAATTCATTATGTATGAGGAACTGTATTCGCTTACATTAAAAAAAAATGCCACCTTGTTTTCAGGACCTGTGATTGGACTGTGACCTGAAGTTTGAAGAACTCCTCTAAGCTATGGTATTTTGTCCCAAGCAACCGCTATTAAAATATATTTTCCTTGTGAAAATATTTTTATTAATGATACATATAATATGACATTAGCATATTATAACATAATATATACTATGATATATAATAATAAAATACAATAATAAATTCAACATGTATACAGCTCTTTAGAGCACACAGAATACCATCACATGGAGTATACTATTAATTCATTGGATTAACTCTGTTATGGGAGTAAGCCCATTTTTCATATGAGAAAACGAGCTCAGCAGGCAATTAGTATGTGTAAGACTACTCTGCAAACTAGTGCCAGGACCAGGGCTCAAACCAGGATTTTAAACTCCTCAATAAATTCCAATTAAAGATGCAGACTATTTAGATGAATCATTTCCACAACTCTGGCTGTTGAGTCTCTCTGCTGTAGCATCCGCTCTAACTCAGCTCATTTCACTATAAGCTCTGGATGTCCAAACAGAGACCTGAAAGGGCAAGGAACAAGTGCAGATCTATTCCAGAAGATGGAAAAGACCTGAGAAAACCTTGTTGAAAAGATGGCAAACCAGGCTCTGTTCCATGGCCTTGAGCAGGTTATTTGACTTCTTTGAGTCTCAGTGTTCTCATCTGTACACTGGGGATGATTCTAATTGCTACTAACTGCAGGGGCTTGTGAAAATGCCTGCAGAGATTCTTGGGTAGTTTGAGGTCTCAGATTTTTACATGCACCTTTCTGCTACCAGGGATGTCTGCCCTTCTGCTTGGCACAAACTAGACATCCTTTAGACCCAATTCACATTGCTCATGGAAGAATGGATCAGTCCTTTCTTGTGCTCCTGCCAAATGTAATTCTCACTTCGATTCTGGCTCTTTCCATGTTCCATTAATATATGCTTCCCATACGTAACATAGCGCCTGACATATAGCGGGTGGTCATTAATTTATTTACAAAGCAAGCATTTACTGGACTCTGTGTTCTATGCCTTGGCTACGCTCTGAATAGTTATTGAAAAGCAAGCTGAATTGCCCAGGATATCAGTAAGCTTCATCATCTGCCAGTTTTGTGAGAGGAATCAGAACACACATTCAATGGGGAAAGTGTTGCATAATGGGAGTTCTCCTAGTGGTTTAATAACTTTTGATGGGACCCATATGGATTGTAGCATCTATGGGAAATGTTACTCATCCCGGCACATTGTTACATAAGGAATGAGCTATGGCTACAAGAATGACTACAGGTAGAATTTTGTAGTCAGGTGGGCTGAAGACAGTGCAATGCCCAGTAGGATCATTGAAAGGGCAGGGTTTTTTATTTGTGTTCTGGCGAAGACCTGCAAAATGCAGAAATTGTTACTCTGATGCTGTATCTCCAGAAGCTAGAACCAGTTTGCGGTGAGCAAGCAGGGTTCCTTAGGAGATTCTACATCTCCTAAAGGGACAAGAGTGAGGGTTCTGGAGTCAGAATGGCCTGGGCTGGTCCATTCCATTCTCCTCCCTCTTCGCTCCCCAATATTCACCAAGTGCCTACTCAGTGCTGGTTAAAATTACCAAGCCCTTGAGCCTACTTGCTTCTAGTAGAAGACAGATAAGAATTATGTAAAACAATAAATATGGCAATTTCAGATAGTTGTAATTACTATGCATTAAGTAGGACAGGGTAGTGGGATAGAGTAACTGGGCATACAAATGGGCTTTCTTCACTGGGGTGATCAGAGAAGTCCTCTCTGAGGCAGTGGCCCTTGGGCCAATTCCTGAATGATGGGAAGAAGGGAACTATACACACACCTTGAGGAATAACATTTTGGGATGAAACAATAGCAAGGAAAAAGGCCCTGCTGAGGGCATAAGCCTGGTGTGTTTGAAGAACAGCAAGAAGACCAGTGTCACTGGACCAGATGGAGCTAGATAGAGAGTGAAAAAAATGCCAACTTTCACACTAGTGTGTAGACAGACCCAGCTACATGATTCATAGTGCCCAGTGCAAAATGAAAATGCAGGCCCCTTTGTTCAAATATTTTTAAGAATTCCAGGACAGTGACAGCAGAGCATTAAACCAAGGGGCCCTTCTGAGCATGGCTATACAGGTTGCACACCTGCAAAGCTGGCTGTGTATAGGGCTGGGTAAGCCAATACTTACTATGTAGTCTCCTCAGTAAGAAGCCACTGGGGAGTAGAAATCGGGGTACAATGAGTAATTTCACTTAAATCACTGACTGCTCTGGAGGAGTGGGTTGGAGGGGTTGCGGTAGGGAGGGATGGAAGCAGGGAGACCAGCTTGGAGGGTGTTGCTGTCCTCTGAGGAAGAGGCAATGGTGGCTTGGAATGGGATCTAGTAGTGGGGCAGTGAGTGGCCAGATCCGTATCATTATTTGGAGGTAAAGACATCAGGACTTGCTGATGGATGGGAAGGAGCTTGAGAAACAGAGAAAACCTGAGGCATCTTCTAAGTTTTTGTTGTTGGGTGGATGCTGATGCCATTTACTGAAACAGGAGACTTGGGGAGAAACAGTTTGTGAAAGAAAACACTCCTGGAACCCATATTAAATTCAACATGTGTATTAGACATCCCAGTGAGGATGGTAGGTAGGCAGTGTGGAGCAGAGGGAGTGCAAAGGACCACAGATACGATTTGTTACAGTGTATGAATGGCATAAACAGGCACTATTCAATAAGGAATGTATGAACACACAAACACACAAAGCTATGCTGTTGTGTTGAGTTCCAGCTCTGCCACTTACCAGTCATGTGCCCTTGGACACATCTCTTCACCTCTTTGCAGACATACAGTAAGAACAAGCACATGCATCCCTTCCCCTATGGCAGTAGTGGAGATTAAATGGGACAATGTACATAATGCCTAGCACAGTGCCTGGCAAGTGGGAAGGACCCTACCCATAGTTGTTATTATCAATATTAATGTGAATCAGTTTATCTGCAAGATGAGATCAGCTGTCCTGAGGATACTAGGCTTATGAAAGTTTAGTGTTCAAACAGAATAAATTAAGCTGTGCAGATAGGCAGGAAGTATTTAGGACTCTCTTCCTCCTTGCCCCTATTTGACTTCATTTAAAGGTAGAATAGGTTTAGGGGACCAGATACTTGCATAAAAACTTGCCTTTGTTTTCTCTTTTATCTTCCACAAAATTGCTATAGAACGCCTCTGTTGCACTTCCTCATTTTGTTTGTATATAGCCTTTTAAGGTCCTGGCTAAGAATCCGGTCTACCTGGTATGTAAAAGTAAATAAAATAATATCCTTAAAAGCCAGAGGCAATCTTAGATCTATTAAGAGATGGCCAGAAATATCTGGGGTTTGACGTGGAGGTGCTGATTATGTTTTAAATCTCAAAGATGAAACCCAAGAAAATTAGATATGGTGAACCAGGAGGAGAGGCCAAACCTCACTCCTTAGAAAAGGGTGGAGACCTCCTGTCCTAGCCAGCTGAGGGCCAGTGGTTTCACTGGGTCCTCTCACTACCCAGGCTCTGACAGCCACACATGCAAGCATCTGCTCATCTTTAATTGCCTAAATTATAAAATTACACTAAAAAGTACAGCAAATGATAAAAATTCTCCAATCAGATATTTTCTTCATATACTACTAAAAGGTAAAATAAATAAACATAAGTAAAATGGAAGCCCCTCCGTCCAGCTCTCATCCCTGGTGGTAATCAGGTTCTAAAACTTGTACCCCTCCTATTGAACCATAGCTTCATGTTTTTACTATGTATGTGTGGTTCTGGAAGCAATAATAGTTTTGTATATGTTAAAATATTTACATATATATTTTTATGGTTTTATACTTACGGATCTTGCGATTTGCTTTTCTCATTCGATATCATGTTGATAGATGTATGTCTAGTTCATTAATGGCTAGGTATTGCATTTTACAACTGTATTCACAATTTATTCATTTCTCTATTGATAAATAAATAGGTTTCTTTTCTTTCCTTAGTCTTCCCTCCCCTCCCCTCTCCTTCCTCCCCTCCCCTCCCTTTTCTTCCTATTTTCTTCCTTCTCTCCCCTGACTTTCATTCTTTTTCACTTGTTACAGACAATGCTGGCTTTCCCATCCTGGGCATGACAGCTTGGGCACACCTGTGGTGTTTCCCCAGGGCACTGCTAGCACTGGAGTTGCAGGACAGTGGAGCAGGCTTATTTCAACATCACCAGATATCATCTTTCTGCTTTCCTATGTGGTTTCCTAGTTTGCGTCACTGCCAGTGATGTATAAAAGTTCTTTTTTCTCCACAGTCTCACAAATATTAGCTCCTTACTAGTCTTCTAAGTGAGAAAAATAGATTCTTGTTGCTTTAATTTTATTTCTCTGCTGTCTAGTAGGATATACTTCTCTTCAGATGCTCATTTGGTTATGTCACCCTGGCTGGGTTCTTATATCATGCAGCCAAACGTCAGCCCTAACAGAGGCTGGCATTTTGGACCAGTGTTAACTAGCTTTCCAGGAATTGCCTTGGGAGCTCAAAAAGAGAGAAAGGAGAGATGAAGATAAGAGGAGCAGGTGCCTTGATGGACGAACTTAATCAGCTCCACAATTTTGCCCAGGGATGCTAAGAAACCTTACAATCCCATTTCATAGTTAACTGTTCAAAAGCAAACCTAACAAAACTATGCTTCTCCAAATTTGGATCTGTTTTACTTCTGATACATGGATCCTTCCCACCACTCACCTCCAGGTGATAAACTTGGAGGAACTCTCTGAGCTCAGGCATCTTGCCCAAGACTTCTAGAGAGTCAGTCTAGACTTAACAGAAACCTTTATGCAGTTCAATCTTGAAGATATTTATTCGTTGACTGCTATGAACAATACACTGTGTTCTCCATGAGGAAAGACTCATTCCCTTCATGACCCAATTAGCGAAGTGATGAAAGAAAGGAACAGCTGTATTCAGCCCACCTCTCTCTCCTCCAGAGCTCAGAACCTTAAGAAGTGACAGTTTCCTTTCAGATCCCCAGCCAGAGTTGACCCTACAGCCCTGAGTCACCAGGAAAGGGCCCAGACTCTTCAGACTTCTGTCTCTAACACCTGGCCATGTCATTTCCTGGGATCCCCCTCAGGTGTCATTCTGCCTGTCTCTGCATCTTCAGAAGAGCTCCTGCCATCAACTTCAACCACATTTGGGTGTTAAAAAAACACAGATGGCATTGTGGTTCCAAGCTAATTGCAGCATATTTATCTGATAAGCGATTCTCATTATGTGCTCGTCAAACGATTATGGAAACAAGTAGTGGCTCCATCCTTGTGCCTGTCAGGTCTGGTTAATAAAAAATAAAAAAAAAAAAGAGGAAAACTGCTAAGCTAAGAGTGGTCTTGGGACCAGAAGGCAGGAGGTAAAAAGAAAACAGCACTTCTAGGCAATTAGTTAGGATGGGTCTGGGCCCAACTCACTGTGCCTGACCAGAAAAGATTTATCTCTACCTGGGGCTTGAGGATCCCCAAACCCAGGAGGAGGAGCAGAGAAGAGCTGCCTGTCCAGTATCTGGCCTTTCTCCTCCTTGCACTTGACCCCCTCTGCCACTGTAGTGGTAGTGAATTTCCTCACATAGACTTTGCTCTTGTGCCTTGGGGCATTGTACATGCTGTTGAAAGGCTTTTGCTTTTGCTCTGGCTCCCGTAGCTTCTTGGACTTCTCTAACATAGGACTCAATCTGGTCTAGGTGTTAAGAACATAGGCAGAAGACAGACCACACGTGTTCAATCCCAGGTCCAACTGCAAGACCACCACTGATTAGCTGTTTCCTTACACGGATGGCCTGACCCTTCTGAGTCTCACTTTGAACAATAATAAGACAAGAAATGATGGTAGCACTTGCTTTTGCACAGCTCTTGTGAGGTTGCAATGAAATGCTGCACATAGGGGCCTTGGCACAGTGCCTGGCTTCACATAAGCTTTCAATCTATGTTGGTTTCATCACAGCCACAGCTGTGGAACCATTTCCTCACTGCCTGCTCATTGCTTACCTTCTTTGCTGGCTGGTAAGCTCCATGAAAGCAGAGACACTCTGCTCACAGACTATCCCAACACAGAGCACATAATAGATGCTTAATGAACTTGTATTGAACAAGGAAACTGGTGAAAATCACCCCTGAGAACTGGAGACACCCTCAGATTGAGAGGATGGAGCCATGAGTGACCAATGATTCTCAAGAGGTGAAGGATGGTAGGGTCGGGGGGTGGAATTTATAGTTTATAAAATCATACTAAATATTATCACATAACTTTACATTTATGAAGTTAACATAATTTGGGAGGGCAGTACAAGCCACAGCAAAAGCAAATCTGGATAAAGTTTTGTGATTGGTGGGGCAAGGGTTAAAAAATCATAAATTCTACCCACTTTCTTACTTTATAGATGAGGATGCTCAGACTAGGAGAGGCCAACCACATTGAGCATTTCATGGCTAGTAACTGCTGGCTCCGAAACCCATCAGTTATTCATTCATCCAACAACTATTTTATTTTATTTTATTTTATTTATTTTATTTTATTTTTGAGATGGAGCCTCGCTCTGTCGCCCAGGCTGGAGTGCAGTGGCGCAATCTCGGCTCACTGCAAGCTCTGCCTCCCGGGTTCATGCCATTCTCCTGCCTCAGCCTCCCGAGTAGCTGGGACTACAGGCGCCCACCACCACACCAGGCTAATTTTTGTATTTTTAGTAGAGATGGGTTTCACCGTGTTAGCCAGGATGGTCTCGATCTCCTGACCTCGTGATTTGCCTGCCTCGGCCTCCCAAAGTGCTGGGATTACAGGTATGAGCCACCATGCCCGGCCTCATCCAACAACTATTTAGCCACATGTGCTCCAGTTTCTGTCCTCAGGAAGCCCCCATGGTAGAGGGTCAAGACCGCAACTACATTACTCCATCAGGGGGAGTGGGTACAGCGTGTTCCTGGAGGGAGGCTCTGCTACCTGAACATGAAGGGTGAGTAGCCTCTGTCCACTGGTAGAGGAGGGAGAGCACAGCAGCAGAGATTCTCTGCACAGGCACAGAATCCTAAAATAGTTGGTATGTTTGTTGAGTGAGACTCCTACAGCATTTCTTTGTGCCCACACTCTCTGGATTGTTCTGTCATGCTGTGTTTGATGCTGTGTTAGGCCAGAAGTCCTGTGAGGGCTGGGCCAGGCTTTCCATTCCTGTTTTCCTCACTGGGATGGACTAGTGCTCACACTGTTGGTGCCTGACACCTGCTGACAGACAGAAGGCCCTAGCTCTGCCTAAGAGCTTTACTGTCATCTAGTAAACAGGGTAGGCAGGGACTGCCGAGGACAGCCTACCATGGCTCAGATGATGGATTTCAACCTTACAGAATCAGAGCTTCTATCTCCTTTGTTGTTTATTACTTTTATTTTAATATTTTCCATAGCAGCTTATTCCAAAAAGGACTTGAGACATCAATGCTTTCCCCCTAGGGTCCCACCGCAGCAGGTCAGATGATGGGATCAAAGCTTGGACCACCATTACAGATGCAGATAGTTGATGCTATATTATCCTCCCTTCAATTCACTCTCATGGCCTAACCCACCCCTGGTAACCACCTTCAGCCCCTCTGAGTGTGGGACCTTAGCTTTGGGCTCTTTGGTTTCCTTTTACACCAGCTTTCCCCTTTTTCCCCCAACTCCTTTTCTCTGTTCCCACCCCGTTTCTCATCCACCATCTCTGTCTGTGTTCTGAAAGGTCTCTCTCTGTTTAGCTTACCTTGAGATTAAAAATTGTCCTTCTGGGCTTCATGTTCATCCTCCTCTCCATTTAAGGCCAAGGTTTCTCCAGGCACATAGCAGTGCTGAAACTTTAAGGAAGCTTTCTAGTCCACTTCTGGATTCCCATCATCAATTTTATAGGTTATGATTAACTGGTGAAGGCATTCATTTATGTATTTATTCATCAAATATTTCTCAATGATATTGTTAATTCTTCTCCAGATGGAAGCTTAGAAAACAAAGGCATTACTAATAATTAGGGGATTAAAGTTTCTGGACAAGCAGAAAGTTCACAGTGAGCATAAGAGAAAAATCAGAGGAGGAATTAACATCTAAATAGATCTAAAATGCTATCATCGACTGGATAAAGAAAATGTGGCACATACACATCATGGAATACTATGAAATACTAAAAAAGAATGAGATCATGTCCTTTGCAGGGACATGGATGAAGCTGGAAGCTATCATTCTCAGCAAACTAACACAGGAACAGACAACCAAACACCGCATGTTCTTACTCAGAAGTGGGAGTTGAACACTGAGAACACATGGACACAGAGAGGGAAACAATGCACACCGGGGCCTGTCAGGGGGTGGGGAGCAAGGGGAGGGAGAGTATTAGGACAAATACCTAATGCATGGGGGGCTTAAAACCTAGATGATGGGTTGATATATACAGCAAACCACCAAGGCACATGTATGCCTATGTAACAAACCTGCGTGTTCTGCACATGTATCTCAGAATTTAAAGTAAAATAAAAATAAATAAAATGCTATCCTCCATGTAATTTAGTTATTAATACAATCAAAGTCTTATGGAAGCAGCACCTGATCTTTGGAGAGGATAAGTGACTCTTCCAGGATCAATAGCTACTCTTTAATTAGCAGGGGTGGGAACCCCGTATCTGTGCAATTTTTCCATTAGAAGAGGTGTCTACAGTTGGAAAGGCGAGGGCCACTCATGGGCTAGAAGCAACTCATGTTGTCTTTTGAAATGGCAAAGCCATACAGGAGTGAAAGTAAACTATTTCCCTTTTGGCCTTTCCTTTTGCAGTAGGCAGAGTTCAGGGTAAACCACTACTTATAATCCTCCAACAATTTCTCACCCTTGTGTATTGATCTGACAAGGCTCTGGAGTACTTTGCCTCCCAAGGGCTCCAGGAACTGTTCTGAGCGTATCGATAAATGATGAAGCTGGCAACAGCCAGTTACAAACAGATCGGGAAAGGCAGGGAAATTTGCAGGCAAAGAAGGAGAGAGTGGCTGGAGACAGTCCTGAGAGCAGGGGGTTCCTGGGTTCATCCCCTCCCTGATAGCCCACAAGGAATTCTGAGCCAGTGAGGCTGTTTGTCCTTCCCTTGTTCATATCCGTGAAAAAATGCTTCCTAGCTGCAGGAGAAGGAGTCCCAATCCCCTTGGGTGGGAGGCACCAGGGTCTGGTGGTCCTGTCTGGAAGGGTCTCTGTTTTGGGGAACCTGGCACTGTCAAGCACCTAGGTTCCCCAAGATTCCTGGCCCCTAGGTTCCTGGCTTCCTTCTGTGGCACCACAGCTCAGCCCCGTTCTACTTCCTCCATCCCCTCCTGGCCCCTCCCCTCCTCAGTCCTGCTCTCTCTCAAGGTGGCACAGAGCATTGGCCTCCATCACTGTCCTATCCCTGCCACATTCAATGGCAGGGCTATGGGCCCTCCTGGTCCCAGGGGTCTCGCTTCCTGATGGAGAAACTGATGAGGGGGAAGAAGGAGTTCTCCAGAAAGTCCAGCCCATGGTTCTGCTTTGTGATGCTCTCCCCTACCAACTCTAGTTCCATCTCTTCATCCTTTTATTTTTATTTTATTTTTTATTTTATTTTATTATAATTATACTTTAAGTTTTAGGGTACATGTGCACAATGTGCAGGTTAGTTACATATGTATACATGTGCCATGCTGGTGTGCTGCACCCATTAACTCGTCATTTAGCATTAGGTATATCTCCTAATGCTATCCCTCCCCCCTCCCCCCAACCCACAACAGTCCCCAGAGTGTGATGTTCCCCTTCCTGTGTCCATGTGTTCTCATTGTTCAATTCCCACCTATGAGTGAGAACATGCGGTGTTTGGTTTTTTGTTCTTGTAATAGTTTACTGAGAATGATGATTTCCAATTTCATCCATGTCCCTACAAAGGACATGAACTCATCATTTTTTATGGCTGCATAGTATTCCCTGGTGTATATGTGCCACATTTTCTTAATCCAGTCTATCATTGTTGGACATTTGGGTTGGTTCCAAGTCTTTGCTACTGTGAATAGTGCCGCAATAAACATACGTGTGCATGTGTCTTTATAGCAGCATGATTTATAGTCCTTTGGGTATATACCCAGTAATGGGATGGCTGGGTCAAATGGTATTTCTAGTTCTAGATCCCTGAGGAATTGCCACACTGTCTTCCACAAGGGTTGAACTAGTTTACAGTCCCACCAACAGTGTAAAAGTGTTCCTATTTCTCCACATCCTCTCTAGCACTTGTTGTTTCCTGACTTTTTAATGATTGCCATTCTAACTGGTGTGAGATGGTGTATCATTGTGGTTTTGATTTGCATTTCTCTGATGGCCAGTGATGGTGAGCATTTTTTCATGTGTTTTTTGGCTGCATAAATGTCTTCTTTTGAGAAGTGTCTGTTCATGTCCTTTGCCCACTTTTTGATGGGGTTGTTTGTTTTTTTCTTGAAAATTTGTTTGAGTTCATTGTAGATTCTGGATATTAGCCCTTTGTCAGATGAGTAGGTTGCGAAAATTTTCTCCCATTTTGTAGGTTGCCTGTTCACTCTGATGGTGGTTTCTTTTGCTGTGCAGAAGCTCTTTAGTTTAATTAGATCCCATTTGTCAATTTTGGCTTTTGTTGCCATTGCTTTTGGTGTTTTAGACATGAAGTCCTTGCCCATGCCTATGTCCTGAATGGTAATGCCTAGGTTTTCTTCTAGGGTTTTTATGGTTTTAGGTCTAACGTTTAAGTCTTTAATCCATCTTGAATTAATTTTTGTATAAGGTGTAAGGAAGGGATCCAGTTTCAGCTTTCTACATATGGCTAGCCAGTTTTCCCAGCACCATTTATTAAATAGGGAATCCTTTCCCCATTGCTTGTTTTTCTCAGGTTTGTCAAAGATCAGATAGTTGTAGATATGCGGCATTATTTCTGAGGGCTCTGTTCTGTTCCATTGGTCTATATCTCTGTTTTGGTACCAGTACCATGCTGTTTTGATTACTGTAGCCTTGTAGGATAGTTTGAAGTCAGGTAGCGTGATGCCTCCAGCTTTGTTCTTTGGCTTAGGATTGACTTGGTGATGCAGGCTCTTTTTTGGTTCCATATGAGCTTTAAAGTAGTTTTTTCCAATTCTGGGAAGAAAGTCACTGGTAGCTTGATGGCAATGGCATTGAATCTATAAATTACCTTGGGCAGTATGGCCATTTTCACGATATTGATTCTTCCTACCCATGAGCATGGAATGTTCTTCCATTTGTTTGTATCCTCTTTTATTTCATTGAGCAGTGGTTTGTAGTTCTCCTTGAAGAGGTCCTTCACATCCCTTGTAAGGTGGATTCCTAGGTATTTTCTTCTCTTTGAAGCAATTGTGAATGGGATTTCACTCATTATTTGGCTCTCTGTTTGTCTGTTATTGGTGTATAAGAATGTTTGTGATTTTTGTACATTGATTTTGTATCCTGAGACTTTGCTGAGGTTGCTTATCAGCTTAAGGAGATTTTGGGCTGAGACGATGGGGTTTTCTAGATATACAATCATGTCATCTGCAAATAGGGACAATTTGACTTCCTCTTTTCCTAATTGAATACCCTTTATTTCCTTCTCCTGCCTGATTGTCCTGGCCAGAACTTCCAACACTATGTTGAATAGGAGTGGTGAGAGAGGGCATCCCTGTCTTGTGCCAGTTTTCAAAGGGAGTGCTTCCAGTTTTTGCCCATTCAGTATGATATTGGTTGTGGGTTTGTCATAAATAGCTCTTATTATTTTGAGATACGTCCCATCAATACCTAACTTATTGAGAGTTTTTAGCATGAAGGGTTGTTGAATTTTGTCAAAGGCCTTTTCTACATCTATTGAGATAATCATGTGGTTTTTGTCTTTGGTTCTGTTTCTATGCTGGATTACATTTATTGATTTGCATGTATTGAATCAGCCTTGCAACCCAGGGATGAAGCCCACTTGATCATGGTGGATAAGCTTTTTGATGTGCTGCTGGATTCGGTTTGACAGTATTTTATTGAGGATTTTTGCATCAATGTTCATCAAGGATATTGGTCTAAAATTCTCTTTTTGGGTTGTGTGTCTGCCCAGCTTTGGTATCAGGATGATGCTGGCCTCATAAAATGAGTTAGGGAGGATTCCTTCTCTTTCTATTGATTGGAATAGTTTCAGAAGGAATGGTACCAGTTCCTCCTTGTACCTCTGGTAGAATTCGGCTATGAATCCATCTGGGCCTGGACTCTTTTTGATTGGTAAGCTATTGACTATTACCACAATTTCAGAACCTGTTATTGGTCTACTCAGAGATTCAACTTCTTCCTGGTTTAGTCTTGGGAGAGTGTATGTGTCAAGGAATTTATCCATTTCTTCTAGATTTTCTAGTTTATTTGCGTAGAGGTGTTTGTAGTATTCTCTGATGGTAGCTTGTATTTCTGTGGGATTGGTGGTGATATCCCCTTTATCATTTTTTTATTGCATCTATTTGATTCTTCTCTCTTTTCTTCTTTATTAGTCTTGCTAGTGGTCTATCAATTTTGTTGATCCTTTCAAAAAACCAGCTCCTGGATTCATTAATTTTTTGAAGGGTTTTTTGTGTCTCTATTTCCTTCAGTTCTGCTCTGGTTTTAGTTATTTCTGGCCTTCTGCTAACTTTTGAATGTGTTTGCTCTTGCTTTTCTAGTTCTTTTAATTGTGATGTTAGGGTGTCAATTTTGGATCTTTCCTGCTTTCTCTTGTGGGCATTTAGTGCTATAAATTTCCCTCTACACACTGCTTTGAATGTGTCCCAGAGATTCTGGTATGTTGTGTCTTTGTTCTCATTGGTTTCAAAGAACATCTTTATTTCTGCCTTCATTTTGTTATGTACCCAGTAGTCATTCAGGAGCAGGTTGTTCAGTTTCCATGTAGTTGAGTGGTTTTGAGTGAGTTTCTTAACCCTGAAGTTCTAGTTTGATTGCGCTGTGGTCTGAGAGACAGTTTGTTATAATTTCTTTTCTTTTACATTTGCTGAGGAGAGCTTTACTTCCAACTATGTGGTCAATTTTGGAATAGGTGTGGTGTGGTGCCGAAAAATATGTATATTCTGTTGATTTGGGGTGGAGAGTTCTGTAGATGTCTATTAGGTCCGCTTGGTGCAGAGCTGAGTTCAATTCCTGGGTATCCTTGTTGACTTTCTGTCTCGTTGATCTGTCTAATGTTGACAGTTGGGTGTTAAAGTCTCCCATTATTATTGTGTGGGAGTCTAAGTCTCTTTGTAGGTCACTCAGGACTTGCTTTATGAATCTGGGTGCCCCTGTATTGGGTGCATATCTATTTAGGATAGTTAGCTCTTCTTGTTGAATTGATCCCTTTACCATTATGTAATGGTCTTGTCTCTTTTGATCTTTGTTGGTTTAAAGTCTGTTTTATCAGAGACTAGAATTGCAACCCCTGCCTTTTTTTGTTTTCCATTTGCTTGGTAGATCTTCCTCCACTCTTTTATTTTGAGCCCATGTGTGTCTCTGCACATGAGATGGGTTTCCTGAATACAGCACACTGATGGGTCTTGACTCTTTATCCAATTTGCCAGTCTGTGTCTTTTAATTGGAGCATTTAGTCCATTTACATTTAAAGTTAATAATGTTATGTGTGAATTTGATCCTGTCATTATGATGTTAGCTGGTGATTTTGCTCGTTAGTTGATGCAGTTTCTTCCTAGCCTTGATGGTCCTTACAACTTGGCATGATTTTGCAGTGGCTGATACCGGTTGTTCCTTTCCACGTTTAGTGCTTCCTTCAGGAGCTCTTTTAGGGCAGGCCTGGTGGTGACAAAATCTCTCAGCATTTGCTTGTCTGTAAAGTATTTTATTTCTCCTTCACTTATGAAGCTTAGTTTGGCTGGATATGAAATTCTGGGTCAAAATTCTTTTCTTTAAGAATGTTGAATATTGGCTCCACTCTCTTCTGGCTTGTAGAGTTTCTGCTGAGAGATCTGCTGTTAGTCGGATGGGCTTCCCTTTGTGGGTAACCCGACCTTTCTCTCTGGCTGCTCTTAACATTTTTTCCTTCAAATTTGGTGAATCTGACAATTATGTGTCTTGGAGTTGCTCTTCTCGAGGAGTATCTTTGTGGCGTTCTCTGTATTTCCTGAATCTGAATGTTGGCCTGCCTTGCTAGATTGGGGAAGTTCTCCTGGATAATATCCTGCAGAGTGTTTCCCACCTTGGTTCCATTCTCCCCGTCACTTTCTGGTACACCAATCAGACGTAGATTTGGTCTTTTCACATAGTCCCATATTTCTTGGAGGCTTTGTTTGTTTCTTTTTATTCTTTTTTCTCTAAACTTCCCTTCTCGCTTCATTTCATTCATTTCATCTTCCATCACTGATACCCTTTCTTCCAGTTGATCGCATTGGCTCCTGAGGCTTCTGCATTCTTCACGTAGTTCTCGAGCCTTGGCTTTCAGCTCCACCAGCTCCTTTAAGCACTTCTCTGTATTGGTTATTCTAGTTATACATTCGTCTAAATGTTTTTCAAAGTTTTTAACTTCTTTGCCTTTGGTTTGAATTTCCTCCTGTAGCTCGGAGTAGTATGATCGTCTGAAGCCTTCTTCTCTCAACTTGTCAAAGTCATTCTCCGTCCAGCTTTGTTCCGTTGCTGGTGAGGAACTGTGTTCCTTTGGAGGAGGAGAGGCACTCTGCTTTTTAGAGTTTCCAGTTTTTCTGCTCTGTGTTTTCCCCATCTTTGTGGTTTTATCTACTTTTGGTCTTTGATGATGGTGATGTACAGATGAGTTTTTGGTGTGGCTGTCCTTTCTGTTTGTTAGTTTTCCTTCTAACAGACAGGACCCTCAGCTGAAGGTCTGTTGGAGTTTGCTAGAGGTCTACTCCAGACCCTGTTTGCCTGGGTAACAGCAGCGGTGGCTGCAGAACAGCGGATTTTTGTGAACCGTGAATGCTGCTGTCTGATCGTTCCTCTGGAAGTTTTGTCTCAGAGGAGTACCTGATCGTGTGAGGTGTCAGTCTGCCCCTACTGGGGGGTGCCTCCCAGTTAGGCTGCTCGGGGGTCAGGAGTCTGGGACCCACTTGAGGAGGCAGTCTACCTGTTCTCAGATCTCCAGCTGCATGCTGGGAGAACCACTGCTCTCTTCAAAGCTGTCAGACTGGGACATTTAAGTCTGCAGAGGTTACTGCTGTCTTTTTGTTTGTCTGTGCACTGCCCCCGGAGGTGGAGCCTACAGAGGCAGGCAGGCCTCCTTGAGCTGTGGTGGGCTCCACCCAGTTGGAGCTTCCCGGCTGCTTTGTTTACCTAAGCAAGCCTGGGCAGTGTCGGGCGCCCCTCCCCCAGCCTTGCTGCCACCTTGCAGTTTGATCTCAGACTGCTGTGCTAGCAATCAGCGAGACTCCGTGGGCGTAGGACCCTCCGAGCCAGGTGCGGGATATAATCTCATGGTGCACCGTTTTTTAAGCCTGTCAGAAAAGCGCAGTATTAGGGTGGGAGTGACCTGATTTTCCAGGTGCTCTCTGTCACCTCTTTCTTTGACTAGGAAAGGGAACTCCCTGACCCCTTGCACTTCCCAAGTGAGGCAATGCCTCACCCTGCTTCAGCTTGCGCACGGTGTGCTGCACCCACTGTCCTGCACCCACTGTCTGGCACTCCCTAGTGAGATGAACCCGGTACCTCAGATGGAAATGCAGAAATCACCCATCTTCTGCAGTGCTCACGCTGGGAGCTGTAGACCGGAGCTGTTCCTGTTCGGCCATCTTGGCTCAACCTCCCCTCTTCATCCTTTTAGAAGTCCTCATTCTAGGCCTGAAGGCAAAATTAGGGCTTATTGCTAGGGAAGGACAGGGAGCCCCAAACTTTTCCATGTACCAGGCACTGTGCTGGGTCCTGTACCTGATATTCTCAGATTTTCAGACAGGATCCTCAGGAAGATGCACAGCAGCACTTGTACTATCCCCATTGTATGATGAGGATGGAAGAACAGGTGAGGCAAACCAGGTGTCACAGCTTGTGAATGATGATGACCAGTGTTCCAGTCCCAGTCTGCCTGGGGCTCAGCCTCTTTCTGGGTATCCATCCAATCCCCTCTTATCCCATATCTGGAGCCTTCCAATGAGGGGACCCCCACCTTTAAAGGGTAGGGTTTGGGGACACCTTCTCCACACTGGCCCACGGCATCCCATGCCTTCTGTTATCTGCACAAGGTGCTGGGGCTTGCCTAAGAGGCTGCAGGGCATAGGGAGCCCAGCAGGACCCTGAGCTGCTGATGGATTTTACAGCTTTATTGTCTACTATTAAGAAAAGCAATTAGCCAGGAGGCAGTGCCTAGACAAGGCTGCAATTCAGGACATGGGTAGGCTGGTTTATATTCGTTTTCAGACCTCATTTGCCCAATATGAGCAATTGGTACTGGGAAGCATTTTGTTTGTGAAGCTGCACACCCGCTCTGGTCCTGGGCTTCTCCAAAGCACAAAGGGCCTCACCTACCTCTCCTAAGCCTGTGCGCATACCTGGGGTCACAACACAGAAAGCATGCAGGGTGGACCCGGGATGAACTGACAATTTCTGAAATTTTATGACAAAGGGCTTCTTGGAGCTACATCTGACTTGATGATGTGCTCCATGAGTCCATGAGGCAGTGAAGTTCTGGGTCTGGGAAGACCTCAGGCTCCAGTGTAGGCTCAGCCCCTTGCTCACTCGTTGCCTTTGGATGCATCTGTAAAATAGTGATAATAATTAGGGAACCAGAGAGAATAGATGTACAATACCCAATACAGAGTAGCTTATACATAATAATAGTAATCATTATTACTATTACTATTATTTCATCTTGGAGCAGCCCAATTATCAGCCGAGGTCTAGCACACACCCTAGGAGGACAGCTGCTGAGAGGAGACAAGTGCATCCCTAGAGAGATTGGCCCCAAGGAGGCATCAGACACCAGTGGGCTCCAGGGGAGCTCAGCTGGGCTGAAGCGGATGTGAGAGGTTACTTGAAGTACAGGCCCCTGTCGCAAGTCTGGGGTTCAGGATCAAGAGTCTGCTCCAGGGCAGAGCAGGCAGAGCTGCAGAATACTCCAGCAACCCACAGCAGCAGACTTTACTTGTGAACACCAATCCTGAGCACTCCCTTCATGCCAATTTCCCCTTCAGTCCCCAGACTCACTCCCTCACTTAGGCACTGTTATGTTCCCATCACACAATTGGGGACTGAGGCTCAGAGATGCCAAGTGACTTACCCGAGGTCACACAGCTTGGAAGCAGAAGATTGAGGATGCCCAACCAGGCTTGCTGGGAGAGCAGATCTGCATTTCCACATGACAGGACCCTTTGAGTCTTGGAGATGTGATTTCTCAACTTGCAGTCTTCTTTCTTATCCTAAAAGTAGCCAGCAGTTCAGCAAAATAAGGTCGGCATGTGAAACCCGTAAACAAGTGCTTAATAACTCCTAGGTGGTCAGAACTGTGCCAGGTGCTGAGGGGCAGGCGACAACAGCAGGTGCTCATAGTGTGAGTATCTGAGGCTGGTTTGCAGCAGATAATCAGGAGAGATTTATGGCTGCCTTGCCCCTCACCCACAATCTTTACTAGCCTTCCCCTGAGGCCACCCCCAATAATAACATTTAAAACTAAGTAAACATTGCAGCTGGACCTGGTGGCTCATGCCTGTAATCTCAACACTTTGGGAGGCCGAGATGGGCAGATCATAAGGTCAAGAGACAGAGACCATCCTGGCCAACAAGGTGAAACCCTGTCTCTTCTAAAAATACAAAAATTAGCTGGGTGTGGTGGCACATGCCTATAATCCCAGCTATTTGGGAGGCTGGGGCAGGAGAATTGTTGAACCCAGGAGGTAGAGGTTGCAGTGAGCCGAGATCGTGCCACTGCATTTCAGCCTGGGCAACAGAGAGAGACTCCATCTCAAAAAAAAAAAAAAAAAGTTGCATCAGGGCAAGGCTCCTAGACCCACTTTCCTTCCAGATGTAAGTCCCTCCTCACGGCCCTTGTCTAAGTTGAGTTCCCCTAGACAGACCTGGACACAAGGATATGTGGACACAAGTAGGTGTTTTTTTTTTTTTCTTTTTGGAAGTGAATACAAGGAAGCAGTCATGGGGAGGGGCCCAAAGAAAGAGAAGGAAGCTAACACATGGTGCATCCGCGAGCAGGGCACTGCTGTGGGCAACTGAAGCCCAATCCCATGGGGACTTCTGGGAGACTAGGCAGAACATGTCTCTGGTGTATTCTACCCAAGGGGCGAGGAAGCTGGGGTACTTATCCACCAACTCCAATTCACTCGGGTCGAGGGCCTCTCCTGGAATTCTTCACCCTCCATACTTCTGGCCCACCCTCTGCATAGCGGGGCCATGCTCTGAGTCCAGAGGAATCCCTCAGCCAGAGAGTCCCACCCCCTTGGAACAAAAAGTTTCCAGTGGGGAAGACAAGCACTAATAGCATGTGGACAGGCGCCAAAGGTGTCTGTTACTGTCTGTCCTGTAGAAACGCTGGAGCTGCCACTGGTGGGCTGCTAAAGAGGAAGGGTCCAGGGAGCCCAGGAACGTGTCAGAGCTCCACTGTTAACAGATGTATGGCCTCGGATGAGTTACTTTACTTCTCTCATCTTTTATTGCTTCATCCAGAAATGGAGTATAAAAGTACCTACATACTTAGGGTATTGAGAAGATTGAGTAAGATATTCTATATCAAGTGTCTGACTTCTGGAAGGCACTCAATAAATGATAGGTATCAATATCATTATTCTTAACTACAAGCCAGATCATGTCATATAAGCCATAAATCACCTAAAAATTTGGAAAAGTGAGAGAACAATGTAGCATGGGGGATTATTCTGGATGGGTGTCAAATGGAAGTTGGGACTGGCACTGAGCTTTGAGAAGTTACAGGATATTTTTAAAAGTATAAAATGAATATATCAACATTACAGAAAATTTGGAAGCACAGAGTAGAACATCCTATGCACCCACATCCCAGCAGTCTTCTTTACAGGCCTGGTCTTGTTTGCATGTCCTGATGACTGTCATGCTGAGCATATTCTCATAGAGTTATGGGCCATTTGTATGTCTTTGGAGAAATGTCAACCTATGTCCTTTACCCATTTTTAATTGGGTTGTCCTTTTCGTATTGAGCTATAAGAGTTCTTTATATGTTTGGTTTAATGTTAATTTGCTTTTGTAAATTAATAGTGGCATTGGACATTTTCCAAGCATCTATTTACTGGTTGTAATTAGTAAAAGAATTTAGATGGAAGCATGGTAGGGAGGATATCTTAGGCAGCAAGGAGAACAAAGATGAAGGTGCCCAGGTGGTCATCATAAAAAGATAATCGTTCTATTATTCTTTAATTTTTTCATTTAACACATTTGTTGCATACATTTCCTGTTCCAAAAACTACATCATGTCACAAAATAGTACACATGATAAAAATAGCCTCTGCCTTCACAAAACACACAGCCTAGAGGGGCTGAGAGAGATTTATAAAGTTAAAAAAATGCATATGGATTGGGCTATGTGCCTGGCGTCCTGGAAACAAAAAGGATGCAGAGTTAGGCAGCACTGCAGAGGGACCTAGTTCAGCTAGTTCAGAGAGTGATTCACGATGGGTTTCCCAGAAGGTGACCCTGAGAAGAGCTTATGAGTGACAGCCCTGTGTTATGAAGTCTTCTCAGGGCAACCTGGTGAGTGGGGAAGTGGGATGGTGGGTGTAATGGAGAAGGGAAGGAAACGAGTAAGTGAGTGAATGCAAGCCAAATCCTTGTCAATCAACAGGGGAGCTCTGGACATAGGATAGGGCAGAGTTTTCCTGATTGAATGAGGGTGCTGAAGCAGGTACACTTCTGCACCCTTCAGCCCTGGGAACAAACATCCCCAAGCCCTTGCATTCAGACAAGGTGGCTTCTGGGAACCAGAGAGCAGACTGAGGCTGAAGAGGTTCCGGCGCCGGCTGTTGAAAGTGAATACACGCAGGAAGCCAGTGTGCCAAAGACTGCCAAGAATCTGATCTAAGGAAATGGGAGCCTAAAGGTGGAGCACTGAGTACATCTGCGACAGATGGGCAGATCAGGGAAGGCTCCTCAGAAGAAGTGACATTAAGGATGATGAGGAGCAGAAGAAGAGTCTAACAGGCAGAGGAGGGCAGGTAGGCGAAGGCCATCAAGTGGAAAGGGATCAGGTTTCTCCAGAAATTGAGAGAACCATGTAGGGTGGTAGATTGGAAAGAGGCCTTAGTAAGTTTTGCTAAAGGCTTCTTGTTTTACCAAGGGAAGACAGAAGAGAAGAGGGAGGCTCAGAGAGACTGAGTAACTTGCCCAATGTCACACAGCTAGCAATGTAACAGAGAGCTCAGGGCAGACCTCAATTCTGACATGCATGACCAGTTGTGGGGAGTGCAGGATGCATGCAAGACCCCTCTGCCTAAGGGCTGTGGGGAACTGGAGAGGCAACTCAGGGAGAGCAGAGAAACAGCATAAGCAAGAGCATCCTGACCACACCCCCCGCCCCACCCCAGTGCACCCCCCATGCTTGCTGTGGTTCTTTCTTAGAGCAGAGAAGCTTCTCAAGTATATGGATGCAACCGAACAGACACAGTTATAAATAAGGTGACAGATACCATAGCAACAGGGGAAGCAAAGTGAAATACATCATTTTATTGTAAAGGGCAAAACCTACGCTATATATACAAGCGAGCGTCTCCTTCTTCTTTCCATCGCTTTTCTGCACAAACATTTCAGACTTCACATGCAACAGGCCTGCCTCCTCAGCCAAGGCAATTCTGCTACAGAATGTATACTTATCTTTATACGTGTCTCTATTTGTGTTCAGTTATATAAAGTTATTCCTAAAGCTCTGTCTATAGAGATATACTTTATATTATTGATGTGTATATTTTATATCTGCAAAACACTGAGATGTAAGATATAGGTTCTGTGGCAGATTATATTTTCCAAAGATGACAACAACGGTATTTTTAAGGGAAGCCAGCCCCATGTAAAAGGTCCATTTACCCTGAGGCCATCATACTAGAGAGGCCAAAGATCGGTACTCCAATCAAGAGTTTCAGCTGAGCCCAGGCTTCCAGCCATCCACACCAAGGTGTCAGACTCGGGAGTGAAATGACACTGGGTGCTCCAACCAGCACATCCACCAACCAAGCACTTCTAAATAACCCCAGCAATGCTACAGAGAGCAAAGAATCAGCCAAGCCCTGCCCAAATTTGGGACCCATTGACTTTGTGAGACGTAACGAAGTGGTTATCGCTTGAAGCCACTTAGTTTTGGGGGATTTACTTATACCACACTAGATAACTAGAACAGGTACCCCCATAAATATCAAGACTGCTGCCATGTGCTAAGTATCTAGAATGTGCCATAGTCTATGCTGAGACTTGACATGCACCATCTCATCTAATCTTTAAGTCAACAGCAAAAGATAAGAACAGCAACAGCAATCTCCACTTTTCAGATGAGGAGACTGAGGCTGAGAGGGTTCAGGAACTTGTCCATGGTCACGAGCAAGAACTGAGAGGGATCTAGGTCCCCTGGCTACAGCCCTCCTTCATTACCACTGAGCAGACTACCTCACTGCTGAGATTTGATTTCTGGGTCCTTAGTCTTTTTTATGTGGACTCACTTACACTTTTTTGTTTTTTTGGAGAAGCGAGATGCTATTATGCATACTGTTGTGTTACTTGCCATTTTCAGTTAACATATTTCCGAGTCAATACATATAGATCTATATTATCATTGTAAATGGTCACAGTGCAGTGCATCAGATACATTTACTCTAATGCATTTAACCAGTCCTCCTGGAGATGGATATTTAGGTTGTTTAAAGCATTTTTTAACTGTTACAAATAATGTTTTAGAGAACTGCATTGCACATATATCTTTGTGTACTGCTATAATTATTTTCCTAGAACAAATTCCTACTCATCAATAAATTGAGTTCTGTAAAGATTGTGCTTAAATGCCTACAGTAGTATATATGAGCTCCTGTTTGCCCATGCCCTGGACAACATGGGAGTTTCTTCATTGTTTTTAATTTCACTGCCACCTTTTCAATATTGGTTGAAAGTCCTGTGGAAGTTACTTTGGAGGTTAGGGTATAGACCTCATCCTTGCCTCTATGAAGTGTCAGGAAAGGCCCTAGAATGGAGTGGCATAAGCTCTGTGTCAGACAGTGCCAGGGCTGAATCTTCAACTCTGCTGCCTGCTATTATCCTAACCATGGACAAGTCATGTGACTTTTCTGAGCCAGTTTCTTTGTCTATAAAATGGGGATAAAAATAGAACCTCCTCACAGGATTCATGTAGGATGGCACAAACAAAGCATGTAGCCTTGTACCTGACATATTGATAAATTATCATGGGATATCATTCTGTGTACGGGGAATGTCTCTCAGCATATCAGATCACAGAGGGTCTGGAGTACTGGAAGGAGGAAAGTAGTCTTGGGGTGTGGAAGCACGTGAGGCAAGCAGCACTAGCTCATCCGCAGAGTTCCACTTTTCCTGAGGTCCCTCCACAATCTCTGATATTATCTCTGATACTCACTAAGTTACTGTTGAGGTCTGAGATGGCAGAATCCATAACATCACTTCAGTTCACAACAGTTGGCAAATTGAGAGATTTAAAAATAAAGTTTTATTATGGAAAAGCAGGATTGAAGAATGGACATTAGCTGTGTGAACATACCTGGGCTTCTTAATCTATCTCCCTTTGAACTGAACTTGAAAATCTCAAATTGCAAGAGCAGCATTTGACCTGGCAGGGTTCCCCAACAGAGGAACAAGATGCCCGTTGCCTCCACTCAGTCTCCCCAATTAGATAAATCTCTCTTCTGTCTTGGGCAGAAAACTAAGTACCTGGAGAGCAGCTGGAAGTGCATGTTTGATCCAAAAGGGGAATGCTTTTCCCTCGAACAGTTACTGAAGACTCCTTGTCCTCCAGATCCAGTGAGATGATCAGACAGGGCTGCAGCTCTCACATTTGGAGGAGGAGATCTGAAAGCACTGTCCCCATCTTTATAGGTTCCCCCAAATTCTTCTTTCTTCTTCCTCCTGGGACTGCTGGTAGAAGTTTAACCTTTTCCACAGAATACCCAAAGTGAGGTTCCCTGAACTCTAGGCAAAAATATTTACTCTCTGTTATTCACTCCAGCATCTTGTCCAATGGAAACCCCCAGATGTTCTGCACTGAGATTAAATGGTGACATAAAGACCCTGCAAGGGAGGTGACTTGGACACCTGAACACTCTGGCACCAGCCTACCTGGGCTTGCTCCTCGGCAACTTTTCACTAGAATGGGTATACGCCCATATAGTCCACCACGTTCATTGAAACCTGACTATCTTCTTAAATGTGTCTTACCATTTAAGAAGTCTAAATAGTTAAAACAACAACATCACAGTGCCAATCTCCCCCAACTGTTCCCAACCTCCACCCCACAATCAATTTAGAAAATCCTAACTCCTGTACTAGTTATCCCTAGAAAAGTGATATTCCCAGGGCCTTGTTCCTAATCTAGACTATATTATCTCTGTTGTCAAAGACCAGAAGAAAATCTCAGGGATATCTTAGGGAAAGTGAAGAAATACTTGGTTTCTGGATATTGACAAGTCTAAGCCAGTTATCCAGATTCCTTAGCTGTGAGCAAATAACTCTCCCATTAGGAGGTTAACTTTGGGGCTGTGTTAACTGTACCCCCCCTATACACACTGCCTCTGCTCTTGGAAGGTGGCACCTGAGATATTTCTGTCTGCTTGTAAAGTTGAGATACTCCCGTGGTGTGTTTTCTTTTGCAGGCCACCTCCTAAGACTCTCTACTTTCTCATGCTGCTTTGCTTTCAGACTCTTCATTTTCATCCCTCTTGTTAGTTCTGGGATAACCTTGTCCCACTCTGCCACGAGGAGTGTGAGCTCTGTCCAGGCTTGAGCTGCAGTGGCTGCACCCCTGCCTCCACTGTGACATCCTTTGGTTGCAGCTGCAGAAGCATCCTTAGCAGATTCCTCAGCTGGAGATGCAGGTTAGGCTTCTGAAGTTCTGAACCTACAGGCCTGGGGAGTTTTGGTGCCTCTGCCATGGCCTCATGCCCAGAGCTTTGCTTTTCCCTAGCTCTGTAATTGTTCAGGTCTGGGTAATTGGTATGACTTCAGTAGCAGCTAAATATGCCCTCTCTCATGCATTCCCTGCAGTTATGGCATGTGCCTCTGATGGTCCACTTTCTCCTTGTTTCTAAACTCGCTTCAAAATTGATTGGCTGAACTTTTAACATATTTAATCTTAAATGGATTCCTTTCCTTTTATGCCTTCTTGGCTGAAATTCTTCCTTTCCTTTTTCTTTTCATTGGCTGTCTTACTGACAAGGGAATTTGGTTTTCAAGCATCGTCTACATTTTCTCCTGTGAGTACAGCACAGCAAAAACAATGAAGTCAAGGAGAGCTGGGCCTTCCAGAATCATCCATAGTTCGAACAACTCTTGACCAGATGCACCCTCCTGAATTTTGCATCCCTTCTAAAAAAGGGTCCTCCATCAGGCCAACAGGTGGCCTACGCCTTGAAGTAATTTTTGATCACTTTCCAGTATTCCTATCATGACGACCTCTTCCCTAGGTCCCAATTCCATAAATTATTTTGATTTTCACCCTCAGGGCACATTTCTCTACACCATTTCCACCTGAGCTTACTTAATAGTGCCAGCTGCCTCAGTTTACCCCTCTCAGACCTGTGTAACCACTTGGCATGGCTATCCTGGAGTCCAAGAAATTTCCCCAACTGTGGTCTGTACCTGGAACTTCGGGAATTATATTCTAAACACTTTATTGGACCTAGAGTCCTTTTCTAAGAGTCACTCTGGTTTTCTCTCTCAGTTCTTGACTCTCTTTTTATTAGATTTATTTGGTTCCTACTGCTTTCTATGACCTAGTAACAACAAAACCACTTATTTCCCATTGGCTCCATCTTTAAGAATGTTGGGCCTAGGTACATCTTTGCCTCCTTTCACACCTGTCCAGCTTGTCCTCTGGGACTTAACCTTCTTGGCTATCTAGACTTGACCCAGATCTCAAACACTGCAAAAATCACCTGCATTTTCCCTGGGTTTTCATCACCCTCATTTTTCTTTCCTGCTTGACAATAAAGAAAAATGATCAACCTCATTTTTCTTTCCTGCTTGACAATAAATCTGGTGTTTATTATCAAACAGTTGAATTATTCTATGATTTTAGAAGGAAAGGTTCCTATACACAGAACTTTTTAGTATCTTTATTGTCTATCAGCTTTGTGAAATTGTTATTACATTGTCTTCTAACTCAACCTGAGACATTGACATTAACCCTATGCCCTACGGGGCTCTGCTCCTCCTTTTGGCACAGATGAATCCATCACTGGTTAGTGGGTGGAGCAACAATCTGGGACTCTGAAATCTAAATCACAGCCTGGACTAACGTATCCGTGTGAGGGTGCAACTGATTCGCAGAACATGCGTGGGGCAGCTGATTCATTTAGCCTCAGCATTTCCATTTTAAGGTCTAATCCTCATCTATTAGTGCCTCTGTCATCCATGTGGAATTTTGTAGCTTTTCCAATTTTAAGTCCTGGCTTAGAGTTCTTGCTAAGAAATATGGTAAAAGAACCATATATATATTTCCTCCCACTGCAGACTAAAAAGCCCATAAACTGAAGCTCTGCCTGCACTGAGCTAGGCCTTCCCTGAGCCTGAAAGACTCCTGTTCCTATAAGTTGATGTTTGCCTCAGTGGTACTCTTCTAGTCAGAATCAGCCAGCAAGACTCCAGGATCAAGGTTCACCAATAGTCTTTGGCTGCTGTCATTTAACAGTCACACAAAAAGCCATAGTAGAAAATGCTGCAAACCACAGGTGAAAATCCTGTAAGACCAAGGTTTTCTGAAGCACCAAAGCCTCCAACTTGGTTGTGCTAGAAACGGTGTCTCTCTGCACTATTTGGGGCTCCAAATGACAATTCCAATGACTATCTCTGAAGCTTCCACACAAATCTTTAACATGCGGAACTTTAAGAAGGATGACAGACAACACCTGTATATCCTTCAAATTTGGAATAGATCAGGAGGTGACATGCAAGAGTCAGAGAAATGAAGATAAAAATATCAGGTCTATAAATGAACAGGTGGGTTTGGAATCTGTGGCTATGACAAACTGAGTTTCCTACTCCTTCCACTCCCACCAAATTTAACTTGTCCAGCCCAACCTTCAGGCCTTCCCACCACAGGGGCAGAGAGTCAGGTACTCTTCTGAATTAATCACATAGATTTGCAGAAAATGTGGGTGTCCTGAGGCTGCCAAGAAACTCAGTGGCCTCACCCCATCTCACTCATTGGATCCTTGGCTTTCTCTCCTGAGTTTCCTCAAGGTGGAGGTGGAGGTTGAGGCTTAGGGTGGGTCAGAGAAATGCCTAAAGTAGAACTCAAAGAATGGGAGTAAATATTGCTCCACCACCAGTCCCAAGGCACTGCTGTCCTGTCTTCAATGCTCTAGTTTATGCCTGGCTAGAACTCCACTTCTGTGCTCAGAGCACAGCTGAGCCACAGTGGAATCTTCCAAACCTCCAATAAATAGTAAGTTGAGCAAGAGATAAAGACACAGAAAGAGTCCAGGAAGCATATGAAAACTTTCTGGCATACACAGTCTGGACTTCTGCTCAAGTGATAGCTAGCACACAGCCAGGGCTCCTTTGTCCTGCTGCATTCTGCCAGAGGGGTGCCTACACCCTAGCTCCTAAGAATTGGTGCATCTGCCTAGAAGAACCAAGAAGATAGTGGAGCCTGGGGGTGGACAGAGCATCATCCAGTACAGGGTAGGAAATCCAGAGCTCAGAACTAGGGGGAAGGACTCAAGTAGGTCTCATCAGGATGAAAATAGGGGTGGGATATGAGTGGAAGGAGAGTTTTAGAACAATGACTCAAATTTCTGCTATAGCAGACAGTATACTTCTATTGACTAGGGTGGCATAGGAGTGGGTTTATTAGACTCTTCCAGAGAATTTTTGTTTGATAGTTGAGGCAGAGGTGAAGTAAGCTGGTCAAGGTCACAGTGACTGAGCTAGGATTTGAACCCTTGTCTCCTGACTCCAAAACTCTTGTTCATTAGTAATAGGAGGCACTTTGGCCAAATTTGGCAAAGCCCCACTTGACGCTTCCATTTCACAGAGAGGTGCCAGGGACAGCTCTGGTCTCCTGTAATGCTTCAACATTGACTTGCAAATCTTCTTCCGCCAGACCTTGGGTGGCATACACATGTTCTTAAAGAACACGTGCATGTACACACAAATACTCCCCCATGTTTGGAGTTGGAAAGAATCCTTCTGGCATAAACTAAAAAGGAATAAACAAATAGATGACATGTAACATCATCAGTAATAGAAAAACAAATTCTGATTTGTTTCTGGATTGAAGGAGAACAAAATCTTAGAACAGAACTCAAAACCACTTGAAGAAAATGTCATAAAAACAGCATCCACCCACTGCTTGCTGCTTCCACTCTACTTCTTTGTCAGCTCTGGCCAGATGGTATCTCTCTCGGCTCCTCTTGCCACAGCTTTCAGGCCTTGTTTTCCATTCTGTCAAACCCACCACTCGCTGTCCTGCAGTGTCCTCTGCCCTGGTCCTGGGAGACTGCGAGTTTTCAACCTTGATGTCGCTCTCCCCGCAATGTTCCTGTGACTGACCCTCCTTGTTATTCATGTCTTGAGTTTAACTATCATACCCTCTGAGTGGACATCACTTCCTGCCCAGAAACATGCTATGACATAGTATTCTGCAGATTTGTATGTGTACATGCGGGAGGAAGTGGTGGTAATGTACATAAAAGAAATAGTAATTCCCAGGAGCCAATGCAACCCTGTGTCAGGTAATTTTCCATTACTGATGCCGTCACTGAAATGATGTGCAAGGGGCTGTCAGAAATGATTTTCAAGGGCACCCTTATGGACAGTCTGTTACTCACAACGTACTGATATAGATGTGGAGCTGGGTGAACATTTGTGCTCTATTAATGGATTCATTTCCACCTAGAAAGAGGCTTCATGTGGTGTGCCTCAACTATGATCCAGCTAGAGGCTTAGAAGACATACTTAGTTTTGACCCAATGTTGGGAGGGGGAGATCATATGTTTGAGGCCATAGCAAAACTCTAAAGGGCAATTATGGTGATGGGCTCACACTGGTAAGAGTGCATTTAACAAGGGTAATAAGGGTAACCCGATGTGCTAAATGAACACAGGCACAAAAAACCAATGGTACAAGTAGGGGGTAGGGAGGACTTGGTTTAACAGCAACCCATATGCAAAGTATTTGAAAAGTTTGAAAATTGTAGAGGTTGGAAAAAAGTTACTCAAAAATTTTTAACAATGCACATCTCCACCAGCTTTAGAACTTTTGACCGAGTAATCTACTCTTAGAATACGCTTCTAAGTAAATAATAGATTTTTATAGAGATGTATATATAAAAGTATTAAATTAGTGCAGCATTAAAGCAGTAGAAAATGGAAATAACCTTAATTTTCAATAATACAAATATTCAATGGAATATTATGCATTTATTAAATGTCATATTTGCAAAGAACATTTAATGACATAACATGATCTTTTCACTTTACAGTGCTGTCTTTCCAACTAAAGTGGTGCCTCTAATGACAACATTTTAGGTTTCATGGAGCAACTGTGGGGAAAGTTAGGGGGTAAATCACATCAGTCAGGAAATCACTTTCTTTGCCTCTGTATGAGATCATTCCCTAAAGTATCCTCATGTCCCTGAAGGAAGTTAGGACAAGGAAAGGCTTGTGGGAATAAATGGAGTCTTGGATCAATCCTCTGCCACTTGAGTAGGGTACCCTGTCTCATCTAAATATTCAGCCAACCATATCATTTCCATGGTCAGTGACCTCCAGGGGGAAAGATGCTCAGAGACATCATCTTTAATATTTATTCCTCAATTTTCCACAGGATGGAAATTACTTTAAAAGCTAGTAGTTTGCCAGATATTATTATTTGCAGCTTACAGGTTATAACAATCAAATGATGTACCTGTCACTCTCTCTCCATCCCCCACCAATACCGGTGGAAATCACAGCTTCCACTTTTTCCTCATGGTCTCTTCTGTGGTCACCTGCAGGCATACTTATGGGAAAGGAGTTTAAGATGAAAAACTCCAATAGTGTCCTCTGATTCAATTCCAAGACACCTAGGTAAATGTTATTAAGGCATTGATCCACTAATGACAAAACACGAATGAATTTCTGGAGCAGAGTCTATAAAGATAGGCATTCAGTCCTAGGATCGTGCTTACAGTGAAAAAAAATCAAGACAATTTCAAGATGAAAGAACTTTAGAGTTATCTATTTTGAGGTTGGTTAAAGAACTATTGAGGAATGGTAAGAGCAGAGGTTTTGGATAAAACTAGAACTTATTTGAATCCAATCTCTACCACTCATCAACTGTGTAACCTTAGACAAGAGCTTGATTGGCCTCTTCCTTAAATTTTTTAGTGTCATGTAAATAATAACAATGTCTACCTTCTAGTGCTTTTGGCAGAAATGAATGAGGTGATACATATAAATATTTAGTATCATGGCCAACCTTGCTAGTGCTTAATAACTAGGAATCATTTTATCATTATAAAGGAAAGTAAAGGGCCTTTAGAATCAACTAGGCTTGGGTTTAAATCCTTGTTCTGTTTATTAGTTTTGTTTCACTGTGTGAAACCTACTGAATCTCCTGAACTTTGGTTTTGTAACCTAGAAAATGTGAGTAAAATACCTATTTTTTATAGTTCTTCTAAGGATAAACTGTGGTACATATTCAATATATGTTTATTATCTGCCTTTCTGTGTTATTCTAATAAGAATTCAGGTACTGTGCTATCCTATATGATATGTGCTCTCAGACCAGAACTTTTTGCTTTTCTAGAGTGCTCTTTGTTTAAATTGGACCACATTTTATTGACCCAGAATTCTGTTTTTAAGAGTACCTGCCCATACTTGTTTTATTGTTTGGAAAAAAGTTCCAAGATAAAGTATAGTAGGAGCATTTAGGTGAATTTCCTTTAGGGTAGGAAAGAGAAAGATATTCTAGATAGAAGATTAATAATTTATTTATTTAGAAACTCATTCAGGACATTTATTAGGAAAAGCTGAAATGAGGTAAATTATGTACTCCCTAAACCTTTTTTCTTTCAGCCCAATTTTTGTAATTTTCTCACTTCTCTTTTCCCAAGAGACACAGGTATTCTAACATGGGAAACATGTATGTACAAGGTATCATTACATTGTTACATACCCAAGTTACACAAGGCTTGACTCAGAGACAAAGACTTAGACAACAGGGGTAGGCAGTAGGCTGAGCCAGACAGAGAATCATTAGCATAATTTTTTCAATTATAGTCATATATAAAAACTAAGTTGACCACCTATTTCTTTCTAAGATACAACCTCTGCCTTTAGTAAACACTTGTGGTTAACAGCCGTCACAGAGTAGGGTCAGACAGGAAGGTCTCTGCCAGCAAAACCAGGATCTATGGCAGGAAAGACGCCAGAGGGACTTCTTTTTCAGCACCGAGGAGAGCTCCACAGTGCCTCAGAAGGTTTTATCGTGAGGGATCTGGTTAGATGCTCCTGAGGAGACAGTAACTCATTTCAGGCTTAAAAGCTTTGGTCCTCTAGGACTAGGGGATTTTACTCCTTTTTAAAATCTATGCTATATCTTCTGATAGAGCCTTGCAAGATTTTACATTTAATTCACCTTCTTTTCTAGGTTGGGTCTAAGCCAAGAATAATTGTGCCCTTCAACAATCTGGGACTGTGGCTAGCATAGAGGGAAGGGCAGAGGGATCAGCTCAACAAACATCTAGAGTATGAGGCTACTTTATATCACATTGATAGTGGGTCAAAATCCCATACACTTGCAATAATGTTTAAAATTAAGCCTTAGGGACAGGTAACATATTAGTTCACATTACATTGACATCATCATTCAGTTTAAGATTCCATTCCAGTTTGTTTTTCCTCTTGTTCCTCAATCTCTTCATTCCCCTTGAACGGTTAGTTACCCACCTTAATGTGTGATACATGTTCCTTAATTATGCTTGTATCCTTGTGAAAAATGTATAGCATTTTGAGTGTGTATATTTTAAGTATATAAATGTTATTGTGTTGTAAATCTTGTTTTTCCTTTTATTAAACTGACTACTTCTCTACTGTGTTCTTAAGACCATCCATGTTATTGTAAGCCCATCAAGTTCATTGCTTACTACTGATTATAATTTTGAAGCATGTATCCACTATATTATATTAGTCCATTTCCTTAGTAATACACACTGAAGTTAGATTCAGCTTCCCATTAGCACAACACTGCCAAAATATTGATAGGTCATGTGGCAAAGGTATATCGAATCTTAATATTTCAAGGTTGCTAAATCATGATTAGGTTATGAAAACTGAAGGTGTTGCTCTGAACTCACAACAACCAAGCCCATCTTAATATATGCAAGAGATGGGGATGGAACACAGATTGACAGTCCAGTAGGAAAATACAGATTTCGATGGAGGGGCCTCCATTCTGTCATAGTCACAACCTTCATTTTCACTGAGTAATGCCTTTCTGCTATCCCTTGGCTATAGAGCTATTACCACTGGAATGCCCAACTTGAACCATCCCTCTTCTGAGGAACAACATTTTTATGCCATCTTATTCATCACATTAACCAATTTTGTGTCTCATCAGAGCCTCAATTACTGGCAAAAACTAAGAAATTATTAACTTCTTATTTATTCATCTCACAAACATTTATTCAATATCGACCACGTTGAGCTCAGTGTGGGGGCTGTAAGATGAATCAGGCATGGTCCCTTTCCTGCATGATCTGTATGGTTTTGTTTACATAAGCCAAGTAAACAGAGACAAGAATAGAAGTGTGAACAAGCACAGCAGGGCATAAAGTAGGGGAAGAGGTAGCAGAAAAGGTAACATTTAGGAAGGCAACCACAAGCCTCTGGTTTTCCCCCAGGAGATTCCAAATTATCAGGGGTAATGCCTATGTTAGTCTCGTACAACAACGTGCTCCTGTTGCTGGGTACAGGCCCTGGCATTTAGTAGATGGCCACTAAATACTTTTATAAATAGGTGAGATAAATCTTTGAAGACAATGTGGTGTTTACAAGACAGGACAGAGAAAACAAGGAAAGGCAGAGGCGACTGCAGGCAGAAAGAGCCATATTTTTAAAAGCATAAGAAAGCCCTGCAGCCCTGAAGTATTTGGGAACCTAAAAATGAGATGTGAAGAAGGTAGAAACTGATGAACATGAAGCTGAGGTGATGACTCTGTGGGTCCGGTCTCAGAGGGGTCTGTTTGCTATGTTGAAGTGGTTATATTTTATCCTGAAGACAATGGTTATCTACAGAAAGATTTTAACTGAGAAAGAGAAAAGATCAAAGAGATATGGAAGCAGAAAGATGCTTCTTGGGTAGAAAACAGGCCAAACTCAAGACAGAAAAATATTTGGGGAGTGTCTTGTGATAGGAGCTTGATTAAAAGATGAGAGTCTTAGCTGAGCTGCAGTGGGATTTGCAGACTACTAAGGGTTGATGAGACTTTGTCCTCATGTGTTATTGAGAGATCAGGAGGGGACTTTCAGTCATTTAATAAATATTTGATAAGTGTCTGTTCTGGTGCTGAGAACAGAGCTATTACCCTACAGACAAGCCTCCTCTTCTCATGGAGATTACTATCATGTCCAGGCTCTGGTCAGTAAACAGTAGCAGTCAGTTAAGCTCTGTGACAGGCAAGACACAGAAGCATATGAGAAAAATTAACAGGGCACCCAGTCCAGTTTCTGTGTGGATAGACTTCCTGTACAAAGCAGAACTAAATCCAAGGCCTGAAAGACAGGAAAAATTAGCTGGGAGAAAAAGCATTGAGAGAAAGGAAAATGCATCCACATTTAGAGATGAGAAAGGGTATGCAGAGCATTTGAGAAACAGAAAGACGTTTACTATGCTGAGAGCAGCCTGTGTGAGGAGGGGTAGTGAGAGCTGAGGCTTCAAAGGCTCCTGCTATTGTTCCTGAAGGGTCTTTCCTGAAGGCAGGCTGAGAAGCTTGGGCTTGATCCTAGGAACAGTGGAAAGCCATAGGAATGTCTCTAGGAAAGGAAGGTCGTAATCAGATTTGCATTCCAGATCTATTACTCTACTCCTGTGAGAACAGTGGATGGAAGGGACTCAAGCCTGGGACAGTCCTGGGAGACTGGGGTAGTGCTCTGGATGGTAAAGGACAGTGGTCTGGGTTAGGATCATGACAGGAGAATGCACAGGAATGGAGGGACATTTCTGCTGTGGCATCCATAAGGGCTGGTAATCCATTTGTTGTAGGGAGAAAGGGAAGGGAATCAAGGGTGAGAGACAAGTTTTGACAAGTAACTGGGTGAATAGTGGTGACTTTCTCTGAAAGGGTATGCTGGAGGAAGCCCAAGTTCTGCTGAGCGTGACTCTGCTTGCATGGATGTCTGTCTGTGTGTGTGTGTGTGTGTGTGTGTGTGTGTGTGTGTGTGTAACAGAGACACCACAGTGTTTAGTTTGGGACATTTGAATTTGAGGCAATTGGATAGCCTGAATCAGGAGCTTAAGCCTGGGACCAGAGACACAGATGTGTGAGCCACTGGGATGAAGACATAGATGGACCCATGAGAGTGGATGAGCTAACTAGCATAGAGTAAGAATACAGAAACCAGCAACTAGAGAGTTGGAGATAGACTGACTCATGGCTGAACCCATCCAGCATTCTGAAATTCATGGCCTCTGACTTTGCCTTTAAATCGTCGTATTCTTGGAAGAGCCAGTAGATCTCTGGCCCCCAACCTTGATAACAGTGAGGTAAAAGGGACAGGAGAAAGAACAGAAAGTATAAATGATGAGGACAATTATATTTTACAGCATTCCAAGGAAAGAGATTCAGAGATTCGCATCACTTTTTAAAGGTGTAATGGCAAGTACTGCCAGATCCAAGATTCACATCAAAGTCTCAGATGCTCCAGTCAAGAGCATTCCACTCCCCCATGCTTTTAGCTCTGGTCACTTCCTATAGATTTAGGGTTGGGAGAGGAGAGTTTGAGGAGGAATGGCTCAAAAGATATACATAGGCAAGTGGTACCCAATGCAGATCTGGGAAGAAAGTTCTTGAGAAAAGTTTACATCTTGGCTCCACTTCTTGCTTTTTCAGTATGACTCAGTTTTGGTGAGAAATGCGTGTTTTGGCTGCTCCTCAAGAACAGAGCCTGTTGTTGATGAGGACTTGGGACAGCGTGCTCTCCTTCCCGCCAAAGACCGCTGTCCTCTCTTCCCAAATCCGTCTGCTCTGGCGCAGGAAGGAACACTAAGCCCAACACATATGTGTCAGATATGCGACACTGTGTCTGCAGCAGCCCAGCCATCTGCAGGAGGCCGGATCTGCCAGCTTGTCATCAGGCAGGGAAATCCATTTCACACTCGGTGAAAATTTTCGCATCCTCCCCCACTTACCAGTTGGAAATTCTTCTTTCTCTGATTAAGCATTCTGGGGGTTTATGACCAATGTAGCCCTATTTGTCAAGTGAGAGTTAAGATCTCTTGTTTCACAAAGTAGTCCCTTTGTGTGACCCTTGAGTATTTACTGAGGACAATGCACATAGGTTGAGGTGAGAAAGAAATTTTATCAGGCAGGGCTTTCACCCCAGGAGGAGTTTTTAATTTAATTGTGTCTGTTTCCAATCTCAGATATTCTGGTGTAATTGGTAGGGGCTGTAGCCTAGGCATCAGGATTTTTAAAATTCTGCCCTTTCCCCAACCCAGGCAATTCTAATGTACCACAAAATTTGAAAGCCACTAGTTGAGAAAGGGCTTCTCAAGGTTTAGTTTGCATAGGCGTCACCTGGGCATCTGATTTAAATAAAGATTCTGACTCAGTGGGCCTAGGGTCAGCCTGAGAGTCTTAATTTCTAATAAGCTCCCAGGTGATGCTGATATAGCTGGTCTGCAGACCACACTTTGGGTGGCAAGGCTATGAAGTAGAATATCCTTCAAACTGGAAGATAGGCCTCCTCTTTGTTTGCTCAGAGAATGAATTCAAGGCTCAGGTTAAGTACCCCTTGCTTCTCAAAGACCTCCTTAGCTTCTTTTGCCATCCCCTTCCCCTCAGTAGAAGGGACCACTCCCTTCTTTCACCTTTACTTAAACTGGCACAAACATCTCCTGCAGCCCTTGGTCTCTGCTCCTCCCAGCCTCTGAGCCTCTTGAAGTCCAGATGTGTTCCCGTTTCCTTCTGAGTCCCTGTGCAGTCAGTGCTCACAACTCTATTGAATGAATGGGTATGACTCACCAGCTCTACCTACCTGGCCTCATTTCTCTTCATAACTGTTATGGTTATTTGTTTGTTTCCTGTCTTCCCACACTAGAATGCAAGTCCCAAAAGGAAAATAATTTTTATTTTTTTGTTCCCTGTTCTATCTGCAGTGGCCTGGAACATAGTAGATGTTCAATAAATATTTACTGAATGAATGAATGAGCATTAGACAGGCACTGAATCCAATTTAAGGTAATATCTAACCACAGATGATCAGGCACTTGTCATTTATTGGGTTGGGGAAGATGACAAGTGTAACGGGAGTGGGAAATTAGGTGGGAGGCGGGTGCAAGAGAGAGGGGAGACAAATCTTTAGGAAACTACCATGCAAGACCAAGGAGTCTAAGCTCACTTGTGCATTTTGAGAGCTGTCCACATGTTTTAGGGCCAGTTAGGGTCTCACCCAGGTCAAGGACTGGCTAGAGGGAGACCTTCACCCTCAGGGTCTGAGGAACAGTTCAGATTCCTCAAGTAGACTTTGAGTGAGAACCAGAGGGGACATGGCAAGTTGCCTCTAACAGAATGTCATAGAAGCCATCACCAATTCATTCATTCACTTCTTTGTCCTTTCAATTAATATTTGTTGATCTCACTGGGGACCATGACTGTGTCTTGTCTGCAGACATTCAGCTGCTAGGAGAACAGCTGATTATTCTACATCATTGACCTTGTCTTGCCACATGGCTCTTGTAGTGGTTTTATACAATCACACTTTGCATTAGTTATTGGTAAAGAGAGAATTTTTGAATGTCCTTTTAGTTTTGTTCTTTCTGTTCTAACCTTAAAATTCACAGGAGAGAGGGTTGGATCTTCTCTCTGGGATCAAAAAGCTGTGGCTGGGACTTAGGGTTATATGATATAGACATGGCCACTGGGCTTTCATCTAGTATGCGGTGGTGGAGGAGAATATTTGTAGGCTACACAGTCATCCACAGTTCATTCTCTCAAGGAGCTTTGAGCCTGGTGGGAAATTAATAAAGTAGAACTCACAATAAACCATGATATGCCAGCCTGAGAAACATGGAGAAACCCCATCTCTACAAATAATACAAAAATTAGCTGGGCATGGTGGTGCATGCCTGAGGTCCCAGCTACTCAGGAGGCTGAGGTGGAAGGATCACTTGAGCCCAGGAGGTCGAGGCTGCAGTGAGCCATAATTGTACCACTGCACTCCAGCCTGGACAACAAAGAGATACCTTGTCTCAAATAAAACAAAACAAAACATGATGTGTATAACCTTATATTAAACTTATATAATTTGCACTGACCTGTTTTGTGTATTCTAGGGCCATTTTCCAATTCACTGGTACTAGAATATTTCAAAGGAGCTCTGACAGATATGAGGGGTATCACCAAAATGTTCCAACTACTGAGCTTTTTTCTTCCCATGGAGCCACACTGTGGAAGGAAGGATGAGTTTACCGAAGATTTCTGTCAGACTGGGAGTGAGAAGTAGGGTAGTTATAACCAGACGGACACTGAATTCAAATATAAACATAGTATCAATGACTGTTATCTGCTCTTGAGTTCCCTGGAAAAAAACTGCCACAGATGAGGATTAAGTATTAATGCTTTATATTTGGAAGTTGCACACTCAGGGCACTAATGCTGAAGACAAGGACAGAAAGGTAGAAAGAAGGACAGAAGCAATGCAAAGCATGCAGTAGCATAATGACCATTGCATTTAATGATCTGCAAGGAGGTGCAGCAGGTTGCTTAGCAGGGGATCTGCTCCACTTGTTGGTTATCTTGAGATGATGAGTGATATGGTTTGGCTCTGTGTTCCCACCCAAATCTCATCTCGAATTGTAATCCCCATGTATTGAAGGATGGGGTGATTGGATCATGGGCACATTTTTCCCCATGCGTTCTCATGATGGTGAGTGAGTTCTCATGAGATCTAATGGTTTTATAAGTGTATGGAAGTTCCTCCTTCATTCTTCTCTCTCACCTGCTGCCTGTAAGATGTGCTTGTTTCTCCTTCACCTTCCACCATAATTGTAAGTTTCCTGAGGCCTCCTCAGTCATGCAGAACTGTGAGTCAATTAATCCTTTTTTCTTTATAAATTACTCAGTCTCAGGTATCTCTTTACTGCAGCATGAAAACAAACTAATACATTACATTGGTACTGAGAGTGGGATACTGCTATAAAAATAATCTGAAAATGTGGAGGTGAGTTTGGAACTGGGTAATGGCAGTGGTTGGAACAGTTTGGAGGGCTCAGAAGAAGAAAGGAAGATGTGGGAAAGTTTGGAACTTCCTAGAGACTTGTTGAATGGTTTTGACCAAAATGCTGATGGTAACAAGGACAATGAAGTCCAGGCTGAGGTGGCCTCAGATGGAGATAAAGAACCTTTTGGGAACTGGATTAAAGGTAACTTTTGCTATGATTTAGTAAAGAGACTAGTGGCATTTTGCCCCTGCCTTAGAGATCTGTGGAACTTTGAACATGATAGAGTTTATCTGAAATTGGAACTTATGTTTAAAGTTGAAGCAGAACGTAAAAGTTTGGAAAAATTACAGCCTGACCATGTGGTAAAAAAGAAAAAAACATTTTCCAAAAAGAAATTCAGGCTAGCTGCAGAAATTTGCATAAGTAATGAGGAGCCTAATGTTAACCACCAAGACAATGGGGAAAATATCCCCAGGGCACATCAGAGATCTTCACATCAGCCCCTCTCATCACAGGTCTGGAGGCCTAGGAGAGAAAAATGATTTTGTGGGCCAGGCCCAGGGTCCCCCTGCTTTGTGCAGTCTCAGAACTTGATGTCCTGCATCCCATATGCTCCACCTCCAGCCATGGCTAAAAGGGGCCATGGTACAGCTCAGGCCATTGCTTCAGAGGGTGTAAGCCCCAAGCCTTAGCAGCTTGCAAGTGATGTTGGGCCTGTGGATGCACAGAAGACAAGAGGTGAGCTTTGGGAGCCTCTGTCTAGATTTCAGAAGATGTATGAAAATGCCTAGATGTCCAGGAGGAAGTCTGCTGCAGGGGCAGAGCCCTCATGAAGAATCTCTACTAGGGCAATGCAGACAGGAAATGTGGGGTTGTAACTCCCACATAGAGTCCCCACTGGGGCACTGCCTAGTGAAGCTGTGAGAAGAGGTCCACTGTCTTCCAGATCCCAGAATGGTAGATCCACTGACAGTTTACACTGTGTGCCTAGGAAAGCCACAGGCACTCAATGCCAGCCTGAGAAGGAGCTGCGCAGGGTTGTAGGAGTCCACTGCTTGCATCAGCATGCCCTGGATGTGAGACATGGAGTCAAAGAAGATCATTTCAGAGCTTCAAGATTTAATGACCACCTTGCTGGATTTTAGACTTGCATGGGATCTTTGTTTTGAACTAATTTATCCCATTTTGAATAGCAGAATTTATCCAATGCCTGTACCCCCATTGTATCTTGGAAGTAACCAACTTGCTTTTAATTTTACAGGCTGCTAGGTGGAAGGGACTTGTCTTGTCTCAGATGAGACTTTGGACTGTGGACTTTTGAGTTAATGCTGAAATGAGTTAAGACTTTGGGGGACTGTTGAGAAGGCATGATTAGTTTTGAAATGATATGGTTTGGCTCTGTTTTTCTGCCCAAGTCTCATCTTGAATTGTAATCCCCATGTGTCGAGGGAGGGAGGTAATTTGATCATGGGGGTGGTTTCACTCAGGCTGTTTTCATGATAGTCAGTGAGTTCTCATGAGACTGGCGGTTTTATAAGAGTTTGGAAGTTCCTCCTTCATTCTTCTCTCTCACCTGCCACCATATAAGACATGTTTGATTCTCCTTTGCTTTCTGCCATGATTGTAAGTTTCATGAGGCCTACTCAGCAATGCATAACTGTGAGTCAATTAAACCTCTTTCTCTTATAAAATATCCAGTCTCAGGTATTTCTTTATAGCAATGTAAAATGAACTAATACAATGGGCTTTGTAGGAGAAGTCCCACTGTGGAGCAGCTTATTACAAGGAGGATACAGGGATAATTTATTAGCTAGGCTTCCTCTGTCTTTTACCTCTGTATGGCAGATGGACTTCACAGCAATAACTTGACTTGAGCATAACCTGAGAATGACCCTGTATGGCAGATGCACCTGAATGTGTCTTTGGAGTTCAGAGCTAGGCAATCCAGGAGTAGCCAACTCGTATATCCAATGTTTATCTGTGAGTAACATCTGAGACCCTGGACCCTCCCATGGAACCTGGGCAGTACACGGGATTGAGGCCCTTTGTTTTGGGTTAAATGAATGTTGCTAGATGGAGGTTGTTAGGGGAAAGGTGCTAAGTGAAAATGCTATATAAACTGCATGTTTTTTGCAAGCAGGTGTGGTTCTCCTGCCCAGCTCACCACCACTGGACTTCTTCGCATGTCCGTTTCCTACTAGTAAAACCCTGTCTATATGCTGACTCTAGGTCTCTTCTTCACCCTCCTGAACCTGGTGCCATCCCTATTGGAGTTAATAGGGTCCAATGCAACAACCTCCTACTGGGTTAGAATTCCCACAGTACTAGTGAATGGATAATTTAAAAAACTGTCCCAGAAAATATAAAACAGGTTAGCACAAACTATTTAAGTTTAATATAAGGCTATATTTGTCATGGCTTTTGGTAAGTTCTGCTTTTATAATTTCTTACTAGACTGAAAGCTCCTAGAGGCAAAGGAGTGAGGATTTCTCATTCGTTGGATGACTGTATAACTCACAAATATGCCTCCCAACCCTGTTACTGGATGAAAGCCCTAGAAGCTAACTAACCTGCCCTTCTGAGTTGTAGCACCTGGCTTCTTTAGTGACTGTTCAAAATGACAGATCCCTCATCCTAAGGGATGGTGTCATTTCATCCAGTGTAGAAATGATGGAAGGAACCAAAACCCCATGAGTGCAACTGATCAGACTGGCTGTGTGGGAATGGCCAAAGCAGGGGTTGGGGTCTGTGCTCTCAGTGACCAGTTGACCCTCGGAACTACAGTATGGCCCAAGAGGCATGTAGCCAAGGACAGTGGAAGTGGTGCATGAGATCTGATTCAGTACAAATGTTTATAAATCTTAGAGAGATTGCAGTTCCATTTCTTTACTTCGTGAAGAATCAAATCTCAAAAAGGTATGGCTTGTCCAAGGTCCTGAACCTTATCAATGTCACAACTGGGATATGAATATAAGGTTTCATGAGTGTGAGTTTCATGGTTATTTTCTCCATTGAACCAAGGGCTCTGATTACATGATGGATGAGATCTATTGTATTTCAGCAAAATAAATACCAATTATCATTTGGTAGAAGACAGTAGGACTTTACGGATAAGAGCCTGTGCTGGGAGAGGTGTGGTAGATATAAACTAAGATTAAATTCTGGCTCTGCCAATTACTTGCTTTGTAATTTTGGTGTTACCCAATCTTTGAGTTTATATTTTCTTATTGATAAGAGAGTACAATAATAGTACCAATTTCTGGGGGTTATTAAGAGTCCTGTAAAGCCTCAGACACCATCCCTGACACATAGTAGACACTCAAGATAACTAAAAATAACTGTAGTTTAGTGATATTCTAATAGTTTTTTTTTCTCTGACTCAGTACCAGACTTCAATGCCTTGGTAAACCTCAAGCTCCGTTATGTATATCCCTACACTCACCATCCATCCATCTGTATATTTTGATAAATGTTCAATGATAGGGAAAAATTTTGTTTTGTTTTATTAAGCAGGGGAATCTGCTGATGTTCTTTGTTCTATTGTTAAACACAAACAACAAATGTATTAAAAAGCCCTCTCTCCTTGATTAGTGAAAAACGTAAGCTCCAAGATCAATCAGGAAAAACAGGTTTTCAATGTCAAAGATACAGAAACAATTCTACCCTTTCCTGTATTTTCCCATCAGCCTTAGCATACATATATGCTAAGGATAAATAAATAAATATATATATATATGTGCTAATAATATATATCTTCCTCTTTGTTTATAATATATAATATAATACATATAATATAATAATATATAATATATATATATCCCTCTTTGTTTATAATAAACCAGAATTGATCAGAAATGAAGTATGTGGCTCTTTGAAGAATTTGTTTTGAAGTTCTCCTGGACAGAGTGGGAGAAGTGAGGAAGCAGAGAAAGGAAAGAGGATTAACTCCTCAGGCAGATCCAGGGTAGCACCTTGTGGTGAGATGATATTGAGTAGATGGTTCCACAGAGACCTGCCAATAATAGGATTGGAGGTAATCGGGATGGACAAGGCTTAGCTGGACAATCATTCTGTATTGCTCACTGGACTGAAAGTGTTCCCTGAGATGTGCTTTCTAGTTATTTGTCCAGATTTCTATGGTCTTAACTGATTGCTCCTGGGTGGAAAATAGCTTGACTTTCCCAAGTTCTGACAACCCTTAATTTGGCCTTGTTAATTCTTTTGTAGCCTGTATGGATTCCAGAGGGAGTCACACTTATCTGGCTGATTTGGTCACTGATTTCCCCAGGATGGCCAGAGAAGCTGTACTTGAGGAATTCTAATTCTGCAGAATTGCCAGAGGCAGAGACTTTTGCTTCTCATGGGTACTTAGCCTTTGAAAACATCAAAACCATACTGACGATATCCCCAAGGGATAGGCCATCCAGGCTGTTTTGCCCACCAGAGCTGGTGGCCTATGGATGGTGCGAACAGAAGAGCATCAGTCAGGCCTTGTTGGGACAGTGTTTTGCAGCTTCCAGTAGTTATGAGTAGTGGCTGTTCAGTTGCCATCCTCCTCTTTCTCACTATTTACACTTGTCTTCATACATCTCCTTAAAAATGCTAGAATCTTTATTTGCCAAAAAAGTGGCTATTTGATCATCTTGACTAATGAGACAAAGAAACTGCAAACTTGCCCTTGCTCCATCACTAACTAGCGAGCAAGCCTGGCTAAGTCCCTATGCCTCTTCGTGTTTGTTAGCTTATCTCTACAGTCGAAGGGATGTGAAAGTGTGGTTACAAGCACAGACTCTGGATGCTCTGGGTGCGTGCCCAGCTCTGGCCTTTAGTAGCGAAGTGACCTCTGTTAGTTTCTCAATTTCAGTTTTCTAATCTGTAAAATGATCACAGTGGTATCTACCTCATAGGGTTGTTGTGAAGATTAAATGCATTTTTTGTGTAAAGTGCTTACAACAGTGTCTGGTGCATGGTAAATGCAATGTAAACACCTGTTATTTTTAAAAACTGAGGATCTCTATTTAAGGTTGCTCCAGATTTAAAGGACAAGTGATTACCTTAGTAAGTATTTTTGGCTGCTCAACCAGCACTTACTTCTTTATTTTCCCTTTTCCAAAGCCCAAAATATTCTTTGGGGAAATGCCTTCAAATACTCTCCCTATATGATGATGGAGTGTGATTATAGATTGCACTGGCTCTACTCTAATGCCAAGCAAATGGCTTATTAAGTAAACTTATTAAAAATAAATTACGCAAAAATATTTAGCCAAAGCATTCTTAACAAATTTGGAAAAAAAATCGTCCCTGCACTCCTTTATCAGGTTGTTTCTGATGCACGTTGTAAGCTACGCCATATCAGAAAACGTCTCCCTTTGTTCCCATCAATAGCTTCACTTCGTTATGGTTTCAGTAAAATAAACAAACCATGAAACCAAAATCTGGACACACAGGCTTTCTGGAGGGCATAATGATGATCTCTTTTATTCATAAAGCAATTTACAAAGATATTCCATATTCATTCACTGATTTTATTCTCACAGCAAACTTCAGGAGTCCTATTTTTACAAGAACAAATTAATCCACTGGGAGATAAACCGAGTTCCTGGAAGCTAGTGATCCATTTCCCTGGAGGGGAGTGGTGAGGCCAGAAGTTGCATCCACATCTCCTGACTCAGAGGATTGCTCTCTTTGTTTTGAAACACTCATTTCATTGGGTTTCTTGGAAACTCACCTCTTGGTTCTCCTCTTATCCCATGGCTGTTCCTCTCCAGCCCCATTGCTGGATGCTGTTCCTCTTTCCAATCTCTGAATGTTAAGGGCTCAGAACTCTGTTATTTCTCTTCCTCCATTAGAATGTTTTTGCCACTGTCATTAGATAAGCTCCTTCAGTTCTATGGTTTGTATACTGCCTACCTACCTGCTGGTGTTATTATTGGCTGATGTATTTATTGATGGTATATTAATTAGAATATCAATTCCAAGGTGACAAAATTTTAATGGTTCAATTCTGTATTACCAGAGTCTAAAACAGTGCCTAGAAGTAGTAGCACTCAATACATGTGTGACTAGTGAGTGAATGCATACTTTCAAATACAAAACACTTGCTTCAAAATATATTGTTTTTGACACCAGCAGTGTAGACCGAGGCTTCTCAACCACAACGTGGTTGTCATTTGGGGCTGGCTGATTCTCTGTTAGTAGGGGTTGCCCTGTGCTTTGTAGGATGTTGAGCAGCATCCCTGGCTTCTACCCACAATATGCCAGTAGAAACATCAGTTGCAAAATATCCCCAAAGCTTGCTAAACACACCTGGGAGGGAAAACTTCACCCAGAATTGAGAATCCTTAGGCCAGTGAAAAGATCAGTTTGCTAGAAATAAAAGATCAGGATTTCAGTTTCACTTGTGTGACAAGTTATTTACCTTTCTAAGCCTCAGTTTCTCCATATACATATCAGTGATTAGAATACCTAGCCCACAATGCATTTGTGGAAATTAAATAAATTAGCGCATCCAAAAATAACCAGCATGGTGTCCAGTTAATATTTGTTTTCCTCTTAGCTCTGGGACTGATCTGCCTCCTGTGACATGGCCTCATTATTGATTTCAAGCCCCACTTCTTCTCATGGTTTTGTCTCACTACTCTTGGCTGTTTCCAAGGTCTTAGGACTGCCCTCTTTTTTGCCAGTACCTGGGTCTTCTTATCTGTTTTTTGACCATTCTCTTCTAACCTCTGGATATGTCTCCATTCTGAGTTCTTCCTCTGGTTCTGGAAGTGCAGATCCATCTCAACTATTTTCTCCAAGGCTTTTTTTATACTTCAGCCATTCCTATCCTTCCCCTTTCCAGCCACCTGAGCTTAAACAAAGCCATCCTTATGCCAGCAACTCACACTGCATCAACAGCTGCAGGGATGGGACAGAAATCAATGTGCCTGGGATTAATTCATGGTCTTCAACATACACAAAGACATTACCTCTCTGGGCTCTGGACTTCTCATCTGATAAATTGGAAGGTAAGATTAGTTAGCTGTTAGGTTGGAATTACCTTTCCCACTGGCCATGCACACATACCTACTTGCCTTCTTAGAACCAGATAATCTCTAAATCCCCTTACCATTTTAACATTGTATGCCTAGATTTTAAACATGGGAGTGAAAAAACAGTTAAAGGAGATACAGCTTCCCACTCAGAATTATGGCTTCCTCCTCTTCCACTATTTGGTTGCTTCCTAGGGATAGTGTGACCTAATGAATAGGGTGTAGGTTTGGGGGTCAGGCTGGGGGCAGAACCCCTCCTCTGTCACTCACTAGCACATGCAGTGTGAGCTTGGGTAGGTTAGTCAGCCTCTCTGAGTCCTCAATGTTCTTCTGTTTTCCACCAGAAGTGACTCTTATGAGGGTTTACATGATAATATATGGGAAGCACCAATCAACAGTATCTGGTACAAGATAGGCCTTCATTAAATGTCTTGTTCTCCTCCCTCCACCCCACAGTCTAGTACATCTACTGAATCCTTATACCACCTAGTATAAAACTGTGAAACTGTCAGCTCCTTCTGGGAAAGGATTCTGTTTTATTTGACATTTACATATAATCCATTCTATTATATTGTGTTTACATAGTTATGACTCAATTAAACATCCACTGGGTTAAACAGACTGAATTTGACATGTTAGAGGAAGGAAATAAAGATATTTAAAATATAGTTGAAAACAATGAAAATATATTTGGAAATAATAATTAATACCGAAAAATCAGAATCCTAGAGAAAAATTAGCCCACGAGTGCAATACATGTGTTTTCAACTGGGGCTTTGCATGAGTGAGCACTGATTTGGAATAAAGACAGAGCTCAGTTTGCAGTTGGACTGATCTAGTATCTAGCAGAGTATTTAGCAAACAATAAGTGCTCCAATACAAGCTACTTAATGCAGCTTGTTTAATGTATTAACATGTTTGAGCCCTAATTATATCACTTAGGAGCAATTATTTACTTCTCTGAGACTTGCTTTTTTAAATCTGTAAAATAGGAATAGTAATGAAGATGAAACGAAGGAATGTAAACAAAGAAAGTGTCTCGGTCCCTGGAACACCATTTTTATGTTATACATCATAGATATTATTGTTCCAGGGTTTCTTTTTTACCTTAAGCTAACTGACATTGGTGTTTGTGAACATAGTTAATAAATACTCCTGCATGTTAACACTCACATCACACCACACATTGGTCAACCTTTCAGATAAGGTGAAGGAAATGGTGGTTGTGGAATCAACAGTTGGGTATAAATCTGACCAGCTCTAATGCCTATAAGCTGTGCAATGTTGGGAAAATCACCTTTGCTTTCTGATCCTTTGTGTCTATCTGTGTATGGAGAAATTATGATCTAGGATCTCTTCCATTTCTAAACATCTCTGAGTAGGACTAATTGATCTTAAAGGTTTGTTTCATTCTTAAGAGTATCTGATTAGAAGATTAGGTTCTATTTCCCTGATTATTGACCAATGAAAAGAAAGTTAACCGTGTGTGTTTTGGGGGAGGAATGTGTTTAGTGATGGAAAACGGTGAGGGAAGTGGAGTAACATGCTGATTGTCTACTGCACCAAGTATATGTGAATCACTCTTCCTATATTTTATATATTTCCCACAAAAACCCTGTGAGTATAGTGTTCTCAGCTCTGCTCTCCCAATAAGGAAACTAAGATTGAGTGAGACAACTTGCATAAAGTCAGAGAACGTAAAACTCTTTTCTTTCCTTCTGTGCTGCCTCTTCCTCAATCCAGACTCTCATCGACTAGGGCCTGGATTGTTCTCTCAGCTGGAGTGGCTGGTCTCCAGGCCTCCCCACCTGTGACCCTCCAGTCCAGTCTCTGTGCTACTGCAAATTAGATCATTTCATGTTCCTTCAGGAACCTGGACCAGCTCTCAGGGAAAAGTTCAGGCTTCTTAGGACAGCTTATAAGATCCCATGTCATTCTCCTACCTTTCCAGTCACATCTTCGCATTCGGTAAATGTAGCTTTCAGTCTACATTTATTAAGCACCTTCTCCATTCCAGACACTTTTCTAGGCTGCCTCCGTAATAGTAACATGTGTTCTTGCCCTTTCTTATATTGTAGTATGGTAGATATACCTTAATCAACTACTCTCACAGATTATTCATCTACCTATCATCTGTCTCCATCTAAATATAATCTATCTGTATATTATCTATCTAACAATCTACCTAACAATAGCTAACATTTACTAAGCACTAATGATCAAGACACTATTCTAATCACTTTAAGTGATTTTTTTCATTTTGGCCTTCCAACAAGTCTATGAAATAGACACTTTTATTTTCATGTTCCAGATGAGAAAACTACCTTATAGAGAGTTTAAGTGATTTGCCAGAGGTCACACAGCTAGGAAGTGTCAGAGCCAAGATCTGTGCCCAGGAAGTGGGCCTGCACTCTTAATCTCCATGCACTAATTCTCAATTGTATGGTTAGAAATGGTAATAGGCACCATATAAGAAAGGCGTCAGCTATTAGCATTATACCTGATGGGGGGCTTAGAAGGGCATTTGAGGAAGTACATTTGAGTGCTGGTCTTCTTGACCAGCCGCCTTCATTTCCTCTGCCCCAGTAAGCACACTGGCCTCCAACAGAGATGAATTTACCCCACCTCCCATATCTTTCCTGATGTTGTTTCCTCTGCTTAGAAGAGCTGCTCCCCTTCCTCCGACTAACACCTGCTCATTCACTCATTTGCCAAGCAATTATTGAAACTGCTATTGTGCCAGGCCCTGCTGGAGTCTGAGTCTATGGAGATAAACAGACACAACCTGTGCCCTCTGAGGCTCACCATCTGGAAAGGAGATGGACATGCAAACAGCACAGACAACTTGTTTAAGATACTGTCATTTGGGGTCTCTGTTACATGCAAGCATATCTAACCTTGACCAGTACATGGGCCTTCCTTTTATACAAACACAGATTATCAGAGGCATATGAGACTTTAAAGTTAACCTAAACCAATGTTTCTTAACCTTTTTTGGAGTAAAAAACATTTTAAAATTTGAAAGCTAACTACCCCACGATAAGATAAGATGGACATCCATAGGGGTCATGGCCCTTGTGGTTAAGTATCCCTGAGTTGGTTGCAAACCCTCATTTTAACTACAAGGAAGCTAAGGTTCAGAAGGACTCTGAAATTTGCTGAGGGTCATGTGGGAAATTGGAAACAGATCAAAGACCAGGAGAATCCAGGCTCTCTTATTTCCAAGCTTTGCTTTGTCCTCCCAGAGACAATGCCTGACTTCAGAGCAGACTCCTCGTTCTACAGGCAATGCCCCAGGGAGAGCCATCTGATGGGAGTTTGAAGATATTTTGGATATTCATGTAAATATTGATGACTTAGCCTCCTTCACTTACTCATGCATTTATTTATTCATTTATTCATCCATCCATGTATTTAAGAAATAATTACTGGAGATCTTCCAGGGCCAAACACAGGGCTGTGCACTGTTATGATATGGTGGACAAACAGATTTTACTCCTGTCATTCTGGACCGCACATCCAATGGATGAGTCAGACACCAAACAAGTCAAATCATAAATCTATTTACAATAACAAATTAGGGTAAATACTAAAGGAAATGAATGGGGTGGTAGCAGTGAATGATGAGATCTATTGGAATCAAGGAAGACCACTTTGTGGAGGTGAAATTTAAATTAAGATGAATGATAAGGGGGAACCAGACATGTAAAGGGTAGGGGAAAGGGTGGTTCAGACTGAGGGAACAACTATGCAAAGATCCCGAGAAGGAAAGAACTAGAATATTAAAGAGCTGGGAGAAAGTTCAGTACAGTGGGGTTAAGTAACTAGAGATGAGATTGAGGTATATACAGACAAGCAGGAGAGCAAACAGGCCCAAGTGGACCCCTGATGACCCCTTAACAATTTTGAGTTTTTGTCTTAACTACAATGATAAATCATTGGAAGGCTTTTCAGCGAGACATGTGATGTGGTTCTGGGTTTGTAAAAAACCACTGTAGTTGCAATGTGAAAATGAATTGGGATGATAATGAGAGTAGATGCAGAGAGAGCATTTAAGAGGCTATAGGCTGGGCATGGTGGCTCATGCCTGAAATCCCAGCACCTTGGGAGGCTGAGGCAGATCACTTGAGGTCAGGAGTTCAAGACCAGCCTGGGCAACATGGTGAAAGCCTGTCTCTACTAAAAATACAAAAAAGTTAGCTGGGCATTGTGATGCATATCTGTAATCCCAGCTACTTGAGAGGCTGAGCCATGAGAATTGCTTGAACCTAGTGAACCTGGGAGGCGGAGGTTGCAGTGAGCCGAGATCATGCCACTGCACTCCAGCCTGGCAACAGAGTAGGACTCTTAACTCCAAAAAAAAGGCTATAGTTGTAACCCAAGTTGCTGCTGATGGGGTTGTGCAGATGGATTTGAAATGTGTTTTGGGTGCAGAATGTACTTTGGCTTGGTGGGGACTGATTCTAGCATGTGAGGAACAGAGTCAGAAGTGATGAGAGCTCACAGGTCTCTTTCAAATCTTGAAGGATTCCTCTATGGGATTTTCTAGCAAAGAGAGCCCCAATTTATTCCAGTGTTGTTGGAAGAGCTTTCTCAAAAGCTACTGACCTGCTCGCAGACCTTTATAGAGATGTAGAAAAAAAACAACGTTATACTGAAGTTTGCTTTGGTAAGCCAGATTCTACTCCTAAGGAAGAGTGGAAGCTGTACCTTCACAATAAGGCTGGAGAGGATTTCATTTGGTAAGCCAGATTCTACTCCTAAGGGAGAGTGGAAGCTGTACCTTCACAATAAGGCTGGAGAGGATTTCATTCACTTGCTTCTGATAAGATTGCCACAAATAACTCACTGATTTGATTTGGAGCAAAACAAGATATGTGCTGCAGTGTTTAACTTATGCTTATATGAATTGAGTGAAAAGGTAGATATTTAGACTTTAATTCAAAAAGATTTTAGAAAACACTTCCATTTAATTACTCATAATTATGTCTCTATGGCAATAACGTAGTATTTCAGTGCACTAGATAAATGACGGTTGATTATGCTTTTGTCTTTAAGCAACATGAGGGTGAATGTGGTATAGAGTCTCTGTCATTACCTTTTTTTCATTTCAAGAAAGCTGAGTCCTTCCCTGACTGAGTCCAAGGCTCCCAAGTTTGCTGGAAAATTAAAGCTCCCTCCACCCTCCCTGCCTCTCCAGCAAGATAGATGGGGAAACAGACATTGAGAACATCTAGTACCAATATGTAATATGTTAATTTATGTTAATTTTCACAACCTGCATAGATTTTTATCTTGCCTTTACTTTGGACAAAAAAACACTCAGAAGTTAAAAGAACTGTGACAGGGTCCCCAACCAGTAAGTGGGGGACAGTAGGATTGCTAAAATCTATGCTACGTATCATAGCACTCTCATGTTGATTTTCAGGTTTAACTTACTTCTCAAGTGTTTCTCAGTTCTAAAAGGAAAAGAATACTCAACTATTTCCAGAAAGTCAAATATTCTCAGCAACACTTAGTTCTTAGATGGCTCTAGTAACTTTGTGCCAGTACATAGTAGATTTGTTGGCCACAATTTTTATTCCTTTGCTCATGTCCTTTCTTATGTGACTTTAAAGTTCCCCCCGCTAGAAACGGTGTATTTCCCTGCTCCTGACTTTAGGCTCACCCATGTTACCTGCTTTGGCTAATGGGATGGTAGTATTCACAAAGCAAGAAAACTTGACATGCATTGCCTGGTTATATTGTCCCTCTTGTGCTTTTGCTATTACCTGAGAGGAGCTTCCTCAGAATGGACACTGCCCCTCAGCTTGAGTTCCAGAATGAACCCAGGTGGCATAGACCTGAGTCTAACTTGCCGCAAGAAACCCAGCCCAGCTGACCCTGACCCTGAAGTGGAGCTGTCCAGCCAAGATCAACCCATTCTCAATTGACCTGCAGACCCATGAGCAAGAGAATAAGTGGTTGTTATATGGATTTAAGTTTGGAGGTGGTTTCTTATACACTATTATTGGGGAAATAACTGATTGATATACGTTATGACAGTTACCTTTACTTTCTGGGTGTTCTGCTTTGTAAAATGTTTGTAACCAGCAAGCACAGCTTGAGCCCTGGCTACGTGAAAATCAATGTGAACTTCAAACAGTGCCCGTGAAAATTTTAAAGAAGATTAAAGCACAGAGTTTCTTTAACAGAGCTCACAGTCTAATGGGAAAGGAAAGGGAAAAAGATACTAAACACACGAGGAACATATAAGAGTGATGGGAGAAGTTACGAAATGTAGGTTGATTATTGAACTTATTAGATTCAGGTGCCTAAATTAGAAGGTGCCATTTTCAAAAGTCAGATTTACAGGCAGACTGTAAGAGTGCTTAGGCAGACTATCTGGGCAGGATAGTCTGGTCCCTGCTTCTCTTGAAATAGTGATGCTGGAACACCCTCCTGCCACTTGCACCAGGGGAGGGCTCTGTGGCCAGCACAATACTGCAGAAGTGATGGCATGTCACTGCCAAGATTAGAGTATAAAAGTATAAAAGACACTGCAGCTTCCATTTTGGTTTTGTGCTTTCTCTTGGGCTACTTGCTTTGGGGGAAGCCAGCTGCCATGTCGCATGGACTCATGGCAGTCTGTGGAGAGGGCTAAGGCCTCCTGTAGACATCCAGTGAAGGACGGAGACAGGTCAACAACCATGGGGCAAACTTGGAAGAAGACCTTCCAGCCTTCAGATGACTGCAGCCCTGGCAGACAGCTCGACTGTTTGCACTCCCAAACTCCTGACCACAGATAATGAAAGAATAAAATCTGGTGTTTCAAGCCACTTAGTTTTGTGATTATTTTTATGCAATGATCGATAATGAATGCAAATGGTCACGGTTTCCAAAGCCCGTAGGGTGCAATACTGCCTTAACAATTTGTAATGATAACATTTAAATATAATTATACATATTTGTCACTTTTATAGTTTATAAACAGCTTGCTCACTTACGTTCATTTAATAGAAGAGTCCATTCTTTTTTTCTCCACAATGCACTGCCTCATTTCAGGATAGCAAAATTTCCAGGTGTTAACTTTTGCCTCATATTCAGCATAGCGTGGTAGAACAAATGTGGTCCTTGGAGTCAAACAGACTGGGTTATCTTAACTGAGACAAATTTATACATAAGAAAACAGATTTTAAAAGGTATTTTTTAATGAGTTGTGTCAAATACATACCCCCCTCTAAAAAATACCAGTAAAAATAAAGGATGTTTTAATCATCCTAGAAAGTTGTCTCACGGTTCTTCTCATTTAATCCTCACTGCCCTAAAGGCAACCAGTGTTCTAATTTCAATCACCATAGATTAGTTTTGCCTGTCCTTGAACTTCATATAAATGAACCATGGAGTATGTGCTCTGTCTAGCTACTTCACTCAGTACAATGTTCTTAAGATTCATTCATGTTGCTGTGGATATCAGTACTTCATAGCATTTATTGCTAATTAGCAGTTCATTGAATTAACATATTACATGCGTATACATTCTCCTATTGGTAGACATTTGGGCTGTTTCTAGGTTAGAGATATTAAATTTAGCTTTATAAACATTCTAAGACAAGACTTTTCATAGAAATGTCTTTTCATTTATCTTGGGTAAATACTTAGGAGTGGAATTGCTAAGTTGTAGGACTGATGTACATTTAACTTTGTGAGAAATTCCAGAGTTTTCCAAAGTCTGTCATTACATCTCCACTGCATGTGTGAGGGTTTCCATTGTTTCTCATTCTAGCCCACATTTTCTTTCTTCTTTTGTTTTTAATTTTAGCCATTCTAGTAGGTATGTGGTAGTATTTTATTGTGACTTTAATTTACATTTTCCTAATGACTAAAAATAGTGAGCTTTTTCTGCAACCTCATTGCCCATTCATATATCTTTTATGAAGTGTCTACTCAAGTCATTGGCCTATTTTTATGACATCATTTTTTTTTTTTGAGACGGAGTCTCTCTCTTGTCGCCCAGGCTGGAGTGCAATGGCACGATCTCGGCTCACTGCAACCTCCGCCTCCTGGGTTCAAGCCATTCTCCTGCCTCTGCCTCCCGAGTAGCTGGGATTACAGGCATTACAGGCATGCACCACCACACCTGGCTAATTTTGTATTTTTAGTAAAGACAGTGTTTCTCCATGTTGGCCAGGCTGGTCTCAAACTCCTGACCTCAGGTAATCCACCCACCTTGGCCTCCCAAAGTGCTGGGATTGCAGGCATGAGCCACCGTGCCCAGCTGACATCATTTTTTAAATCGTTAATTTGCAGATATTATTTTATATTATTAATATTAGTCTTTTGTAAGATATAGGTCCTGTGAATAATTCCTCCAAGTCTATGATTTGCCCTTTCATTTTATCAACAGAAGTGTGTGTGTGTGTTTGTGTGTGTGTGTGTGTGTGTGTGTGTGTGTGTGTCTAAGAGTCTTCAATTTTAATGAAGTTCAACTTATCAGTTTTTTTCTTTTGGGTTATTTTTGTAGAGTTTCTAAGAAATCTTTCTATCTAGAGCTTGAAAATATTCTTCCTTCTCTTAAAGAAGATTAATAGGACTGGTTTTTGCATATATGTCCATGATCCATCTTAAATTGATTTTCATGTTTGATTAGGAAAGTGTTAGAATGTCTCTTTTCCCTCTATTTCTTGAAAGGAATTTTCTTACCCTGTTAAATTGCTAGCATAATTTTTTAAAAAAATCAATTGATCCAAATGTCTGGATTTATTTGTAGATTCCCTCATTCTGTTCTATTGATTTAATTGTCTGTCCTTATGCCAATACTACACTGCATTTATTGCTGTAGCTTTACAGTAAATCTAGAAATAAGACAGTATGAGTTTTCCAAATTTTCCTTTTCCAAGACTATTTTGTTTTTCAGGTCCTTTGCTTTTCCATATACATTTTAGAATAAATTTTCAATTTTTAAAGGACTTGTGTGACTTTTGTTACATTATGCCTTTCAAAGAATTTGTCCGTATCTCAATTTTATCTAAGTTGTTGAATTTATTACTAAAAATATGCTTATAATATTTTTTGTCAGCTCTTTGTTGTCTTTAAAATCAGTACTGTTATATCATCTTCTACTACAGGGTTTCTTTGTATTTACCTTGCTTTATGTTTGCTGAGATTCTTAGATCTATAAGCTGATATTTTTATAAAATTTGGGACGGTCTGGAAATTGTCTTGAAATATTTTTCCTGCATATTGTCTCCTTTGGAGGCTTCAGTTATGCATAAGCTAGGCATTTGATATTATCCCGTGTGCCAATGAGGCGCTTTTCCTGTTTTCAAGCTTTCCTCCCATTTATTCTTCAGGTTAGATTATTTCTATTGATTTTATCTCAAGCTTATTAATCCTTTCTTTTGTTATCTCTAACATGCTGTTAAGTCATTACACACATTTAATTATTATAATTTTCAACTTTAGAATTTTCAAATCTTTCCTTTGTAAAACTGGTTTTCTAATTTGTTGAAGCCTGGTTTTGTCTTCATTTTGCCCTTATCCTAAGGATTGATCCTCAATCGAGGGCTGGGTCCTTATTCCTATAGTTTGGCCCTTCTGAAGTTGGTCCTTGAGGTCTCAGCTGAATACTTGAGGTGCTCAGTGAGGTATCTACTCTGTCTGAGCTGAACCTCCAATGTGTCACAGCTCTCCATGACCTCAGCAACTTCCCTTCAGTTTTCAGCTCTCAGCAGCTGCTCTCTGTTAGGCTTTGTGTAGTCTTGCCCTGGCGCGCATGCAACGGGAAACCCCAAACATATGTCTCACCTGTGTGCCTCTTACAGATCCTATCTCTTGGGTACTCTTGAACAAACATGAGGTCTGCCTCCTTGGTTTAGCAATACTCTTTCACTTGGGTTTCACTTCTCTGTGTTGAAGTTGAGAGAGTGCTCCGAAGCGGAAAGCCAGGATAAATATGAGGCTCATCTTGTGTGATTCTCTTTCCTTCAGGTTGATAGTCCTGTGCTGCTTGACATCCAATGCCTGAAAACATTTGCTTTACACAATTTGTATAGGTTCATCACTGTTTGGGTCAGGAAGAGAAATTTGTATCAGTCATTTCATTGTGGCCAGAGCCAGGCTAACTTTTGATCCCTTGACCTAACATTGTCTTACTGAATACCTTGGGCAAGTTAATTCATCTTCTGTGTTCTCAACTTGTTTATTTACAAATGGAGATTATAATACTTAGACCATAAGCTCAGTGATAATGGCTGCCTTGCCTATTTTGCTCATTTCTATATCTCCACTGCTTAACAAAATGCCTAGCATGTAGAAAGCATTCAACAAGTGTTCATTATTTAACCATATTAATTTTTTAATGTGTTCATTCATTCAAGTAATGTTGTTAAGTGAATATCTGTTTTACAGAGATGTTGCAAAGAATATATTAAGTGAGAACATTTGTGTAACATGTCTAATATGAAACTTGTAGTAAGGATGCAGGACATTATAAATAGTTTTAAAAAATGATTGTTGAATGTAGTTATATTTCCAGATCCGAGGGTCTACAGATGTGCCATTTAAGAAAAAAATGAGTAATATTTTAGGAAAAAAAATGTATAGACATGCCTCTTGTTAGAACATCACTGAATAGTCTATGAATGTCACTATTGACTTAAAAGGATATGAGGTCAGCTCATCCTCAAGGTTGATTCTGCCCTGGAGCATTTGTGAGCCCTGTACTTGCAGTGTGTTAGACAGAGCATTGACTGGCTGGCTGGTTGGTTGACCAAGTAGGTATTACGGCTTTTGTCCAGGTGGGGTGAACAGGATGGCTGAGTTTATTTGGCTGAATCTCTGCAGTAGTCCCCAAGGATGGGTGTCATTGCCTGCATTAATGAGTCTCTGCATTCAAATAGGTTGTAAACAAGCCATGATTTCTGGCCCAGCAAGAACTACAGCCACAGTGGGGAGGGTGGGAGGGCACAGAGTAGGAGGAAGCCAGATTTATAAAACTCCAGAGGGTTGTTCATGCCTCCGTTCTCTGGAAATGCAATGGCCACCTGATTAAACAGTCTCTTTTATGCATTCTGCTTTGCTTCCAAAGTGCTTCTCACATCATCTGTGACCTCATTTGATCCTCACCCCTCAATGGGTAAAAGGAAGAACTATGTGTCACCATTTTACGAATAAGAAACAGAACCTAGAAGAGATCACGTGCCTTGGCCAAGACCACACAGCTGGGAAGTATGAAAGTCTGGTTTGGGATCCTTATGGCAGAGGGAAAGCAGTTTTCCATGATCTAGAAACAATGATTTTCCTTCCCTTTACCCAAAAGGTGGTCATTTCAGAGTACGCTGTTGAAAATTGAGGAAAATACTTAAAAATACAGCAGGACTTTCTGCCTCTACACAGAATCTTAGTACTTCAGAGCTCAGTGGAGTTTTAGATATCAACAGGTCTGGCTGCCTTAGTCTATGGATGCTGAAACAGAATCTCAGGACGTGAGCCACTCACTGAAGCTCAATAGTCAGTTCTTAGTACAACTGGGCCAGGGGCTCACATACCCTGATGTGCCATTACTGATTTTGCCCTCACACCATGCTGTTTTCGTAGAAGCCTCTCTGGCCTCTGGATTCACAGAATCAAAGAGAACAAGACAATGACAGCTTTGGGGCTTGAGTAGAGCTCAGGCCCTGACTCCACTAAGAGGCCGTGGATGAGTTTGACAGGTCACCATCAAAGAGACCCTTTATGAAGGAGGTGCTTTTAGGCACCCTATGCACGCCACAGTTGTGCTAGTTTCTCTAACCTTAAGCCAAGTCAAGCTGTATTGATCAGAACCAGTTGGGAAATGAATTACTAAGGCTGATCTATAAAGAAATTCAATCTGGAGATGGTGCAAACTAGTGTCAGGATTCCTTATTAGGCACTCTACAGCACAAGCTAAATAAAGCAAACACACAGACATGCACACAAAGGACAAACTTTTTCATGGGATGAAAGTGACATTGTGGTTGGGGAATATGGGTCCATCTAATACCGTGGTAATTGACCATTTTTTAATAACCAACAAACCAATTCTCTCTAAAATGCTTCCAAGAAATGAGAATAAGAAGTGTCTGTATTAACAAAGAGGGAGGCAAATGAAATTAAGCCCCTAGGGCCGCTTTTTCAGTAGCCCTAAGACGCGAGTACGATTCTGTCAGCCACTGCAGTCTACAAATAATGCAAAATGGTTACCTCATTTAATTAGGAGAAGGAAAGTGTGTTGGGAGACAGGGAATCTTCTGAGTGAGAAAAAGCCAGCAGAGAGATCGAACCCTCAATTTCAAAAATTGCTTAGCAAAAGCAATTTCAATTGCTGCCTTTGTTATAAAAGATTAAAGGTAGTTATGTCCCAGTGTACCTCACTTAAAGCAATCAATATGTTCCTGAATAGTTATGTGCAAATCAAATTTTTGTAAATCAAATCCAATTTTAAGTGCCATCAGAGAACCTACTGTTTCAAGGAACCCCTTTGGTGAATCCTTTCGTAAGGTCTAAAACCATCCCCTAATTTATTGGATTGGTTGGCTTAAATGTTTATGATGATGATAAATCAGGTCAATAGAATTTTGTCCCTCTCTCCCATATTTGGGAGAAAGGGCTTAAAAATGGAAATGAGATGAGACAATGAACACACTGTAACAACAAATGGTACCTACCATGATAGGTTAACAAATAGCGAAATCTCAGCATTTACTTCTTGTATCTTCTATGTTTGAAGCTGTAACATTGAGCACTGATGATATATATTTAACATTAGGACAATGAGATTCTAAAAGGGAATCAAAGTAATACTTAGAGCTTTAAGAATTATCTAGTCCAAACTTCACAGCAGAAGTTTCTCTTTGCAGCATTTCAGAATGATGACTATTTGGCCTCTGCTTAGACACTGCTTGAATGCGCTGTGACATTTGTTTATAAACTTATTCATTAAATATTTACTGAGCATTAACTATATGGGGAACTTGGTTCTGGAGAAATGGGGAGAAAACTAGACACAGTATTTACCATTTATAGAATTTAATCTACCTGGGAGAATAGACATAAAATGGTAACACAAATAATTGGTATATTCAAGTTGTGATAAACATTATGAAGACTAGATGTAGGATGCTATAAAAGTTGTCTTGGAAAATTGACCTGTCGCAGTTGTATTTAATCTAAGATCTACAGGATGAATAGGGACTGAGATAAAGAGGAGCAATTGGAGGACAGCATGTGTGGGATTGACCTTGTATTTTGAAAAGATCACTCTGCCTGCTATGAGAAAAATTGGCGAGAGCAAGGCAAGAATGTAAACTGGTAACTCTGCCGTTGGGATGAAAGATGCTGGTGGCTTGGGCCAAGGAGATAGCAGTAGATACAGAGAGAATCAGATCACAATAATTATCAGAAGTAGAATCAGTAGGACTGGGTGATTAGATATGGGGTGGGGGTAAGCAAAAACAGACTCAGGCATGGCCTCTGAATTTCTGGATTGGGAAAATGGAGAAATCGTGATGCTATCTACTAAAACTGAGAGCACTGGAGAAAGAGCAGATTGGGAAGAAGAGATTTGGTGCATGCAATTAATTCTGGGCATGTTGATTCAGGGGTGGTATCGGTGGATATGTTTAGTAACTGAGCTTGGGACTCGATGACTTTCACCGATATGGCAGACTATGGTCATCCTGCAAGAATGCCAGCACACAGTAGCTCTCCAGCACTGGCTGGGGGTTCAAGGATACAGCTTCAATCTCTAGGGGAACAAAGTCCTAGGGGGACTTATGTATCAGGCCAGGAACCAAAACTATAACTGAAACATTGGACCAAATGACCTAGACTGGGACTGAGTGATAAGAATGGAAGCCTAGGTCATAGGAATGCAGCAGAAGCCTAGTTATTACTGTTCTCATGTCATATCTTTCATGTTTCTTGAATCATTGAGAGTAACCAGGAGATTTTTTTTTAGAGATGGGACCTCACTGCCCAGGTACTGTAAGCATGTGCCATCACACCCAGCTAATTTTTATTTTTTACCTTTTTGTAGAGACTGAGTCTTGCTATCTTGCCCAGGCTTGTCTTAAACTCCTGGGCTCAAGTGATCACCCTGCCTTGACCTCCCAAAGTTCTGGGATTACAGGTGTGAGCCACCATACTCAGCCATAAGGAGGCTTTTTTGACTTTTGATGCCAACTAGCATTGTGGTAGAAATCAATGTAGTATCAGTCTCAGTGCTCATGTGTAAACTTCTACAAAATGTTTAAACTCCAAGCCCATTTGACCACCACAGGGAGGAATGCACCATACCAGGTGCAGCGGTTGACAGAACTTCCCACTAATGCAATATTAGGCAGGAGTGACTTTTTCTAAAGAGATGAGAGAGGTGAGCTGGGGTTGAGTTCTGTCTTTTTATCATCTCCCCAAATTCACATGGGTTTATGCTCTGGTATGTCTTCCGTTAGCCTTAATCTCCTTTCTATGGGTTCTTGATATGCCAAGGTCTAAGTCAATGACCCCTCAGAAAGGAACCTATTAGTCCATCTCTCACAGTTGCATATGACAGAATTCCATCTAAAGGTGGCTTAAGCTATTTGGTTGGTGTATGAGGATTCTCCAGAGAGACATAACCAGTAGGATATATGTACATATAAAATGGAGTTTACTGGGGAGAACCGGCTCATATGGTTACACAGGTGAAGCCCCACAGTGGGCCATCTGCAAGCCGGGGAATGAGAAAATCCAGTAGTGTGGCTTAGTCCAAGTCTGAATGCCTCAAAACAAGGGAGGCCAATAGTGCAGCCACCAATCTGACGGTGAAGACGAGAGCTCCCAAAAGGCTTCTGGAGCAAGTCCCAGAATCCAAAGACCAAAGAACCTGGAGTCTGATGTCCACAGACAGGAGGAGAAAAAGCCTCCAACTGGGGACAAAGAGGAGACTCTGCAAGCTGAATGTTCCCTTTCTTCTGGCTGCTTTGTTCTAGCCATGCCCCATGCAGGCAGCTGATTAGATGGTGCCCACCTACACTAAGGGCAGGTTTTCCTCTTTCAGTCCACTGACTCACATGTCAATCTCCTTTGGAAACACCCTCACAGACATACCCAGAACAATGCTCCACCAGCCAATGAGGCATCCCTCACTCTGCAAAGCTGGCACCTAATGTTACCCATCACACCTGGGATTAGTCATAGGCTCACCTGCACAAGCTGGGCAAATGAGAGCCAGTCCTGGGACTGAGTCAGTTGGAGAAAAAGTGCTCGGCTTCCTCCAGATTGCCAACATGATGGACCCAAGCCTGGTTTGTCCACGGGCATCTTTGCTATCACATCGGGAGGAGCCACATGACAGTGAAGAACGCGGACAAATGCAGAGACCTGGATATGGGGGTGAAGGAAAGGACAAGGAGTCCATGGAGAGAGACCCATACCTGACCACATCCTCAAAGTCCTTGATTTGACTCTTTTGGAAGTAAATCTACTCTTGGTTTTCAGTTTACATAGGCCTATGTGTTCTATTTTGGGGGTTGGAGATTTTGTCACTTGAAACTGAAAAACTCTGGCCAGTTCTGAGCATGTGACTTGATTATCCTCACTTTAGTCCTGTGAAATGCTTGTCTGATTCCAGAGGTGGGGTTGTGCTCACATGGTCACACTGATGCTTGGAGGTGCAGAGGATGTGTGACTGTGATTAGCATTCCCAACAGAATGACATGAGATGGGAGAAAGACAATGCAAGAGAAAAGGTGCTGCTCTCAGAATTCTGGCAATAAAGGAGTATTGACCAGGCACCCTTACCTAGTCAGGGCATCCTCTATCTGCAGGAATGAGGACTTCCTAAACAGTGTGCTTCCTCCCTTGAGATTGGAGCACCATGATTCTGCAGGCTTTCTAGATCAAAGGGAACACAGGATACTACCCCCAAATTAAAGATTTTCCAGGTGCCAAAAGGCCCTTTTGGGGGGATGTAAAATATGAGACAAATTATTTAGGTAGATTGGAAACATCTAAGGCAGAATTTTGTGTTAGTGCTCTGATTTCCAGAAAGAAGGACCCCAAGTATATTTGCATATCCCCATTCAAAATTCCACAACAACCTGAGCTGAGCCACAAAACCAGAGATCTGCTAGATAAATATCTGAGTTTTGCTAGAATTTCTCAGAACCCTTTTATTGGAGGCAGGATTGACTCTGCAGGCTGGTGTCTGGGCTACCTTCATGTTTAGGGTGAAGGAAGTGGTCTGGTGACCGTTGCTATGGGGAAGAGAAGAAAGGCTGGAAGCCAGGTAACATCTGGCAGAGCAAACAGGGAATCAGCATCTTACAGTCCAAAAACAGTTCATTTGATGCAATGGGGATCCCATCAGACTAATGATCTGCCCCACTGCAGTCCTTCTTTGTATATTGTTAACCATGAAGAATGCAAAAGATAATATTCATTGTAGAGAAGCCGACACTAAAGTCAAGTTCTCCAATGTGTCATGTCTCCCTTCCTTTCTGCCACTTGTCTTTTATCACATCTTACCAGAGCTATTTCTGTCTATGGGGAGTTAGCAGGAAGATCACATATTGTACAGAGAGCAGGGTGTTAAATTTATGCAAAGAAAGAAATGTGTTATGGCAAAAATTATTTATTGCATGGCGTCTCCCTTGAGGGTTAGTCTCTTGTTAGAGCTTTAAGGACAGCAGCTCTATATTTGTCACATGGCAGAGCCGCACTCCTGCCTGCCTCCCGCTGTCAGTGCCAAGAGCATTTATGTAAAGTCGTGATGCAAACTTGCCACCTTTAGGAGGCACGATCTGGTCCAACAAAGTGCCTTGCCTCATAGCCATTTGTGTTTTGAGAAGAGTGAGACTTCAGCCAGTGAGAAGGAGGAAAGGCAAGAACAGAACAGTGTTAAATATCTTGAAACTGGGCAAAACAAATTCATAGAACAGTGGGACTTTTTATTGAGCTCTGAGGATTTCAGAAGGTGGCGTGCCGTAGTGTAGCATCGAGAGTCCATCAGATCTAAGACTGAGTCCTGTTTCTGCCATTTACTCACTGTGGGTCTCAGAAAGAGTTAGCTGGCAGCTCTGAGCCTTCGTCTTCTTGACTGGAAAATGGGAGCACTGTACTCATTTGCACTGTGTTGTGAGAAGTAAGTGAAATGAAGTGTATGCTCAGTGGTAGGTGCTAAAATAATATTAGCTTTCTCCTTCTTTTTATAAAATTAAATATCGGTCCAGTGTTTCTCCAAGAAGATCTATTCTCTGGATCATAGAGGTGGCTTTCCCTAGGACAGGGATGACAAATGCTTGGTATATAGAAGCATAGCTTCCTTCTTCCTTCTTTTTATCAGACATTGCTTGTGGGATATGCCACTGGATTATGCCTCCAGATCCTCCTTAACACAGGGCTCGAGTTGGTCACTTGTAAAATATCAGTTTATATATAAAACAAAATGTTTTTTACATCTGTGATCCAGATCATGTCCATAAATTGCTCTGTTGATGACTGCACTCAGAGTGTACAGTTTTAATGTACATTAAATGCATAGAGGGCCTCCAGGTGCTCGGAGGACACTGCATTTCTGAAAGATGTGCCAACATATTCTTATTCTTGATTCAATTGTTGTATCACAGAATTTCTTCTTACTTTTGAACATTTACATCCCACAGCATATGCTCTTAAAAGGAGAAAGGCATCAACTCATCTCAGGCATCTCCTACATATCCAGGGAACAGAGCTACACAGAGAGACAGTGCCTGCTTTGGAGGTTAGGAGCTGAGCTTTATAGACAGCCTATAAAGCCGAACTTTCAGACAGCCTCTGCTGTGTGCCAGCTGTGTGACTTTGGTTAAATTAATATAGTTCGCTGAGCCTCTGTGTACCTATCTGAACACTTGTACAATGGGAATAATAACACTTATCCCCAGGACTGTTGTGAGGGTTATAAGAGATGATGCCAGTAAAGGACAAAGCATAGCCACAGACATATTCACCAGCAGTCATTATGGTTATTAATATTCACATTAACTGGAGCATATTCCAAGGAAGAAAGATCCCAAGAGGCTCAATATCATGTCATAAAAGAATAGAAAAAGAACTGAAAATGGGAGAAGCTGGGGAAAACAAGGCTGTGGAGCACATGGCAGCAGTCTTCTAATGTTTCTAACACAGAGATTTGACTATGTGATTGACTGTATGGTAGTTCTTAAATATCGGCCGTCCTGTCCTCGGAAGGCCCATACCTTCCCGTCCTCTGATAATCGCCTGGGCCGTATGACTTGTTTTGACCAAGGAAATGTGAGAGAACATAGTGATTGCCACAATTAAGCTTTGATAACCATGTGTGGTTCCTCTATCCATTTTCTCCTTGGCCACAAAACCAAGACAGAGGGTGCTTCTTCAGTATGTGTCCTGAAATAAAGATGATCAAAGAGCAGAGCTTCTACTCACCTGGAGTTGATACATACCTGAGCAAAAAAGAGAAAAGTTTGTTGTAAATCACTGAAATTTAGTGGTCATTTGTCACTGCAACATAAATTAATCAGGTTAAGACATTTTCTTTGTAATCTTACAAGGTATGATTAGTACCAATGGGTAGAAGATGAAACACGTTCCCTCAATATTTAAAAAAAAAAACTTTCAATAAAAGCTATCTAAAAGCAGAGAGGCCTACCTTAGCCAGTAGTGAATTACCTAAAAATTAAAATATTCAAACAGAGTTGAATAATTATTTGTGATATTGTACAGGGCTGTGACACACAGTCTTCCGAAAGTCAATAGTTTTTGGTATTTAGGGAGAAATGGGTTCTGGAGTCAAACAGATGTCTTTGTTCCAGACATATCAGAAAGTTTAATATACTAATATTTCCTATGCCTCTACAAAAAGATACACCATATATAGTTGTTTTCCAAATTTATTTGATCAGAGAACTCTCCCCACTCCTACTTTTCACCACCCTCAAAAGAACATCTTATGGGACAAATTTAACAACAACAACTACAAAACCACACATTTAGAAAATGTTGGCTCAGCAGCTTCATGATTGTAATTGGATTTGAGCCAGATAGAAAATGACTCTTGTTACAAAACTAAGGGTGCTATGAGTTAGTCACAATTTGAGCTCTCAAGGAAGATACCGAAGATTTGCTTGCACTTCAGGAATGCTGGTTAAAATTCAAAACTTTGCATTCACATTGAGTCTATATGAATCAGACTCCACTGCTTATTAGTTATTTTGCCTTGAAAAGATTCATCTAACCCTTCTTACTCAGGGCTTATGTTCTAAGAACTTACATCTTATTCACTCTGGAAAGTTCATAGTTGTGTTAGTAAATATCACCTTTACTTGATCTCTTTATTTTCTACTTCTACAAATCCTACCAGTGAAACAATGGATTTTCTTATCCTATGCACTAGATTTCCTTATGCTTCCTTCGTATGTTTCATGTCTTGATTCTCTGTGTGGCATTCTTCAGACTGACCTTCAAGTTCTTGTATTATCTCTTCAGCTGTGTCTAGTCTGACAGTCAATCAGTCCATTGGATATGGAATTTCAGGAACAGTTTTTAATATCTAGTCATTTAACTTCCCAATCTTTCAAAGTAATCTGGTCTTTTAAAAATATCTAATTGTCCCCTACAGTTTACTTGTTTAATAATTTTTAAAAGTTATTATTTTATCATCCCTTTGGACAGTTATATTGTCTCAACTTCTTGGGAGCATTGGTTCACCTAATGATTGTGATCATTAAAACTCCCTGTGCTGAGTCACTTCCTCATATGTTTTGTACATTTTTATTGTTAATACATATTTAGTAAGAGCTAATTTTTCTGCTTTGTGGGACATTCATGCATTTTGGAGAGTAAATTTGTGTTTTTGAGCACTTTGTTTTGGCTCCAAAGGTACCATAAACCAGAAATTATTTTTTATATTAATTTGGTAGGTTGAGATTTCTGAACTATTCACACTGTGTAGTTCAGTTTCCAAACCCAATTGCAATGAATGGTTAGGGTTTTTATTTTCCATAGAATCCTGGATGGAGAGAAGCGTTGTTTTTTTGTTTTTTTTTTTTTTTTAATAAATATCCAAGGTTGGTGGTTAGAGTTTTCCTAAGTCTACTCTCTTTAAAATTGTTTATTTTTCTTTTTTTAAATTGATTTAATTCTTCTTCTTCTTATTATTATTATTAAGGCAAAGTCACACCCTGTTCCCCAGGCTGGAGTGCAGTGGCTCAATTGTAGCTCACTGCAGCCTCAAACTCCTAGGCTCAAGTGATCCTCCTGACTCAGCTGTCCGAGTAGCTGAGACTACAGGTGTGTACCACTATGCCTGGTAAATTTTTTAAATTTTTTGTAGAAAAGGGGTCTCACTATGTTGCCCAAGCTGGTCTCGAACTCCTGGGCTCATGTGATCCTTCCACCTCACCCTCCTGAAGGGCTGGGATTATAGGCATGAGCCACCACACCCAGCTTCTAATTCTATGTTCACCAAGAATTCAGGCTTGTTTTTATGTTTGTTTGTTTTTTTTTTGTTGTTGTTTTTTACAGTTCCAGCTTTATGCAGTCTGGGTTCCAACTTTCCTCCTATCATAGACTTCAGACAATATCTTCTATGTCAACATGAGATTGAAATCTAGGCCCAAAAACATTTGGGCATTTTTCTGAGTCCAATACTACTCCCTACCCTTCAGTGGCCACACTAAGATTTTATATTTAACACTTGAACTTTCAATTCCTTCTTTGTTTCTGGTACTTGCTGATTTTCTTTACTTGAAAACCAAGCTATGTGTATGCGTTTTTTGTCTTTTAAATTATAACATTTTATCCAACATTTCTATTTGTATGTTGTATGTAGTAGCAGGAAGGGTTCTGGATTATTTCAGACTGCCAAGTAGCCACCACTAGAACAATGTTTATATATATATATACACAAACAGTTGTATATATATATAATATATGTTTATATATATGTACATCTCTATATATGTGTGTATATACATGTATATATGCCTGTATGTGTTTATATATGTGTGTGTGTGCATATATGTGTATATCAGTCTTATCCTCTATAAAATTGATATAATAACTTCTACTTCATTGGTCAGTGCGGAGATAAATAGTGGATCTTATGCATTCAACATAAGGGCAAGTATACATTAAGTGCTCAATAAATGTTAGACATTATTGTTTTTATTGAAATAATATATAAGCACTTAGAAAAATAATTATGTTGAAGATCCTAGAAAGGGACAAAATGGGTCTGTCCCTTCAGCTAACAAATCTGGACTTTTTACAAAAGGACAGTGACCTCCTGCAAAAAGTCATTCAAGGAGCTTAAAATTGCCCATTTGTCCTGGGCAACAAGGCTCCAGAGTTTCAAATCAGAGGGAAGTAGAACAAAGTTCACTTCATGACCTCTTGGGGATGCCCGCAGGCTTAGAGCTCTCCTAAGGTGGACAACCAAGGCCTTTCCTTGACCTTTGTCTCAGGATCTCACTCTTTTTTTTTTCTTCTTTGAGGTGGAGTTTTGCTCTTTTTTGCCCAGGCTGGAGTGCAATGGCATGATCTTGGCTCACTGCAACCTCTACCTTTTGGGTTCAAGTGATTCTCCTGCCTCAGCCTCTCAACTAACTGGAATTACAGGCACATGCCACCACACCTGGATAATTTTGTATTTTTAGTAGAGATGGGGTTTCACCATGTTGGCCAGGCTGGTCTCAAACTCCTGACCTCAGGTGATCTGCCCACCTCAGCCTCCCAAAGTGCTGAGATTACAGGTGTGAGCCACCATGCCCAGCCAGGATCTCACTCATTTAATGAGGATGGGGAAACTTTAGGGTCCAGTGCCATGTTGGCTCCTCCCACCACACCACAGAGGACTTGACCAACTTCTTTGGAAAAGGAATGTACATAGTAATGATGATTGGGGTAACAAGAATAGCTCACATTCATTGAGTCTTTCCTATGTGCCAAGCTGTGTTCTAACACCTTTCCACACATTATCTCCTTCACTCCTAATAAGGAATCTGAGTTAGGGACCATTATTACCATGCCTGTTTACAGTTAAGAAAGCTAATTATAGTGTTGAAGTATTAGAAAGGGTGATAAATGAAAGAATTGGTTTAGCCTTTGTAGCTTAATAATGGCTGCAATATTGGTGGTGTGCAATGAAGAGAAATAGGAATCAATAATGTCAATGGGCAAGGATTAATCCCAAAGTTGTGTGTTAGTCCAGGCAGCATGGTGGAGGAAAAGAAAAGTGAATTAACCTTAACTGAGCACTTTCTGTGAATAAAACATGTTGCATACAAGCTGTCCACTTATAATGCATTATTTAATTTTATCTCCTTAACAATTCTATGAGGTAGGGTTTGCCATACCCTTTCACAGGTGGGTGAGTTGGGAGCACATATAGGTAACTTGCCCCTGATTACCATTCAGTGGATAGTACCCACGTGGGCATCCTGAGTCAAGTCTACAAAACCTGTCCTCCCTCCAGCCCCAAGACCTTTAAGCCTGTGAAGGGGTGGGGCATGCACTGACATCTGTTAACTCAGGGAGGAACTTAAATGCCCAAGAAAAGAATATGTGATACTCTCAGTTGTCTATCAGAAAAGGGGAGACTTGAAGAATTTGATGCTTAATAACTCTGTTAGTCATAATCAAATATAGAAAAAATATGGTGGCTGGAGGAGTAAAAGGAAGCTAAGGTAGATGGTAAGGGACTGATGTTTTCTATTATAGGCTCTGAAGTGGTAAAGGTGAGTGAACTTTCCTTTCTAAGAGCATAAAAGCTAAACCCTCAGCTCGGGGGTTGGATGCTCTGTTTCCCAAAATCCCATTTCCTTTGTGGTTCTGGTTTAGAGTTAACCAAGAGGGGGACTTGCTGGTTGGAAGGAAAGCAGGGTTTCAACTCTCAGAAGGTAGCTGTGGTAATAAAAGGCCATGAACAGGCACAGAGAAGGCCATTAGGCACCACTTGTTCATAATCCACTGCATCCGGCTCACCCTCCTAGCTCCTGACCACAACTCAGACACTTGGCTGCAACTCCATAGACAGCAGTTCCACAAATGCTACTGCTACCCAGAGACAGCAGCTCCCAGAGACCCATCCTGAGCGCTCCTTCATGGTTTTACTTTAGGCGCCTGACATGCTTCTGAATTTGGGTTTTTCTGCCAGCTCTAACCTGTCCACCTTGCTGGAGTTTCAGTGACTGTTGCTGTCATTCTTCAACTCCCTGCTTCTATACATCACTTCCCAGTGCCTCCCACATGTGTGTAAGGAGCAACACCTATACTAAATCCCTTATTTCCTAATACTTGCAGTGGCTCTACTTCCCAACCAAACCCTGGGAAGAATACCTGGCCCTCTAAGTCCCACACAAGAAGGACTCAACCTGCCTCTACAGCCTCACTCTGAGCCATTTTCCCCTTACTCACAGTATTCCACTCTCCCTGGAACATGCCAAGTTCTTTGCCAATTTAGTCATTCATGCTGATGTTCTCCTTTTCTGAACATTCTTTGGGATTTTTCCTGGAGAGTAAGAAAATGTCAGGATGAAGAAAAGAGTTTAATGCTTCACTTCATCCTTCAGATTTCAGCCTAACTGCCCCATCCTCATGGAAGTCCTTCTTAACCACCCTGTCTAAAAAAGTTTCTCCTATTTCCTATCAAAACACTATTTCTTTCCTACACTGAAGTCCATTTATAAATCATTCTATTTATGTGTGCCAGTTTCTATGCACCAGAATGTGAAATCCATGTAGACATGTGTTGTTCAGTCTTGTGCTACTGACTAGCACAGCGTCTGACATAGATAAGATCTCTCAGTAAATATTTGTTGAGTAAATGAATAAATGAGTAGGCCCAGGCCACTGAACAAGCTTCTAGAGTCACGTCTTTTTGCTGTTGTCTTGGTTGTGAGGATGGAGGTGATACTGACGGTGGAACAATTGGGTAGAATTGGCTCAGAATGCTCCTCTCTGTTCTACCTTGGAGGTTTTATAGGCTCAGCTCTTCAAACAGAAAAAAGTTTTAATATAAAGGTCAAGATTTAAAAGGAAGGAGCTGAATCACACTAGATGATAGAGGCAAGATGAATTGGAAGGACCTAGTAACATCTGTCAGAGGTGAGAAAGGATCCAGGGAGACTGGGTGTAGTGGAAGGAAATTGGAGAGGGAAAAAACTCCCAGAGATTCTGTGAAGGAGATGGGAATTAGAAAAGAGAAATGTCTAACATGGGATGTATATTTCTTCTTAATTTTGCTGAGGGTTGTGCTATGTACATTTTTTTCCATTTTGTGATTGTCAATTAATCCACATTGCTCACTAATGCTTTGGTACAAGTGGATTCTTTAGGGATAATGGAACAGCTGTTGAAGTCTGCAGCCAGGTGGGTAATGAGATAAACTCAGACACAGTACATGTGGGCAGTGGATTTGAAGGATGACAAATGGTTTACACTCCATAATGCTACGTACTAGGGATAAGTTTGGAGAAATCTCACACTGAGAGGCACAGAGACTTCTACTCTAACTTATACCAAAGAAAGCCAATTACTGAAAGCTTCCTAATGTTTTCCCAGTCTAAGCATCCTAGTTACTTTGTATCTCCAAACCAGAAGTAGCCTGGGATGTGAGAGTAAGCAGATCCCAATGGCAGGAGTAAGAACCAAGAACTCCTCTTCCTTACCAAAGTTATGGGTGCCCACAACGTGATGTTCCCAAAAAGACTAATATTTCAGGGAAAGTAAAAATTAAAGCTTTGCAAATAATATGTATTCTTAGAATCCAGTTGCATGTAAAAGGCTTAGTCTAGATTCCTGGCTGATGAAAGAACATCTGGAGAGAATGAGATTTGGTAGAGATGAAGCAAGGCTTTCAACTGCATGTGAGTGAGGCCACCTTGGATCCTGTAACCCAGTGGTGCTGCCTGAGCTGATACCATGTGAAACACAAATGAACCATCCCTGCTGAGCCCAGCCTGAACTCCTGAGCCACGGAAGAAGCATGAGCAAAAACAAGTTGCTGTTTTAAGCAACTAAAGTAAACAAACAAAATTACATAATAATACAACAAATGTTGTAAGGCCATACTTTCTTTTTTCCCTAAGCATCTTTTGCTGTTCTGAGTTCCTTCACATGAACTTGTTGTGCCATCATTTGCCTCTTGCTCTTTGATAGGAGAGCTCTGAAAAGCTTACTGAAAATTGAGCATTCTGTTCAACTGGGGCCCAGTTAAGAGTTCATAGGTTCCTCCTAATAAGGAGCTTGAGGAAATTGAAATAACAAAAGACCAACTCTGGAGAGTTGACTAGATTATGGAATTGGCTTCTGGTTAGGATCCCTCTCCTCTTTCCTCCAGAGGATAATTAGCACTCAAAGTTGTGAAGTGTCCTTCACACAAGGTTACCATGCAAGAACATTCCTCAAGACACCACAGAGGAGGTGGTCTCCAAGGAAGTCCAATTAAAAACATTTTTGGTTGTAAAAGCAGTCGGGATTTAGTCATTAAGATGCCCGCCAGCACCTATGACTTTGTCTTTCTAATGGATTTTTTATCAGGAAGATTGCTCACAGCATCAAGGACTTCAGGTTATGAGTGGCTTTCAGGTGCAAATACTTTGAAATGATGGTTCATGCACATTCTGGGTAGAAATTTTAAGCCATTATTTAAACTATTTACACATTTGAAGGCAACCTGTGAAGGTGGTACTAACGTAGTGAGAAGACGCTAGAATGGCCAAAATTCTTTGACCTAAAAAAGCCTGGTTTTCATAGAATTAAAAAGCATGTTTACCACAGAAAGAATTTTTGACATTATTGATCCAAAAATGCCCAGGTGATCTCTGGTAGGTTTTCAAACACAATGTTGAGGAGGGTTCTGAGGCAGAATCTGTGTTTAGTAGAAGAGAGTGCTTTGACCCAATGACAATTCCCATCTTTGCTATAAGAGCACAAATGTTGGAATCTATTCTATGCATGTACCATATTCTATCTTGTACCAATCCTTTAATTTTACAAGTGGGGAAACTGAAGCCCAGTGTGTGGAAAAGACTTGCCAAATATCACTTGAAGAATTAGTGGGAGGGCCAGGTCCTGCCTAAAGGACCCTCCTTGATTTGTTTTGCACTATTTTCCCATTCATATTTGGCATGGGGCTCAGATTTGGGAACTTACAGATGCCCATTACTCTGAGATTGATTTCCTTGGCTTTAATTGACAGCATGTTTTAAGGACCTGGGTTCAGATTGCTCAAGTCCTGGAACTCCGAGAAGACAGCCTATTCTATCTCCAATCTTGGGTAACATCTTTCTTTGTCAGAGCTTCTCTCAGGTTTTTGAAAAGGGAATTCTCTATTTGAGACTTTTTTCCTTCACCTTCAGACTTGATTGATTTCGGAGTCAATCTTTATAATTTCCAGATGAGTACAAGTGCATAAGTGCATATGGTCAGACTCATCTCTAGATGAATTTCATATGTCACCTGTAGGATTCAAACAGGCTCAAAGACTTGGAAATATTGCAGGTAGAACTGTTTTATTTCAAGTGCTCTGTTTCTTTTCCTTTGGAAGATGGACTCAACTACTGATTGTCCCACATGAAGGGACCGGACTGAAAAAGTAAGTGTCTGATTTGTTAGCATCTGATTTCTCAGGGACTCCAGGCAGCATTTGGAGAAGGAAATATTCTTACAGTTTTTCTAGTCTAACCTCTAAACAACCAAGCAGATCCAATTGACATTCTACCTCTGGGCTATTGACTCACACTCAACCTTTGGGGACCTGCTTCTCATTACAGATAGAAATACTCTTTCTGAGTAGAGAACACCCTCAAGCTCTGACCCCACAACCTTCCTTGGGAAAAGATAATCTCCCCTTTCTCTAAACTCCTTCAGCTTGCCTGGTCTCTTACACTTATTTAAACTCTTGCAACATAATGTTTTTCAGTTCTAATGCACACATTAGAGATAGATAGATAGATAGATAGATAGATAGATAGATAGATAGATAGAGAAAGAGAGAAGAGTTTGTAGAGGTGTAGCTCTATACAGAGCATTGAAGTTATAAACTTCATGGAGTAAAGTATCCCCAGTCATTCTCTCCTTCATTACTCTTATTTGAAGCATTTGTAGCACTGGTTTTTGTAGGCATTGTGACAGAGACTATTAAAACAGTGCCTGCTACAGAGAGTGAACAATACACAGCAGCAGGTCTACGCCAAGTAATGCCAGCAGAGCTCATCTGGGTAGGGACAGAGACACATGTGCTTACTTTCCTTGTTGCTACATGTGGGAGGAATCTTAGCGTCAACATCTAGACTGACTCAAGACAACTCTGCTAACAAGAAACTGAGGCACAGGTGTTCTGTTACCTGCCCCAAGTCACACACCTGTGATAAAGACAGAACCAGATCCAGTTTGTCTGACTTTCCGCCAGAGAGCTCATTCTACCTGTCCACCATCTTGACCTTCTTCTTAGGACTGGAATTTCATTACTGTGCACTGAGGGGTGAACCACAGTCGATCATTTAAAATGAATAGTTAATCATTAAGATCATACAACAGCAGGGTTGATGTTAATGTAGAATTACTAACTGTATTAGTGATTAAGATAAGAATATGAGTTAAATATTTATGGTGATGAAAAATGATTATAGTAATGAGTGGATGGCTGATATCAGCAGACAGAACTGTATTCCCCAAAGTGTCCCACCAGAGCTTTCGTAGTAAAGGGGTTCTGTGGTCAAATACATTTGGGAAATATTCCAAGTCCCTCTTGGTAATTCATAACAGTCATGAACTTATTAAAAGCTGTGAGAAATTCTGCAGCAAACAATCTATTTTTTCTGTATTTTTATTTAGATAACCCCCTCCCAGACCATCTTGGGGTGTATCACTTGTTAAAACTCAGTGAATGTGTTTGTAAAACAAACTTTGTAACAAATAATAGACAACAAGTTGTGAGCCCACACTAAATATATATGCCAAAATAATCCAGGGCTTTCAGGGACTCTGCAGCTGTGTGTTTTAAACTATGTTCATGAGGTCCTAAAGAGAATATCACTGAGGGAGAGGGGAAGAGTGAGCAGCCTGGGCGGTCAGCCCTTTCATCTGCTTCATCCACAAAGGTGTAGCTTTTCTCTGCTTTGGACATTCATCTATGTCTTCAGCAAATGTTTACTGAACATCCGCCATGTGCCAGCCCTGTTCAAGGCACGTGGGATAAATCAGCTTTATGTAGAACAGGGAAGAGAAACAATAGAAAATAAACAGGATAAATAAGAAAATTGCATTGTATGTTCACAGATGATAAGCGCTGCAAAAAAGGAGAGATAAAGAAACAGAATAAGGGGGACTATGAGGGCCAGAGGAAGGACAGAGTGGCTGCCATTTAAGTAGGGATTGATGAAATCTTATTAGAAGGTGATGCCTGCACAGAGGATTGGAGGAGGTGAGAGAATTAGCCCTGCTCACATCTGAGAGAAGAACTTCCTTGGCGGACAGAGCAGCCAGTGCAAAGGCCACAAGGCAAGGCAGAGTATTGAGGAGAGATGTATCAGAGAGGCCAGAGGGGCCAGCTTTCAGGGTAAGAGCATGTTTATACTTTGATGGGAGATCGGGAGCATCGAAAAAAAATGAGGATGTAGAAGACAACAGGGATGGCTTATTTATTGCAACAGGAGATGTATCAGTCAGAATCTAACCAGCAAAACAGAAATTATTTATTTTTCATAGAGGGAATTTAATGTGGGCATTTAATTACACAACTGTTGGAAGAATTGAGGAAAACAGGACTGTGATGAACAACAGCAAAAGCCACTCCCAACCCCAGGCTGGAGGGATGAAGGGGACAGGCAGCGTAATGGGGAATGGGCTGGGATTGCCTTGCAAAACCAGAAGCACAGAGGGTCTTTCTGGAAACAGCTTGAACCAGAAGAGCAGCAGCTTCGCCAGAAACACACCTTGAGGCTCCTCTCTCCCTTTAGCCTGTCAGTCTCCTTCCAGAGGCTCCCACTGGCCAAACTCTGCCTGGTGAAACAACGCCTGCAGGGCCAAGCCCTTCTCCGATGGTGCATAATGGTTATTCCAGTTATCTCTGGCTGTGTAACAAACTACCCCACAATCCTGTGGCTTAAAACCTGTTGCCAGTGAGGCTGTGGATAAAAGGGAATGCTCATACACTGCTGATGGGAATGTAAATTAGTTCAGCCACTGTGGAAAGCAGTGTGGTGATATCTCAAAGAACTTAAAAGAGAACTACCATTTGACACAGCAATCCCATTACTGGGGATATACTCCCAAAATAAAAATCATTCTACAATAAAGACATATGCACACATGTGTTCATATCAGCACTGTTCACAATAGCAAAGACATGGAATCAACATAGATGTCCACCAGTGGTGGACTGAATAAAGAAAATGTGGTCCACATTACACCATGGGATACTATATAGCCATTAAAAAGATGAGATCATGGTCTTTGGAGCAATGTAGTTGGAGCTGGAAGCCATTATCCTAAGTGAACTAATGCAGGAACAGAAAACTAAATACTGCATGTCCTCACTTACAAGTGGGAGCTAAACATTGAGTACAGATGACACAGAAAAGGAAACAATAGACACCGGAGCCTATTTGAAGGTGGAGGGAAGGAGGAAGGTGAGGATCAAAAAACTACCTACTGGGTATTATCCTTATTACCTGAGTGATGAAATAATATGTACCACAAACCCCTGTGGTGTGCAATTTATCTATAGAACCAACCTGCCCATGTACCCCTGAAACTAAAAGTAAAAAAAAATAAAAGCTATAAAAACATAAAACCTGCTGTGTCTGCTCATTATTCTACTACTAGGGTAGGGCTTCATTACCACTGCTTGTTGGTGCCTCAGCAGGCCTCAGCTAGGATGGCTCACAGGGCCCCCTGGAGGAGCCAGCTCGGAGGCAGCTCACTCATGTGGCTGGTGGATTGCTGCTGAATGTTGGCTGGGAGCTCAGCTAGCACTGTTGGTCTGGCGACCTTGGTTCTCCTTGTCACTGAGTTCCTGGATTTTCCTCCATGAGGCCCCTCCCAGTGGCTAGCTTGAACTTTCTCACAGCATGGAGTTCTCAGGGTAGATAGACTTTCACATGGCAGTTGGATTCCAACATGGTGAAAACAAAAATGCCAGGTCTTCTTAAGTCTCATTTCTATAATTTGCATGGTATATCATCCACTGCAATCTATAGGCTAAAGTGAGCCAAGGGCCAGCCCAGATTCAGAGGGAGAGTATGATTCACTAGGAAGCCACCAAAGTAACATTTAGCACACAAGAGAGGGGCAAGGAAGGAAGGGACTTGATGTCAAACAAACAGTTTTAGGGCCGGGAACATCTATTCCTTTTGCTCCTTTACATTCATTTCTATCAGTTTGCAGCCATCAGATGATAGCTTTGTTCTCTCGTGTTAGGTGGAAACATGATCTGTTATTAAAAAGAGAATATTCTCCCCTTCTCCCCAGCAAGGGGAGACACAAAGTTCCATCGTCACCACATCCTTCTCAAGACCAGGATCTCCCCCAGGTCTGGATCAGACTCTTCCTGGTCTGGGACCTAGGAACTAAGTTGTAAAGTTAGGCAACATCCACTGTCTTCAACAAAATAGTAGGGGAATTAAAAAGAAAAGCATATCCATTGCTTGTTATACATAAAACAAAGATATGCAGAGCTACTCAGGCGTCTGTCTGAGGTTATGGTTGATACTTGTAATTTCTTTTTTCAGCTCAACCATTCTTGCCCTCAATCAGCATTTTGGTTTTTATTTGTTTTGTTCTTTTATTTTCTGGGAGTAGGGGATTATGTCTGAGTCTTCAGCAAGCCTTCCTTTATTCGGTTGCTATAGTTTTGCATTGACTTTTACTGTTAGATATGAAAGTTCTAAGAGATGCCCCAGTGAATCCCCTGGTAAAAGGCATAACCCTCCCCTCTCCAATTTTGTAACAAACACCCAAAGTCCCCTTGGTAATCAGGATCACTATGGGCTCACTATATTCATCCAGTATAGTGAGCCCCTTCTTGGCCTGTTGGTTTAGTGGAAAGAGGAGACCCAACTAACCTAGAGCACTGTGAACTTCCAGGTTAAACTAACCAGTGTTTTGTCCCCTGGGAGAAGTGTCCTCTCCTGGGAATAAAGAATTCTAGACCAGCAGAGACCAAGGTTGGGCGGACATGACAAAAAGACCCGGTAAGCAGGTCATATAATTACTAGCGAGAGGGCCCATTCCCAACTCCATCACTCCATCCTGTGATTCTTAGACTGATGTTTTCTGACTATAGTCAAAATAGGATCAATTATTTGTCACTGGATGGAAGCAAATACCTCATCTCTGGGAGAATTACAAAGATGAATGCCATCGATGATGACTTGATAAAACAGGGAGGAGGGGATAATTTATATCACAACTCCTCATATTTTTACCTGATTTAAGAAGCAGGATCTTCCTCGAGAATAACTTCAGGTTATCATAAACTTAATCATATGCCTTAGTAAGACACTTTTATGAGACCTTCAGAGGATAAACCTCACTTCTATTTCCAAGAATTGAATCATTCAGGGATTAAGCAAGAAAGGGGGTGAGTTTATATATTTGCAACAGCAGGAATTTTTAAACCACTTTTGGAAGGTATGGTTGACACACAAAAACTATAGATATTTAATGTATGCAACTTGATGTGCTTGGAGATGAGTACGCAACCATGCAGCTGTCACCACAACACCACCATAAACTTATCCATCACCTCCAGACATTTCCTCCATGCCTCTTTGTTTTGTTTGTTTTTCCCTTTTGTGGTAAGAACACAATATAAGATCTACCCGCTTAGCAAATTTCTAACTGTACAATACAGTGTTGTCAATCATATGCCTGATGTTGTGAAGTAGATCTCTAGAACTTATTTATCTTGCATGGCTGATGCAGGGAATTATTTACACAGGTGGTGGGTGAGGTGAGAAGACAAACAAGTGATCTGAGGTAACTCAGAGATGAGAAGAAGCCATTGCTACCCCCAGACTTGGGGATTGAGGGCAGAAATGCTGGATGCCCTGGGCTAGGGCGACTCCGGAGCCATTAGAGCCACTGGGAGATGGAGCAGTGTGGGCTGGAGCACAGGAAGTTCAGGGAAAAGCTGGATCCACCTGACTTCTCACTTCCCCTGCCCTTCCACCTCTTGCCTTTGCCTCCCTTTGGCTAGATGTACCAGGAAGCCAGCCAAGGTGGGACCCTGAAAAGCAGTCTGCAGGGATGGCCCCGTCTGTGTAGAGAACATCACAGCAGAATGGCAAAAACAGAATGTGAGGAGTGACGGGTCCAGGAGCAGCTCCGGTGGGAAGGCAGACTGGTGGGTGCAGGTGCCCATGTGTGGGTGGGTAAGGTTGCAGTGACAGTTGAGGCAGCTGGGATATGAACTGGGGTGTGGGCTGGGGTGCCGGGGTGTGGCAAGAGATGCATGGAAGCTTTTGTTTTTTCTCTAACCTCACTATTCTGAGTGAAGTAGGGAGCAATGCTGTCCACTGGGAACCAAGAGTGGGGCGAAAGTGCTGGGGCTTGTCGGGCAAAAAGGCGAGTCTGGTTGCCTAGGAGAAGGGAAATGAAAAGTCCGGAAGTTTAGGGCAGTTACCCAGCAGCAGTGAAAAGCCACCTGAGGTGCTAAGGTTTGAGGTCATAGATTTCAATGAGACCAGTCAATGTGGCTGTGGGTTTGTCTCCCGCCAGACCACACTGGGTGCTGGGGAGGAATAGAATGGCAGCTGAATTTTACTAGAGTTAGAGTTTTTCCAAGTGAATACAATTGGGGGGGGGGGGGGAGAGAGAGAGAGAGAGAGAGAGAGAGAGAGAGAAAAGGAGACTTAAAATTATGCAAAAGGGATTATAGTGATTGTGGAATTTCCCTGGGGAAAGGAGGGAGGAGAGGACATTAATCGGGTGGGGAATGGCTTTAAACACAAGAGTTCCTATTGCCAGAGCACCGCTGCGGTTGGGGCACAGGTAGGAATGAACCGGACGGTGGTCAGATGCCAGAATGCATGACATTAAGATCATGGGGGAGTGAAGTTCTACAGGATGATGGTGGGTGCGAGAGGCTGAGGTCAGGTATAGGACAAGATCAGAGGAACAGCATTTGGAGGAGAGGCTTTGGGGCTCAAAGGCAATTTCCAAAACCACCTCTGTTAGATGTATTTTGTTTCTGTCCCCCATTTCAGTCACCACAACCTGGGTTTAGTTTGTTGGAATGAAACTGACCGTGCTCTCAGGGCACAAGTGTCAGGTGGAGCTGCTTCCAGACTCAGGGAACAGGAGATTTGGACCACGTTGCATACCTGGCTTTCCCCAGCCTCTCTGAACCCTCCACTTCCTCAGGGCCTTTCATGTTCAAGCTGAGTCCTGCTCAGGTCCTTCGAGGCACTCAGCCCTTCTCTCAAGGTGCCCTCTCGCACCTCCATCCTCTAGGAAGGCAGCACCCCATCGGAGCTTCTCCTGGGAGCAAGTAGCCATCCACAGGCAGGTCCACAGGTGGGACCACAGGCAGCTTCTGGCCCTGTGCATGGTGAAGGGAGAGTACACATCTTGAAGGGACCCTGCTGAGGCTGGATGATGACTGTGAAATCAACAAGAGCTGGGCTTTCCTTGATGGGTGTCAAGAAATAGGAACAAAAAAAGGTGACATGAAAATTTCCAGACCTTAGGTTTCCACAAAGGCGTGGTTCTTGAATTCTGTAGTTACTGGATATTGGGTTTCTATTGCAATGCAAGCACATCTAGTGTCTCCTCCTGCCTTGCTTTTAAAGTCAGCAATACTTTACAGGATCTTTTTCTGGTGATAAAGCGCAGTTTTGTAAAAAATAAATATCAGATGTCTTCTGCATAGCAGTTACTGTTCTGTGCACTGTGGCCCTGCATGAGGCCAACTTCTGCCCTGCTCTCAGGACTTTTAAATTCAGATGTGGGTAGGAGGGGATGAGAATGAAATACAATAAGCAAGTATGCAAATAAATATACAAGAAAAGTTTAGTAAGTGCTATGAACACAATTAGACAAAAATAGATTAGAGACGGCTAAGTCTGGGCCTGGTGTCACCATGCAGGCTGGGAAAGCCTCTCTAAACACCCCATCTGAGACCTAAAGAGAAGAAAGAGCCAGGTGAAGACTCAGGGGAACTGCAATGCAGGCAAAAGGAGCAACAAAGTCAAAAACCACCAGAAGGCAATAAACATGGCATGTCCGAGGAAGAGAAAACCAGGCAAGTGACTGTTGCTGAGTGAGCAAGTGATGAGCTCTGGAGTAAGTTGGCCAGGCCATCAACAAGACCTTGTCAGACAAAGTGAGGGTTGATGCTTCATTTGGTCAGCAGCAGGGTTTAGAGCTAACCAGGGGTGCAGGAGGAGGCATGAGGGGACTCAGGCTCATTTCCTTGGGTCTTCCAGATTCTGAGCCTCATTTCTTTACTTTCTGTCTTGCTTAGTAACATGATAGAATGAATCAGCTTCTCTACCAAGTAATTACTGCACTTTGAGTTTTGAATCTCAAAGAGGTGAGCTCAGGGCTCAGGGGGCTATGGGGACAAACTAGCATTCTACTGCATTTCCCTGCATAGCGGATGTGCATGGTAAAGTGGTCTGTTAGCAAGTACTTCCATAAAAATAATAAAAAATACCCAAATCCATTTTTTTTTTTTGAGACGGAGTCTCACTCTGTCACCTAGGCTGGAGTGCAGTGGCGCGATCTCGGCTCACTGCAAGCTCCACCTCCCAGGTTCACGCCATTCTCCTGCCTCAGCCTCCCGAGTAGCTGGGACTACAAGTGCCCGCCACCACGTCTGGCTAATTTTTTGTATTTTTAGTAAAGACAGGGTTTCACCGTGTTAGCCAAGATGGTCTCGATCTCCTGAGTCGTGATCCACCCGCCTCGGCCTCCCAAAGTGCTGGGATTACAGGCATGAGCCACCGCGCCCGGCCTACCCAACTCCATTTTTACAAACCAGTGCAGTTCACAAAATGTTTTACCATTAATTCCTGCACCTGACCTTCATGTGATCCCTCCAAGTGGGGTAAACATGCATTTTATTCCTCTCTGACCTTGAATAAGTCATGGGCCTTCTCTGGGCTTCCATTCCGTCAATTGTAATTTGAGAATTATAGCCCAGTTGCAAAATTATCTATATAGTATCTGGTATACAGTAGGAACTCAATAAATATTTGTTGACTCAAAATCTCTTAAAATTGAAGTATTCTCTGACTCCAAACCTTGGTATCACTAGTGTGTGATTATAGTATACATTTATTAATTCTGACATTTCCTTTTCTCAATAATAAAAAATATAAATGGATTACGTGTTTGCCGTTTCCTCCAATTTTCTAAGTCAAACTTCATAATTTGGACAGAGTTTGAAGGAGATTTGCAACTCCAAGGAGCAGGGTAACATTTGCAGTATGTGAAACTAATTGCCTTTGGTTTGCTTTGCCTTTTCTTGCTCTGAAAACTGGCCTCTGTTTGTTTAGAAGATCTTTGCTAACATCAAAATTGCTTGCATTTTCCTGGGGCTGGGTGACCAAACCTCTCTAGAGCTTTGAAATGACAAGCTGACAAGCTCCCCTGGGACTTCCACCCAGAATGTACTGCCCAAAATTTGACATGACCATGACTCTGAGCAGGTAGATTGTGTGTTACTTCAGCGTTGCTTGTTAGCAGCTCAGCAGGCCCAGCATGGGAGAAACCAGTGCTTCCCTGGGATCTCACAGAGTCACCCCAGCCTGCAGAGCCCAGGGACCCCGAGCCTGCAAACATGGGCCCATGCCTTCATCCACCACAAGCGACCAGCCTCCACATCAATTATATTCTACACGTAAAAGGATTTTACATCCCTTCTGTCCTTCCCAGCTCCGGGACTTTGCCTCATAACTAAAGAGGAACATCCCAAGAGCCCCTGACTTCCTAATTTCTCTTTACCCCTCACCATCACCCAACTAAGTCATCCTTTTCTTGCCATCAAAGGGATTTTTCAAAAACATAAATTGGCTGCTCCTGGCTCCTGCCTACCATCAAGATAGAGTTTACCCTCTGTCACGATGGGCCCCTGTCCACCCCTCCAACCTTCTCTTTTCCCAGTCCCTGGTGCTCTCTAAAGTAGATATTGTGGTCTGTTTGTCTAGTTGTCTTTCTCCCTTCTTCTGAAAAATATCCAAATTCTTTTCAGAGGACCACCCTCCCCCACTCTCAATCGCTGTGATTTAGGTGATACCAACTCTGTTTGTGCCTTCAGAGCAGTCAGATGACCCAGTCCTGGCCAACTGAATAGTGCATCCCTCTGACTGCAGAGATTGGTTCAGAAATGTCAAAGTGCACAAACCAGAGCCAATTAGAGCTCATTCTACAAACTCTGCCAGTGAAGTTGAGTCTTATCTTGAACCTAAGAAAATCTGATGAGTGCAGCTAGAAGCCACAACATGGAGAGACAGTGCTTGAAAGCGAGACCAGCGGGAAAGAAAGAAGAGCCACAGACAGAGGCAGATTCTTGCAGCTCTGTTTGTGAACCTGGACCAACTTATCCCCAAGCTTGTCAACTGCATGGGCCAAAACATTACTTCCCTCTGCTCTCGGTGTCATTGGAGCTGGGTCTCTCTCACTTGCACCAGAATGAGTCATAACTCTCTTCTTATGTTTCAGTGCTACTGAGTTCTGGCAACCCCCTGTGGGCTTCATGCTCATCCATGCCTTTGTCATGCCCATTTCCTGCACAAATAAAGCCCTTACAAAGATTATTCTCAGGTGTCTCTCAAGCATCACCTGTGTAAGTTCAGTAGGCATTTTATATGTATTTGTTAAAGTTATGAATGCACGAGCAAATGATCTTGTGAATGAGTGATATTTTCAGAATGCAGGACTGCCTTAGCAGTCCTATACCTGAGAAGAGATGGCTTGATTGTCTTGCCCAACTATCACTTGGGGTGTGTGTTAATAGAAGTAATATCACACTATCGAGTGAAAGTTTTCTGTTATCCTGGAACTGGGTACTAGAACTCAATGCTGAGGCGGGGGGGCGGGGAATGGGGGGCGCGCGGTGGATGGAGAGAGAGAGAGAGAGAGAACAGTCTATCTATAGAAAACCAAAAATAATGGCAAGGTCAATGAGGAGACAATGCCTCCAACAATTATTGAGACACAGCTGAGCTGGCTGTGCTTCATCCCCTGTCCTCCCATCCCCTCTCCAGCCGATAGAAATAGAAGACTAGCACATCAAGGGAATTTTCCCAGGGAAGCATAGTTGGAATTCAGTGTACATAGCAAGAGATGAGTCTCCGAGTCCCAAAGCCAAAAGAAAGCAACTCCATGAGAATCTCTCATGGAAGTTACAGGTGACTGGCCAATCAAAATAGTGCATCCTAGGTATCACATTCCAAGGTTGGATCTCAGCTTTTGTAGTCACCTGCTGATTTGCTTGGGCAAGTAGCGGATTAGTTTGCTGAGGTGCCAAATGACTCCTACATCTCAGCAGCTCACAACAATAGACAATTTCTAGCTCACATTACAATTGGCTGCTGGTTGGCAGTGGCTTTAATCTAATGCACATCAGTGGTAGCTCTACTTCACATGTCTCCTCCTGCCAGAAGCTTGCAGATGCAGCTCCCCACTCCTTACACGCAATTCCTCATGACAGGGAAGCAAAGAGAGTTGTTGAAAATGCATATCTGAAGCTCCTTTTTGGAAGAAGCAGAGGCCAGTGACAGCCAAGCAAGGGGCTTGGCAGCACTGGTTAGAGGCTGTCTTAGCTCAGGCTGCCATAACAAAATACCATAGATGAGGTGGCTTCAACAACAGACACTTATTTTCTCACAGCTCTGAAGGCTGGAATGCCCAAGACCAGAATTCAGCAGCGTTCAGTTCCAAGTACAGGCTCTCTTCCTGGATTGTAGATGGCTGTTTTCTCGCTGTGTCCTCGCATAGCTTTTTCTTAGCATGTGTATGTGTGTGGCGAGAGAGACAGACAGAGAGAGAGAGAGAGAAAAAGCACTTTGGTCTCTCTTCCTTTTTTATAAGAACACTAATCCCATCATCCTCTGAAGGCTCCACCTCCACAGACCATCTCTGTGGGAGTTAGGGCTTCAAGGAGTACACCAAAAATTGGCCCATTATAGAGGTGTTTTCCTCTCCTCCATCCCTTTTCTATGACAGGAGGGGACACAGAAGAGAAAAGAGAAGAGGAATAAAAGTGCACACCCTCCAGCTTCCTCACACCAAGGCCCTAAGGTACACAAAAGCTTGGAGCTGCAGGTCAGGGAAGAAGCGAGGGTAGCATTTGGAAGGAGATTGGCAGCTTCAATTGGACTAGCCAGCCTGGACTTTATTCCTGATGTGGCAGGAGAGTGATGGAGTCTTCCTAGGATGCCGCCAAGGGGCAAGATGGGGAATTCAACAAAGCACAAGTCTAGGCAGTGATTGGAGAAAAATAAGTCTGTTTTAGTTCTTTGTCTAGGTTAGAATATTCTCAGACTAAAAATGATAAAGCACCTTCACGTGCTTCACTGCTCACGAAGTACGTCCACATGTATGGTCTGCCCTGAGCTGCATGTGTATACAATGTGTTAGGCAGTTTGTTTCTTTTTATTGCTGAGAATGACTGCATTGCTTATGCACTTATGCATATGGTACACAAACTATGCACCATAGTTTGTTTATTCATTCACTAGTTGAAGTACATTTGACTTATTTTTAGTTTTTGGTAATTATGGATAAAACTGCCATAAATATTTGTGTACAGCTTTTCTGTAAACATGCATCTTTCTTTTTCTTGGGTAAATAGGAATAGGATTGCTGGGTCGTATTGTAAGTGAAGTTTAATTTATAAAAAATTGCCAAACTGTTTTCCAAAATGCTTGCTATTTTGCATTCCACAAGCAATGCATAAAATTTTCAGTTGCTTTGTATCCTTGCTAGTCCTTGATATTATCATTTTGAGCCATTCCAATAGGTGCGTATAGTATCAATTTCATTTCCATACACAAAATATCTGTGCAAATTTATTTATAAGGGCAGCAATTTTAAGAACAGAGAAAAGAAGGAGAAAGAATTTCATTTGGCAATAATTTAGAGGAAAATCAGAAATAAAGCTTATTCCCTCTAATGGAAAAACACTTTAGTAATTGACTAATGAAGACTTATTATGCCTATATATTTTGAAGTGTGCTTGGGTCAGACAGAGGTTTACAGACTGGATGATTACTTAAATTTATTTAAGAAATGTTTACTTTTTTTTCCTGACCCTTATGGAGATACCAAAATAAGTAGATATTTGGTGTTTTCCCTGAAGAGTTCCCAGTCAAATGGAGAAGACGGTCATTCCTACAGATGTTCCTACCCAGCATGCCAACAGCCAGGACACAGGTGCGTAACAAGGTTCAGGGTAAATAGAGGGGAAATAGCACTTAAGCTTTCCTGGATGAGTAAGAAAATGTTTCATAGAAGAGCTAGAACTTGAGATGAGACTCGATGAATAAATAGAAATTTTTCTGAAGGACAAGAAATAGATGGGTGCTACAGGCAGAAGAAATAGCACACAGAGGCATCAAGAGATGAGAGAGGCTAGAATTCTTGGGTGGTGCAGGCAGTTCGGGCTTTCTGGAGCCTGAAGTTCGAAGATAGCAAACATAGAAGATGAGAAAGGGAAGGAAATCAGAAACAAGTAACAAATATCCTTTAATCACATGCTGCATAGCTTGGATTTTAACATGAAGTTGAAGAGAACCACAAGAAGGGGCATGGTACAGCCAGATATTCATTCCTTTTAGAAAGATCATTCCAGCATTACAATGAAAAGTTGGTTGGAGATGAGAAAAGAGTAGATGCTAAAAGACCACCTATCAATCTACTGGAACTGTTATAGGTGAGAGAGAATGGGGGGCTGACATGAGGCTGGCATTAAGACCAGAAGGAAAAGCATGAATTCAAGAGAACTTTGGGAAATAGGATTACCCCAACCTTGATGAGTAATTCAGTGTGGAGTGTAAAGGAGAGGGAGGAGTCAAGACTTAGGGTTTGACTTAGCCCAAAAGAGGGGGTGTAATCTTGTCACCTTCACATATGCCGAGTAGGACATGGATGTGAAGCAGACAGGTGGGCTGCTCAGACAGTTGCATATGGAAATTTCTAGGTCAGGAAAGAAGTCTGGTGAAAAAGACACGTTGAGAAGTTATCAATAAGAAGGGGGCAGTTGTAGCTATGACATGGAAGAGATCATTGGGGAGGGCTGTGGATCAAGCAGATCAGAGTTGAGCACAGATTTCTGGAGACGCACATTTATGGGACAGGCTGAGCCTGGGGAGACAATGTGCCAATGACTGGAAGGATCTTTGCAGACTTGCAGGTTGAGCCATATTCACTCTCAGCCTTTACCTTCATGGCTAAATTGTCATCTCTGTGGCCTGTTGTTCTCCAGCCAACATGACCTGGCAGATGGAAGTAATAGTAAAAAGAATGTAAATACTGATTACGGAGACACTGGGTGGAGCTGCACAACTTATCTAGTGGAGTTTTAGGGTGAGTTGTCTAGTCTTTCTGGGTCCTAGTTTTTGCATGCGCAACAGAGGGGGTAATTACACCCTACCTTGCAGAGTGATTTTGAGCACTGAATAAGAGAGACCTTGTGAGTTGTATTACTCCATTTTCATAAAGCTATAAAGAACTGCCCAAGATTAGGTAATTTATAAAGGAAAGAGGTTTAATTGACTTAACCTCCCCAGCATGGCTGGGGAGGCCCTAGGAAGCTTGCAATTATGGCAGAAGGTGAAGGGGAAGCAAGGCACCTTCTTCACAAGGCGGCAGGAAGGAGAAGTGCTGAGTGAAGGGGGAAGAGTCCCTTATAAAACCATCAGATCTTGTGAGAACTCACTATCACAGGAACAGCATTGGGGAAACTGCCCCCACGATTCAATTATCTCCACCTGGTCTTGACATGTGGGGATTATGGGGATTACAATTCAAGATGAGATTTGGGTGGGAACACAAAGCCTAATCATATCATGGGCAAAACACAGAAACTGTGCTAAGTAAATAATTATCTTTTGGTCTTTTTCCCCACTGGCAGCACCAGCCAGAATAAACAGAGGAAGCCCAGATTCTTTTCAGGGAACCCACTTCATTAGATTAAAATAATGAATAATGAATAATGAAGAGAGGGCAGAAGGGACCAGGGAAGCAGGAAGGGAAGGATGTAAGAAGAAAGGAAACAGGGTCTGGCAATTTTCATTGCACGGATCTAATTTAACCGGTCTGTCAATTTCTTTAATTACCCTCAATGCTCCCCATGTCAATGTATAATTAACAGGGCTTTGCTGTGGGCTGGAAGGACCAGAATTCAAGTCTCAATCCTGCACTAGTGAGGGTAATGTGCGACCTTTTTTTTTTTTTTTTTTTTTTTTTATTATACTTTAAGTTTTAGGGTATATGTGCACATTGTGCAGGTTAGTTACATATGTATACATGTGCCATGCTGGTGTGCTGCACCCATTAACTCATCATTTAGCATTAGGTATATCTCCCAATGCTATCCCTCCCCCCTCCCCCCACCCCACCACAGTCCCCAGAGTGTGATATTCCCCTTCCTGTGTCCATGTGATCTCATTGTTCAATTCCCACCTATGAGTGAGAATATGCAGTATTTGGTTTTTTGTTCTTGCGATAGTTTACTGAGAATGATGGTTTCCAATTTCATCCATGTCCCTACAAAGGACATGAACTCATCATTTTTTATGGCTGCATAGTATTCCATGGTGTATATGTGCCACCTTTTCTTAATCCAGTCTATCATTGTTGGACATTTGGGTTGGTTCCAAGTCTTTGCTATTGTGAATAATGCCACAATAAACATACGTGTGCATGTGTTTTTATAGCAGCATGATTTATAGTCATTTGGGTATATACCCAGTAATGGGATGGCTGGGTCAAATGGTATTTCTAGTTCTAGATCCCTGAGGAATCGCCACACTGACTTCCACAATGGTTGAACTAGTTTACAGTCCCACCAACAGTGTAAGAGTGTTCCTATTTCTCCACAGCCTCTCCAGCACCTGTTGTTTCCTGACTTTTTAATGATTGCCATTCCAACTGGTGTGAGATGATATCTCATAGTGGTTTTGATTTGCATTTCTCTGATGGCCAGTGATGATGAGCATTTTTTCATGTATTTTTTGGCTGCATAAATGTCTTCTTTTGAGAAGTGTCTGTTCATGTCCTTCACCCACTTTTTGATGGGGTTGTTTGTTTTTTTCTTGTAAATTTGTTTGAGTTCATTGTAGATTCTGGATATTAGCCCTTTGTCAGATGAGTAGGTTGAGAAAATTTTCTCCCATGTTGTAGGTTGCCTGTTCACTCTGATGGTAGTTTCTTTTGCTGTGCAGAAGCTCTTTAGTTTAATTAGATCCCATTTGTCAATTTTGGCTTTTGTTGCCATTGCTTTTGGTGTTTTGGACATGAAGTCCTTGCCCACGCCTATGTCCTGAATGGTAATGCCTAGGTTTTCTTCTAGGGTTTTTATGGTTTTAGGTCTAACGTTTAAATCTTTAATCCATCTTGAATTGATTTTTGTATAAGGTGTAAGGAAGGGATCCAGTTTCAGCTTTCTACATATGGCTAGCCAGTTTTCCCAGCACCATTTATTAAATAGGGAATCCTTTCCCCATTGCTTGTTTTTCTCAGGTTTGTCAAAGATCAGATAGTTGTAGGTATGCGGCGTTATTTCTGAGGGCTCTGTTCTGTTCCATTGATCTATCTCTCTGTTTTGGTACCAGTACCATGCTGTTTTGGTTACTGTAGCCTTGTAGTATAGTTTGAAGTCAGGTAGTGTGATGCCTCCAGCTTTGTTCTTTTGGCTTAGGATTGACTTGGCGATGCGGGCTCTTTTTTGGTTCCATATGAACTTTAAAGTAGTTTTTTCCAATTCTGTGAAGAAAGTCATTGGTAGCTTGATGGGGATGTCATTGAATCTGTAAATTACCTTGGGCAGTATGGCCATTTTCACGATATTGATTCTTCCTACCCATGAGCATGGAATGTTCTTCCATTTGTTTGTATCCTCTTTGATTTCCTTGAGCAGTGGTTTGTAGTTCTCCTTGAAGAGGTCCTTCACATCCCTTGTAAGTTGGATTCCTAGGTATTTTCTTCTCTTTGAAGCAATTGTGAATGGGAGTTCACTCATGATTTGGCTCTCTGTTTGTCTGTTGTTGGTGTATAAGAATGCTTGTGATTTTTGTACATTGATTTTGTATCCTGAGACTTTGCTGAGGTTGCTTATCAGCTTAAGGAGATTTTGGGCTGAGACGATGGGGTTTTCTAGATAAACAATCATGTCGTCTGCAAACAGGGACAATTTGACTTCCTCTTTTCCTAATTGAATACCCTTTATTTCCTTCTCCTGCCTGATTGCCCTGGCCAGAACTTCCAACACTATGTTGAATAGGAGTGGTGAGAGAGGGCATCCCTGTCCTGTGCCAGTTTTCAAAGGGAATGCTTCCAGTTTTTGCCCATTCAGTATGATATTGGCTGTGGGTTTGTCATAGATAGCTCTTATTATTTTGAAATACGTCCCATCAATACCTAATTTATTGAGAGTTTTTAGCATGAAGTGTTGTTGAATTTTGTCCAAGGCTTTTTCTGCATCTATTGAGATAATCGTGGTTTTTGTCTCTGGCTCTGTTTATATGCTGGATTACATTTATTGATTTGCGTATATTGAACCAGCCTTGCATCCCAGGGATGAAGCCCACTTGATCATGGTGGATAAGCTTTTTGATGTGCTGCTGGATTCGGTTTGCCAGTATTTTATTGAGGATTTTTGCATCAATGTTCATCAAGGATATTGGTCTAAAATTCTCTTTTTTGGTTGTGTCTCTGCCCGGCTTTGGTATCAGAATGATGCTGGCCTCATAAAATGAGTTAGGGAGGATTCCCTCTTTTTCTATTGATTGGAATAGTTTCAGAAGGAATGGTACCAGTTCCTCCTTGTACCTCTGGTAGAATTCGGCTGTGAATCCATCTGGTCCTGGACTCTTTTTGGTTGGTAAACTATTGATTATTGCCACAATTTCAGCTCCTGTTATTGGTCTATTCAGAGATTCAACTTCTTCCTGGTTTAGTCTTGGGAGAGTGTATGTGTCGAGGAATGTATCCATTTCTTCTAGATTTTCTAGTTTATTTGCGTAGAGGTGTTTGTAGTATTCTCTGATGGTAGTTTGTATTTCTGTGGGATCGGTGGTGATATCCCCTTTATCATTTTTTATTGTGTCTATTTGATTCTTCTCTCTTTTTTTCTTTATTAGTCTTGCTAGCGGTCTATCAATTTTGTTGATCCTTTCAAAAAACCAGCTCCTGGATTCATTGATTTTTTGAAGGGTTTTTTGTGTCTCTATTTCCTTCAGTTCTGCTCTGATCTTGGTTATTTCTTGCCTTCTGCTAGCTTTTGAATGTGTTTGTTCTTGCTTTTCTAGTTCTTTTAATTGTGATGTTAGGGTGTCAATTTTCTATCTTTCCTGCTTTCTCCTGTGGGCATTTAGTGCTATAAATTTCCCTCTACACACTGCTTTGAATGCGTCCCAGAGATTCTGGTATGTTGTGTCTTTGTTCTCGTTGGTTTCAAAGAACATCTTTATTTCTGCCTTCATTTTGTTATGTACCCAGTAGTCATTCAGGAGCAGGTTGTTCAGTTTCCATGTAGTTGAGTGGCTTTGAGTGAGATTCTTAATCTTGAGCTCTAGTTTGATTGCACTGTGGTCTGAGAGATAGTTTGTTATAATTTCTGTTCTTTTACATTTGCTGAGGAGAGCTTTACTTCCAACTATGTGGTCAATTTTGGAATAGGTGTGGTGTGGTGCTGAAAAAAATGCATATTCTGTTGATTTGGGGTGGAGAGTTCTGTAGATGTCTATTAGGTCCACTTGGTGCAGAGCTGAGTTCAATTCCTGGGTATCCTTGTTGACTTTCTGTCTCGTTGATCTGCCTAATGTTGACAGTTGGGTGTTAAAGTCTCCCATTATTAATGTGTGGGAGTCTAAGTCTCTTTGTAGGTCACTCAGGACTTGCTGTATGAATCTGGGTGCTCCTGTATTGGGTGCATATATATTTAGGATAGTTAGCTCCTCTTGTTGAATTGATCCCTTTACCATTATGTAATGGCCTTCTTTGTCTCTTTTGATCTTTGTTGGTTTAAAGTCTGTTTTATCAGAGACTAGGACTGCAACCCCTGCCTTTTTTTGTTTTCCATTTGCTTGGTAGATCTTCCTCCATCCTTTTATTTTGAGCCTATGTGTGTCTCTGCACGTGAGATGGGTTTCCTGAATACAGCACACTGATGGGTCTTGACTTTTTATCCAACTTGCCAGTCTGTGTCTTTTTATTGGAGAATTTAGTCCATTTACGTTTAAAGTTAATATTGTTATGTGTGAATTTGATCATGTCATTATGATGTTAGCTGGTGATTTTGCTCGTTAGTTGATGCAGTTTCTTCCTAGCCTCGATGGTCTTTACATTTTGGCATGATTTTGCAGCGGCTGGTACCGGTTGTTCCTTTCCACGTTTAGCGCTTCCTTCAGGAGCTCTTTTAGGGCAGGCCTGGTGGTGACAAAATCTCTCAGCATTTGCTTGTCTGTAAAGTATTTTATTTCTCCTTCACTTATGAAGCTTAGTTTGGCTGGATATGAAATTCTGGGTTGAAAATTCTTTTCTTTAAGAATGTTGAATATTGGCCCCCACTCTCTTCTGGCTTGTAGGGTTTCTGCCGAGAGATCCGCTGTTAGTCTGATGGGCTTCCCTTTGAGGGTAACCTGACCTTTCTCTCTGGCTGCCCTTAACATTTTTTCCTTCATTTCAACTTTGGTGAATCTGACAATTATGTGTCTTGGAGTTGCTCTTCTCGAGGAGTATCTTTGTGGCGTTCTCTGTATTTCCTGAATCTGAACGTTGGCCTGCCTTGCTAGATTGGGGAAGTTCTCCTGGATAATATCCTGCAGAGTGTTTTCCAACTTGGTTCCATTCTCCGCATCACTTTCAGGTACACCAATCAGACGTAGATTTGGTCTTTTCACATAGACCCATATTTCTTGGAGGCTTTGCTCATTTCTTTTTATTCTTTTTTCTCTAAACTTCCCTTCTCGCTTCATTTCATTCATTTCATCTTCCATTGCTGATACCCTTTCTTCCAGTTGATCGCATCGGCTCCTGAGGCTTCTGCATTGTTCACGTAGTTCTCGAGCCTTGGTTTTCCGCTCCATCAGCTCCTTTAAGCACTTCTCTGTATTGGTTATTCTAGTTATACATTCTTCTAAATTTTTTTCAAAGTTTTCAACTTCTTTGCCTTTGGTTTGAATGTCCTCCCGTAGCTCAGAGTAATTTGATGGTCTGAAGCCTTCTTCTCTCAGCTCGTCAAAATCATTCTCCATCCAGCTTTGTTCCGTTGCTGGTGAGGAACTGCGTTCCTTTGGAGGAGGAGAGGCGCTCTGCGTTTTAGAGTTTCCAGTTTTTCTGTTCTGTTTTTTCCCCATCTTTGTGGTTTTATCTACTTTTGGTCTTTGATGATGGTGATGTACAGATGGGTTTTCGGTATGGATGTCCTTTCTGTTTGTTAGTTTTCCTTCTAACAAACAGGACCCTCAGCTGCAGGTCTGTTGGAATACCCTGCCGTGTGAGGTGTCAGTGTGCCCCTGCTGGGGGGTGCCTCCCAGTTAGGCTGCTCGGGGGTCAGGGGTCAGGGACCCACTTGAGGAGGCAGTCTGCCCGTTCTCAGATCTCCAGCTGCCTGCTGGGAGAACCACTGCTCTCTTCAAAGCTGTCAGACAGGGACATTTAAGTCTGCAGAGGTTACTGCTGTCTTTTTGTTTGTCTGTGCCCTGCCCCCAGAGGTGGAGCCTAAAGAGGCAGGCAGGCCTCCTTGAGCTGTGGTGGGCTCCACCCAGTTCGAGCTTCCCGGCTGCTTTGTTTACCTAAGCAAGCCTGGGCAATGGCTGGCGCCCCTCCCCCAGCCTCGCTGCCTCCTTGCAGTTTGATCTCAGACTGCTGTGCTAGCGATCAGCGAGATTCCGTGGGCATAGGCCCCTCCGAGCCAGGTGTGGGAATATAGTCTCGTGGTGCGCCGTTTTTTAAGCCGGTCTGAAAAGCACAATAGTCGGGTGGGAGTGACCCGATTTTCCAGGTGCGTCCATCACCCCTTTCTTTGACTCGGAAAGGGAACTCCCTGACCGCTTGCGCTTCCCAGGTGAGGCAATGCCTCGCCCTGCTTCGGCTCGCGCACGGTGCGCACACCCACTGTCCTGCGCCCACTGTCTGGCACTCCCTAGTGAGATGAACCCGGTACCTCAGATGGAAATGCAGAAATCACCAGTCTTCTGCGTCGCTCACGCTGGGAGCTGTAGACCGGAGCTGTTCCTATTCGGCCATCTTGGCTCCTCCCAGTGTGCGACCCTTAAGTAAGTGATTGCACTCTCTGACCTCAAGTTTCCATACTTACATACTTGGATGTTTCTTCCCTCTTAGGTTTCTGTGCAAATTGAATGAGGTAATATATGTTCAAGTGCTTTGCAAAGACAGATAAAAATGTAAGGGATTAATTATAATTTCTATTACTATCACCATTAACATTTTGGACTTTGATTCCAATTCCTTCTTCCTTTGTCTTCTGGGATGCTCCCTGCTTTGCCCAGAAAAACTCATTCATTAGGCACTGAGGATAATTCCCCTATGGCCAAAGGATGTGCAGCTTCCAGATCAGCTAAATTAGAAACGTTTAAATTTTTCATCTATTCCCTTGTCTGCTCTTTGGTCAATAGCTTATTCTGACAACTTCATTACCTTCTAATTACTCTAAGTTCCTTTGCTCATTTTCTGTGTGTGATAAAAAACCTGCCCAAGAAAGAAATGTGACATGCCAAATCACTTGACTCATGACTGACAACTAAACCATTCACTTGACGGGGATTTTCTTTTTCTTCATCCAGAATATATTTGCAAAAGCACTTCTGCTGCCTTGCTTGAAGATTGCCAGCCACTTCTCCTTTTCTGCACACTTTACCTTCCACTGCCAGATGTGAGCAATAAGATGTATCTTCTTCTCTCTCAGAAGAGCTGATTTATCCTTTGCCTGTAAATCTTTGAGCAGCCATTCAAGAAGCTACATCAGATATGCCTTAATCTTTGTATTACTCATTTCTTAAAGGAATCTTAATCTATTGGGCTTTAATTATATGTCCTTAGAAAGTGCCAGCCTTTCCTTAGGAAGACACTTTATTCTTACAGTTTAATCATCATTTTCACTCTCATTTTCTCATGAGGCTCTACATAGAAAATTGGAGGTAGAGAGAGTTTAGAGGTCACTCAGCCTGCAATGGTGCCCGAGCCTGACAGTTCATGCCCATCCCAGGGCTTCTTATTCAAAACACAGATTCATTGTTGATTCTAAGCCAAGCCTGGAATTCTGGCAAGTGTATGTTTATAAAGCCACACAGATGATCCTAATGAAGAGCCAGCTGAGGAACCATGCACCCAGTGCATGGATTTCCACACTAAGATGGCTTTAGGCCAAAAGGTAAGAGCAGAGAATTTGGAATTTCAGGGACATGAGCTCAACTACTGCAACCTTTTCATATCCATTGAACGTCTTGGGCCAAGTTCCTGAAACTTTGTGGCCTTAATTTCTTAACATCATGATATAGAGAAGATTTTTGAGGCTTAACATGAAAAAACATATATAAGGCACCCAGCATAGGACCAGCCACCTGGTAGGTATATGTTCTCTTTCACTTCCCCAGGATCCCTATTATTTTCAGTATTATACAGTCTAATAAAAATTGTTCTTTTATTCTTACTAATGCTTCCTCGGTTATGCTAATGCAGTCCCTAATGTAATCCTCACAGCACGAGTATGAAGGTAGTACTATTATTATCTCCAATTTACAGATAAAAAAATTTATAGTTAAATTACAGGAAGTCCCATAACTGAAGTGGTGGTGGTATTGGAATTTGAACCTGGAAGGCCCAACTCTAAAGCCCACTCCTTCAAACATTCCCATCTAACATTTCATGCTTTTATTCAATTCTTTCTATACTTTCAGGACCAGGCTAGATGAGGCAGGCAAGGAACTGAGGACTACATTTAAGGAGGCCCTCACTCTTAATTGCAGGATGGGCACTTGCAGGATGCTGGGAGTGAGGTCCCCCTTAAATTCTGTGTCCTAGGAGCCCTGATCAGGCCCTGGTGGGATCCACTGGGGAAGAGGAAATAGCTGGGGAAACCTTTGAGACACACCAGCTGTCTTCCTTCACAAGAGCATGCATAGTGGGGACATTTATTCCCTGAGGTACTAAAGGTCCTAAAGGGGCTGAGGGAAAACCAGACTCCCAAGAGTTCTAAGGAACATTCGGGCTCTGGCCTCCACTTCCCTACCCTCCAGGATGGAGCAAACTAGGAGGAGGAGGTAGTCAGGGCTGCTGCTGAATGAATTAACTCATCTTTCCCCTCTCCACCCTCCCCAACCCCAACACACACAAACACACACACACACATACACACACGCTGGACCAAGATCTAACTCTTTTATTTGCTTGGAAATAATGGCCCTTCCCCAAGTTATGCTGACTGAGTCTCAAAACTGGGGAGAGGATGGAAGGGAAACTGAGGCAAGCTAGAACTTCAGCTAGGGGCACATTGGTTTAGTTGTGCACAGAGGACAGTGATGAGGGTGAGAGTCAGGACTTGTATTCATTTATTCATTTTTTGAGTCACAGTCTCACTCTGTTGCCCAGGTTGGAGTGCAATGGTGTGAGCTCAGCTCTCTGTAACCTCTGCCTCCCAGGTTCAAGTGAATCTCCTGCCTCAGCCTCCCAAGTACCTGGAATTACAGGTGAACGCCACCACGCCTGGCTAATTTTTGTATTTTGAGTACAAAATACCTCAAACTCCTGACATCAAGTGATCTGCCCACCTCCAAAAATGCTGGGATTACAGTTGTGAGCCACCACACCCAGCCAAGACTTATAATTTCTTACCTCAATATGATCGAGAGTTGTCATATGCAAGGGGCAGCACTTTGAAACTCCAAAACAACCTCGTGAGAACAGCACTATGCATAATATTTTACACATGGTAAAAACCGAGAATCAGAGGAAAGACCTGTTTAGAATTGGAAGGGCAGGGGTAGAAAAGGGGTACTACCGGCCAGGCGCTGTGGCTCACGCCTGTAACCCAGCACTTTGGGAGGCCGAGGCGGGCGGATCACGAGGTCAGGAGTTTGAGACCAGCCTGGCCAACATGGCGAAACCCTGTCTCTACTAAAAATACGAAAATTAGCCAGGCGTGGTGGTGCATGCCTATAATCCCAGCTACTTGGGAGACCGAGGCAGGAGAATTGCTTGAACCTGGGAGGAGGAGGTTGCAGTGAGCCGAGGTCATGCCATTGCACTCCAGCCTGGGCAACAAAGCAAGACTCTGTAGTGCAAAAAAAAAGGAAAAAAAGGAAGGAAGGAAGGAAGAAAGAAAGAAAGAAAGAAGAAAGAAAGAAAGAGGGAAAAGGAAAGAAAGAAAAGGAGTACTACTATGTATATGCGCTTCCATGATATTTAGTCTTGTTTAATTATCACAGGAAACCTGGGAGTTAGGCAGAAATATATTCTTTATACAGATATGGATGAGTACTTTCATTTAAGGAGACTGTCAAACTTGCTCAATGTTTCAGAGGAACCAGATTCAAACCACATTAGTTTTACTCCAAAGCTGTGCTATTTTTTCCTGTAATAGCATGTAGGTTTCAGCTTCCGGCTGATGGTCAGTGGCTTGCAGGTGCCCTGTATTGAGGAGAATCCTGAGATGACGTTGGGTTGATCAGTGATTTCTGCCATGGGTTGGTGGACGAAGAGGCACGCGTGCCACAACCGTCCTTGCACCACAGTGCTCTCCAGGAAGTGAACCTGACCCCATGGATCAGGAAAGCATAGGTCCTGAACATGGACAAAGTATCCTCTGGAAAATAATTCCACACTTTGGTCCTTATTCCTCACTGCCTCATTTAATCCTTCCCACAAACTTGGTCTTAGGCACTTCTGCAGCTGCGGCACCTACCATCAAAAAAGATGTGATGCATTTCGCTGAATTCATGACGTTGATGCATTTACCTGAACTGACTGCATAGTGGAAGAGATGACAAGGACTTTGTCCCATTTCACAGATGAAGAAACCGAGGCAGAATGTCACAGAGCTAGCCTGTAGTGAAACCATGACTCACACCCAGAACTGTGATCTCCATTTGGTATTCTTGGCATTAAAGCTCTCTGAGGGAGAAAGAAGGAAGGAAGGAGGAAGGGACAGTTGTTCTAGGAGGTAGGTGGTGATGAAAAGAAATCGCCTCAGGTCTGTTTGTTCACACTTCCTGCCAAATAAAGGCTGTGTCTCTCAGCAGGTAAAGAACTAAACAAACTGCCTCTGGCAGGCCCAGGATGGAGATATCAGCGTCAGAAGAGGGCCTTGCTGAGATCTTATGCTTCTGGAGGGTCACAGGAGGGGTAGAACTCATGGAAATAAAACTTCTGAGTTACTAAAAGAAGCCATCCTGAGGCATGGGCATGAGGGCTAAATGTCTTTTCAGAGAAGCTGACATCCTTTAGCTTTAGTTTTTCCTCTCTTTTCCCCTCCCTTCTCCTCTCTGCTGCTTCTGGATGCACGGTCCTGAACAAGTTTTTAATTCTTCAAGGAGAGAAACTTAAAAGTTAGCATCCCTAAGAGGCAGGCAATGCAGTCAACTTCATACTATGGTATAAATGACTAATAGAAACAACTTATCTCTGAGCTTTTTGTTTCATATTTTGAGAGCAACAACCTGTACAGAGCATTGTGCTGAGCACCTGCCATCCACAAGGAATTTACAGCTACAGGGAGCCTGCGATGGTTACATTCTAGTCCTCTCTGTGCTCTCACAGCCCTTTTCATTGAGCTGTGAAAGTCTCACATTTTACAGTCCTCTGTGCCCATTGCCGGGAGCTATATAGGTGTGGCCCTCTTCTACCTGGAGCTCACAGTCTCGCATGGGAGAGACTGAAGGAAAAAGCATCATCATCCAGTGGGAGAGACAAATTAAATCTAGGGCTTACCAAGAGGGTAGGAGGGGTGAGTGAACCTGACTGGGGGAGGCAGGAGGGCTTCAGGGAGAAGATCCCTGATAGAGATTTTAAAGGATAAGAATAAGATGGATGTAGGCAAAGAAGAAGGAGTAGAACATCTGAAATTGAGAACAACCCATGTGAAGATATGAGCCTTTTGAAAATCAGATCACAAAGCTAGTCAGTGACATACCAAAGCTTTAAACTTAGATCTGTTTAACCTCAATGCCAATTCAGTGGAGACCACTCTCCCTGGAGAGGTAGAAGTGGGGAGATAGTGGGAACTGGGGTGGTATTTCTTAGAGCTTCTTATTGAATGAACTGGTGAAAAGGGAGAGTTCCCTGATTTCCCTCGCAGGATGTGTAGCAGGGGTGTGGCTCACCTGCTTGTTTGCCCTGCAGCTCAAACCCCTAGGAGAAGCATGCAGACAGGCAGGTGCAGAGGCTGAGGTGAGTACTTTTGGGCTCCTGCCCCACCGCAACATCAAGAGGTGGGTGCCTGTGACTCCTGAAGCCCAAGTAGGTGTGTGCTACAAAGCTCTTTCAGGTTTGCCATCTGCAGACAGCTTGTGTGTTAATCAGCTCAACGGACCCTCTGCCTTATTCCAAGGGCAGAGAGCCAGTGTGACAGCCTTTTGTATCCTGAGCTCTTGCCCAGTGTCCTGAAAGAATTGCATCATACATGAGCTTGAGGGATGAGTGCAAAGTTTTATTGAGTGGTGGAGGTGGCTCTCAGCAAGATAGATGGGGAGCTGGAAGGGGGGATGGAGTGGGAAGGTGGTCTTCTCCTGGAGTCGGGTCACCCAGCAACCAGACTGTTCTCTGACCGCCCCCAGCTGAACACCCCTTGTTGTCCAGTAGTCCCTCCTCTTCTTTCTTTCCCTACTGCATCTTTCCACCATTGCTGGTGTGCCGGTCCACTCGTCTGCTGATCTGCTGGTCTCAATGTTCAGCCGCTTGTGTGTGTGCCCACTAAGGTCTCAGGTTTATATGGGGCAGCAGGGGGATAATGGCAGGCCAAAAGCAACTTTTTGGGCACAAAAACAGAAATGCCTGTCCTCATTTAGGGCAGCAGGTCTTCAGGCTTGAGGGAGGGGCCTTTGTTGGGTAAATGCCCTCTTCTACCCAGTATTTCCCTGTCTCCTGTTTGTATCACTGGCACTCCACCCCCAACCCAGCCACATGACCTTGGGCAAGGGACGTGACCTTCATCTCTGTAAGAACCTTTTTCCCATCAAGGAAAGGAGGCATTTGATCTCTGTGATGCTGATGTGGCTGCATGCTGGGGTGAGTGCAGCAGCGTTAGTTCTCTCGTGGTCTCTGCCATAGAACAAACCACTGCCCAGCCATTGCCCAGTGACTGAGAAACTCTCTGTGTGGGCAGCAGGGGGCTGGCAGTTTTGAGCTCTTGATATGAGAGACACAAGCTGTTCTGCAGGGCTCTGTGCTTTCTCTATGACCAATGTTTTTGAACTTCAGTGTTCACTCATTGCCTTGGGGTCATAGATGGTCATGACAGGATGGGGTCTTCAGGGATCTCTGCACTGTCCTCGCCTTGTTGTTAGCACGGAATCTGAGGCTTGGGGAGGGAGAGTCCCCAGGCCAGTGCTGAGACAAGGCCAGAAGCCTCATCCCCTGATCCCTGTGGCTTGTTTCCCACCACCTATTACTGTCTTAGGGGAGTCATAGATAAAGCTCTTTGGCTGTAAGCAATGTCTCTGGAGGCTCATCAAGCAGCAGAGAAGAAATAGCTTCAGCAACTAATTTTTGTCTGAAAAGAGGAAAACAATAAAGACCTTAAGAGAGAAATAAACTTGGAGGCTTGGTGAAGAAAAAAATTAAAGAAAAACTGCCAATTGCTGGCAAGAAAAATGAAGAAAGTATGTAAACACTGGAAAGAGTAGGTGAGGAAAATAAAACAACAAAATAAAGAGCTGTTTATTCAAAAATTCCTGTGACTGTGACCAGGTCAATCACTCCTCAAAAACCATCCATAGCTCCCTAGTGCCTGGAGGATAGAAGTAGAGACTTGGAATCTTTGAGTTAGAAGCATGTCTAGTTGGTGCATATAGGGCTCAATCCACATTGTTTAATTTTAAAATATTGGGGTTTTTTTTATTTATTTTTGGTGGGAGCAGGGAGACAGAGTCTCACTCTGTTGCCCAGGCTGCAGTGCAATGGTGCGATCTCAGTTCATTGCAACCTCTGCCTCCTGGGTTCAAGCAATTCTCCTGCCTCAGCTTCCAGAGTAGCTGGGATTACAGGTGGATTACACAACCATGCCCAGCTAATTTTATATTTTTAGTTGAGACAGGGTTTCACCATGTTAGCCAGTCTGGTCTCCAACTCCCAACCTCAGGTGATTCGCCAGCCTTGGCCTCCCAAAGAGCTGAGATTATAGGTGTGAGCCACCACGCCCAGCCAAAAATATTTTTTTGAGTGCCCAAAGAAATATATATTGTACAAAAATATAAATACTAGGATTAAGATGGTGAATAGGAGGCAGGACTAGCTTGCAGCTCCCGCTCCGATGCACAGAGCAGCATGTGGAGATTCACAGCATGAACTTTTGCTCCAAGAACTACCACAGGGACAAACCAGGAAAGCTGAGAGAATCCACAGACCCTTTGAAGGAACTGGATCACTGCTGCAGTCTCCCTGAGATGCCAAAAAACTGTGAGTCTGCTTGCTTTCTCAGTGGAGAAACTCATAGACTCAGCCCTGGTCACTGGCTGCCTGGAAATAGAGTCAGTGCTGTTATGGGGGCACAGTGGGAGTGAGACCAGCCTCTGGGACTGTAGGCTGCATGGGAGAGGTGTGAGACCTGTGACTGCCAGCTTTCTCCCCACTCTCCTGGCAACCTGTATAAGTCAGCAGAGACAGCCATAATTCCCCTGGTAATATAACTCCACTGGACTTGGAACCACATTCCCATCTCCTAAAGCAGCTGCAGCAAACCCTGTCCAAGGAGAAGCTAAGCTCAGACATGCCTATCCTTCTCTGCATCTGGTGGTCTTTCTCTACCTGCCCTGGTAGCCAAAGACAAAGGTCATAATCTCCTGGGAGCTCTACAGCCCTGCCCACTGGCTGAGAAACCTGAATACTTAACTAGGTATCGGAGGCAAGTTTGCATCCTCCCTATAGGACCTCAACTGATGTGCCTTGGAAAGCGCCACCTCATGGCTGGAGGCCAACCAACACAAAAGCAGCACACTCAACAAAAATACAACCAAGGACCCTCACAGAGTCCACTTTACTCCTCTCCTACCACCACTGGAGCAGGTGCTAGTATCCACGGCTGCAAGACTTGAAGACAGATCACATCACAGGACTCTTTGCAGACACTTCCCAATACCAGCCTGGAGCCCAGTAGCTCCACTGGGTGGCTAGACCCAGAAGAGCAAAAACTATCACTACAGTTTGGCTCTCAGGAAGCCTCATTCCTAGGGTAAGGGGGAGAACACCACATCTAAGGGAGGACTCCAAGGACAAAAGAATCTGAACAGCAGCCCTTGAATTCTAGGTCTTCCCTCTGACATAGTCTACCCAAATGAGAAGGAACTAAAAAAAAAAAAAAATCTGGTAATATGACAAAACAAAGTTCTTTAACACCCTAGAAAAATCATACCAGCTCATCAGCAATGGATCCAAGCCAAGATGAATTCTCTGAATTGCCAGAAAGGTAGTTCAGAAGGATGATTTTTAAAAAATTTTATTTTAAGTTCCAGGATACTGTGCAGGACGTGCAGTTTTGTTACACAGGTAAATGTTTGCCATGGTGGTTTGCTGTACCTATCAACCCATCACCTAGGTATTAAGCCCCTCAATGCATTAGCTATTTATCCTGATGCTCTCCCACCCCCTAGCCCCTGGACAGGCCCCAGTGTGTGTTATTTCCCTCCCTGTGTCCATGTGTTCTCATTGTTCAGCTCCCACTTATAAATGAGAACATGCAGTGTTTGGTTTTCTGTTCCTGTGTTAGTTTGCTGAGGATAATGGGTTCCAGCTTCATCCATGTAGAAGATCAACTATTAAGTGAATTAAAGACCAGGAAAGGTGAAGTCCAGCTTAAATAAATAAAAAACATAACACAGGATATAAAAGGAAAATTCTTCAGTGAAATAGATAGCATAAATAAAAAGCAATCACAACTTCTGGAAATCAAGGACACACTTAGAGAAATGCCAAATGCACTGGAAAGTCTTAGCAATAAAATCAAACAAGTAGAAAAAAAGCCTCAGAGCTTGAAGACAAGGCTTTCTAATTAGCCGAATCCATCAAAGACAAAGAAAAAAATTTAAAAAATAAACAACACCTCCAAGAAGTTTGGGACGATATTAAACATGTTCCTGAGGAAGAAGATAAATCTAAAAGTTTGGAAAACATACTTGAGGGAATGATCAAGGAAAACTTCCCCAGCCATGCTAGAGATCTAGACATACAAATACAAGAAGCTCAAAGAACACCTGACCTGGGAAATTCATCACAAAATGATCATCACCGAGGCACATAGTCATCAGGTTATCTTTTTCTTTTTTTTTTTTTTTTTTTTTTTTGAGACGGAGTCTCGCTCTGTCACCCAGGCTGGAGTGCAGTGGCGCGATCTCGGCTCACTGCAAGCTCCGCCTCCCAGGTTCACGCCATTCTCCTGCCTCAGCCTCCCGAGTAGCTGGGACTACAGGCGCCCGCCACTACGCCCGGCTAACTTTTTGTATTTTTAGTAGAGATGGGGTTTCACCTTGGTCTCGATCTCCTGACCTCGTGATCCGCCTGCCTCGGCCTCCCAAAGTGCTGGGATTACAGGCGTGAGCCAACGCGCCCGGCCAGTCATCAGGTTATCTAAAGTCAAGAGAAAGGGAAGAATCTTAAGAGGTATGAAGCAAAAGCATCAGGTAACCTCTAAAGGAAAACCTATCAGATTAACAGCCAATTTCTCAGAAAAAAAACCTTACAAACTAGAAGGGATTTGGGTGCTATTTTTAACCTCCTTAAACAAAACAATGATCAGCCAAGAATTCTGTATCCAGCAAAACTAAGCTTCATAAATGAAGGAAAGATAGTCTTTTCCAGACAAACAAATGCTGAGAGAATTTGCCACTACCAAGCCAGCACTACAAGAACTGCTAAATGGAGCTCTAAATCTTAAAACAAATCCTTGAAATCCTAGAACCTTCTTAAAGCATAAATCTCACAGGACCTATATAACAATAACCCAATGGAAAATTAACAAGGTATTCAGATATACAACAAATACATGATGAATAGAATAGTACCCCACATTTCAAAATTAACATTGAATGTATATGGCCTAAATGCTCCACTTAAATGGATATGGCAGAATGGATGAGAATTCACCAACCAAATTTCTGCTGTCTTCAGGAGACTTACCTGACACAAAAGGATTCACATAAACTTAAGGTAAAGGGGTAAAAAAAGATATTGAATGCAAATGGACATCAAAAGTGAGCAGAAGTAGCTATTCTTATATCAGGCAAAACAAACTTTAAAGCACAGCAGTTAAAAAAGACAAAGAGAGACATTACATAATGATAAAAAGACTAGTCCAACAGGAAAATACCACAATTGTAAATATATATGCAACTAACACTAGAGCTCCAAAATTTATAAAACAATTGCTACTAGACCTAAGAAATGAGATAGATGGCAACATAATAACAGCAGGGGACTTTGATACTTCACTGACAGCACTAGACAGGTCATCCAGACAGAAAGTCAACAACAAAACAAATGGACTTAAATCATACCCTACAACAAATGGACTTAACAGATATTTACAGAACATTCTACCCAACAACTGCAGAATATACATACTCATCAGCACATGGAACATTCTCCAAGATGGACCATATGATAGGCCACAAAACAAGTCTCAGTAAACTTAAGAAAATTGAAATTATATCAAGTACTCTCTCAGACCACAGCAGAATAAAACTGGAAATCAACTCCAAAAAGAACCCTCAAAACCATGCACGCTTGGAAATTAAATAACCTGCTCCTGAATGATCATTTGGTCAACAATGAAATCAAAATGAAAATTAAAAAAATTATTTGAACTGAAAGATAATAGTGACACAACCTATCAAAACTTCTGGGATACAGCAAAAGTGGTGCTAAGAGGAAAGTTCATAGCATTAAATGCCTATATCAAAAAGTCTGAAAGAGCACAAATAGACAATGTAAGGTCACACTTCATGAAACTGGAGAAACAAGAACAATCCAAACCCAAACCCAAACCCAGCAGAAGAAAATAAATAACAAAGATCAGAGCAGAACTAAATGAAATTGAAACAATAACAATAATACAAAAGATAAAAAATGGTTCTTTGAAAAGAAATAAAATTGATAGACCATTAGTAAGATTAACCAAGAAAAGAAGAGAGGAGATCCAAATAAGCTCAATTAGAAATGAAAAGGGAGATATGACAACGGATACCACAGAAATACAAAAGATTATTCAAGGCTACTATGAACACCTTTGCATGCATAAACTAGAAAACCTAGGAAAGATGGATAAATTCCTGGAAATATACAACCTTCCTAGATTAAACCAGGAGGATATAGAATCTCTGAACAGACCAATAACAAGCAGCAGGACAGAAACAGCATTTAAAAATTGCCAACAAAAAAAGTCCAGGACCAGATGGATTCACAGCTGAATTCTATCAGACATTGAAAGAAGAATTGGTACCAACCCTATTGACACAATTCCAAAAGATAGAGAAAGAGGGAATCCTCCCTAAATCACTCTATGAAGCCAGTATCACCTTAATACCAAAACCAGGGAAGGACACAACAAAAATAGAAAACTATAGACCAATAGCCCTGATGAACACAGAGACAAAAATACTAGTGAACTGAATCCAACAGCATATCGAAAAGAGAATCCACCATGATCAAGTGGGTTTCATACAAGGAATGAAGGGATAGTTTAACATACATAAGTCAATAAATGTGATAAACCACATAAACAGAATTAAAAACAGAAATCACATGACCATCTCAACAGATGATGAAAAAGTGTTTGACAAAATCCAGCATCCCTTTATGATTAAAACTCTCAGCAAAATCAGCATTGAAGGGACATACCTTAAGGTAATGAAAGCCATCTATGACAAACACACAGCCAACAGTATACTGAATGGGGAAAAGTTGAAAGCATTCCCCATGAAAACTGGAACAAAACAAGGATACCCACTTTCAACACTTCTGTTCAACAAAGTATGGGAAGCCTTAGTCAAAGCAATCAGACAAAAGAAAGAAAGGGCATCCAAATCAGTAAAGAGGAAGTCAAACTGTCACTGTTTGCGGATGATATACCTAGAAACCCCTAAAGTCTCATCCAAAAGGCTCCTAGAACTGGTAAACGAATTCAGCAGTTTCAGGATACAAAATTAATATACACAAATCAGTAGTTCTGCTATACACCAGCAGCAACCAAGCTGAGAATCAAATCAAGAACTCAACCTCTTTCACAATAGCTTCAAAAAAAAAAAAAAGAAAGAAAGAAAGAAAGAAAATACTTGGGAATAAACCTAACCAAACCTAACCTAATAGACCTCTATAAGGAAAACTGCAAAACACTGCTGAAAGAAATCATAGATGACAAAAGAAATGGAAACACATCCCAAGCTTGTGGATAGGTAGAATCAATATTGTGAAAATGACCATACTGCCAAAAGCAATCTACATATTCAGTGCAATTCCCATCAAAATACCACCATCATTCTTCACAGAACTAGAAAAAACAATCCTAAAATTCATAGAGAATGAAAAAAGATCCTGCATAGCCAAAGCAAGACTAAGCAAAAAGAAGAAATCTGGAGGCGTCACATTACCTGATTTCAAACCACACTCTAAGGCCATAGTCACTGAAATGCATGGTACTAGTATAAAAATAGGTACATAGACCAATGGAACAGAACAGAGAACCAAGAAATAAAGCCAAATACTTACAGCCAACTGATTTTCAACAAAGCAAACAAAAGCATAAAGTGGGGAAAGGACACCCTGTTTAACAAATGGTGCTGGGATAATTGGCAAACCACATGTAGAAGAATGAAATTGAATCCTCATCTCTCACCTTGTACAAAAGTCAACTCAAGATGGATGAGAGACTTAGATCTAAGACCTGAAGACATAAAGATTATAGAAGATAACATCTGAAAAACTCTTCTAGACTCTGGCTTAGGCAAAGACTTCATGACCAAGAACCCAAAAGAAAATGCAACAAAAACAAATGTAAATAGTTTAATTAAACTAAAAAGCTTCTGCACAGTAAAAGAAATAATCAGCAGAGTTAACAGACAATCCACAGAGTGGGAGAAAATCTTCACAATCTATACATCCAACAAAGGACTAATATCCAGAATCTATAAAGAACTCAAACAAATCATCAAGGAAAAAAAATCAAAAAGTGACTAAGAACATCAATAGACAATTCTCAAAAGAAGATAAACAAATGACCAACTAATTATCAGGGAAATGGAAATCAAATCCACAATGCAATACCACCTCACTCCCGCAAGAATGGCCATCATCAAAAAAATCAAAAAATAATAGATGTTAGTATGGATGCAGTGAAAAGAGAACACGTTTACACTGCCGATGGGAATGTAAACTAATACAACCACTAAGGAAAACAATGTGGAGATTCCTTAAAGAACTGAAAGTAGATCTACCATTTGATCCAGCAATACCACTACTAGGTATCTACCCAAAGGAAAAGAAGTCATTATACAAAAAAGATACTGGCACACACACGTTTATAACAGCACAGTTTGCAATTGCAAAAATATGGAACCAGCCTAAATGCCCATTAATCAATGAGTGGATAAAAAAAATGTGATATATATATAACAACTGTGGAGAAGCACCTGAACCCAGCTGATATATATATCTACCATGAAATTCTACTCAGCCATAAAAAGGAACAAAACAATGGCATTCACAGCAACCTGGATGGAATTGGAGATTATTATTCTAAGTGAAGTAAGTCAGGAATGGAAAATCAAACATCAAATGTTCTCACTTATATGTGGGAGTTAAGCTATGAGACACCAAGGCATAAGAATGATACATTGGACTTCGGGGATTCAGGGGAAAGGGTGGGGAGTGGCGAAGGATAAAAGACTACATATTGGGTACAATGTACATTGCTCAGGTGATGGGTGCACCAAAATCTCAGAAATCACCACTAAAGAACTTATTCATGTAACCAAACACCACCTGTTCCCCAAAACCTATTGAAATAAAAAAATTTTTTTTAAAAACAAATACTAGTGAAGGTAAAATTTAAATCTGCCTTCATCATCATCCAATACATCCTCTTCCCCCAAAGTAGCTACTGTTAACAGTCTGATGTGACTCTTTCTTTAAAAAATTCAATGTATTTACAAATATTATGTTTGAAATGATTTCCAAAGATTGTATTATTCAAATTTATCTCTGATTTATTAATTTATTTATTTTAATTTATTTTATTTTACTGTTTGAGGCAGGGTCTTGCTCTGTTGCCCAGGCTGTAGTGCAGTGATTCAATCAGGGCTCACTGCAGCCTCATCCTCCTGGAATCAAATGATCCTCTTATCTCAGCCTCCCAAGTAGGTGGGACAACAGGCATTTGCTACCATTCCCAACTAATTCTTTACGTATTTATTTACTTTTGTACAGAGATCTAGAGTCTCACTATGTTGCCCAGGTAGGTCTTGAACTCTTGGACTTGAGCAATCCTCAGACCTCGGCCTCCCAAAGTGCCGTAATTATAAGCATGGGCCACCATGCCCGGTCTATTTTGTTTTTTATATAATAATATATATTTAGTGGTTATTCTATCTTAATAAATAGGAGTCTGTCTCATTCTTTGTAAACTGTTACATAAAATAAATGCAACTTACTATAAAAAGGAGGTAGGCAAAATTTATGTGACTCCTCTCCTTTTAATTAATATCTATGTTGTTTTCAACATTTTACCATTACAAATATTGAAATGGTTATTACTGAAGATCTAAATTTATGCTCATGGGTGGTTATTTCTGTAGGACAGATTCCTATAAATAAAGTTGCATATGCATTTCTAATTTTGATACTCTCACTGACAGTGGAAAAATAAAAGCTAATTATCACTGAGCACTCACGATGGGCCAGGTGCTATTCTCAGCATTTTCCATGGATTACCATATTTAATTTCAAAATAACTCTGTAATATAGGCACTGTTATTGATGAGAAAAATAGAGCAGAGAGATTCAGTAACTTGCCTAAAGTCACACAGGGCAGGATGCAATCCCAGGTGGTGTGACTTCATAGCCCATGTTTCTACCAGTTTGAATTTCTTGTCACTTAACGAGAATATCCATTTTTAAGCAATGTAGGCACCAATGGATTTAAACAGCTAGAATTTTATTTATTTTTTACCTTAATAAAAATTGTATCTTTTGATTTCCATGTATGTGCCCTTGATATCTTGTGGGATTGAGAATTTTTTCATATTTATTAGCCCTTTACATAACTCAGATTAATTGTCCTCTTATATTCTATGCCTATTTTTTCATGAATATTTTTAATAATTGATCACAAGTAGTTCTTGTATATTCTGATTGTTGAGCATTTATTATATATCTATTGCTATATTTTTCTTACTCTGTCACTTTTCTTTGAATTTGTTATGTTTTCTCCCACAAAAAAGATATTAAAAATTTTATAATCAAATATGCAAGTCTTTTGTTTATGGTGTCAAGAATTTTAAACCTTCTGTAGGACAATGTTTCCAACTTAAGGTAAGAAAACTATTTTTCTATATTTATTATAATGCTTTCTAAATTTTGTTTTTAAAACGTTTAATAAATCCGTGTATTATTCTTATATATAATGTGAATTTAAAAGATAACTTTTTCAATGGTTATTAAATTGTCAAAACTATTTCTTAAACTCTTACTTCTTTTCTAATTGATTTGAAGTGAAACTCATCACAAATTCTCAAATACCACAGATTGAATTCTGGACTCTCTTTTTTGTTCTTTTAATTGATTTGGCCAGTCTTTGGATAATGCCAGGTTTTGAGCAAAATTAATTCCTATATCTCTAGAATATGATGATTTTACTTGTGATAAGACAAGTTGATCTTATTGTATTTCTTATTTGAAATACTCTTAGCTATTTCTACTAATTTATACTCTTGGCAAATTAAGAATCAGATTGTTGAGCTCTATTTTTAAAAATGGGATTTTGATTATAACCTCTGTTTTGTAGAGCAGGAGACAGATCAGAAAGAGGAAGGCGCTTGCTCAAGGTCATGTGTGTAAATAATTTCCTTCTAGGGCAGGTATCGTGTCTTGACCAGAGTCATGACCCTAAGGACCTCATCCATATCCCTCTCCTCTGGGACCTCGTATCTTCTCTACCCCTGTCCAATGGGCAAACTGCAATGAACCCTTCAAGGTCTTGCCCAAGCCCTACCTCTTCCTTGATTCCACTCATGCAGCACATCTGCCCCAAGTCCAGTTTTGTGTCCCTCTTCTGTGCCTCCACAGCACCCAACATCCCCCCAAACACCACCTTTTCCACCCTATACTGCCATGGACTGCTTCTGTGTCTGTGAGAGTGGGTATAATCTGGAGGGGGGGTCTGGTCTCTTCTTCTCATTTTCTGTTTACTTGTGGCAGTTTGAAACAAAGGAGTCTTGCATTCTGAAACAACTGTAGAGAAGCACCCGAACCCAGCTGATGGAGGTCAAATTCTACTTTAAATCCACCTTGGGGGGGGGTCATTGGCAGGTAGATGATGATGATACATTTTGAAAAGTGAAGGTCCTTTGTAAAATCACAAATTTCGGTAAGTACTTGTTTGCTCAGAAATATTCCAACTTGTCTCTTTCCTGGCATGTGGAAGAATTGCTGTTCCTTGCCCTGTTGAAGTTAGGCCTGGCAATATGCTCTGCTTTTACCAACTAGATAGGAGCAAAAATGGTATGTGTCCCTTCCAGGTGACACTTTTAAAAGCCAGTGTATGGGCCACAGGTTCTCTTTGCTCTGCCCAAGTGATCATGGAAGCATGAGTTGAGATTGAGGCTCCATTGGCACAGTTCCCTGACTGACCAAGATGAATAGATCACTCTGCCCACTATGATGTTCATGTAGCAAAGCAGTGTGTTTGCTGTCAAGCCACTTGGATCTGGGGATTGCTATCAAAGTGTAGTCTAGCCTGTCCTGACAAAACTAGTTAATTCCATTGGTCAATGCAGATTCTCTTTTATTAGGAATGTGGGGGAGCTTTAAGGATCATTCTGGTGCCAACAGCCTCTTGGTTCCTTTAAACATACTTCTTCAAAGATACTTGACTCAGATTTTCTTATACTTTAAATAATTTTTATTTCCTTTATACGCTGCTTGTCCTGAAGCCAAAAGAAGCTCTTTAAAATCAAAGCAGAACATTGTTGATTATAAAGAAATCTTCAGAGGATGTGTCATAGAGAATCATAAGTTTGGTTTTACACAAAATGCAAATTGCATTAAATCATCCTCTGACGTTCAGCCAGAATGTCTAGTTAGTTGATTCCTTAATCCATCACAGGTATTAAGGGCCCTGCCATATGCCCTACTCAAGGGGTAAGTAGGGGAAGAGGGTAGTCCTGTGTTCAAGGAGGTCACATGATAGTTGTAGGCAGTTTTTAAACAATGCTGATGGATAAAATGTTAAGGCTGTAGTAGAGATTATGTGCAAAGTCATATGGAACACAGAGCAAGGTGAACCAGCCTTATTGAGAGAAATATGTCATAGAACAGGAAGCATTTAAGTTAAATTTTGAAGAATTTGCAGAGGTTCAGTAAAGTGTCCAAGAAGTAGATGCACATTCCAGGCAATGAGATCAAAATGTGTAAAAACATGACAGTACATGGTTACACCCTCAAACCAATGCTAGCCAATGTGTCATGCATACAACCAACTTCCTCTAAGGTCCGGCAGGTAACATGCATAGGTGAAACAAGACAAGCATGCTACACCTAGGAATGATGGGACAGTGATGAACTGGCAGCACGAGCCCTGTCTGGACAACGAGCAGTCAATTCTCAGCTCCAGGTCATTCCTGCCCAATCCTAGTCCAACATTCCCAGACTTTCCCTATCCCCTTTTTTAGGCAAGCCATAAATCCAGATTTCCATGGAAAATCTTCTGATGTATACTTTGTGAATAGAACAAAACTTGTTCACAGGACCAGGGCTGATACTGAAAATATTTAGCAGTTAGTATAGCAGGAGCCCTGAAAAAATCAGACGTACACTGAGCATAATCAACAAGTATGGTCTTTGCAGTGAATCTTGGCTGAACATTATTTCTTCATGGGACACATTGGCCAACCCTTGGCCACCAGTTTGTGAGCCCTGATCCCAAATAGAAGGAGAAGGAACAAGCAGGAGGAGTGGGAGGGTTGTGAAAAGAAGGCTAGAATCTGGCCGCAGTGGATTTTAAATATACTATGTCAGTTGGCTTTTTCTTTGTAACAAAACACTCCCAAAATGTAATAGCTTAAAGCAACCATTTATTTAGCTCATGATTTCTGTAGGGCAGCAGTTGGGCTGGGCTGACTCACTCATACATCTGTCATGTCCCACTTAAACCATGCCCCAAAGAGTTAAAGAAACCAGTAACTAACAAAAATTCTTGAGTTTACAGGATGGAAGATAAAAAAAAAAAAAAAAAAAGAAAGAAACAACTTGCTGAAATGCTGAAACTCCCTCCTCTTGTAAGAGAACAAAATTAGCTGAAATCAGTTAGAACCAATGTAGCCCCCTGAAGTCTGCGCAGAACAAGCTTGCTGACATCCCAGCCTGAAATTCCACCACGTTTCATACTAACTCCCCCTGAATCTGCACATAACCCATGAGATAGCGTGAAGAGATAACTGCTCATACCCAAGGACTTTCCATGCCTCCTCTTTCCTTCCACCAATCACCTGCTAATCTCAGAATCCACCCCCTAAACCTTTTCTAGTCAAATTACAGACTTCAAGCCAGCACAAGAAGACAGATTTGAGCTGGATTCCTATCTCCTTGTTAGTCAACTTGCAATAAAAAGCTTTTCTTTTCTCAGAATCTGGTGTCATAGTATTGGCTTCTAGCACATTGACCAGTCAGCCCCTTTTCCTTGGGACTCCACCAGCTGTCAGGGCTGGTGGTCTAGAGGGGCCTCAGTTAAGGTACTTGTCTCTTGTCCATATGGACTGTCATCCTCCAACCAGCTAGTCCAGCTTCATTAACATGTCACAGGGTTCCAACAGCAGCAAGAGAAAATAATCACTATTGCCCAGTGCTTTTCAGTTCTCTCTTGTGTCACAATGGCTAACATCCCAGGCAAGTCACATGGCTGAGCCCAGAGGTAGAAGAGGAGATATGGTGGGGGAAAAGGGACAAAGAAATCAAGGAAGGGCAAGAGTTTGTGACCATCTTTGCCTTCTACCACATTTGCTATTAAGATTGCACAAAGAGACTGGGCGCAGTGGCTCACACCTGTAATCCCAGCACTTTGGGAGGCCGAGGTGGGTGGATCACCTGAGGTCAGGAGTTCGAGACCAGCCTGACCAACATGGTGAAACCCCACCTCTACTAAAAATACAAAATTAGCTGGGCGTGGTAGTGAGCACCTGTAATCCCAGCTACTCGGGAGGCTGAGGTAGGAGAATCGCTTGAACCTGGGAGGCAGATGTTGCAGTGAGCCGAGATCACACCATTGCACTCCAGCCTGGGCAACAAGAGTGAAATTCGGTCTCAAGAAAAAAAAAAAAAAAAAGATTGCACAAAGGGTTGAATTATCAAATCAGACTCATAAGAATTAGAGATCTTATTCAGTATCAAACTTTACTAATAATACAAAAAAGCTATTCTGCTTTTATGCAATATGCAGATGAAGCATGAGAAGTCTGAGACCACCAATGTTGCATCTTGGGCCCTTTTGCATCACAGCAGAATGTGCCCTGATGTATAACACGTGGGGCTTCTAAGTGATGCATACCGTTCATCACTGACCCAAAGGGAACTTTTAAGCATGAAATAAATCCATTTTATACTCTGATAATTAAATACCCAAAACTGACACTTTCTAGCAGGCCATGCCCCAGAAATCTATACTTTTCAGGTTTGTTTACCACACCAATTGATCAAGTATATCCTGCTGAAAGAATTCTATTGATAAGGACTCTCTTATTATCATTCAATCACTAAAAACCATCAGAAATTTGAATAGAATCTTTCCACATTTGACCAGGATAACTCCTTTTTCCCCTTATTTCTCCTTCTCCTCTTCTTCCTCCTCCTCTTCTTTCTCTTATTCCTCCTCCTCCTCCTTTGCTTCCTTTTTCTTTCTTTTCTTCCTTTCTCTCTTTTTTCTCTTTCTCTTTCTTCTTTCTCTCTTTCTTCTTTCTTTCTCTCTTTCTCTTTCCTCTTCTCTTCTTCTTCCTCCTCCTCCTGCTTCCTACTCTCCTTCTCATTCTTCTTCATAATCTCTCCTTGAAATTATCCAGCTTAAAAAGGATAGTTAACAGATCAGCTGCTAATCTTTTTCTTCCCAACCATACTTTGGATTTTCACCTTTAATATTAACTTCTGTAAAAAAGCATCCAAATATTTGGAGCCATTTATTTTCTCCCTTCACCATGTGTATGTGTGCATGCTATGCTTATACACAAAAATGGGGATTACTTATCATTTATGGATAAGGAACTGTGCATTTAGATGTATTTAATTTCTGTGGAGCCAGAATTCCATCGCTAGAAAGAATCTTATTTCATAAAGTAATCTGATTTCTGCATAAAGTATCAGGTAACTGTGGAGTGGTCTTCCCTGACAGGAGAAATGGGATCTGTTAGAGAGTAAAAAGGTAACTTGCTATTTGAACTAGAAGTTCCATGATGGGTTTCAGAAGAAATTCCAAAATATTCTAGGCCCAGTCTACCCTTATCTTGGAAGTCTCACTTGCATTCTCAATACAAATGAACAAGATTATTGCTAAGATTTCTTCTAAAACTGACATTTATTTGATGAGGTTTAGGGTAGTTTAATAGGAAGTGCCAAATACATGTTTAGGAAGAGTGGAATGAACTCTGACTTATTTGGATGTTTCTGATGCCCTATGCAGAACATGTTGTCTCTAGAATTCTTGTGTAAAATTATATCTTGAACATTGGGAACATACACTCCCTCACGTGGCCTGGAGAATTCCAGAAAGCTACACTGTGATCAAAAGATAGCAGGATATCAAGGTCATTTGAAAGGTTCAGGTTCTTCTTTTTTTGAACTGCTTGCTACTTATCCTAGTAAAATGCAAAGATGTGTGGGTGCATGATATTCTGAACACATCAAAAATAAAGTGGAAGTGGACAGTCAACCTAAAACAGTAAAAAAATGGCTCTATACAGGTTCTGAAGCATCAAGTAAAGAATAGCTACCATGCAAATCAAACAAAAAAAGCCAAGGTTAGTGTTTTACAGAAAGAGACAAATGAGTCTATACTTTCCAAAACGGAAGTATTCACTAGTGTACAATAAAGGCCAAAGCTGCAGCATCCTTAGAGATCCTTAGAGAGGCCAGTGCTTCCTACAGAGTGGTACATGGGGTTGATACATGAGTTTATGATGTTATGGTACACGAATAAACTTTTTATTTTCGTATTTATGTATTCTAGTTCAAATACAAAAAATAATTATGTATTTATTTTAATGAGTGCAATAAATACCTATTTTTTGTTTTGGGGAGTTTTTTTCTTTATTTTCAAGTTTTTACTACCCACTATTCAATCTGTCTTCCATTAGCACCTTGTTTTCCCTATTGGGGAATCTCCCATTTTGTATACTCCTGAGGACCTTGGCCACCTATGGAAGTCAAAGGGACCAGATTTTCATCCTCCTCACACCTGTCCCAAGGTAGGCAGAGTGCAAGTGTGACTTGAGCTTGGCCAACCAGACACTGTCCCTGTGATTTTGAATTCTGAGCAGATAGATGATATGGTGACATGGGTGTCTGATAGCCACATTCATTGTGGTGACAGTGGTGTGGCAGTGGTGCTTCGCAGAGACCAGTCATCCCAGTTTCATGCAGTGGTTCTGCTGTCTAGTCAACCAGGACAACTTCAATCCCTACTGTCTTCAAGCCTGATCTTCTAGCCTCCTAAAGTTACCTGAGCCCCGAGAATCTCTCCAATAAGATCTCACTCTGCTTAAGATGGCTGAAAGATTTTCAATTGCTTTCAACCAAGGACCCTCTGACTGATACAGTGTTAATTAGAAAACATGTAATTAGCAAATCAAAGCCATGATTTTATGGATATTATTCTTTCATAAATGGCAAAGTCTTAAAACAGGGTTGATTTAAATTAACTGGAAAGAAAAGCTTTAAGAGAACAGTGGTGTGTGATTACAAGAAAACAGTGATTATTAGGAAGACAGTGAATTGGCTCAAATCTCATTTATAGAAAATGAATGTGGGTCCTAGGGAGGCTAAGAGACACCAGAAAGTCCCCAGTAGCTCAGCTGCAGACCCTACCCAGCTTCAGGTCCCCTGACTCTATATGGGTCTCACAATCTACCCACATGTGAGGGACAGAGCCCAGCTCCCACACTAAGGGTCCTGCCCCATCACACAGCTGGGATCATCTTGGGTTCTAAATTCACAGAGGCCTAGGTCAGCAGCCAGCACTTTCATCCTTAATCACTTAAAAAAAAGCCTTCTTTTTTTCTGTTTATTTTATTTTATTTTATTTTTTGTCTTCAAACTTGGTATTGACAAGCCTGACAGCATGGAGCACATGTACCACGAATATTCTGTTTTTCATTGAGTCATTCACTGCTGAGGAATAACACCCTCTCCCCATACAGAAGTTCTAAACAGATTAATTGTGATAGTTTTATTCCTCAAGAAACCTCACACTCCAGCCCATCAATAACCCCCTTGAAAACAATAACCTTCTGTGAAAACACCCAGAACCCCTTGACCTATGGCTCAGTGGGAGAACTGTTGTTTTTCTGAAGCCATCTCATCAGCATGACTCAGGAGTGCAGTAATTAGTCTGACAAGGGAATAAAGTCCTGTTTCCCTTACATTTAAAAATCAACTCTTGAAATAATTTTCCACAAAGAGCCAACAGAGACCTATCCCTTTATATTAACTACCAACTGAAGCATTCCCTGGTGGCGTTTCTCCATCCTGGTCCATGCCAATTACAGCATCGTAACCTAGAATGAAGTGAAAATTGTCCATGTGGGAGACAGGGCTCTGCAATGGGAAGGAGAAGAGATCGGAGTGAGATAATCCTGGATTCTAACCTTAGTCTTGCGGCTGAGTGGTGCTTGAGGGGACAGTTGGACAGAGGAAGGCATCCTAGGCAGAGGGAAGAACACAAATGGAGCCATGGAACACAAAACCATGTCAGGAGATGAGTGAACTTCAGGAAGGGGGATGTGTCTGGAAAGCAGGGCGTGAGAGGTGTCTGGAGGCAGGAGACGGGGGCTGCAACTGATATTAAGGAGACAAGATTTTATCTGGGAGGCTGTGTGGGGTATGAAGAGAGCACTGTTGTGCAGTCAGACAGATCTGTGTTGGAGGTCTAGCTCTGCCACTTTCCAGCTGTGAAACTGGGATAACAAAGCTTCCTTTGTAGAGTTACTTTGTGATTTAGAGCTATTGCTTGCAAAGACTGTGGCACCATGCCTGGCTCAGGCACATTTTTTCATAAACAGTTGCTTCTTTGAGGAACTGAGTGGCCACTGAACGTATCCATTGTGGTGTTGAAAGATCTTCCCACCAATGCATGGAGCATAGATTTACAGAAAACACCTTTAAAAAGGCAAACTGTTCAAGGTCATTGCACTTTACTGGGTGAGGAAGAGCCTGGGGCAGAGCAGTGAATGGGGGCACAGTTGGTACAGGGAGGAGGGGCAGATGCAAGAGGTATTTGTTAAGTCAAAGGTACAGGTCCTGGCATTGATTGTACATGGCAAGGAGAGCATTGGCGACCGGCGGGGAGTGGGGCACGGGTTAGGAGTAGTAAGAGTTCAGGATGATTGCCAGGTTTTGCGTGAATAATGGGTCCATAGTGCAGCCCCCAACAAAGATGTAGAATGTGACCAGGTGTGATGGCTTGTGCCTATAAACTCAGCACTTTGGAAGGCTGAGGCAGGAGGATTGCTTCATCCCAGGAGTTTAAGACCAGCCTGGGCAACATAGTGAAACCCCATCTCTACCAAAAACAAATTAGACAGACATGGTGGTGCATGCCTGTAGTCCCAGCTACTTGGGAGACTGAGGTGGGAGGATCACTTGAGCCCAGGAGGCAGAGGTTGCAGTGAGCCATTGCACTCCAGCCTGGGTGACAGGGTGATACCCAGTCACAAAAAAAAAAAAAAAAAAAAAAAAAAAAGAATATAGAATGTCAGAAAAGAAGAAACAGTTGTTGTAGGGAGAGGTTGATTCTCAGGTAGAAGCTAAGCCAAAGCCAGAACCAGAAGGAAAAAAATATAATTAAGTTCCTGGGTTATTTACCTACATTCAGTTGAAAATTCATGTTTTTTTTTTTTGTTTTTTGTTTTTTGTTTTTTAATATGCAGAGGCAAAACATCATAATGAAAGAACACTGAACTTGGATTCCCATGACCAGGCATGCAAACTTTGTCTACCTCCTAACTACTGTGTAATTTGGGGAAAATTGCTAAGCCCGTCTGAGCTTCAGTTTTCTAGTCTGTAAAGTAGGGACAATGACAATCAGTCCTGCCGCCCCCATCAGCTGAAGCACAGTGTGCAATGTGCAGGACTTCTCACCAATCACAGGCTTGTCCTCAGGGTCTCGGTCCCTAGTGCACAGACCATTCAAACATGGGGCCCATCCTGTGGTACCTCTCAATGCTGTGATTCTGAGGGTCATGGATGCTCCTCTGTTCTGAGAAAGCGGGTGCGGAGTTCCACATTCTCCTGGATGCCTTCCATGACAGGGCTCGCTGAGAGACTCGGGAGCGGGGACAGCACGCTCCTTTGTGGGAACACACAACACTCCCTGCCATCTGCCTGAGGCAGGGAGAAAAGAAGACAATGTTCTGTCCTCAGCAGGAACTGGCGCTATCAGAAAGAGATGGAACAAGAAGATCTGTTCCATTTCAAGCCCAAGAGAGTGACCACTGATAGCTGTCCTCAGGATTCATTGAGGACTGGATGAGAGGGAATGTGGAAGAAAATTTTAGTAGGAAGGAAATAAATATGGAGGCTTGGGGGGAGAGAAGGAAGGGAGGGAGGGAGGGAGGGAGACATGGCTGGAGGAGGAGAGGAAGGAAGGAGTGGGAGGAAGGGAGGCAGGAAAGGAAGGAGAAGACAGAAAGAAGTCTACCATTTCTCGAGCCGATCCGATGTATTAGGTAAGGTGCCAAGCTTTTTCATGCCGTCTGTCATTTAATTCCCACAACAACTCTTATTTTACAGGTAAGTAAAATTATGAAGCTGAGGCCAAGAATTGTCAAGTGCCTTACCCGAGGTTAAATCAATTTTCTGAGCCACAACCTGTCTTTTCCACTAAAACATGCCACTTCCCCTTTTGATCCTCTATGTACTCAGAGTGTAAGTGAAGTCCTGGAGGAACTACAAAGTTAGACACCATGAAGAGGGGCATAGCATCCCATTGGAAACATGGGATACCTCATGCTCTTCTGGGCCAGTCTCCCCTGTTGGTCTGCTGTACTCAGTTCTGGGCTATGCCAGAGAGGAGAGAGGAGCCCTGACAACCTGACAGCCAGAGCGGGGCAGGGAGGGTGGTGATGGGTTTCCAAATCAAGTCCTATGACTGAAGAGGCTGGGAGCACTTGGCTGTCGAAGTGACCACCAGTAAGGACAGGCAGCTGTCTTGAGCCAGGTGCTGTCCTGAAGTGGGGATGGAAGTGATCGCAGTTCCAGAGGCCTGAGCTCAGAGAGCTGCAATTTTGTTTCTCATGGAGCTGGGCAACCTTCTTCCAGACCAATAGTTTGGTTCATTTCCTCTTCTTCTTCTTCTTTTTTTTTTTTTTTTTTTTTTGAGATGGAGTTTTGATCTTGTCGCCCCGGCTGGAGTGTGATGGCATGATCTTGGCTCACTGCAGCCTCCACCTCCTGGGATCAAGCAATTATCCAGCCTCAGCCTCCCAAGTAGCTGGGATTACAGGCACCCAACACCACACCTGGCTAAGTTTTGTATTTTTAGTAGAGACAGTGTTTCACCATGTTGGCCAGCTGGTATTGAACTCCTGACCTCAGGTGATCCGCCAGCCTCGGCCTCCCAAAGTGCTGGGATTACAGGAGTGAGCCACCGCACCCAGCCAAAGACTGCTGCTGCTTTTTTTTGAAGTGTTATTTAAAAATTTGTACAGAGTTTGCTTAGAGAGACTGAGAGCTCTGAGGGGCATTCGATGACCAAGAGGCCCTGGTTTCATTATGCCGAGACCTAGTGAGTCTCTTCTGGACTCAAATGTGTGCAAAACTAAGTCAAGGCAGTCTGGAAACCAGCCATAGTTATTCACGCTTGTCCCTCACTGTGAGCACATTATTAAAGCTCTTTCTTCAGTCACATGGGGTAAAATCAAAACTCGAGGAGTTCTGATTAGTAAATTGACCTCCATCTCCTTGTGTTCTTAGTGATCAAAACCTAGATTGTCTCCAAAGCAAGTACTAGTGGCCCGGCCTTAATCCAGTTGCACCTGCTCATGCTCTAGAATTCAGCCCAGCTGGCATCTCTTCGAGGCACCATTCTTGGCTCTCTTGGTCAGGTGAGGTTCTCCTTGTTGCTTCCATAACACCATCCCTCAATGTGTTCCTTCCTTGTATTGCAATGATGTTTAGATGTGCCTGCCTCCCTCACAAGACTTGGAGATACATATTATTACCACCATTGCCCTCAGTTAAGAGGCAAGACTGTTGGGGCTCAGAGAAATTAAGTCACTTCTCTAAGGTCACAGAGCTAGTGTGTAATAGAGCTAAGATTTAAATCTATCTCACCTCGGTTTCACTCCAAAGCTTGTAATTTTTTTTCATTTCAGACTGTTTCTACAACAAATAGATTTCTAAAGTGCCTCTACAGAAAATGTGTTTTCTCTAAAATGAACACCAAACTGGACACTTATGAGTGCCCCCAAGGGTCTTGAGGTGATGGAATAGTCTGCCTTTCAAAGAGAATGATCTTACAATTTACAAGTTTGCCTCTCAATTAACTGAGCACTGTGGCTCTTTATTTAATGTTATTTCTACATAATCTAATTTTGGCTGCAGGTTAATGGACCCATAGGGAGTTACTGCTAGTTCAGTTTCAAACGAATTCAGCAGCATTCCCAGATTATTGGTTGTTAATGGGATCACCCAGCTGTTTTTACTTCCTCCCCATCCTTCTCGAGGTGACTACAGAGAAGAGGACAAAAACGGATGCAGTGGGACTCACTTTTAGATCACTGGGACTACTGAGCTCTCCCTCTGCCGGCTTCCTGGCCACACTGGGTTCCAGCCCCTAGAAAACCACCTGGTCATAGCCAGAGCCAGCATGACCTGCACTATTATTCATCCAAACACATTGACTGAGCACCTAGTGTGCCCAAGGCACTATTCTGGTGCAGTTGGAGACACAGAGATGGATCAAGCATGGTGTGAAGGAAGAATATAAATCGGTTGGGTTAAATCACTAAAATCACTAAAACTGAGCTGTGGTTTCCTTACATGCAGCGTTCATCATCAATATGCCTATCTTCAATTGTTTGTTGTTTATTTATGTAATGTTGACTGAGAATCTGCATGCACCAGATATTTTTCTGAGGATACCTGGGTGATTCCAATCTTGCAGGTTTATGGTCTCAAAAGGGATATAGACAAATTAATAAGCAGCAAATAGTTCAGGGTGATTGGCCAACAGCAGGGAAGTATGAGAGACCATGAGAACACAAAGGAAACATTCCTCTTCAGGACTAAGAGGTCAGGCAAATCTTCCTGGAAGATTTTACAGTTTATTTCTGAGTTTGCCCTGAATATGAACACAGGCCAGCCAGAACACGAATAGCAGTCTCCCAGAGGTGGGAGAGGAGAAAAATTTTAGTCAAAAGGAACAACATGAGCAGATATGCAGGATGAGAAAAAGTAAGTCATCTTGGGAAAGTATGATGGAGAATATGTTTTGAGTGGAGTTCAAGTAAGGATAATAGTGAAGAGGGAGGGGTCTAGAGAAGAGGAGCATGTATGAGACATAAAGAGTCTTGAAAACCTGGAAAAGGAGATGGATTAGACTTCAACTTGTAGACAGCAGAGAGTGGAGGTTCCCAGAGATGTGTGTGGAGCAAATGCGGTCTTTCTGCAAATCACCCAACTGTTCTATGCAGACTTGACTTGGGCCTGGAAAAATTAGAGTCTGGGGCAACTGGACCACAGTTGTGGCCAGGACTATTGAGGAAACAATAAAGAGGGAGATAAGAGGGACCAATTTGAAGGAAAGTTGGCAATAAGTACCAGCAGAACTTGATAGACATGAAATGAGTTCATGGAACTGCAAGCATTAGGCTTTTAGAAAACTACAAAGTAGAAAAGCAAATGCAGTTCACATAAGCCCAGATTTCCACATTGTATGAATTGATGACACCTAAATTAATGATGTTTTTCTATATTGGGATACTAGATCAAAGTCATTTTACTCAAGATTTTATAAATGTAATAGTATTTGAAGAAGAAAGAGTTTGGAAGAATAATAGCACAAGATGGCTTTGATTGTAGGCTTTGGGGTGAATCAGGGTATGGTAGGTCATGGGACCCTTCCCCAGATGATGATAGACAAGGTAATAAGTGGCTTCCACTTTAATGAGGGCCAGAGCTTCTTTTTCAAAGGGTTATTAAATTAGGCTTCACTGATGGCATATTTAGTTTGCTTTAGAAAGGGAAAAAATGGTTTCTCAAAGGCATGGCAACACGAAGTTCGATGGTCTTTTCCATGATACTCCACTCGTGACATTGCCTCAGAGCTGGAGATTAGCTACAGGAGGCAGAATGCCTTATTAGATTTTTTAAAGCATGAAACGTCTTCACTCTGGAACAGGTGATGTTTCACGTTTTCTGAAAATCACACCCCAGGTTTTGTGCTCCAAATGTGTGAGCAGAAGTGGAAGAACACACTGTCTGGAGGCAGGCCAGCATGGCTGGAAACACCTGCTTTCGCCTAAGCCAGCTGCACAAGTTTGGGGAAAATAACTTAGTCTCTCTAGTATGTTGCTTTATCTGTGAAATGAGGCTGAGGGTGATAGCTCACCTTGCAGGGCAACTGTAAAGCTCAGATCAGAGCATTCCTTCCTCCCTTCCCTGACACTGAGTTTTGTTTTCTGCACAAGATGAGGAGGATAAATCCTGACTTGCCTGCCTTGCAGGTTGCTGAGAGCTCAAGGGACAATGAAGGCTTAGAGTAAAAAATGTGTTTGTGTGATGTCACAAGACAGATTGGCAGCAGAATAGAAGCTAAGATCAAGGTGTTTAAACATTCCATACCCTCTCCATTATGCCAGGCAAATTAATGCCCAAGTCCCCGAGACACAAGGGAATGTGTCTGGCTTTCCCTTTTGTGACATTGGCTAGTTCAGGAATAATTGGAAAGTGAGCCCAGAACCCTCATACACAAACCCTCATGTACAATCCTTGATTCTGAATCCCAACATCTTCTCTAACTGCAAGCTCCCCTTGGTGAATCTCCCTTCCAATCTCTCCTCAGCAGCTTCCTTCTCTGGGCCCATGTTGCTCTAGGCACCTACCCTCACAAGGGCCTTTGTCATAACTGGATCTGAGGGATCCATGTGAACACTGTCTGCTCCCCTTCAAATGAATGCCTGAAGGGCAGGACTACAGATACAGGACTCCTATCCGTAATCCCTCCTGACACTCAGCTCCCGTCCAGCACTGCAGGCACTCAATAGAGCTGCCAGAATTAAATATGTTAAAAGAAACAACTTCCAGATTGTTCACTTGACTAACTTAAAATATGCTTTATTTGGAAAAGGTAGGAGGGACGTAATTAATGGTCTCTACCATCATCCAGGCTGAGCTGATGCTGTGATTTGAAAGGGGACTCTTCCTAGATTGCTTACATCCACATTACCCCAACAGCTCTTCCATTCTTCTGGTGCCCAGATCTGGGTCATCAGGAGAGGGTTGATGAAGAGGAAGCACAGGAAGTAAGTCAAACATTGACAGCTTAACCTTAATTCTTTAAAATATCCTCAGCAATAAGGTTGGGGATGGGGGTGTTTAATGAAGGCTAGCTAGGGGACAGGCATGTTTGTTTTAAAGATTAAGTGATAATCTGAATAATTCAATGATAAGTATATAAGGCACACAGCAATTCACCTTAGGATATAGTAGATGCCGAAATAGATGTTACCGTATCTCACCTTCATTTTTCAGGTACTTTTACCTGGTTATAGCTACCATATTCCCAGAATAATGCAGAGGTCTCTTCCTTTAATTCTCAGTATGAAAAACCTCTCTCCATTTTAAATCTGCTTTACCTAGAATTCTAGAATTCTCAGACTTAGTTCAATATAGCCATCCTTTTTTTAGAGCTTTAGAGAGAGTACAGACCAGGTGTGAGTCATTCCATCTTGTGACTTAGTGTGTCTTAGAGTCTGAGTCATAAAACCACAAAGGCACAGAACATTTGGATGGGAAACCAAAGGGAGAAAAAATTAAAGTTTCTCTTGGCACACAAATAATCTTGAATCAAATTTGTAACAGAATGTTGAAACTGAAGGCTCATGGTAAGCCTCATGATAAGCACTAGGAGGTAACAGATGAGAGATTCAAATCCAGGTCTCCACATATGGAATTTACGAAGGAAATGTCAGAGGACCTGCCCAAGCAGTAGGCTCCTCTTCCTCATTGTGTTTTTTTTTTTCTTTTACTTCTTTTTTTTTTTTTTTTTGAGACATAGTCTCGCTCTGTTGCCCAGGCTGGAGTAAAGTGGTGCGACCTGGACTCACTGCAACCTTCATCTCCCGGGTTCAAGCGATTCTCCCGCCTCAGCATCCCAAGTAGCTGGGATTACAGGCATGTGCCACCACACCCAGCTAATTTTTGTATTTTTGGTAGAGACGGGATTTCACCATGTTGGCCAGGCTGGTCTCAAACTCCTGACCTCAAGTGATCCGCCCGCCTTGGCCTCCCAAAGTGCTGGGATTACAGGTGTAAGCCTTTGTACCCAGCCCTTGTGGTGGTTTTAAAGAGTGTTAAGGGAATGAAAGAAAGAAAATTGCTGAGGAGGTTTCCTCAGAGATGCAATTGTATTTATGGGTGTCACGTCAAGTGTGGTGAGTCTTCCATGGGGTCACCCCAAGAGCTTTGGAATGTGTTCCCTGCAATTGAGATATAACTGCTAACCAGGAAATGCAGTGGGTGGAGGAGGGCTGATGTGCCATTTTGGGGGTAAAACTCAGGGCACCTGCTGCATGGGGATCCATTGTTTTTTGGAACAAGGAACATGCGAATGTTTTCCATGAGTCAGTATGGGACTGAGATGGGTTGAGAGAAAGCCAGGATGGGGACATTCCAATTAATAGGGCTGCCCCAAGTAGGGGTGGGATCCATCATGAACAACCTCGATTCCTAGAATCTGAGGGAAAAGGTGAAGCATCCACCCAAGTCAAGTTGCTTCCATCTGGGTTGGGGGAACGTCAGGGGAGTCTCAGTGGTAGGATTCATGAAGTGCTCAAGAATGTCCAGGCCTCCACCAGGTCCTCGGGTGCTAGGGTTGCTGATGATGGTGGTATTTGCAAGGGACTTGTGCTGTTCCTTTACCTTTTCTCCCTTTCCTCCAATCCTCAAGGGGTCATAAGGTGCTGAGAAGCTGGGGTTCAGGGGACTGTAGAAGCAAAAACTGAGAAACGGAGAAGCCAGGCCCCAGGTCTCCACCATTCCCTCCACAAGCTTTTAGCCTAAAGACACCTGATGTGGGGAAAGGAGGAACACTCACTATCAAATCCGGTTGAGATATAGGGCTAATATCTTTGAGCACTCAATTACTGAATCAAGGCCGTGGTGGAGACTTAAAATGACTGTAGAACCGCCAGTTACCTGAGTCACCAGACAAGTCATGGACTTGCCTTATTTTCATCCAGGGGCAGGAGAAGGTTGAACACATATTAAATAGATGGCAGGAGAACACAATAAGGATGCATTTTAATCACTCTGCAAGCTGTGCTTTTTCAACCTGCATTTTATAAAACCTTGTCAAGCATCTCTTTCAAGCTCCAGGGAACAAAAATTACTTAGGAATAAGAAATGGTAAATGGATATCAGTTGTACAATATCCCTTATCATTCACTTAGGATGTGTGAAATATCCCTTGCATTTTCTCTATTTAGTGAGCATCCTGGTCCCCATTTTTTAAAGTCGTGTGAGAGATATTTGTCAAATCTTTACAGTCACCTTGTTAGCAGCACCCTCATAACTTCCTGTTAGGAACTTTCATTGTTGCCCTGGGATTCTCATCCAAGAAGGTATTTAGGAACAGAGTCCTCAGAATTGGGTACAGTAGGATGAGGAAGTTATGGCTTTCCATTGACCACCTTCATCCTGTGCCATTTTAAAGGACTCTGAGGTCTGTAAAATGCTGTAACCTGGATTAGCTAAAACCTCTTGGGTTGCCCCAGTGTATACTTAAGTCTGTTCTCAATACATAAGCATGAAAATACAAACCGACACACTCACAAACACACACATACACATCCTCAAAACTACCCCCTCTCGGCCACATCATACATCAACTCCTAAAACCTGGAAAAGAGAGGTAGATTTCTTCAAAAATATTCTTCCTGAAGGCTATTTAAGGTTACAAAGAATAGAAATAAATCACATACATCAATGCCCAAATTTCTGAATTTCTTCCTTAAGCATTTTTTTCCCTCAAATTTCCCTTCCCTAAAGAAGCTGTCGTCTCTCTCTCTCCTCACCCTATTGTCTGAAACCCTTGCCCCTACTCCATATCTCAACCATTTACATACCCTGTACCTCGATTAGCCAAACAAAGCCTAGCCTTTAGTCAGATTCTGAGCAGCTGCCCTTGCACGGGCCCTGGCCCACTGAAATCTCTCAGGCAAGCCCAGGTACATCTGGATGGTGGGTGGGGTAGAAGGTGGGGTGATCATGAGGACCAATCTGGCTTAGCTGCTTTTGATGTCTGCCTCTTTCTAGGACACTGGCTTATCTTTGCCCCTGCAAGCCTATTCTGGTACTGGCCAGTGGGCTGATGCTACACAGAAGGATGACTTCCAGCTCCCTGTGAAGGGGGCCTTCACATGTGTGGAGGCTCTGAGAGGAAAAGAGTGAATAGGACAGATTCCATGGAACTTGGAATTTGCAGGCAAATTAGTTTGTCATTGTACCTGCTCAAATGTTAGCTTCCTCATCTTCCTTTTCTGGAAGCAAAATATTGCCAATAGCTTTACCAATTTAAGAAAGTGAGAATTTTCCTAGCTCCTCAAACACTGGCCTTGCTAACAACCCCATGTTTTCTCTTCCATCCATCTTCCATGCCTCACTGAAACACCGAATACACCTGACTGCCCACAATCAACAGTGTCTGAACATGCAAAAACTCATGAAGGCTGGCAACTTATTTTTAATTTGTACATTGTCTTCAAAAATTACATACACCTTGGCACTTTCAAAAGTCATGCTCCTTTGCCCTCAACTGCAGAATCAGGACTAAATGAAAAATTAAAGCCAGTGTGTGTGTGTGTGTGTGTGTGTGTGTGTGTGTGTGTGTGTGTGTGTGTGTGTGTGTTTCCATTCCAAAAGTGCGTCCTAATTTGGGTCAATTAAGTTGTATTTTATACTAATGGCAATCTGAATAAAATGTGAGAAGAGGGTACCTGTCTTTCAAGACTTCAAAGGTAATATAAAAAAGCAAGCAAATGAAATATCCATATCCATTTTAAAGCACCAAGACATTAAGAGTCCTATCATTGTTTCTGACAGCCAGGCACACATTTCACAACTCTGGGAATGCTTCAGACAAAACAAAGACAGCCTTTCTAAAGAAGAGACTATGATTGTGTGAGGAATAGGGAGGAGTTTAAAGGGCTAAGCCCAAGGAACAGGCAGGGGGGCAAAAGCTAGATCTGAAGGGAATTTACAGTGACGCCATTAGACCCAGGTGGCAAATGGGAGTTGGGACAAGAGAGCGTCCCCAAGGCAATGCCATCAGAGAGGCCTGAGTAGACCCATGCATGGCAGGCAGGAAATGCATGGCAGTGGTGGCAAATGGGGGAGCCAGGTGGCAAATGGGAGACCCAGGTGACAAATGGGAGTTGGAACCAGGAGAGCGTCCCCAAGTCAATGCCATCAGGGGTGTCTGGGTGGACTCATGCATGGCAGGCAGGAAAGATATCAGAGGAGGATGAATTTGGCTATACTTCTTGGCTCCCAGACTTCCCTATTGCCTATTCCAGACTCCTCTACCTCTTTGGACCTGCAGGCCGAGATCACCAACCTAGGCTGAGCTGGCTGGGATGAGCCAGGACTCCCCATGTGGAATGCAATCAAATTAGCTGTGCCTTATAGGACATGAGAATGAAAATTTTACACATTACTGCCAACTCAATCCTGAAACAGTGCTATTCTCCTGTCTCCTCCTCAGGAAACTTTCCTGACTCCCCATTAACCAAAGGTTGAAGTCCAAACTCCATAATTCAACTTTCCATTGATCTAAATCGTATAACATCTTTCCACCCATTCATTCATTAATAAACACCTATCAGTCACATGTTATATACCAGGTATTAGGAGTAAACATTGAATGAAACACAATGTCTACTCTCAAGAAGTTCATGGCCATCCCTCAAATAAATGACAATCTGACCCAAATTATTTTCCTGGTCTAACTTCCACCACATGTATGTGAACAGTCCATTCTGGGCCAACAGGTGCACTTGTGTTATCCCAATGTGTTGGTTAAAGTTCTGGAGGCAGGTAAATGTTGGCTTAAAACCCATTTCCCTTGCTTTCTAGTAAGTTTCTAAATCTTTCTATACCTTAGTTGCCTTACAAGTTTGAAGTAAGGGTTAAATAATTTAGTGTGGAACTCATACTGAGTGCTCTTACAGAGCCGTTTTTACTATTACTGTTGTTGCTGTTGTTCATTCTCCTCTCTAAGCCTTGTTTGCAGCCAGCTCTCAGGTGAAAGGCCCGAACCCCTGCTCTGCCCACACCCTTCCCAGGCCTTGCAAGGCCAGCTTGCTCCTCCAGTAACCACTCCCTCTGCTTGACTCGCTCATGACACCTGGGACCTGGACTGTTGTCAGGGGATCACAGGTGTGGGATTCCGCTTCCTGCATGGAATGTAAACTCTGGGATGATAAGAAGTCGTAAAATTATGTAGATCCTCCAATGGAAAACCCAGGATGCTATGACCTATGAAATTTGGGACTTGCTGTGAAATAAACCAGCAAATGTGATGTTTCCTCGAATTACCACCTCATGGTGTTTGTCTGCTTTGGCTCATAAATTCCCTGGAGATAAATCCTGCATGCATGCATTGCCCCACATTTTAGTCTTTCCAGCTCATGTCTTGTCTGAGGCAGAATGGGGAGAGTGCAATGGTTTAGGATAAGTACTGATCCATCATCCCTAGAGGTGAAGAGAGCTAATAAAGAAAGAGGTTATTGTAATTCTTCTACCACAAAGGAACCCACTATTATTATTATTATCTATATGAAAAATTATTTTCATCTCTCTGTCTACAGTACGTAGCGTGGCATAAAGTAGGTTCTCAGTAAATGTTTTTTTTTGCATTTTGAATAAATGATTGACTCTCAGCTTTGAGAGTGTTTCCGTCAAACAAATTTTCTTTCTTAAAGAGTAAAGCAATTTTTTCACTTCCTAAATTAATCATAGATGTGTATAAATCAACAGACAATAAGTGGAAAGCAGCAAACAGCAATACAACACTCTGTTAAATTGAGCTTCTGTGGCAGATGCTGTGGGTTGCCAACAACAATTCTGCTCCCTATTCTTTGTCCCTAGCAGACCCCCCTTCTTCCAGTGATGGGAATGAAGATACTGGGCTCTTACTCTCCAGCTTGCCTATGTGAATCTGTTTGAGCCAATGAGACATAAAGAGAAATTTCCCATGTTTGGAGGAGACTTCTAGAAAATATTCCTTCTCACTCCATGATAAAAATAGACTAAAAAAAAAAACACATAAAAAATGCCAAAGCGCTTGTGCCTCCCTTTTGCTTTTGCCATTGCTATCTTGGGACCATGTATGGCAATATGATTTATACACCATGAAAGACAGCTCCAAGACAGGAGAATACTTGAGTCCTTGATGACATTGTCAAGATGCTCAGTCAGTACTGGCTGAGTCAGTACTGGGACCACCTGCTTCTGGGCAGCTTATTGTTGAAAAAAAAGCACATAAAACACTATTGTTTAAGTCATGTTTATTTGGCTGTTCTGTTACTGTTAACTGAGAGCGTCCTACCTGACAAATTGCACAGTGAGCTGGCTGTTGCTTTTGCTTACCTGTGAGACCATGCTGTATACATGCACCTGCTGCAGAGCTTTGGGCAATGTTCAGAATTGTTCATGAGTCTGCATTATTACCTGTGTGAGGCCCACAGATTGAGCCCATGCTCTTATTTTCCAGTGAGACAGAGGGAGACACGGGCTCTTGTATTGGGCCTGAAGAGACTGAATCCTATCTCAGCTACTTTCTATTAGGTTAGTGCAAAAATAATCACGGTTTTTGCCATTGCTTTCAATGGCAACGACTGCAACTACTTTTGCACCAACCTAATAGCTGTAAAAATGTATTAGTCAGCTCAGGCTGCCACAACAAAACACCTAGACTATGTGACTGAAACAACAGAGATGTATTTCTCACAATCCTGAAGGTTAAGATCAAGCTGCCAGCCAATTCACTTCCTCAGTGAGGGCTCTCTTTCTGGCATGCAGACAGATGGCTGCCTTCTTACTATGTCCTCACAAAGTAGAGAGAGGGGAAGCAAGCCCTCTACTTTCTCTTCTCATAAGGACCCTAATCCAATCATGAGGGCCCCACCCTTACCACTTCATCTAAGCCTATTAATCTCCCAGAGGCCTCACCTCCAGAAACCATCAACATATGAAGTAATAGGGCTTCAACATATGAATCTGGGGGGAAAATTCTCACCCCAAATTGGGAAATTATTTCCTATGGATGATTCAGCTCATGGCAGTGGCCTTGGGCAAATATTTAACAGCCTGAACCCTCAGTATCCTCATCTGTGATATGAAGCATGGTAGCAGGACTTGCCCCCAGCTTGCTCCAAAATTAATGAGATAACACATGTAGGGCATCAAGCACAGTGCCTGGCACATGGTGAGAGCCCAATCACTGTGGACTATGGTTTCTGTTCACCTGTGGAGATGTGAGGCAGCTGAACAATTTTAGCTGCTTTGAGACTGACCAGCTTTTGTTATCCCTTGGAGGACGGTAAGGAAGGCCCACCTGGGCCCACCAGCAAGGGAGCAGTGTGCCTCCTCAGAAAGGCTGGAGGATTACGGATAGAAGTGAAACACAACATACAAACCACCACTGGAAGAGCCTACCTTAATCCAAATACTCTAATCCTCTTGTTTTCCTGGTGTGATTCCCAGACACTAAGAAATGACTCAGAACTCAAGCCAGTATTGTATCATGGCCAAGTCCACCTACTCTGTCCTCCTCCACACATTTGTCCCAGCTAATCCTTGTGCCTGGAGAACCATTTTCCACTCTCTGGGTAGACTCCTGCTTCCTCCTCAAGGTGCAGCCCTGCCATCCTCTCCCAGAAGCGTCTGTGGACCCTCCTCATTTCCCACTCATCTCTGGGCCGGGCAATCCTTTTCTATTCCATAGACTCTCTGCTGGCCCCATCACAGAGCTGTTCACATATTTGTTTTGTTACTTCAATAAAGTGCGTCCTCAGAACCAACTGTATTCCTTACATATTTTGTGTAGTAACTAAACCTCGGCTGAATGATAACATACCCATAAAAAAGTAGAATAAACTTAGTAAATAAACATTGTTCTATGCAGTTGTATGCTTGATCTATGAAATAAGGTTATTTCTTTTTGTTCTGTAAGATAAACCCAACGTATTTGTGGCCTCCACCATAATTTCTTTTCTGGACACCTTTTATTTTATTGCTGTAAAAGAGAATAGGCTGCTAACACCTTACTTGAGTGAAGTCATGCAAAGAAACAAATAAAACATATGTTTAGAAATTGAAAAGCACTATTAATAATTCATGAGTTAAAGTAGAAAGCATAATGGTAATTTAGAAGTGAATGATGATAAAGGCATTATGCATTAAAACTTGAGTAATGCAACTTAAAGAATACTTAGAGGGAAATACATTCTCTTAAATGTATATATTGGAAAAAAATTAAACCACAAAAAGTTACATATTTAACTCAAAAGCTAGGAAAAAATAGAATTAACTGAATGAAACTTAAAGATAAAATCAAAAAGCAATTAAATAGAAAATAAGGACATCATAAAGACGTTTATTTTTAAAAAGGTAGTTCACTGATAAAACAGCTCTCTGATAACATTGCTCAAGAAAAAAGAGACGAGTCAAACAATACCAAGAACAACAAAGAAAATATAACTGAAGCTTCAGGAAAAATTTTAACAATCATTAAGCAATGCTGCAAATAGTATTATGACAATAATTTTGATAACTTGAAGGAAATTCATATTTTCAGAAAAATTAAAATTAATAAAATTGACTCAACAAAAATAGAAATTCTGAATTGACCATTCAGTAAATTAAGTTGGTAGTCAACCATCTGCTCACCCCCGAAAAGCAACAGCATAAGATAATTTCACAGGCAAATTTTACCAAACCTTCTTGGAATAGACAACTCCTATCTTATGCAAGCTTTTCTAGAAACTAGAAAAAGGTACACTAGCTGTGGGTAAGGGTCAAAAGCCAAAAAACCTCTCTTTCCCAATGGACAAATGTGGCTGAGTATTAATCCTGGGCAACTGATAAAGGTGGAATGTCAGCCCTGTTCCAGGCAACATAATGTATGGTTAGAAAAAAATTAGAAAGCTCTGTGATGGGTAAGTTGTATCATTCCTAGGAGGACTGTGGACGGACAGATCATACATACCTGGTGGGAAGCTAGAACTTTGACCTTCCCGTGTGCAGCCACTTGGTAACTGGGCACATCCCTTGTGAGGCTCTAGAGACTGTGTTCATGGAGCTGTTTCAGCTATACTGGATCTTATTTTAGGTGGGGGATTTAAGACATGATGGCTCTGAAATCCACTTGTGTGGTCTTTTTCCCTTGCACCTGAGCTGTCATTTGTGTGATCTGAGATTAGACAATAGACTACTGTGTGAGCTGCTACAAGGACTGTCACCAAAAAGGGGTGCCTGCATCCTTCTGTGTATCCTGGTGCCAGGTGTGACCTACTGAGATCTAGAATCTAAATGTCTGGTTGAAACTAAGACCATTGCTGTGGGTATTGTAAGATCTAAGTTATGAGGCTAGTGTAAACAATACCAAAAAAATGAGGATAATAGTAGGAAAACATATTGGCACTATCATTTGAACAAAGAGGTAAATATCCTAATATTAACCAATGCATTCCAGCAAGGTATTTAAACACACATGCACACACACACACACACACACACAATGGAAGAATGCTTCAATATTAGAAAAATCCATTAATCAAATTACCACATTGATGGATTAAAGAGTAAAATCATGTGACAAAGGCTGTTAACCCACCATTACCACTGTTTTCACATTAAGTTCTGACCATTTTTCCAAACAATTTGCCATATACATCAATGAAAGAGAAAGGAGATCCTAAAAAGAAATCCACCCATATATATCAACTTGAAAAATAAAGTGAAATTACTAATCAGTGGGCAAGAAAGGATTATGCAATTAATGGTGTTGAGCAATTGAGTAACTATATGTAAATTAATAAAATTAGATCACTACCTCACATTATTACATCCCTTCTTACACACAAGCAAGTTTAAAGCAAAGCTTATAACTTGCAAAAATAATATAAAAATATTGTGTATCTGGATTGGGTAGGATTTCTTTAATGAGCCAAAAAATCACAGTTTATAGAAAATACCAATGAACATATTTGTATCACAGGTAAAAATTTTTTTTCAACAAAAACACCATAAACAGAAGTTAAAGCCGGGCACAGTGGCTCATGCCTGTAATCCTAGCATTTTGGGAGGCCAAGGCGGGCTGATCACCTGAGGTCAGGAGTTCGAGACCAGCCTGGCCAACATGGCAAAACCCTGTCTCTACTAAAAATAAAAAAATTACCCGGGCATGGTGGCACGTGCCTGTAGTCCCAGCTACGTGGGAGGCTGAGAAAGGAGAATTGCTTGAACTGAGGAGACAGAAGTTGCAGTGAGCTGAGATCACGCCACTGCACTCCAGCCTGGGCGATAGAGAAAGGCTCCGTCTCAGGAAAAAAAAAAAAAGTTAAGAGACATACCAAAAAAGAAAATTTAACAAATGTAATGGACAAAAGTTAATGTCCAGAATAAATGAATAATTTACAAATCACAAAGAAAAAAATAACTAAGAGAAAAAAAAGAAAGAATAGGCAAGTCTTTGAAAAATGGATACAATGGCCAATAAATATTAAAAAGAAAAACCTGAAAAGATGCTCGAAGTCACCAGTTCTATACAAAATACAAATAAATCCCACAATGAGATACCATTTTATTTTACAGTAGGTGAGAGTATGTATTGGTATAATACGTTGCAATAAGTGGTAAACTGGTATAAGTACTTTGCAATATGTAGTAAAGTTGAAAATCCACATAACTAGTTGCCAAGTCTCTATACCTAGAAATATACCACAAAGAAACTCTTACATACGACCACAGGGACACATGTCCAAATACTTATTGTAAACTTTGTAACAAAAATTACAACCAAAATTCTTACCAATAAAAGAATATTTAAGCTGAGTTCTATTTATTCTCATGAAATACTACTTATTAGTTAAAATGAGGAAACTAGGGTTACAGGTATCAGTATTGACAGATATGGAAAACATGATGTCATTTGAAAAATACTTTGTGAGAAAATGCAACATACAGAATATTACCATTTAAGTAAGTCTCAAAAACTCATAAGGCAATCTAGGTGGAAATGTGCACATGGAGTGCAATGTTCAAAGTAAGCCCAGGAAATTTCATCCTTAATTGCACATTGATAGCAGTATCTGTCCCCAAGGAGCAGGAGTGGAATTAGAAGCCTTAAGAAGGAACCTCAACCCTATCTTTGATGTTTCACATTTTACAAAAGTTCTAAGCTAAAGAGGACAAAATATTAACCTATGTTAATTCTGGGTGGTGAGTATATCACTGTTTGCCACATCAATATGTAACTGCAGAACCAGTTCAATTTTGTCAGTAACAAAATGGTGAGTTGTTTTTCAGTTGCAATGGATCCCCAGGTTGCAAGTCAGTGACCTGAGCATGTCCAGAGAAAGCCAGTGCGCTCCCCAACCCCCACCAAGCCAGCCACAATGACAAAATCAACCACGTGCAGAGCCTAAGTACTTGGATCAAGGATGAAAGACCAAGTCAAGAAGTGAGGGGTACTCTGCTTTGTTGCAGTACTAACTTAGAAGCCAAGGACCTAGCACTACCTCTGTATGACCCAATCAGATCACACCTCATTGCATTTTCCTGTCACTCATTGTTACTCTCTGCCTATAAAATCTGCCCCCAGACTCCAGCTCCAGGAGATAGATTTGAGTGCTGCCTCCTGTCTCTTTGCCAGTCTGCTTGCAATCAAGCCTTTCTTTTCTCAAAAGCTGGTGCCATTGTATTCACTTCTATGCATATCATCAGACAGCGAGCCCATTGCTCAGTAACAAATACATTCTATAATGTACTGAATATTGGAAATTTCCTAAAAGAGAAATAATATAATAAAGTGCCCATTTCTCCTATTTGCTATATCTCCCCATGACAACCTGGATGAAGTCCAAACAACATAATGAGAGGTTGGAAAAAGGCCACAAGACTCTATCTACTGAACCCTGTCTCCTTCTCCTTGCCTCACACTTAACCCTCAGGCCACAGGGAGCTCCTTGTTGCTGTCTCACATGTACACACACATGTTCATACTCACATATGCATGTACACATATACACACAAGCACACCCACTCAAACATGCAGCCCTACTTCTTGACTCCAAGCCTTCCTCCATGTCGTTTCTTCTGTATAAATTATTCTTCTGTCACTATCTGTCAGTTAATTCCTAGTCATTTTTTAGAAACACTCTCAGTGGCCACTTTGTCTGGAAGCCTCTCTTGGCTCCTGGAGCAGGTTCCTCTTTGCTCCCATAATAATGTGTGCCTGTCTCTATGGCTGCACCAATGCACTGCCCTGCTACTATGGTTGCCAGTCTGTGTCACCCAATGGACTGCTAACTCCTTAAATGCAGTGGATGAGTCTTATCTGACTTTTATTGTTTTCAGCACGTGGAATAGTGCTGGGCACTTAATGAGTGGTATGATTTGTCTGTGTCCCCACCCAAATCTCACCTTGAATTGTAAAAATCCACACGTGTCAAGGTTGGGGCCAGCTAGAGATAGTTGAATCATAGGGGCTCTTTCCTCCATATTGTTTTCATGGTAGTGAATAAGTTTCACAAGATTTAATGGTTTTATAAATGGGAGTTCCCCTGCACATGCTCTCTCTTGCCTTCCACCATGTAAGATGTGACTTTGCTCCTCATTCACCTTCTGCCATGATTGTGAGGCTTCCCCAGCCATGTGAAACTGAGTCAATTAAACCTCTTTTCTTTATAAATTACCCAGTCTCAGGTATGTCTTTATGAGCAGCATGAGAGCAGAATACAATGGGCATCCATTAGGTATCCTTGACTGAAGAGTGGACCTACTACATGTGGACAGCCAGGAAAAGTTTATTCAGTAAATAAATACCCCAAGATGTACATTTTTCCTGAAGTACATGACAGAGGTTTTACTTTTATACTTGCATTTGGACAATTCTTTCCTGTGGTTCATGGACAGAGTATTGGATTTGTGGAGAGACTGGGTTCTAACCTGCCTTCTCCCCATTACTGACTATAGGAGAAATATGGTTTGGCTTTGTGTCCCTACCCAAATCTCATCTCAAATTGTAATCCCCACATGTCAAGGAAGGGACCTGGTGGGAGGTAACTGGATCATGGGGTGGTTTCCCCCATGCTGTTCTTGTGATAGTGAGTGAGTTCTCATGAGATCTGATGGTTTCTCAGGGGCTCTTCCCCCTTCACTTTCTTCACTCTCTCTCTCACCTGCTGCTATGTAAGACATGCCTGCTTGCCCTTCCACCATGATTGTAAGTTTCCTGAGGCCTCCCCAGCCATGCAGAACTATGAGTCAATTAAACCTCTTTTCTTTATAAATTACCCAGCCTTGGGCAGTTTTCCATAGCAGTGTAAAAACAGACTAATACAAAGAGTTTTGCCAACTCAGAATGAGATTTTCTGGACCTCACAAGGATGGGCGTAGTAATACCACCTTTGAGAGTTATTATGAGGGTTCTAGGAACTAAAATCTGTGCAAGCTTGTTGCACCTGGTAAATGTGTTATAAATCATCAAACTACACCTAGCCAATGTTCAACATAGGCTGATGAATGGAGATGAAGTCTTAACGACAAGGATTCAAGGGGTCTGCAGAGAACTTATTAAACAGGTGGATTTTGAGTAATTTTGTAGAAAGAAAGATGGACGTACTGGAAAAAAAAAAACCAGAAGGATTTACAGGCCAAGAAAGGAGGCATTTACATAATTTTTCTTGGTAGGAGCCAAGGAATTTACACAGATTTAACTGTCTGTTCTCTAGTTCTGAGCACATTTCTAAGCAGCTTTGTCTTTGAGAGAGGGCAGGAGCCAATGAGTGGCTGTGAAGTCTATGCTGAATTCTACAGATAGCACTTTTAAAAAGTTCAGCTGATAGAGCCCACACAGACCCACTGAGCCAGAGTCTCTGGAGTAGAACCTATTTTCTTTTCCTAATTTTGTAACAGAGTCAATGCCAATACATAGCCAAGGATGAGAATCAGGGCTGGGAACTACTGGAATAAGGTGTTACTTTTCTAGGTTTCCCTGTTGAAAGGTAAATATCTGGGACAAGTAAATATTAAGGCATAGCCAGCCTTTCATATCTGGAATGAATTCATTGATGGGATTATCAGATATCAGCCAAAGAAACTAAGAGGAGATTCCTGAGGTGTGGTAGAGGGAATGTGGAGACTGGCACATCCTCATCTATAGGAAGGGATGATTAAAGTGACCATATTTCACAGACTTGTTGATAGATAGACTGAGTTCAGTGAGATACAGTTGCTCAATATGTGAGTTCTCCTGTCAGAGGATGGCTGAGTGAGATATGGATGGTAGGAGGGCTGGGAAGAGAGTCCAGGCAGCACACCCATCTAGATTGTGGATGGGGCCTGGCCAATTTTCTGCATAGATGGGAGCTGTGCCCAGAAAGTTCTTGTTGTGTGTATGCTGGGGAGGGTAACCATGATGCCGTAGAGCTCGAGTGGTAGAGAAAAGGGCAGAAAAGCATAGAAATATGAGACAGCCTTATATTTAAAATGGCACCTGCCATCCCCTACAGCATAAAACCAAGCCCCTTAACTTGATGAGTGTCTTAGGTTCCTAGAGTTGCCACAACAAAATGCCACAAACTGGGTGTCTTAAAACAACAGAAGTGTGTTCTCTTACAGTCCTGGAGGCCAGAAGTCCACAATCAAAGTGTTAGCGGGGTCAGGCACCTCTGAAGGCCCTGGGAAAAAATACAGTCCATGGCCCACTCCTGTCTTCTGGTGACTTTCAGCAGTTCTTGGTGTTCCTGGGAGATGCATCCCTCTGATTGTTGCCCATCTTCACATGATGTCCCTCTGTGTTCACGTCTTCACAGGGTCTTCTCATTAGGACACCAGTCATTGCATTAGGGCCTGTCCTAATCCAATACCACCTCATGTTAACTAATTACATCTGCCAAGACCCATTTGCCAACTAAGGCCACCTCCTGGGGTTCTGGGTGCACCTGAATTTTTGTGGAATACTATTCAATCTGGCACAATGACGGATGACCATGGAGACCCTCGTGGCTTTCTGTTCTGCTGTATATCTGTACTGAAATATTAACCTTTGGGTTGTTCACAGTGTGTGATATTTGATTATTTACAAGTCTATGTCTCCTACCAAGTTGTGAGATCTTGAGGGCAGGACCAATTTGAGCGGAGTGTGTTTTGTTTGGATGCTGCTTTCGACTTCACACCTTTCGTTATCCAGGACGTAACACAAACCCAAGTTTATGACTGGAATGCAGTAAGTGAATGTGAAATTTAATTGATTTATGGCAATAATTTGTCCAACACTGGTCATTGGGATCTCTACACTTGCATATATTGGAGCCTGGAAGAATGTCGGGAGACCTCTGGAGGAAATAAATCTGGCCAGAGCTTAAAAGCTTAGCGACCATCCTTTGCCTTGGAGGCTGGAAATGGGTAACTGGGCTCTGTTGTGTTGCTCATGCACTCTGTGACCCGGGGTTGGTCATTTCCCTGCTTTGACCTCAGATTCCAACTATAAATGAAGGGCTTAGACTATAGTTTTGGTCTTTCCTCATTCCCTAAGCTCCCTCATTTTTAAAATCATGGGCTTCATACTTAGTCATAACTAACATTACTAAGAGATAAGCACCAAAGAAATACTCAGGGCAGTAGCCCTGCAGCGCACCAAACAGCTCCCAATTCACCACTGGGGCCTCTCTCCCATTTAAACAGATGTATCTGCTGCTCCTGAGAAGCCCTTCGTTCCCTGACTGCCTGCAGGCAGTGAGCCCGTTGCTGAAATTCCTCTGGTGAAGATCGCCTAGGATGCCAGGGAGCAACAATAAACACAGTCTTTTCACTCCAACCCTTCATTTAGATCTGCTTTCTCTTTGAATCTCAGTTGGCTGCAGCAGGCTCTTGGCTACCTTGCTGAAGAGGTGTTTGGCAAATCATGAAAGGGCAAGGGCTCCCCAGAGAGGATATTTTCCCTCTTATCGGAACCTTTCAAAACAGCAGGAGAAGTGAGGAATTGCAACTGGGCATCCAATCAGCTCCTCTGCCGCAGAGAGGAGATGGGGGAAAGGGATTCTCACCTTCAGGCTCCACAAGATTTTCAGTATTGAGAAAGACAGCTTCTCTCTGAAAGAAGACTGGACTTAGATATCACATTCTGCAGGAAGTCTTCTCTCACCTGACCCTCACAGCCCATGCTGGGCAGCCTGCTTTTCTCTGTCCCTATAATTCCTGAAGCTTGTTTCCACACTGCCCCACTGGGCTAAAGACAGAGGGAACAGGGAGGAGGGAGAGTCCATACAATGCTGTGTTCAAGTTACCTTCGTGCATCTCAGACAATTGAATGTCTCAGCCAGCCACCAGCCACTTTAATACATCATCCCTTTTAACTCTCATAAATACACTGTGGCTTAGAGCTACCCCATTTCACTAAGGAGCTGAACATTATTATATAGCTTTTGGAGAGTCTGAGTTACTTGATGAAAGCCAGTTTGGGATTCTAATTTAAGTCAGACTGGCTCTAGTCACCCCATTTGTACATTCCATTTTGTATCTTCTCATGTGGGTGGGTACATCTTTATAACAATGTTCAAGGCCACTCTACAGAGAAGAGTTAACACAGCAGGCCTGAAACTGCTCATCCGTAGAAAGCCCTGCTGTCAAAGTGGTCCTTGGCTGGTATCTAGGAAGCTGGAAATTGGGAATGTTCCCACTCTTTCCTAACTGATGAGGTTGACTCACAGTGCCTCAACTATTTGTGCAAGCATTGTGGTTTATGCTGAACATCTGCTTACTTTCTGGGAGACTGGAATTTAGCACATGTAGGTATCTTACATGATCAGCCCCCATTAAAGACCTTGGACACTGAGCCTCTAACGAGCTTCCCTGGTATTATAATATCATTATACTATGTAATACACTACGTAAAGTCAAAATCAGATGCATTAGCAATATGGACACAAACAGTAACTGGTTGCTCCATCATAAAGCACCCAAGAAACCTATAGAAAGTATCTTAGAAGTAGCTAGGGGAGGTCGATGGGTAAGACATTTATTCATCAGCTCCCATTCCCCATTGGTCAAAATTACTCCATCGGTGTTAACTCTCTCTCAGTTCTGGGTTGTATATGCATAAGTGCCCAAGGTTCCAACATGTGGTTAGAGAAGTCCAGGAGAAGAAGCAGGAGACACGTGACAGATTCCCTGGTGAGATATCGCCAGCTCACACCTGCGTGAAGCTGGCTGAAACCATGGCTGAAGGAGGAGGTGAGGCTGAGATGTATAAAGGTTCCACAGCACCCTTGTAACTAACTCAATCCTCTGATCCTGTTCTCCAACTGGCATTTGGCACTGCCAAGCCTGCCCTACCCAGTTGAGCCTCCCTGGGCTTTATTCATTTATTCAGTCATTCAACAAGTGTGTGTGTTGACTGCATACTTCGAGCCAGGCGTGGAGTTGATAGCTGACCTACTCTCTCTACTATTCAGGTTTTACCTTTTCCCACCTCCCTTCTCTACAGTTGCTGCTCCAGGGCCCATCATATCAGGTTGTGCTCCGAAAGAATTCCTCATGTTCATCTCCGGCCTTGTGAATCCGCCCTTGACCCCAGCCATTTGTCTCTGGTACTTATTTAATGACTCAGAACCTCACAAGTTCTTTTAAAACCTAATGTATGTTCTCTAAACTAGTGTTTCCTAAAGCTTGTTCCAAATAATGATCACTTGCACAGGAAAAAAGAGAGAGGGTAGCTTATGATCCAATGAGCTTGGGAAACACTGATGATGTCCACTGAATACTTTGAGAAATGCTACTCCAAATTCAGACAAGAAAAATGGTCAAGCACCATTCATTTAAAAGAAGTGTACAAACATCATTTATAGAGAGCAGAGGCATGGGAGAACATGGATGTGTAGAAGGTCATATTAATGTTCACAAATACTTTCCCCTTTCACATGGGACAAGTGTGCTTCCTGCTCTGTTACTGTTGGGCTTTGATCAACAGGATATATGTAGAAGGGACTTTGCCACTTCTGAGCAGGAGCTTGTCATGTAATTTCTTGGTCTCGCTCTTCTGCTCAGTCTCAGGGATGGGTGTGTCCCACATAGGGGCTTCTCCTTCAGGCTGGATCCAGGAACAAGACTTGTGGAGCAGAGCCCATCAGAACCTCAGCAGCCACGGTCCAACCACAACTTCCAGCATGTGATGTGATCCAGAAATAAATGTTTGCTGTAAGCAGCTGAGATCTGGGTGTTGTCCCTCAGCAAATCTTTCTAACACAGTGTGAGTACCTCATCTTCTCCAATGAAAAAGTAGTGATTATTATTTTGAACCATGTATAAAAGTGCATTTTTTTTTTTTTTGAGACGGAATTTCACTCTTGTTTCCCAGGCTGGAGTGCAATGGCGCTATCTCGGCTCACCGCAACCTCCGCCTCCCAGGTTCAAGTGATTCTCCTGCCTCAGCCTCCCAAGTAGCTGGTTTGGAGGTAAAACTACTACTTAAGTTTAGATCCTAAACAATCAAACGTTTACCTGCAGTAAGAGAAATAATATTTAGTGACCACTTACTATGCAGAAGCTTTGCATCATTCTATCTTACCTACATAACAAAACTATTTTGGGATTATTTTTATTCTCATTTATAGAAGAAACAGACCCAGACAAAGTTTAACCAGCTGGTCTAACATCACATGAAGGATGACAAGCAGTTGAAGCAGTTCTGGAATTCAGACAAAATCTGTGTTCTTTCCCTAGCATCATGCTAAAGTGACAATCACCCAAGATTGGAGAAGCTAACAAAGATTGCCTTTGTGGGGCCAGCAATGACTTACATTTCGTACAAAAGGCACGTCTCCATTGACACCATTAAATATTTCTCACAAAATAATTTAGTAAAAAAGAGTTCACCTACCCCCAAAATTATTGAAAATATTTCTTCCGACCAAAATTTTAAAACTCTTTTCAATTTTTTTTTTAAAAAATTGAGTACTTCCCCAGTGATGTAATGTTTAAAGAATGGGTCTTTGAATTCTAACAGACAAGAAAAATATGGAAGTATCTCGGAGACACTCAAGAATCCTTGGAAATGTCTACTCATGGACACCAATTTTTGCTGACCAATGCCAGCTTTGATTCTGGTCTTTTAAAAGACACCCTGCTGACCATCTACTTAAAGAGACCTCGTCAATCAATAAAAGTTTATTGGAAGCCTTTCCTGTGCTGAACACCATGCTGGGCAGGAAGGTAAAACAAACCAGCCCTGATGGAGCCAGACACTTTAATACATCATCCCTTTTAACTGTCATTAATACAATGTGACATTAGTGGTACCTTATTTCACTAAGGAGCTGAACATTATTATATGGCTTTTTGAAAGTTTGAGTTGCTTGATGAAAGCCAATTTGGGATTCTAATTCAAGTCAGAGTGGTTCTAGTCACCCCATTTTTGTACATTCCATTTTGTATCTTCTCATGTGGGTGGGTACATCTTTATAATAATGTTCAAGGCCACTCTACAGAGAAGAGTTAACACAGCAGGCCTGAAACTGCTCATCCGTAAAAAGTCCTGCTGTCAAAGTGGTGCTTGGCTGGTATCTGGGAAGCTGGAAATTGGGAATGTTCCCACTCTTTCCTAACTGATGAGGTTGACTCACAGTGCCTCAACTATTTGTCCAAGAATTGCGGTTTATGCTGAACATCTGCTTACTTTCTGGGAGACTGGAATTTGGCACATGTAGGTATCTTACATGATCAGCCCTCATTAAAGACCTTGAACATTGAGCCTCTAACAAGCTTCCCTGGTATTATAATATTATTATATTCTATAGTTATATAATATATTACAGTAGACACTTGGCACATGTTGTCACATTCATTGCTGGAGGTATTGTGCATGTTCTGTGTGACTTCACTGGAAGAGGAGCGTTGGAAGCTTGCTCCTGAATTCCTCTGGACTTCACCCCTCCAACTTCTCACTTTGCTGATTCTGCTCTACCTCCTTAAATTGTAATAAACCATAGCTCTGAGTCAGACTATAGGCTAAGTCCTGTGATTGAGTTCTCCTAGGGAATCATTAAACCTGGGTGTGGTCTTGGGGACCCCCAACAGTTACCTTCCTGCATGTTGAACAACAATTGGATGTCTCAGCCAACCACCAATCATACATTTGGAGGAAATTAAACTAGTTTCAGTGAGATTCTGGATCCAAAAGCCGTTTGCTAGTGTGAAGGTGTTCCCTTCTCCACTTCTGCTAGACAGTGTCCAGCCAAAAGGCACGCATGCTGCTCCCTGTGTGTGCCTTGTAGTGATTTCATTTTCCTCAGTGTGAAGTCCAAGCTCCTCACCCTGCCTAGGAGTCCTCCAGCACCTGACTCTGTCTTCTTGTCTGTCCTTCAGCCTCACAGGCATCTCCCACTTAATGGCAAGCTGCTGTGGTCCCCTGAGCACATTGCTATCTCCAGCCTATGTACTTTAGCCCCTGCCCTTCCCTGATTCTGAAACATGCTTCCTCCTTCCCTGATCTAAGAATTCATTCAGTTCACAGCCACTTCAAGGTCATGTAAGTGTGGTGTTTTAGTTAGCCCATGCTGCCATAGCAAAATACCGTAGACCGGGTGGCTGAAACAATAGGCATTTATTTCTCCCAGTTTTGGAGGAAGGAAGTATAAGATCAGGGTGCCAGCATGGTCGGGCACTAGTGAGGCCTCTCTTCCTGGCTTGCAGATGGCTGTCTTACTGTAACATGCCCACGTGGCTATCCTTGTTTCAAGACTTGGGGGAGAGAGAGAGATGTCCCTTCCTCTTCTTATAAAGACACTAATCCTATCATGGGGGCCCACCTTCTTGACCCTATGTAAACCTAATTACCACCCAAAGGTCCCATCTCCAAATGCTATCACATTGGGGGTTAAGACTTTAACACAGGAATTTTGGGGGGGACACATTCAGGCCATAACACATGAACATTTCAGGAGGCTTCTCATCTCCCCTCCTGCACTTTCATCACATCTTGGTCACTCATTAAGTAGATACTGAGTGTTTCTTATGCACCAGACATCCTTCTACAACCTGGGGACTTGAAAGAACAAGAGACAAATAGTCCCTGCCTTCATGGAGCTTACAGCTTCCAAGTTTCTCTTCAGATAAACCTTCCTCATTTAACTCCCATTTCTTTGATCTTCTCTTTGCCAATCCTTCTTTGTATCCTTTGATATCACTCCACTGTCAGTAAAAATTTTGTGAACATGAACTCCTGTGTATATGCATTACATAATGCATAATATAAAATATACATCAAAACATAAGTTTTAAATGGCACATATAAAAAATGAGAGAACAGAAACTGTAAGCAATCTTCTCACACTGAAATGGACCACCTGTGCATGATGCAAACACAATCTTGTTTGGAAGCCACTGATCCATGTGGAGAGGCCCCACCTTCCCTGAGCACCTGAGACTAGCATTGCTCTGACTCACAGTTTGGAATTATCTCTTTACCGGTATGTCTCCCCACCGGGAGAACAGGGTCTCATTCTCTTTTTTTTTTTTTTTTTTTTTTTTTTTTTTGAGAGATGGAGTCTTGCTCTGTCACCCAGGCTGGAATGCATTGGCATGATCTCGGCTCACTGCAAGCTCCACCTCCCAGGTTCAAGCAATTGTCCTGCCTCAGCCTCCTGAGTAGCTGGGATTACGGATACGCATCACCATGCCTGGCTAATTTTTTTGTATTCATAGTAGAAATGGGGTTTCACCATGTTAGTCAGACCGGTTTTGAACTCCTGGCCTCAAGTGATCCACCTGCCTTGGTCTCCCCAAGTACTAGGGTTACAGGTCTCATTCATCTCTGTGTGCCCAGTGTTTGGGACAGTACCTGGCACAGAGTTGACTCTCCATAGACTTTTCTGGGAATAAAGACAAATGAAGCATAGATGTTGTTGTTAACAATGATTATGATCACAACTCCAAGACTGGGGGAAATATGAGTCTCTCCTTGGACAGGTCTTTCTGGAGTTTGTTGGTTGAACCACCCAAGGTTCTAGGTCTGGATCCCATATACTTATATGAAACTCAATGTGATCTGTTCACCTAAAACCAGTGAGGACTGAATTATGTGACTTGACAAGCATGAAAGTTAAATTGTGTTGAGAACTTCCTAGTTGTCAGGCACCATGCTAAGTGTTTTAATGATATTTCTTTAGTCTTACAAACAACCTCATGAGGCTGTTGTATCCCACTCTACAGAAAAGGGAACTTGAGTTTTGACACATTAAGCAATTTTCCCAAGGTCACAGAGCCAGAGGTAGAATGAAGACCAAGATCCAAAGACCATTTTTTTTCAACTTTTATTCTAGATTAAGGAAGTATATATACAGGTTTGTTACCTGAATATATTGCATGATGCTGAGGTTTGGGGTATAAATGATTCCTTCACCCAGGTACTGAGCATAGCACTTACATTAGTTTATATTCACACTACTGTAAAGAACTACCTAAGACTGTGTAACTTTGAAGAAAAGAGGTTTAATTGGCTCACAGTTCCACAGGCTTAACAGGAAGCATGACTGGGAGGCCTCAGGAAACTTAACAATCATGGCAGAAGGCAAAAGGGAAGCAAGTACCTTCCTCACATGGTGGCAGAAAGAAGAGCGTGAAGGGGGAAGTGCCACACACTTTGAAACCATCATAACTCATGAGAACTCATTAACACAGGAACAGCAAGGGGGAAATCCACCCCCAGTATTCAACCACCTCCCACCAGGCCCCTCCTACAATTTGATATGAGATTTGGGACACTCAAATCTAAACTATATCATTCCACCCCTGGCAACTCCCAAATATCATGCCCTTCTCACACATTATTCCTTCTCAACAGTTCCCCAATCTGAACTCATTTCAGCATTAACTCAAAAGTCCACAATCCAAAGTCTCATATGAGATGAAGTAAGTCCCTTCCACCTATGAGCCTGTGGAATCAAAAGCAAGTTAGTTAGTTCCAAGATACAATGAGGGTATAAGCTTTGGGTAAATGCTCCCAATCCAAATGGGAGAAATTAGCCAAAACAAAGAGGCTACAGGCTCCATGCAACTCTGAAACTCAGCAGGGCAGTCATTAAATCTTAATGCTCCAAACTAATCTCCTTTGACTCCATGTCTCACATCCAGGGCACGCTAATAGAAGAGATGGGCTCCCAAGACCTTGGGCAGCTCAGTCCCTGTGGCCATCCTGCAGGGTATACCTCCCATGGCTGCTTTCACAGGCTGGCATTGAGCACCTGCAGCTTTTCCAGGTGCATGGTGCAAGCTGTTAGTGGATCTGTCATTCTGAGTCTGGAGGATGGTGGCCCTCTTTTCACAGCTCCACTAGGCAGTGTCACAGTGGGGACTCTCTGGGGTCTCCAACCCTACTTCCCCTCTGAACTGCCCTAGTAGAGGTTCTCCATAAGGGCTCTGCCTCTGCAGCAGACTTCTGCCTGGACACCCAGGCATTTTCATACATGCTCTGAAATTTAGGCAAAGGCTCAAATTTTATCTCTTACCTTCTATGCACCCGCAGGCCCAACACCATGTGGAAACTGGCAAGGCTTGGGGCTTGCACCCTCTGAAGCAAAGACCTGAGCTGTACCTTGGCACCCTTTAGCCACAGCTGGAAGTGGAGCAGCTCCATGTCCTGAGGCTGCACAGAGAAGCTGGGCCCTGGGTCTCACCAACAAAACCATTATTCCCTCCCAGACCTCCAGTCCTGTCACGAAGGTCTCTTACATACCCTGGAGACTTTTTTCCCATTGTCTTGGCTATTAACATTCAGCTCCTCTTTACTTACATAAACTTCTGCAGCCAGCTTGAATTTATTCCCTGAAAATGGATTTTTCTTTTCTGCCATGTGGTCAGGCTGCAAATTTTCCAAACTTTTATGCTCTGCTTCCCTTTTAAACATAAGTTCCAATTTTAGACCATCTCTTTGTGAACACATATGACTATACACTGTTGGGAGCAGCCAGGCCACATCATGAATGCTTTGCTGCTTATAAATTTTTTTCTGCTAGATACGCTAAATTATCTCTCTCAATGTCATAGTTCCACAGATCCCTAGACCAGGGGCACAATGCAGCCAGACTCTTGGTGAAAGCATAGCAAGAGTGACCTTTGCTCCAGTTCCCAATAAGTTCCTCATCTCCATCTGAGACCACCTCAGCCTGAACTTCATTGTCCATGTCACCATCAGCATTTTGGTCAAAACCATCCAACAAGTCTCTAGGAAGTTCCAAACTTTCCCTCATCTTCCTGTCTTCTTCTGAGCCCTTCCAACTCTTCCAACCTCTGCTCATTAACCAGTTCCTAATTCACTTCTACATTTTCAGGTGTCTTTATAGCAGTGCCCCACTTGAAGTACCAATTTTCTGTATTAGCCCATTTTCACACTGCTATGAAAAAACTACCTGATACTGAGTAATTTATGAAGAAAAGAGATTTAATTGACTCACAGTTCCACATGCTTAACAGGAAACATGACTGGGAAGCCTCAGAAAACTTACAATCATGGTGGAAGGTAAAGAGGAAGCAAGGACCTTTTTCACATGGTGGCAGAAGAGAGAGAGAGAGCAAAGGAGGAAGTTTCACACACTTTTATACCATCACATGGCATGAGAACTCACTCACTACCATGAGAATGACAAAGGGGAAATCCACCCCCATGATCCAATCACCTCCCGCCAGGCCTCTCCTCCAATTTGACATGAGATTTGAGTGAGAACTCAAAACCAAACCGTATTATACCCAACAGTTAGTTTTTCCATTCTTGCCCCTCTCCTGCCCTCCCCACTCCAGTAGTCCCTAGTGTCTATTGTTGCTATTTTTATGTCCACGAGTACCTGATGTTTAGCTCCCACTTGTAAGTAAGAACAGGTGGTATTTGGTTTTCTGTTCCTGCATTAGTTCATTTAGGATAATGACCTCCAGCTGCATCATGTTGCTGCAAAGGACATGATTTCATTCTTTATTATGACTGCATAGTATGTATTCTGTGGCGTATATGTACCACATGTTCTTTATCCAATTCATTATTAATGAGCACCTAGGCTGATTCCATGACTTTGCTATTGTGAATAGTGCTGCAATGAATATGTAAGTCTTTTCGGTAGAATTATTTGTTTTCTTTTGGATATATATCCAGTGATGGGATTGCTGGGTCAAATGGTAGTTCTATTTTAGGTGCTTTGAGGAATCTCCAAACTGCTTTCCACAGTGGCTGAACTTATTTGCATTCCCACCAACAGTGTGTAAGCATTCCCTTTTCTCTTCAGCCTTGACAACATCATTGTGGTTTTAATTTGCATTTCTCTGATGATTAGTGATGAGCATTTTTTCATGTTTGTTGGCTGCTTGCATGTCTTCTTTTGAGAAGTGTCTGTTCATGCCTTTTGCCCATTTTTTAAATGGAAGTGTTTGGTTTTTGCTTGTTCCATTGTTTAAGTCCCTTATAGATTCGGAATATTAGAATATTAAACTCTTGTTTAATTAGTTTAATGAGGTCCCACTTGTCAAATTTTTTGTTGCAATTCGTTTTGAGAATTTAGTCATAAATTATTTCCCAAAGCCTATGTCCAGAATGGTGTTTCCTAAGTTCTCTTCTGGGATTCTCATAGTTTGGGGCAAAGGCCACCTTTGTAATCACTACCCTAAACGAATTAACAAAGGACTAATGTATAGCTACGTGTCGTTACTTTAATTCACATTTGTAGATGAATGCCTTGATTTAGTACTGTTTTTGAAGCACATCTCCATCACTGTATATTTTCACATCTGAGAAATAGTGGGATAACAGGGCTACTGCGTGTTCTACTGTGTGGTGACAGGAAAGCACCTGAAGTTCAGGTGTTTGGCTTTGTGATTCCTCAGCTCAAGGTGACCCAGCTGGTAAGAAGTAGAACTAGGCATTACACCCAACCCCACTGACTGCCATACCACACTGCTCCACCCCCGTGAGAAATTGTATGTTATTATAATTGCAAGCAAATGGCCCAAATTCTGTCCTGAAATTGCTCCAGAGACAGGGCACTTGGAGATACCTATGCAGTGGCTGACCTTTAGCTAGCGTCCTCCAACTGTGTCTCAATCAGGCATAATGGGTTAGGAACAGAGCTTAAAATTGTTTTCTTTCTTCTGCCTTTCTTTTCTCCCAGCCTTTATCAGCATTTTAGCAGAAGGCTGTTTTTCCTTCTGCACTTATTTATATTTAGCCTGAGCATCCTGTTAATTACAGAGCAGTTATAGAAGAATTAAGGGCACTATATATAAATTTGCCATTTATGCAAATTGCAAGAGAGAACAAAGAAAAATTAGCTTAATTAGTGTAATTGCTAAAAAAGCAGGAGACGACGAGGCAAACACAGCTTTAATCAAAGAAGAGGCGAAGGAAGTCTCAAGGAAATGGTGACCCAAATCACTACAGATTGGAGAGCTCTGACCTTTCACGATTTCAAGACCTTGCTGAGACGCTGAGATGACATGAGACCATGGAGGGGAGGTACAGAGAGTTCTTCGCATTGAAACACTGCAGGTTGATCAACAAATGAAATAAAACCCACGTGCTTGGAAAGCTGTTGATGTGTCTGTGAGTATGTGTACCTGAGGTGGAGTGCAAAACAGAGAATAATAAATGATGCTTCTTGTATCATTTCTCCAGCAAACACATACTCAGAATCTACTAAGTGATGAAAACTGTATAGATGCTGAGAATGTGAAAATGAAAAGATGCCATCACTGCCCTCATGAGACTGGGGAGACGGAGACATAAAGAGGCAATAAACAAATGACATGATAAGAGCAAAATAGAAGGACCTGGGAGATAAGGTTGCCAGATTTGTCAAATAAAAAGACAGGAGTTTTCATTAAATTTTAATTTTAATGAAGTAAAAAAAAAAATTAGTGTAAGTATGCCCCATGCAATATTTGGGACAAGCTTATACTAAAATGTAAAGAAATTCAGATTAACTGGGTAATATGGCTAGGCTGTGTCCTCACCTAAATCTCATCTTGAATTGTAGCTCCCATAATGCCCACATATTGTGGGAGAGACCCGGTGGGATGTAACTGAATCATGGGGGTGGGTCTTTCCTGTGCTGTTCTGGTGATAGTGAGTAAGTCTCACAAGATCTGATGGTTTTATAAAAGGGCAATTCCCCTGCACACACTCTCTTGCCTGCTGCCATGTAAGATGTGACTTTCCTCCTGATTTGCCTTCCACCATGATTGTGAGGCCTCCCCCACCATGTGGAACTGGGAGTCCATTAAATCTCTTTCCTTTATAAATTACCCAGTCTTGAGTATGTCTTTATTAGCAGTGTGAGAACAGACTAATACACTGGGAGTCCTGTATTTTTTCTGGCAATCATCCTGAGGAAGGACAGAGGAGAGTCCATCCTGTATCTCCCCAGCATCACAGAAATATCCATGGCTTCCCCCTGAAAGCAGAAAGATGTCCCCTGGCCAGGGGCAGGTCCCTTCAGCCTTGCTGTCAGTATTGTACATAAAGAGGTGGAAAGAGAAAGAGTCCTGAGGTGAAATGAAGCTGGGGCCCTCAGGAGGCCAGTGAACAGGACAAAGCACTCCTAGGATCACTGGGCTCTACAGTAACACTCACCTGTATTTGCTCTAAGTCCCTAGATCTTTGGTAAAACTCACAGACACATAAATGCTTTGGGCATATGAGGTCTTCTGCATTCTTTGAAAATCAAGGAGGCCAGCATTCCACATCTGGACAGATTTGCTATGACTCGTTCTAAAAGCTTTGCATATTTAACTTAATGAACCTTCATGATAACCTACATGAGGTAGTTATAATGTCCCATTTCACAGATGTGGGGACAGGCCCAGAGAACTCAAGTGACTCTAGGAAAGGTGGTTAGTAAGCACTAGAGCTTAGAGTTAACCAAGATGTTCTGGCTCCAGAGCCCATGCTCTCATGTGTGTGGTTTGCCACCTGCCACAAAGGATTTGTAGGCCAACACCAAGACAACCAACCAGAAACCTGATCAGTCATTCAATGTAATTTTGCTTAAAAGACAACAAAAACCAAGATAGCCACGTATGTCTGTTGTATTCTGTGGAAAAAGGGAGGGCAGATTGAGTTACGAATTTCCATCTACACGTTTGCCATTGTGGTTTAGTAAAAGGAAAGGAACTCTGTGTTTGGTTTCTACCTCCCTTCTGGATGGTCAACCACATAAATAGCTCAACCAAGGCTGTCCACGGTAAGGAGCTCAGCCTTCTCCCTGGGGGTCCCACAATAATGACTGCAGTGGTTGTACCCAGCTACCTAGACAGAGCAATACCTTCACTTAGTCACAGCTTGGAGGGGTTCTTAACTCATGAATTTATGAAAATAAATAATGTATGGAGACAGACTGAACCTACATTGTGGAATAGAACTATACACAGTTTCTTCTCTTTATATATGGGACAGATAATGAGTTCTGCTCTCTGCCTTCCTCAATAAGTAACTGATAATGATTCTCGGCCAGCAAACATAAAAGTCTTCAAAACAGTGCTTGAATCTAGCTCCTCATTTCTTTGTGCTTCATACAAGTCTTCTGCTTCCTACGGTTCCCAGTCTTTGTGTCTGCTCCCACACTGGCCAAAATTACAATCTTCACACGCCTGCTCGCCTTCATCACTACTGCATGGAGCGGAATGCTTTCTTGAGTGAGATCAGACCTCAAAAGCTGTCCTGGATTCAAGAACTGTCAAGAAGGACCATTTTGCCAAGACAGGTTCCCTTTCACTGGTTGATGTCCTATCTTCTCCCTAGGAGGAGGAGTCAGTATTTTTCTGGAGTCTGTTGGGGAAGTTTAAAAAGGAAAAACGCCGTGGAATTGAGGTAAAGTAATGCATAGGGCAACTTTACTGTAGCTTTTTGACATTTCAAACCTACTTTGATCTGCCTTCCTCTTTCTGTTAGAGATTTCTTGGTTGTAAGAAACAGAAACCTATAAATAACAACCCCCCTCCCAAATTAAAAAATATTCAACTCACACACTCAGGCTGAAAGTTTCACAAGGAACTAGGAGCAACTTTCTATTACGGGGGGTCATCATAGTGACTTGTCTCTGATTTTCTTGGTTGAGGAAGCAGAAGGTTGAAATTGTCACCCTGATTCCTCATGATCTTACAATGCAAGCATCTAATACTGCCTAACTTTGTGGATGTATCACATAGCTCAAATTATGATGAAAAAGAGAGAGAGAGAGAGAGAATGCATGTACAAAAGGGAAGGATCAGCTCAACCCAGTCGGTAGTTGGTGGCTTGATTTGTCTGGGGTCACTCGTCCACCTTTGGTCCAACCAGGTGTGACCAGTTAGGAGTGGCTTCCAGTGCCCATACAAACAGGGGTCCCAGAACTGTGGGAAGTGGATGATCCAAGATGGGTACACATGGGGAAGAAATAGTTGGCTTTGCTGCTGCAATTCCTTTTCTTCTTTATCCCTTTGGATATATCTTTATAATGATTAAAACCTCTATACTATCCTGCTCTTCTTTAGGAAATTAGGTGTCTCAAACCCACTTCACCAATTTACCTTGCATTCCCCTTTGTCCCCTTTTTATTGTGACATTTTCTGACACAGTCTGAGGATTTTTTGTCTTATTAATTTGGAATGTTTCTTTGTCTTAGGATGTTTTTCTGACTCCCTTTGTGATTGGGGCCCTTGAGAAAGTCCGAGTTTCCTCATATTTGCTCACTGGGGATTATTTAATACTGGCATTTTTTTTTTTTTCATCTGGGCGAGAACTCACTCTAGAAGACAAGGATGAATCTAAGCAGGACCTTGGTGCTTCAAAGTGTGGCACACCTTCAAAGTCACACACACCTGACACTGATTGTTGGGGGCTCCAAATCGCAGGGTGGTAAGTGTCCACAGAAGGGCAATTATGCACACAATCTATAAAAAAATAAAATTAAACACTCCTGGCTTCTAATCACTATCAGCCACTACCTCCATTGTTGATGATAGGATGTCATTTGCAATAATGATGGAAAGGGTCAGAACAAGTAGGAAATTAGGAAAAGTGTTGGATATAAAATGTGATTTAGGCTGTATAAAATTTGGGAAAGTTTTCTTCTTGAAGGGAAGCTGGGATTGAGATTATATTTTATCACTGGGGTGACCATATAATTTACCATCCATGTTGGGACACATTTGAGAGTGACAGAGTATACTATTAAGAATTACACTGGGAAAGCAGGTGTAAACCATGTCTGTCCTGGGTAAACCAGAATGCATATTCATCTTGTATCCATCACCTATGCCTGATATGGCTGCAAGTACCACGAGCTTTGCGACATTTCCTAATAACTACAAACCAGACTGGTCCTTGGCTTCACTGTCAATACCTGGGAGGCCATGGCTGACTGAGTGTGGGGAGGATGGAGGAAACTCATTTCCTGGTAAGACCATTAAGTCCTCTGCAAAGCAACAGCAGCACAGTTTGGTATCATATAATTGCTTCATTGCTGCTAGTGTGTGTTACTGTTTCCTTTGTCATAATTTTATTTCCTGTCTATTTTCTGTACTATATCGGATCCTAGGGTGGGAGCTCCATTTGTTTATGTCTATGGATAACTAAAATGTTGATGTACATGATGACTAGCACAGTGCTTGGCACAGTGTAGACACCCAGTAAAATCCTGTGCAATGAATATTGTAATGACTGATGGTCTTTCATCTTCAGAATCATCCTGCGAGCCTTTAAAATGTGGAAGACACTCCAGAAAAAAATAGGATTTCTTTCCTCCCTTTCTCCATCTTTCCCTCCCTCCCTTCTTTGTTCTTTCCTTCCTTCCTTTCTTCTTTCTTCCTTCCTTCTTTTCTTTTCCCTCCAATCATGCCCTCCCTCCCTCTGATTTTTCATTCAGTGCTGCAATGTAAGCAAGAGATCTGGGTCTTTGTCTCTGCAGAGTTCGTGCAAGCCCTGTATAAGCCAGGGATCAGTCTAGCTGTAAGTAGACTGTCTCATATGGACCTTTGGGTCAGATCAGAGCTGAAACACGGTGTCTCTCTTGGGGTTTAGGAACACTAAGAAAATCTCACCAGGCTCAGATACAACTGCCCCATGGTTCTGAGCAAGCCATGGCTACCAAGAATCCCTGGATGTATTTATGCAACAGAATTTTTTTTCTTAGATACAAGCTGCTAGAGAAGATGTGCTTAGATTGACAGAGACAAACATGACTTCCCCCTGGAAGGGAGTCCAGGATAGTGACAGGACTAGAAAGAGTTACCTGAGGATCAAATGAAGAAATGGGGGTGTTTGGACTGGAGAGAAATGGTGGGGAGACACGGTCACTGACTTCGAAAGCCCAGAGGCCTGGTATCTGGGAAGGTGAGAGCTTACCTGAATGTCTCCAGTGGGCAGCAACAGGACCAGTGGGCAAAAGCAACAGAGTTAGTTTTGCTATTAAATATGAGTCATGCATTTTTCATGGCCATATTAATAATCATTCTTTAATGAATGATTGGTCATTTTCAGAATGTGTTTTAAACCTAGTGATGGCATTCCCAAGCCAGTGGTGGTTGTCTCTGGTGGACACAGGGCACAAATCACAGAACATGGTGAATCCAAAGTACCCAGTTACACTAAGGTTACTCTTTTATATCTAATATTTCCTTTTCAATGTAACCAGTTGCCCTGTGTCTTACTCTATTTCCCTGAAAAGCTTCTATCCCTCTCAGGTTTTCTAAATGCATGGCATGGCCTGGGGCACTGTGGAGGAGAGGAGGTTTGACAATTGTCAGAAGTCCCTGCCCTCCAGGGGCTGCAAATTTAGTGAAGAAGAAAGATGCAGGCAAAAGAGCACAAGGGTGAATTTGAGGATGTTTAACTTCTAATTCTACCTCCTAATTTTCATTAAGAAGGAACCCCTGTGCTAGAACCTCAGCGAACAGTAACTTAGAGGTCATCTAGTGAGCTTGCTGAAGCTTAATTCATCTTATCTCATTTGATAATCCTGAGGATATAAGGAGGCAGGATGTCTATTTTCAGATGAGGGAGTTAATGTTTTGCAGGGTCTCATCAGCTGAAGAGTCATCCATCAGGGAAACCCCAGAGCTGGTCTCCAGGTCCTAAATTGTCTTCCTACCCCGAATCTCAGCTTTGCTTTAGGTGGTCCTGAGTGGAGGGCTGTAAGTAGCACACCCTGTCTCACCAATACTTTGTAATTTAAGAAAATAAGGCTGACCTCTAGGGATTGAACTGTGAAACCACTGTAAACCAAGCCACCATGAAAATGAAATGCTGCCATCATGGGATGAAAGAGCTCTGCAAATAGGAGAGCACAATGTGGGAGCACTTGGGGAGATACCTAAGTGAGAAGGTGCCACATAGAAGTCTTAAGATGAATTGTTGAAAGCCAATTACTGTATCTTGTGGGTGATAGCCAAAGGATAATATGTCACAACAATTTATCCACACTGAGGCACTGGCTCATGGAGCACTTCTCAATACCAAACAGAAATAGATGGTATTTACAGAATAAGGTTTCTAAAAAGACATCCTGCTCTTAAATAGGATGAAATTTGCACAGATAGAAAAAGGAGGGATCGGCCGGGTTCAGTGGCTCAGGCCTGTAATCCCAGCACTTTGGGAGGCTGAGGCGGGTGGATCACTTGAGGTCAGGAATCCAAGACCAGCCTGGCCAACATGGCAAAACCCCATCTCTACCAAAAATACAAAAATTAGCCAGGCATGGTGGCCCATGCCTGTAATCCCAGCTACTTGGGAGGCAGAGGCAGGAGAATCGTTTGAGCCCCAGAGGTGGAGGTTGCAGTGAGTCGCGATCACACCACTGCAGTCAAACTGGGTAACAGAGTGAGATTGCATCTCAAAAAAAAAAAAAAAAAAGGAAAAATAAAAAAAAGAAAAAGGAGGGATCTGGTCGTTTAGTTCAGACTCTAGCAGGAGGTACACCATGACCACATTGTAATTGGACTAAAGGGGATTACTCCTAATTAGCAGATCTAAGAGCTTACAAGACTTTTTGAATAGGAAAGGATGTGCTTCACATTCCAAAGTTACTTCATTAGAAAAAGCAGGGTTGCCCACAAAGGGGAAGTTTAAACCAAGCTTGTTTACATGTTGCATGGCAAGGCGGGATGGGACAACTATTCCATTTACCTACTGCTGTCTAATAAATTACTACCAAAATTAATGGGTTAATATAATAATTTTATCTTTCTTGATTCTGCGGGTTGACTGGACTCAGCTGAATGGTTCTCACTTGGGGTCTCCATGTGTGACAGGCAGAGAGTGGCTGGGACTGCAGCCATCTGAAGGCCAAACATGTCTGGACGCCCAACATGGCTCATCCCCTGGCTGCCAGGTACTACTGGCTGTCAGCTGGGAGTTCAGCTGGGATTCTTTATCAGAATACCTACAAAAGGCTTCCTTACATGCCTTGGGCTTCTCACAGATGGTGGATGTGGACGGATTTGGAAAGGGAAAGTATTGACAGCAAGAGATGCAAGAGAACCAGGCAGAAGCTTTCAAGGATTCTTATGGCCTAACTCCAGAAGACCCATAAGGTTGCCGTTTCTATTGATGAAGGTCACCCTTCTATGTGGGAGGTAGCAGGTTGCATGCCATGCATATAATGATGAAATGATACCACACATGCCTTTGGGAAGCTACAGCTAATCAGGAAGGCAGACAAGTGATTACATACCTGGAATTAACTAAGTGGGATGCTCTGATCAGCAACTGTCCAGGCCATGATGCAGGCACGAGAGAAAAAAAGTAGTTTAGAGGAGTAGGGGATCAAAGTGGGCTTCATAGAGGAAGTGACCACTTGGATAAAGGAAGAAAGAAGTAGTTGTTTGCTCTGGACAGTGAGCGTGTGTGCTTGAGTATGTGCATGCATGTGAGTGTGTGCATGGGTGTGTGTGTATATGCGTGTAGCATAGAGGCATTTGAAAATTCAAGAATGAGAAAACACAATGAGACGAAATAAGTAATATGATACATTCTGATAACTAAAAGATCCAATACAGCAGAAAAGCCACACACTGGAACTATAATTGCACAGGATACTACTACAAATCATCTAAAAGGATTTCACTAACAGGTAAGCTTAGAAACAAAATTAAACATTTTGCAGTACTTCTTGAATTTTCCATTATGCCATTATGTATTATGAAACTTAGCCAATTTTGTGGGGTGGTGGGAGGGTCAAGAATATGAAGTATTTCCCAAACATTTTTAAAACGTATCTATGCTGGCAGGATGGGCATTGTCCAGATTGTAATTTAGAAATCCTGGGTTAAAACCAGGAAGAAGAAGGTAGGATGGCCAGCAAAGAAATTGCACAAATAGGGGAAGGCTGTACTAAGAAGATTAGCCATTACCTTCAGGACAACTTAAAATATATATATTGCACACCTATTATGTCCCAGGCAGTCTTTAAGGCACTAAGTATCTATCAGTAAAGGCGTAGACAGCAAAGTCCTGTCTCTATGTAGTTTACCTTCTCCTGAGAGAGACAGATGATAAACAAGATAAAGAAGAAGAACCGTGTGGTGTGTTAGATGGTGATAAGCGCATGGATAAAAAGTAAGGCAGGGAGTGGCCAATGGGAGAGGATGAATTTTACATCAGCCTTGAAGGAAGGCTTTTATAGAGAAGATGGTATGTGACGAAAGACCCGAAGGGTGGGATCCAGTCCTGAGGATCTGGGGTTATTCTCCAGGCCAAGAGAATAGTAAAGGCCTGGAAGCAAAGGACTTTGGTGAATTCAAAGAAGAAAAAGGAGATCAGTGTGACCACATGGAGTGATCCAAAGGGAGAGTCCTGGAAGCGAATGTCTGTCCAAGATGGGATCATCTGGTATCCAGATTGTGAGATCCTGAGGTCTTTGGCTTTTGCCCTGAATGATATCTGGAGCCATGGGAGGGTTTTGAGCACTGAAGTGATTGACTGACTTATTTATGAAAGGGTCTCTCTTACTGATCTGTATGAGATAGATGGAAAGGGGCAAAAATAGAAGCAAGGGACTAATTAGAAGTCTCTTGCATTGATCCAAGTGAAATATGTTGGTGGCTTGGACCAGAGTGAGAGAGCTAGTGAGAATTGATTGGATACTGGATATCTTATAAAAGTAAAGCAAATAGGATTTTCTAATTGATAGGATGTGCAATGGGAGAAAAAGAGAAAAACCAAAGATAACGTCAAGGATTTTGGCTGAGCAACTAAAGAATGGAGCTCCTTTACCTGAGATGGGGGAACTTTCTGGGGAGGAGATTTGAGGGAGAAGATAAGAAGTTAGGTTTTGGACCAGTTGAGTTTCAAAAGGTTATAGACATTAACGGTATTTAAGCAGGGACATTGTGTGCTTGGATTAGCACTCTAGGAAAAACAAACAAAGCCCACTCTGGCAGCCTTAGGAAGGATGAATTAGAGAAGGAGTGTGAACAGCTGGAGTAATAGGAGACACTTCAGAAATCCAGCAAAGAGCTGTTGAGAAGCAAATTTAGACTAATGGGTTAGGAACAGGCAAGTAGGCTTAGATTCAAAGAAGTCAAGGACAAGGAAAATCAAGGAGATAAAATAAGTCAGGTTTCACAAGTGGCCTAAAGTAGGGGAGCAGAGGCAAGTTACAGCTCCAGATACAGTGCTGAGATTGACCCTTTTCTTTTAAAAGATTAGAAATACAGGAGATGGAACAGTTTGGTAGAAGGTATTGACTTCCATGGGAAAATTGCTAAATCTGAACTACCTTGCTAAAGGCTATGTGGGATGTCTAGGAGCCAGCCGAGCTGGCAGAGGCATTTACTGCCCACTCTATGTCCATGAGCTTTCTTACATTTCCCAGCATCCTTTCAATTAAGCAGGGTCATATGACTAGTTTTTGCTAATGGACTGGGGGCAGAAGTGATCTGTGCCCCTTCCAGGCCAAAGTATTTGAGAGTTATTGCACAACCCTCCAGCTCACAATGTTGCTGCCACAGGGACTAAGGAGGACACGTGTTTGGAGGTGGCAGAGCATCCACCAGCCTGGGTCTCTGACTGACTTGTGTTGGACATGCATCATGAGCAAGAAATATGTATTTGATATATAAAATTTTTGAGATTTGGGGGTTTATTTATTATTGCAACATAACCTATGCTATTCTTATTAATGCATTTTTATATGTGTCTGAAATTCAGGAGAAAGGAATGGGAACTTTAGCATTATAAATATGGCAGTTAAGTCCAGGAAGTGAATGAGATAACTTAGTGAGAGACTACATAGCGAGAACAAAGGAGGCCAGATGAAGACCCTGAACAGCAACATTTAAGAAGACGAAAGGTAAAGGGGATCAATGAAGTCTGACAGAGAGCATTCAGACATGTGAAAATTCAGTCATGGGAACCAAGGAAAAAAATTTTTTTAAAAAAAGAAGGAGAGATCAGGGTTGTAAAATGCCTTGGGATTTATTCCAACTCAATTCATTTCTATTTGCTTTAATTTAACAAACACACAGACCATCTCTTATAGTTCAGGGAAGTAGAATGGGGGCTTTGGAGAGACCAATGGATAAAACAATCCATGGGCCATTTGATGACCTTCGGGTAGAGGTCTTTCTCAGACAAGTAATGGGGGCAGATGTAAGACTGGGACAGGTTGGAAGTGAATGGAAAGTTAGAAAGTGGAGACCAGCTAGTGTGATTCTTTGAGGCCCTTTAAAATAAAGATGAAGATAAAGCAGGAGTTTTGAAGTGAAGGGGCAGAAAAGTAAGCTATATACTATACCCTTACTACATGTTAGAGAGTATGTATTGCCTCTAACAATCTAATGAAAGAGAAATTATTTCCCTTTTTCTTCCTGGGAGAAAGCAGAGTGCAGTGGCTAAACTCTGGGACCGATGGCCTTGTTGTGCCATTTATTAGCTCTAGGTATGGACTTGGGAAAGTTACTTAACCTCTTGTGCCTCAGTTTCTTCATCTGTAAGTTGGAGGAATAATACCTTTCTCACATTTGGTTATGAGAATTGAGTAGAGCAAACCAATTGTCCTACTTGCCCAGGACTGAGGGTTTTCTCAGGATGTAGAAATTTCAGTGCTAAATTTAGGATATCTGTAGACAAACTGGCCCACACTGGGTGTTTTATGATTGAGTGGCTTTAAAAATGCTAAGAGCAGTGGCTAGCAAACAGTAAGTTTTATAAAGAGGTAGCTACTACCATTGCTCGTTCTCCATGTGTCTCAATTTCTTCGTCTGTACATTGAAGATACTAGAACTTACATAATAGTTTTATGAAGATTAAAAGATGACCCATACCATGTGCAAAACTGGCACATGATAAACTCTCAACAGGAGTCATTATTGTGATGATGGTGATTATAGTGATAATAAGGAAGAAGAAACAGGCTGAGAGAAGTTAAACACACAACTAATTAGTGCAGGAACTGCAGTATGAAACTAAGTTGACCTGACTCTAAGGCTCTTGATGCTTCTTTTGTGCCATGTTGTAAGTGGGGTCAGGAAAGATTAAATGATGATGGGAATTTGATCCAAGCTTTGGAGGATGAATTGGGTTATACTTTCTTTTATTTATTGACATCATCAACAATCACTTATCAAAACTAGTCATGTGCCAGACACTGCACAGGGTAAGTAAAATAGGTGTGAAGCTACAGTCCAGTAGTTTGTGGGAATTGCAAGAATGGGAAGCAGAAGGGTACGCTGGATAGAGAGAGGGATAAACTTGGTTTAATTCTCTGTCCTATTCCCAGGATTAGAATGACTATTCACACTTGCAAAGATCCTGGGAGAAGTTAAGCCTGCTCTGCAAATCCTGAGGGGGAAGTCGACATCTAATTAGGATTTCTTGTTTATTAGGTTTAAACCAAGTAGGATGATTTTTCACACAGTCATCAAGTCCTGTCTCCATGGTCGTGTCAGCCTCACCCTCACTCCAGCCTGGCATTCATAGGTGATGTTCCAATTCCATGCCAACAGCTGATAACACGCTCAGAGAGGCTCCTAATGAATAAACATTATGTCTATTTTCAGCCTCTTTCCCATAAATTTTGGCAGGTTTTCACTCTGAGTTTCGGGGGTAACTTACCTCCGAGCTTCCCTTCAAGAATAAAGACCCTACTAAAATGCTCCTTTAACAAATATAAATAGATCCACTGTGTGATTTGAAACTGATAAACAAGAGGCATTCAGTGAGCTCCCAATTAACTAATCTTTTGATAATACATACAGCCTCCTTTTAGCAAAATCTTTCTCTTTGTGGAGGCAGCTTCAAGCTGGCAGGAGAGAAGGGGTGGGAGGCTGTGTCCCCAGATGCTGAGTCTGAATGGATCACTAGGGAAGAGTTTATTTAAACAAAAACTCTTTTAAGGATTAATCTGCTTCAGGTAAGCTAGAGGAATAAGACCAAACCAAGTGAGTTGACAGTAAAAGAGCGAACAGGTAAACATTGCCTGAGAATAAACTTGCACAGATCATCAGCCCCCATGTACTGAGGTGGATGAGGTCTGGGCCTCCAGACAGAGCTCCTGGTGCCATAGAACCTCTCACCCAACAGAGAATGTCCTTAGAATCGAAGGTCTCAATGTCTTCCACCAGAGGCTGGGAAGGACCCCAGCCAAGATTTGCATTCCAGATCCTTTCCAATGTGCCCAGGAGTGGAATGACCTGAGATTCAAGTCTGACCCAGTGTTCTTAGATATCATGGGACAATCCCGAGAAGTCAAGACTTGTTAAAAAATCCTAAGGGCAAGAATATGCCCAAACCTGGGTCAGTTTCCACCCACAAATGAAGTGAAAAAAAGGGACCTAGGCCAGGCAACATGGAGGGCTCTTGGTCATTGCCCAGTGGGACTCAGGTACCCAGGAACACTGAGGGAGGTGGCTGCACAGGACTGGGCTGAAGCTGCTGTGCTGGGAGGAAGGCATGACAACCTCAAGGTAAACAGTTCCAGTGATAGGCTCTCTCCTTCAAATGTCCTTCCTTCATTCAGTCAGGTTCTCATTTATTGTAGTCCTTCAATTGTTTTGTTGTTCTGAAGCACCATTATTCAGTCAGTCAACTAATCCACATACATACAATCAGGAAGTCAGACAATCCTTTAATTCACTCACTCCGTCACTCACTCTTTCATTCACCTATTCATTGACTCAGTCTGTCGGTCAACAGTTTAGCCACTCATACATTGTCCGTCATGTACTCTTTCATCCATTCAATTGTGACTGTTATTCAGCCAATTAATTATTCACACGCATTTAGCCCCAGGCAGTCATTTGACTCTTTGACTCATTCATTTATCAAGCTAGTCCTTGCTTCTGTCAGTCAATCGGTGATTACATAATTAGTCATTTTACCCATTCATTTGCACATATATTCAAACATTTAAGGCTAGTCGCTAAATCATTTTTTCATTCATGTTTTTATTCATTTATTCATTGGTCTTTCAGTCACTCTGACAGTCAGGCAATCAGTTACCCAGTTAAGCAGTGAACTTGTCCAGCAGGCCTCGAGGGAACAGCTTCTAATCAATGCTTTTCTTAAATTTAACTTGAATTTGCTTATAGCCCATAATGCTCAGACTATGAAGTATGGCTCTGTTTCCTCTCTTTATTAAACCCTAGTAATAATAAACCTTAGAGCCTGAAACAAGAAGTATCTGTGCACAAAACGAGTCATCAAATTCATGTACCATGAGGCCTGAGCAGCAGGTGGGTTGAGCCTCCAATTGACCCAGGAAGGAGGTTACACAGAGGCTCTAGACATCTGGGGACAACCCCATGGGACCAAGCCTAAGATCCATCTCAGAACAAGCACCTAAAAAGGTTTTCAAAATTATGTCTTTCCCTGGATTAAAAAGTGATACACATTCATTGGAAAAAAGAGAAAGGTTTGAATAAAAAAATAAAAATCAGTCAAAAGCCCGCCAGCCAGAATTAACAATTGCTAATATTCTAGTGTGTGTGTATATATATATATAGTGTGTATATATATAGTGTGTGTGTATATATACAGTGTATATATATATAGTGTATATATATATAGCGTGTATATATATAGTGTATATATAGTGTATATTGTGTATATATGTATATGGTGTGAGTATATATATAGTGTATATATATATAGTGTGTGTATATATATACTGTGTGTGTGTGTGTATATATACATATACATATATACACTTGTGGACACACTTTTACCAAAAAATAATATATAGTTTTTATTAATTCATTATTCTAAGAGCAATGTATGACTCATATAGAAATTCTTGTACTTAAGAGAGTTTGGTTTATTGGAATAGCAGTTAAACTTTGTGATCACAATTAAAACGAATAATTTAGTAATTGATTTGGACTTAAGTTGAATTTTTACTGGATTTATATACAGTACTTGAATATTTTCAATACCATAAGAATCACTATGTTTATGAGTTTAATGTAATCTATTAGAGTGATAAGACTTGAGCACATGAGAAATTTTGTTAAAGTACTAAAAATAGAATGTATCAAAATTATAAAGACAATTGAAAACCTTAAAGTTTATAAATGGGACGTATATATTAATCAAGGTCTCCTTTTAAGTGATTGTTAATTTTTGCTAGACTTTTACAAACATAAGAATAATATTTATAAGCTGAAAGTAAAAGCTTGAGAAAGAACACAACTTTATTTTTAAACTTTATACATTCAATATTAACTTTTCAAATCAAGATAATTTGTGAGTGACTTTTCATGTACAAATAAGCTCTCCTTGAGGGCATTAAACACTCAGTCTTATGGCTACATCAACAAAGAGGGAGTGTACATCCCGTATCTTCCATGTGGGCTGCCTCTTCTCAGAAGATACATCGTGGGCTGACTTTTTTCTACGTGGGAAGGTATCAAAGACGACAACCAAATTTCTGATTTCAGCCTCTAGTGGTTGGTCTTGCCATTCACTAAAAATGTCATGCTGCGCTGGCGTGTGTGTGTGTATGTATGTGTGTGTGTGTCTTCAATAGCGGTCTAAACCCTAGAGATGGAGAGACAACAATTATTCACCTTCGTGGCTCTGGAGCCCAGCCCCATGCCTGGCACACATCAGATGTCCTAGCAAGATGCTCAGGTATGTAAAGAAAGGTCATGGTGGCCAGTGCAGGTGGACAGGCTCTTCAATACGCTGCCCCTCCTCTGCCAGAAGAACTTCTACTCTGGATGTTCCTCCTCATCTGCGAGTTTACTCTTTGTCAGGGTAAACTCCCAGAGATGGAAAACCCAAAGAGATCTTGCTTTCCAGCAAGTCTTCCTCAACTTCCAGGGCCTCTTAGTTCAGCCATTGCCTCTGATTATTCCCAGTGTGAGTTTAGACAGGCTGCTGAGGGGCTTGTCACCATGAGATTCCTGAGCTGACACTTAGACTGTCCAAGGTTACCTATCAGAGATGAAAAAAAAATAAAAGGCATTGTGAAAAATGCCTAACCGCTGACAACTTGTTCTTTAAAGACCCCAGGCAATGAGCTTGCCTGATCTATTGGGAAAGAAAAAAAACTACTTTGAGACAGAAGGGCTGCCTTTCACCCTTGAAAATTCAGCCTCCGAGGCTCCAGGGAGGTGAGGGGTGAGTCAGCTCACAGAGACTCCAGACAGGCTCGGTGAAGAGGACACTGGAAAAACGTAGACAATTGCAATCTGCAGTCCTTCTCCAGAGCTCCATGGCTGCCACCACTTTTTCTCTAAAATTTAGCTCAAAGGCTTCACCACGCTTCTGCGGGAAGCCTCCCCGGCTCCCTTTCTGTGCTGATTGGTAAGTGAGTGCCTCACATGGACTTAATGGTGTATTCAGACACCACGAAGGGTAAATATATTGCAGAGCAGGAAATCGAAGCCCAGAGGTTAAAGAAATCACTCCCATACTGTCCTGTTGGTGAATGGTCTGGCTGGGGTTTGAAGCCAGAGCTGCTTTGTGTTCAAATCTGAGGCTCCAGCCCCTTCCTGTATTTCCTCGGACTTCCTTAGCCAGGTAGTGTTTTCTCCTAGTGCCCTTTCTCAAGCACACAGAAAGGTGCTCTTTCCAATCCCCGGGAGCTATCTTAGCTCCTTCCTCTGCAACTCTCCAGCCTTTGTTCTCTGTCTAGGAAAATCTTACTCCTGATTTCAAACCTTCCCCCTAGGTCTTGAGTTTGAATTTCAAAATGCTAATTCAGATTCCCTTATTTTCCTGGGTTGCAGAAAATGTTTTCCCAAATCTATTTTTGTCAGTCCAAGAATAAAAGCTAATGTCCTTGGTTTTTGTAAAAGGAGCTTGTTGTTGCTCTCTTTTTGTCTCCCCTACTCCAGAAAAAAAAAAAGGAGAGAAGGACAAACAATATCTACCCTCCTCCTTTATATATAAACTTGAGTGACTTCCTGGGCTTGCGGGCAGGTGAGCTGCTGACAAGAATGCTCTCAAGTGACCCATAACACATCCCCATGGTACATGTGGTTGTGATTCAGGAAGTGACCATCTGCCTCTTGGACCACCTGCTGAATCCTCCAGTTAGGGTTCCCCCATTGGCCAAGGGGTCTACCTGCTTCTGTGCACTCTGGGCCATTTTTCTTGACAAATGGTGTTTATTACAGATAATTTTCCTCTTGGCACTGTTTCAGTCCCCAATTTAGGCTTAATGTTAACATGCCCTTAAGCTATTCTTTTAGGAGGTTGGCAGGGGTGAATTCATTCCCCGTGGGTATGATTGTGAATTCTGATTAATGCAAATGCTATATGACTTCATCATTTTCACACTCAAAACCCTACTCCATGGCACTCCTGAGTCAGAGTTGGAGTCCTGCCAAATGCTGTATGTGGTTGTGGGAGGGCTGGCACAATGACACAGGCTCACCCCTTGTATCCCTCCCCAACTTACCCCTCTCTCCATGGTCAGACTTAATACGTCCTTTCACTGTTCCCTTCATGTGTTGTATTTGTATTGCCTGTTTTCATCTATAGCAATAACTATTAATTGTTGAATATAAAAGCATTTTCCTTTTTGATTTTATCCACTTTTCACGCTCATGTCTGCAACTCTCTGTGGCTATGGTTTTGTAATCAGAAAGCTTTAAGTACCAGAACCTCCAGTTTTCCTGAACACCTGAGACATTTTCAGGTTATACTCATACATCCTTGTACACATACACTACTAACTCAGTTCTTTCACCCTTTCAGCAGAGCAAAATATGTGGAAAGCAAATTTGAAGATCCTATTGGAACAATGCAACATTTGGAAATCTTCTCCAATAAAATCTCCTCTTATCTCTACAATCAGAATAAATCCTTCAGCGTTGGGAAGACAAAATCACTTCTCATCTGTGCCTAAGCATGGAAGTGCTCTTAAAGCACTTTTACCCTTCTCTCTTTTCTAGTTTTTATCATGGTTCTCCTAGTATTCCAGGCTGGAAACTGTTAATTATATTTAACTTTTCAGCCTCCTCTGTCTCCATTATATAATGAATTACCAAGTTCAATAAATTTTTCTTGCTCAATGTGCCTTCTTTTCTCCCACCATTCTTCCCATCTATCCATCCATTCATCCATCCATCCAACCAACCAACCAACCATCCATCCAACCATCCACCTGCTTATTCATCTAGTCATCCAGACACTCACCCTTTATCACCTCTTCCATAACTAGCTATAGGACCCTGGATATCCAATGTTTGACCTGAACTTCAAACCATAGGAACACTAAATTCCATATGAGCTGGGATAGGTCTCTCCCCAACTCTACCTTCTTTCCCCCGATATGAGAAAAGTTGCAGCACGTAAAGTTTTTGACTTATATATTATTAAAGGTAAGCATTGACAGGTGAGGCAAGATCAGCTACTTCTTTCATTTATTTTGAATTTTTTATCCATGCTGTCAATATCAGCCTGAGTCCAAGGTTAAGAATTTCCACTTCCTTGTGAGGCTTCCCTACATAAGCTCTGATAATGGCAGTAGCTTTCAGAGATCCAGAGTGTGGCTCCAATCACAGTGATTGAGTGAAGTTCCTCAATGAAGAAATGAAGAGAATGGGGTTTTTAACAGAGAAATGCTCTTCTGCCCTCTTATTGGATTGCTCTTTAGCCTATCACCTCATTCATTCATTCATTCATTCAACAAACAATTTATTGAACACCTAGAATAAACAAGGTGTGTCCATTTGAACTTGGGGTATAGTGATGAAAAAAAAGTTAGAATTCTAACTCTCAAGCAGCTTTTAATCTAGAATGGAAGAAAAGGAAGGAATGAATCGTGATTCTGATTCCATGATGACTGCTATGGTGGTTTATGAGAGGACAGAGGGGGACGTGCATCTGAGCTCAATTGTTAAAAAAAAAAAAAAAAAAAAAAAAAAAAAATAGCAAAGCATGAGTTTGGTGGAGGAGGAGGAGAAAGAACATTCCTGGAAAGGGAGGAATAGAATGTGCAAGGTTCAGAAACTAGCAGAAATATAGCAGATTCAGGGGACTTCAAGGTTTGATACGGAAAAGTGGTAAGAGATGAACTGAAGGAGTTTCTCAAAGGCTAGAGTGTGATGATAAGATATTTGGACTTTTTCCTGAAGATGATCAGGATCTATTAAAGCATTTCTAAGGACAATTGAGTTTCTAAGGTCAATGTTGTTAAAACAAGCTTCATTGGCAGTGTGTTATCCCACACACTTTAATAGCACCCATGACTTTAATAGCACCCATGAATTTTGCGCAGTGTGAGAGAGCCTTGAAGAATCCCAGGCTGGCTAAAGAGGAAATATCAGACCAAAAAATTACAAAGAAAGACTCTGAAGAGGTAAAGGCTTGCGTAGGCATGATAAGCATCACTGATCCAACATGGACGTTCCTTCTACAAAAATACAATCATGCCTCCTTTACACCTAACATCCTGCCAGCTGCTTTTAGGGGTGAAAAATGAAACACGAATAATATAGTCCATGCCTGTAGAGAGCAAACAAGTGGAAAGTTTCATCAAAGCATCAGTTTTTCTCCAGATGACCAGTCTTGTACCTCTTTCCATTATCTGTCAACTCTCCACCATTCAATTAGTTTTGTGTCTGATTCCAGGCATCTCAGCAGTTGCTGATCACAGCCAGAATCACTTAAGCCCTTGAGCCTTCTCAGATCTTCAGCCTTCACAGAGCTCTCTGTTTTTAACGATCTTTCATCTGAAAAGTTGTCTCAAAGCACACCCACACACACAAAGGTACTAATGGGGTAATAATAGTTGGGGATGTTGGGAGGATTTAGAACACATTCTCTGAAGGCTAGGAGCTTCATAACATGGGGGAAAGGATTGCACCAATCCATTTGTAGAGTGTCTCCACCTGGGAACACTATAATCTCCATTTTTAGCATCTTGATCATTTTTTCAGCTAAGTTCACCTTTCCTTACAGTTTTTTTCTCTTTTCCCTCAAGGTTGTTCACTTTATTTTGATCTAGAGGTCTGTATTTGGCCATTCTCACATCGCTATAAATAATTACCCAATACTGGGTAATTTACAAAGAAAAAAGGTTTAATTAGCTCATGGTTCCACAGGCTATACAGGAAATATGATTCTGGCACCTGCTCACCTCCTGGGGAGGCCTCAGGAATCTTACAAACATGGTGGAAGGCAAAGGGGAAGCACACCCATCACATGGCCAGAGCAGGAGCAAGAGAGAGAGGGACAAGTGCCACACATTTTAAATGATCAGATCTCACAAGAACTCACTCACTATCATGAGGACAGTACCAAGAGGGATGGTGCTAAACCATTCAGGAGAAACCAACCCCATGATTTAATCACTTCCCTCCAGGCCCACCTCCAACATGAGGGATTACAATTTCACAGAAGAATTTGGTGGGGACACAGATCCAAACCATATCAAAGTCTGAACATCTTTGATTTGTCTTCTTTTGTGATCTTCATTATGTTTCAAAATACAGCAATCTCTTTTTTTATGAATCTTAACTTTTTTTTTTTTACCCCTAGTTCTCAGATTTCTCAGAATTTTCTGGCTTCTTGTGGACAGTATGGAGGTTGAAGTTTTCCATTATGCCTTTCCAATGCCAGTGGGACTAGTAGATGGAGATTCGAGAATGAGTTGAAGGCAAGTGGGAGAGCTGATTAACCTGGGAGTTGGCACATTACAAGACTCAGGAAATGCCAGGGTCAGGAATAACCAAAAAAATAATTGAATCCAGTGCCTTCATTTCTCAAATAAGAAAAATAAAGCTAAATGTGTGCTCCATGTCACACAGCCAAATACCAAAAGCTGCCTAACTCTGGATCCTTATCACACAAACACTTCTGAGCATTTGGACTTATCACCTCTTACCTGAACCTGCAGCTCCACTCCCTCCTGTATGAGCAATGTTGGAGTCCATCTAGATCATGAAAACCTCTGCTCTCCAAGAAATTCCCTAGGCTACCTCTTACTGTTAGCTATGCTTTATCATATGGCCTCAATCTCCTGAACATAGCTGATTGAACCGGTGATGGCTTAAACTGAAATGAATTTCTCATTCTGAAGTGTGAGATCAGACCTAAGAGAGATTTGAGTGTGGCCTCCTTGTGGATGGAACTGTAACTCGGAAGTGTGGGAGCAGCCATCATCCACCCAGCACGTAGAGCACAAAGCTGGACAGCTGACCTGCAGAGAACAAGATGAAGCAGCAAAGATAGGAGAAGCAGAGACAAAGAGCAGAGAGAGAGAAAGTTGATTCACTGGTTTCTTGTGATTTTTCACTTCCTCATTGCTGTCCCTCTCTGATGCCTCTTTCCAATTTGGCCCTTAGAGTTAATGTAAATGTACTGAACATTTGTGATGTCCCAGGCACTCTTCTAGACATTGGGACTACAGCGTGGACAATAAAGTGACAACCCGTGATCTTCTGAAGCTTACATTTTAGCGTGGGCAGGTAGACAACAAACAAGTAAACATGTAATTAAATGAGATTATTATTTTGGATAGTGATAGGTACTGTGGATAAATGTTAAAAAGGATGAGAAATAAAAAATGACTGGGATGGGGTTGTGGGTTATTAGATTGCATGGTCAGAGAGGACAAGGGCCACCTAGCATGACTGGGCTGATTGTGCCTGTACAACTTTAGTGGACACCATTAGCATAAATTTTGATGGGAATGGTGCCCACTGCAGTTGTGCAGTGCACAACATGGACAACTGTAGGCAACAGCCCTGGGGAAGGACTCTTGAGAAAGGAATATTTGTGATCACATCTGGATGACAACAAGGAGTCAGCCATGTGGAAACATGGGAGAATATCATTCCCAGCAGTGGAAACAGATGGTGTAATGGCCCAAAGTTGGGAATCACTTTGTCTGGTACAGTTAAGCTTTGTTGCTCTTCCTCCTAAGATTGTTTGTGGTTCTACATAGGAAAATCTTGAGGCTCTAGTTTACTAGAGAGATAATATTCAATGAAGACTCACCAAGATTTGCTAAATACTTGAAATTGGTTGTGTGCTTAATTGTCACAATACAGAAGAATTATGATGAAGCTTATAGTGGTTGACTGACTTGCTCAAAATCACAGAGCCAGTAAGTGAAATATCTGAGATTTGGAAAAAAATTCATCTCACTCCTGAGCCTGCACTCTACATTAGGACCAGGTATCCAAATACAGAGAAGTTCTAAACAGCTAAGTGAGAACAATGTGTTTGAATGTTTGAAACTCTGGATAAAATGCATTATTTCCTGAAAAACTGTAAATTACCAATATTGATCATGGAAGGAAAAAACGCCCCAATATAACAACAACCAGAGCTAAAACTGGGGAAGATGTAAAACAAAAATTAAGAAGAGGACGCTGGTTTCTGACAGTTTTTCACAAGAATTCTTTCAAACCTTCAGTGAATAGATGCCACCCAAGTTATCTGAAGTGTTTCAAAGTTTAGAAAAGAATCTAACGCTTCCTAATTCACCTTTTAAAAATATTCAGTAAAACACCCGACTAATTCCCTATATCTTTTCCTGTCCTCCATTAACGTACTCAGAGACATAAGCTGTGCACCTAAGAAATAAGAACATATTTGAAACACATTCAGGAAAGAGGAAAGAACTCTTGGAAATTAAACATTTGGCATTAGAATAAAAATTCAATATATGAATAGAAGACAAAGTAAATGTAGGAAAAAAGCAGAAAAGTAAAGATGAAGAAATGAATGAAAAAGAAAGCTAGAAGAGCAATGAGGAAGTGTGACATTTCATAAATAGGGACGCTATTAAGAAAAAATTGTGAGTAAACCAAAAAAGGGGAAGACATGAAGGTCCAGAAAAGTAAATCCAGCACAGAAGAGCAAGGGTGTGGAGGATAGCAAAAGGAGTGCTTCAAGATATGGGCGGGACTATCTGAAGCATTTGGCTGTGCCCAGAGGAATTTTACAACTATGTCAGACAACCTGTGAGATGTACACAGAAACCAAAGCAAACAAGGCAATTAAGACAAGCATTAGAAGAAAAAGAAAATTTTGGTCAAGATAGAAAATGTAGAAATGCAGTTATAACACACTACCTAACTCAGCTGTGAAATTTCTCATAACAATGTCATGGAGTCGGAAAGAGACCTGGTGATACCATGCATGACTGAGTAAGAGGTGCTGGGAGCTGTGATGGTGAAAGCTGAAGATAGAGGGGTATGATCTTCCAATGGTCCAAAGCAGAGGTCTGTACACATTCTGTAAACAGCCAAATGGTTAATATTTTAGACTTTGTTGGTCACATGGTCTCTGTTACAACCACTCACCTCTGTCATTATAGCACAAAAGCAGCCATAGACAATAAACAAATAAATACGGCAGCATTCCAAGAAAATTTTATTTACAAAAGTAGGTCGTGGAATGGATTTGGCCAATGGATCCATAATTTGGGAACCTCTGTTCCCAAGCAGTGCTTCTCAAACTTGAGTGCATAGTAGAATCACCTGGGGAGCTTTCAAAACTCCTGATGTCCAGGTCAAACCCCAGACCAATCACATCAGTCTTTGGGAACCAGGTATCAGGGGGTTCTATTGTGCAGCCAAGTTTGAGAACCATGCAATAGGTCCATCTCATTCAGGAGGGGTGAAAGTCTAAATGCCAAATGTAGCTGCTCCATGTCTCTGGCTCTCTGAGGTCATTTGTTTATTCATCCAACAGGCCACTCACTAATGGGTTTCCACTGAGGTCACAGAAACACAATCTTTTGAGTATTAGTGTAAAAACTCCCAACTAAACCAGAAAGGACATCATTAATTCATTTATTCATTTGATAAACACTGACTTAGACCTTCATCTGCCCCAGTCACTGTGATATGCCTGGGAATACTGAGTTGATTAATGATTAATTCTAGTGATCGAGAAGCTCCAGACCAATAAGAGGAATGGATTTCAACATAATAATATTTACTCCCTTTACTTTTACTGAGTATTCTATGCTAGAAACTGCACTTAGCAATTTGTCCACATTATTTATTTTTACCTTCATAAAGCCTTCTGATGTAAGCAGCATTGTGCCTGTTTTACAGATGATGAGCCTAAGGCTTCAAGAGTAACTGATCAGGCCAGGCACGGTGGCTCACGCCTGTAATCCCAGCACTTTGGGAGGCCGAGGCGGGCAGATCACCTGAGGTTGGCAGTTCGAGACCAGCCTGACCAACATGGAGAAACCCCATCTCTACTAAAAATACAAAATTAGCTGGGCGTGGTGGCACATGCCTGTAATCCCAGCTACTCAGGAGGCTGAGGCAGGAGAATCGCTTGAACCCAGGAGGTGGAGGTTGCAGTGAGCCGAGATAGTGCCATTGCACTCCAGCCTGGGCAACAAGAGTGAAACTCCATCTCAAAAAAGAGAAAAAAGAAAGAGTAACTGATCGAAGGTCATACAGCCACTGAGTATGGCAAAATTAGGGATTCAAAGTCAGGTGTTACTAGAAACTCAACTTCCGTGGTCAGTACTCTGGTAGAGGTGAACCCAGGTAACTGGGTATTTCAGTTCTCTATTGCTGTGTATCAGTACTCCCCAAACTCATTGGTTTGAAATAACTATCATTTATTTGTCTATAATTCTGCAATTTGGACTGGGTTCAAGTGGGCAGGCTAGTCTCCCCAGGGTCACTCAAATGGCTGCATTATTCTGAAGGCTCAATGGGGGAGAGATGTTGAAAAAGGATTCACTCACATCTGGCAGTCGATGAAGACTGTCACCTAAGGTCTACTCTATGTGGTCTCTCGAGCGAGTTTCTTAGGTCATGGCAGCATTCCAAGATCACAAGATCTTATGCACCAGTGCTTCTCAAACCTCTTCTTGGGCAGAGTTTACTGATGCCCCATTGGTCAAAGCAAGTTCACACAGCCAAGCCCAGAATTAGTGTAGGAGGGGACCCATGCAAGGGTGTGGGTATTGGCAGGTGTGATTTGTGGGGGGACCATTAATAAAACAGTCAACAACAGTAACTGAGCCAAGGTTGTAGACAGAGTGAGTGAAGTAAAATTAGAGGTTCCATGCCAGGGCCTACCTTCCTACAAACCCCAACCCATGTGGTATATGCTCTGCTAGAGGTAAAACCAGGTTCCTAAGAAAGCTCAGGTGAGGAGCTGGGGATGACTTCATGGAAGAGAAAATGCCTTTGCTGAATCTGGAAGAATGAAAAGTTAGCCAGAAGCCAAGGCCAGCATGGGTCATGGTAAGGAATATTCTGTAGGGTCAGAGGACATTGTGGGAAGTGGTGAGAGAGAACACCAAATGGAAGAAGAATGGTTGGATCCTGATGGTCCATTAGTGTGAGCATGAATTTTGTTCTCAGATGCACTGAGCACAGGGAGATCCACAGTGTTGTTAAAAACTAAGGGGCTTTTTCATGCAAGTAATGAATCTGGCTGGAAATTTGATGTACATAACTTGGTGATGGCTCCATGCCCTTGAGTTTCCTCAGAGCTGCCATTATCTGTGGAAATAATAGGTACCCCATGAAAACAAAACCCATTAGTTGCATCACATTCCAAGTCAGCAAAGACTAAAAGATGTCTTCTTAGAAAGGAGGAAAAATTCATAACACATGATGCATGCCACGTTGTCAGTATTGGTAAGTCAGTTGAGTCTTTACTTCTGAATCACTTGGGTGTCATTCAAAATATTGTTTTGCAAGACAAAAGAGGTCCAGAAAGTCTAATAATCAGGGAAGCTTCCTCCGTTTGCTATATTGTCACTTGCCAACTATGAGAAGAAGTAGAACTGTGAAACATTTCATCTGAGTTGGAAACTTGGAACTTGACTTTTCTGAGTGGGCTGTAGTTTTGGCAAAAGACATTTTTCTGCCCCAAGGATTTTATTATGCCTGATTTTTCTGATTGTTGCCAAGATGGGTTTAACTTATTTTGTTTGCTCCCCAGTGAGAACTTAGATTTACTTAGAAAATTTGGTTCACAGGGTACTGCTGAGCCATTAAGGCCAGCAAGTGGGTGAATAATAATAGTTTATATGTCTACAGCACCACATCATTTACAAAGCATTGTCACACACTTTATCTCGTTGAAGCTTGGCAGCAAATTTGTGAGAAAAGCAGGATTGGCAAGGTTATCCCCATTTTATAGACAACTAGATCTTTTCCAGGACCCTGGGCTCAGTGAACTACCCTGTCATCTGGTTGAGCAATCCAGAATCAAAGTGTCCTCCTTAATACCTCTCTCCCTCTCATCAGCCCATATCCAAGCCTTGACCATGTTATCTTTGAAGTATGTTTTACATTTATCCACTTCACTCTATTTCTTCAGCCACCATTCTAGCTTAAACCATCGTTGTCTCTTATCTGAGCAATGCCATACTCCCTTCACCTGGCTCTCAGCTTGGCCCCCTTAAAGCGATTTTCCACAAAGCAGTCAAAATGATCATTTTGAAATGCAAAACTATGTCACTTCTTGGCTTAAAACACTTAATTGACTTTTCATTATGCCTGGGACAAATGCAAATGTGCTTAGCACAGCCTAAAATGCCCCAGGAGATGTGGCTCCCTTTTCTTCTGTACATCTCAATCCTTTTCTTCACTGTCTTGCTCAAGACATCCTGAACTCATTTCTCCAGGCTCCCTCCAGCCGCAGCACCTTTGTACAGGCTGGTCTCTCTGCATGGAGGTTCTTTCCTGGTGTTTTTACCTAGTGAAGTCCTTCCCATGCTGTAGAGCTCAATTGTCACTTTCTCATGGAAGCCTTCTCAGATACCCTTGAGTACGTCAAAACTCCCCATTACACACTCTTGAAGAACAGTGACCCCCCCCAACCCAATCACAGCTGCAAGCTTAATTTTATTGTTGGCACAAGTATTATCTACCTCGCCCATTAGACTCCAAGCCCTATGTAGTCAGGGTCAAGGTGCCCTGTGAACTGCCTAGAATACAGAATGTGTTCAATAACTAATTGACAAATGAATAAATGGATTGAGAGAGGAACGGAGGAATAACTAAAGCTCATCAAGTTTTGTTACTAAAAGCCACTCCATCAGAACATGTTTCAGAAGCCTCTAACTCCCCATATCAGGACTTCCCTGCCAAGTTCCCAGTGTCACCAGTAGCTGTGAATCTTGCTCTGTAAAATTTTCCTCAGCCTCAGATCCCATCAAATTCAGACTTTCCCCTCTCATCAAAATTCAAATCTGATCCATGCCTTACTCTTCCTAGACATTGCTCGTATTTAACTGAGAGTGCCAGGGCCTTAACACTTAACACAGAAGTTTTAGATGCCTTCAGGATTTTGGAGAAGTTGGGTGCCTTTCAAGCATCTCTCAAAGCATACTGTGGAGCATCTGCTTGCCTGCTGTCCCTACACTGACTCAGTGGTTGCAAAATCTCTAATTGTATGGCTCAGAACATCACATTTTAGTAATGGGTGCTTTGCCCTTGGGATTTTCTTCCACACATTAGCCATTTCCAGGAGTCATTCTTGGACACGTGGCCTCCCAACTTGTCCCTAAGGCATTGGGTGGGGTTATTGGTAACTGACATTTCATTGCAAAAGGTGTAATCAAAAATCATTTCTATTGGTATATTTGCAACTCTATTCTTCTGATCAATTACAGTTGTCCCCCTTTATCCTTGGGAGATATGTTCCAAGATCCCCAGTCGATGCTCAAAACAGTGCACAGCACTGAACTCTGAATACAGTAGCTTTTTTCCATCTGAAAACTAAAATGGCCACTAAGTGACTAACAGGCAGATAGCATATACTGTGTGTATATGAACAAAGGGATGATCCAAATATCAGGTGGACGGGGCAGAATGGCAAGAGATTTCATTGTGCTACACAGAATAGTGAGCAATTTAAAACTCATGAATTGCTAATTTCTGGAATTTTCCATTTACTTTTGGACCACAGTTGATCATGGATAATTGAAACTACAGAAAGCTAAATTGTGGATAAGAGGAGGCTACTGCACCTCCTGATTCCAATCATCCCTCTCTGTCTGTTGGATTTCCATGCATCCAGCAAAACACAGCTCAAAGCATTGCCTCCAGGTAGGCGCTGCTTGCTCTTATCACATGAAACCAATCATTCCTTCATTAGGACTAGTGTTCAATACTCTGCAGGTTCTATTGTGGTGCCTATTTTGCTAACTAGTTATCATTTACAGTGATGGCTCCTTAGCATTTTAATTTGCATTGTTCTGATTAACTTAACCCATCATATACTTGGTTGCTATTTTTTGAATTATCTATTCATATCCTTTTTTGTTATTCAGAGAAAAAATCTTAAGGTGCCTAATTTTTTCTTGCTGATATTCAAAATTTAGATGCTCAAAATAGTTTGTCAGTTATATATTTTGAAAATATATTATCTCGGTCTTAGCAGGTTATTTTTTAACTTTGTCTATGGTTTCATTCCTGAACAGCAACCTTATATTAATACTTGATGTAGTCAAATCCATTTCTTTTTCTTATAGTTCCTTTCAAGAATTTTCAAAGAAATTATTCTCCACCTCAAAATCTGAAAGATAAGTTCCTACATTTTCCAATATATTTATAGTTCTGCCCATCATATTTATGTTTCTATGAAAACAAAGGTTTCCTGTATCGTGTGAGGCAGGGATCTAATTTTAAAATATATCATGAGTCAATATTCCCAGTATCTTTTAGTAAATAATTTATACTTTTAGCACAGATATTGTACCTTTGTCATAGGTGGGATGATTCAAATACTAGTGATATCCTCACCACTCACTAAAAGTGGTGATCAGAGGCTGAAAGAAGTTCAGCTATATCATTTTGTATTTCTCAGCAACAGCAAACACCGTCAACTAGTCATCCTTTTTCTTAAATATTGTGGCACCTCATTCTCTTGGTTTTCCTTTGACATCACTGGTTACTTCCTCTTAGTCTTCTTAGCTGGTTTCCTCTTCTTTTCCCAATCTCTAATATTAGGATGGCCTAGAAATCAATCTTTGGAGAACTTCTCTTCTTTATCTCAACACTATTCCTAAGTAATCTCAGCAATCCCTATGACTTTAAATGCGATCTACATACAGATAGCTTCTCAAACCTGTATCTTCAGACAGAACTTTTCCACAGAACTCTAGGTTCATAGATCCATTTTCTACTTTACATCTCTTCATAGATGTCTAATACCATCTCTAACTTTACCTGAACCAAATAGAATTCTATTCCTTCCTGCCCTACAAAGCTGTTCCTCCCCAAGGCTTCTCCATTTCAGTAAGATCACAGCACTCCTTCCATGTGCTCAATCCAAATTCTAGGGCTAATCTTGGATTTGTCCTTGTATTCAACTCCTATGTCCAACCAGTTGGAAGTTTCCATTAACCACCTTTCTAAACACCTCCTAACCCATATGCTTTTGTCCATTTCACTGATATACCTCTTGTCTAAGTCACCAACACCTCTCTCCTAACTACTTCCCCATTTCTACTCTTGTCTCCTTGTAATAAATATGGAAATAGCAGCCAATCTGATCAATTATAAATGAGATCACCTCACTTCTCTGCTCAAAATCCTACAGGGACTTCTAATAAAGACTTCATCCTTGACCAAGCTTTAGTCTGGCTCCTCTGAGCCATCTTCTTGACTAGGCCATTGGCTTGCCCACCCTGACCTTGGTCTGCTAAGCCCAGTTTAGTGAAAATCCTCAACCCTCATATCTGATGAAGTTCCTCATTCTCTACCCTTGATATGTAAATCCTTAACCTGCCTTCAGCAAGAATCTTCTTAAGATAGTTTAGCAAGAATTCCCCTACCCTTGATGTCTGATCAAGCTCCTGTTAGTAATTTTCCATCTGATGACCCCCTCACTTTGCTCCTTGGCTATAAATTCCTCAGCAATCTTTGCTCTATTTGGAGTTGAGTTCAGTTCCAAATTATACAATGTAGAGCGGAATCCTGTACATCTACATTGAGTCTCAGGTCCCTCTTTTTCCTACTATAGTAGCTCAAGTAAAATCTATCTTGTCATTTTTGACAAGTGTCCAGTGAAAAATTTTTCCTTTACACTTCTTATTACACTTAGAATAAAGCCCACATGTACTAATTTAGCTATTAGCTCCTCTTCCTCTCTCCCTCTCTCCCATGCGCTCCAGCCACACACTGGTCTTTTGCTTCACACAAGCACACGTCAGATTCTTCTCACCCTAAGGCCTTTGTGCTAGTTCTTCCCATAGCCTGGACCCACTTACACATGACTTTCACCTAACTGATTCCCTCTTGTTATTTAATTTTTTATCTAAACATCATAGCCCCAAACGAATCCATTCTATTACCCACTCTGAAGTCACTGCTCCTGCTCCTTCTATCCCATCGCTGTTTTAAATTCTGTGAATCAGGGGTTGGCACACTTCAACCCCCAGGCCAAATATTATCCCCACTTCTCTTTGTAAATAAAGTTTTATAACACAGCCTCACCTGTTCAGTCTTTGGCTCCTTTCATGCTGCAGCTATGAGATGACTAGTTGCAACATAGACTCTGTAGCTCCCAGAATCTAAAATATTTACTATCTGGCCTTTCATAGAGGATTTCTATTTCCTGCTCTACATTGTCTATATGACTAGCTGATTTTTAAAACTAAATGATTTTTAAAAAATCATTTTCTGCCTCTTTTTATTAGAAATTAACCTTTATAACAACAGAAACTGTCTTGCTTATTCACTGCGCTATCCTTTAAAGTGCCTGGTATACTGTAGGCATCTTCAAAATATTTGTGCAGTGAAAAGATAAAAGACATGGAGCAAAACCATGGTTAGAGTTTTGGCTGTTTCTTCTCCCCATCTGACTGTGGTAGACTGCACTGTTAGCCATGATTCTTTATCCCTCCTTGATGAATGTCTCCCGTCCTTTGACTTACCAGTTCCTCCCACTAATGGGAGCAGAGTATATTTCCCCAATCCTTGATTTGGTTCAGTTAGATACGTCTTTTGGCCGATAGAATGAGAAATAAGAATCTGTGCCAGGAAGTCTAGGCTCCTGTGTCTCTACCATCACCATGAAAATAACACATCTAGGCCCACCCTCTGTTCCAGGAGAATGAGAAACTCACAGAGCAGAACAAAGCTACCCCAGCGAGATCCAGTCAAAATCAGCCAGCTCACAGCTAACACATAGAAAAGTGAGCTGAATAAATGCTCCTTATTGACTGCCACAGAGATTTAGGTTGGCGTGTTACACATCAAAATTGTCAATCAGATCCATGATGCAGTGAACTTGGACAACTGGCATCCTCCTGTCTAAGCATCAGTTTTCTTCTCTGATAGAGATGATAATAATTACTATCCTTGAGTCTTCATCACAACAGGTGTGAAAGCCACTCTGCAAAAGACAATACACCAGGCACAGGCGAGGCCTTGCTTGTAATTAATTAGAGAACAACATAAGTGGGTCTGTTGTAAAGAGCTACACTGAGTCTAATCAAGTTGTGGGCTGAGGAGTAGCATCAGGGAATCAGTGGCTGTGGCCCTTCTGAGACATCTCATGAGTTTGTGGCTTTGTCCTGAGCTACAGCCTGCTTTGAACCACTCATGACAGAGAGGGTGGGATGTGCTGGGTACTTAGGAACCAACTGTGGGCTATTCACCCAGGAGTAATAGGGAGAGAAATTGAGCCACAGGGGATGTTCAAAGCAGGGAGACCACGATCAGGAGAGGCAGGGGGTTTCCTAGAGACACTGCCTTGCCTGTCACATCTAACGCTTAACTAATTGGACTGAGAGGCATACGGGAAAGGCTTCGGCATTTGATAAATTAATCAGTGAGCACTGCAGCAAATTACCCACTCACATCATTAATTAGACATCCTGAAATGGCAAGGAGAAGAGTTTTTTTTAAGTGTTGATTCTGCAGCTTTTATTATTTTATTATTACTATTATTTATTTATTTATTACTATTATTTTTAGTAATTGATGGACCAAGACTTTGATCAGATGCTAGTAGGTGGAGAAGAAAACATCTTCACTGGCAGATTTAAATCCCAGCTGTTGCCAGGCCCCGAAGAAATGGGCAAGGTACTCAGCAATTCCCAGGAGACCTGGTGCTGAGCTCAAACATAATCAAAGGATCAAATTGACATCTGTGAAAGCCACAGTCTCAAAGAACTGAGAAAGCTTTTAGTCCAAGAATGTTGTGTAAGGGGATAACTTCCAATTAGCCATCTTGACCAGTCATCAAGATTTTGTCTCTTAAAAGGCAGCTGACAATAGGGGAATGAGGTCTGGGGGCCCACAGGCATTTACTGAGACTTCGGGTTCCATTAGAGGCTGTTCCTTCCTCCTGTCCTCTCTCACCAGTGCTCCCTTTTGAACAGGTTTTTCACAGCCCCCAAAGAACCTTTAGAGACCCCACATGAAGAAAGCCAATAGCTTTCAAAGTAAGAGGGAGGAAAAGGAGAGAAATCCACAGGCGTGGCAGGCAAGGAGCTGTCTGAGAATCTTTGCTGGTCCCTTGGCCCCTGTCCATGGTGAGGAGGGAGCCACCACTTAGCAAGGCCCAGAGGCAGTGTTAAAGGGCATGGCAGAGTCAAGGGGAAGTGCTGCTTCTGTGATTTCAACTACACTCCCAGGCCTGCCACTAAATATGGCAGACTTAGCATTTCCCACTTCAAATGAGCCCAGAAGAGTCCCGGGAGCCTCCACCCAGCCCCCTCCTACCCGCCTTCACTTGTCGCCTTTAAACTGATGAACGAGGCAAGGTCAGCAAATTCTAGGTTTTTGACAGGGCCCTATTTACCTTGCAGAAAATCAGAATGAAACTTGGGGAGGCCTTGGGGCAACAATGTCATCCAGACCCACAGGCATGGGGATGTAGGGATGCTGGGCTCCCATCTGCTTTCTTCATCATTCCATCAGGTGATCAGGGTACCTGGCCAGGCTGAGCTGTGAGGACAGAGTTGCACAGGGGAAAAGCTCTAACCAAGTGGGCTGCTGTGATCCAGGGTAGAATCTGTAGCACACAGGCCTGCTATCTGCTTGCTTATTCTTTAAGACTCAGCCCAGGATCCCTGCTTCCAGAAGCTTTCCTGGTTCCCACTGCCAAGCTTGGGTAAGATGCTGCAAGTCTGCCTTCCTGTTGAGTCCCAGGTCTCTCCTTCTCACAGCATCGACCTCAACTTTATTGTCATGGTCTGTTTACTCGTCCACCTGCCCGGTAGGACTCTGAGCTACTCAAGGACAAAGACTTGTATCTTTTTCACCACTACCTGGCAAACCTAATGCAGTGTTAAGCATAGATGGGGCTGAGCTCTGCAGTCTGGGGTGAAGCACACAGGCTTTGGAGTCTGACAGCCTTGGTTCATATTGTGGTTCCACCCCTCATTAGGTGTGTAACCTCGAGTAAGTTACCTAAGCTCTCTGAGCTTCACTGTGATCATCATTGCAGTAAGTATACCACTGTCTGAATTCTGGAATGGTTATAATAATGAGAAAGGGGATCATGCACACAAGTTCTCAGAAGAGAGCTCAGTTTATAGTAAGAGCCCAATAAATTCTTTCCAAAGCTTCCAGCTTGGAATTCATAATAATAGCAACTTTTTTCTTGCCATCATATTTGATCACATTCTCTCCTAATTAAACATTTGATTGTAAGGACAACCGGCATAAACTGGTTTGGGAACAAACACAGCTGATTCCTAAGAAGCAAAAAACACACCTGGTAGGAAAAAAAGTGACTGTGCATATTTGAAAGTGGCCCACAACCCCTACCTACTGTTCAGTATGTGGCAGGCTTCAGAAAGTAGGCTTTACATATGAGGCTGATGTATTATAGCACCCACAATAGAGTCCAGCTCTTACTGGCTCATAGGACCCTCTAACTAGTAGTAATAATAATTATCATTATTAATATCAATTACCTTTATTATTATTGTGGTTGTTATTTGTGTTCAGGTTCAAACAAGGCCTCTTAGCAGCCCTGGCTTTTTCCCATTTGAGTTTCTGATTATAGTAAAAAGATGAAAAAACATCACAACAGGTTTACCAAAGTTGTGGTCTGTTTTAAGTGTTTACTTTCAATAAATCAACACTTCCAGCATCAAAAACAAATGCAAAGACACATAACTGGTTTATATAGTATAATTATATAATCTATTTTAAAATATAAATTCTGCGTGCATGCCAGGCCCTGAGGCCTGATGGCAAGTTTTAAAGTTCATTTAAGGAAATCGACTTTTATCTGTTCTGTCAAGCTGTCCCTGTGAATGTTCATTAAGCACCATTTGGGAAAAAGGCTACATTTGAGGCCTTTTGTGACTAGAAGGCCTGAGCCAGATCCTCCCATGCCCCAGACCCTGGGGCTGATCCTCCCTCCAACACTTTGACTGGAGCTCTGTCTCTCTACCTCCCCAAGACACACACACACACACATACACACACACACGCACACACAAACACGATCCATCTGTGGGATTACGGTTTTACCCGGCTCCATTCCTGTCTTAGAAGCTCATTCTTGCTTTAATATTAAACACAGCACGCCCAGATACAAGTTGTTCTCCTTTCACGAAATCGAATTAAACTTTCATGAGGGCTCATGAGTTCCTCTGTGTGGTTTTCCCTTCAGCTTCCCCGCAGAAGCCAACAAATTCTCAATTACTTTAACCCTTTCCTCCCAGCTCCAAGTGGCCACTCGGCAGCTGGGAGGCTGCCCCTAAGCGTGTCCCTGTCAGCTCCAAGCAAACAGCTGGCTGGAGGTGGTGTTTGCAAAGCAAGTATTTACCGGTTTCCACCAGGGGTTTCTTCCCAAACAATTTCACTTGAGCTAAGAGCTCTAACTCCTTAAAATAGGCTTCGTCTGCCCAAACCGACTTTCCTTCTTACAGAACTGTCTGTGGGGAGCAAATTAGCTTGTTATAGCTTCCAAACTTATGGGCTAAATTCTCCTCTTGGTTTCTAACATACTGTGTTTTTTTCCCCTGTGAAATATGAGGTACCGGTACTGATATCTTTATTACCTGTAAAACGTCTCTCTGCTCCTTGGTGCTCCCCTCCCCCACTCTGCTCCTGACTTTGCTGTCCCAGGCACTTTCAGGACTAAGAAATGCCAAAACATGAGAAGAAAACCCAGCCCTTTCTCGGCATCACAAAAACTGCTATGATACAATGTCACTTTGAAAGTAAAGAGTTGCCTGTATGCCAAAGCTGGACAAATAATCCTGCTCAAAGAGTAGCAAAGCCCACATGAATGCATGAATGCTTAAACAACAAACCAGTCACAACTAGGTAACTTGATAAGAAGGCATGTTTGGGAGGAGTGGAGACTCCTGGGAGATAAGCCCTAGGGACAGGTCTATGAGCTATTTGGATCAACGGGAAGTGTCACAAAATACACATGGAGTCACAGGCTACAGGGAGAGTAATTACAGTCACCGTCAATAGAATCAAACATTCTGCAGAGCCCTCCCTGAAGGTAGCAGGCCTCCTTATGTTCCATCACTGCACATATGGGTGCAGGAGCAAGTTAAGAAGGGACGTAGCTAGGGATAGTGGCTGGGAAGTCTGCCCTCTCCGCAGATAGAAACAATTCTCTGAAAACAGTATAAAACCCAGCAAGGCAAGACCTTCTAAGCACACACTGGCTGTCCTGGAACGTGAGGCAAACTGGATCAAGGACATTAATATTCAAGGCAGAAGAATAACAACTAAAGAACAGGTTCTGGCAGAATTAGAGTAGAGATACATTTTTTGTTCACGTTTGACTAGAAATTTTACCGTTTGCTCAATGAAAAAGAATTACAGTTAGCAGTGTGTGTGTGTGTGTGTGTGTGTGTGTGTATGTCTATAGAGCCAACTATATCTTTCTGAATGAATTATTTCATACCATCCAGTTAGAAGAACATTTACTAATATTTTTTAAAGTATCCACAAGGGGACCCACTTGAAAATAAAACCAATAAGGCAAAGATCAAATAGTTCTCAAGAATCTTATATGCTTTGTAATTTTTGACTCAGAATCTCCCTTAGAGGAATCCAGCTTCAGAAAATAATCTGAGATGTGGAGTCCAGATCTCTATACAATTCCTAACGTAATGTAGCTTTTAAAAGACTGGAAATGCCCCAATTGTCCAACAATGGAGCATTTTTTTGCTCTATGTATAAGACAGAATGTCATGCTCTCTTCCAAAATGATATTTGAAAAAAAAAATAGAAAAAAAATCAGTTACCATATAAAGTGGAAATGGCAGGATTAAAAAATACACATAGTCTCACTGAAGTAGTATGAATAGGATGTGCAAAAGTGCTTTGTCCAGTGCAAAGCCTCTTGCACATGTCAAGAATCATTCTGACCGTGATATGATGGTCAGAGGTGAGCTGATGCCTGAGACGCATAGGTGGTCATGAAAAGAAAGCCACAGAGTGCAGCAGAGACCTGCACGCCCATGTGTGCCCACTCACCCAGCTTCTTCAGGGGTTGGCTCAGTTGTCAGAGGAAACTCAGCAAAGAGCAGAATCTAGAGGATGTCAGCAGGGGTGGGTTACCTAGGTGGACTAGAGAGTAATTAATAAGGCTGAGAACATCAGGGTAATTAAGAGGCGGGCAGCCCACAGGTGCAGCAGTGTTCAGCCCTGGAAAATCGGAGGGCATCCCAAGTGGAAAGGAGCTTGAAGAGAGATGGGAAACAGATTAGGGGCAAAGAGAGGCCAGAAAAGGAAGACCAAGATACTCCAAAGGCAAAATCATACTGTTTAGAATGAAATAATTATTTCTCTTAAGTGCTGAAACTCCCACACCCTCCCATACACAATGTTTGCATAACCTATGATGATAGAACATGCCGTAGCTACTATTTTTGAATTAGGGTTTGTTTATGAATGGCGTGAACACAGTAGCCAGGGGTCACAGCTAACTCAGTAACAGTGCGAATCCAGGTTTAGCTTTCTTGCCAGAATAATTTGCATGTGTCCTTTTTACTAGATAAAGAGAAAGACTGAACTCACCGTGTTCTATACACACTTTTGCCTTGGCTACCAAGAAACGCAGCTAAATTTAGAGCTCTATTGAAATCTTGAGATTGCACTGTACATATATTAAAATGGAAATACGTGTTTTTAATGACTTTCTGTCTTTACTTAGACAATAGCTTCTTGGGAGGCAGAGACGTTCTGACTCCTTAACTGATTTTTTTGATATTAATAAGATGATCAATGAATGTTGAAAGTTTCGATGAGGAATGAATATCAACCTATGCTCTTGGTCCAGTTCTTTCTCTTCTCTTAAAATAGTCTAAGTCTTCTGGTTTAGGTAAACCATGTCACCACTTGCTGTTTTTATGGTGCAAGCTACCTCAATTTTTTAAAAAAAATTGGTGATTATAAGTTGTAAATGAATAGATGAGAAAAATGAAAGGAAGGAAGGAATGGAGGGAGGGAGGGAGAGAGGGAAGCTGGTTCTCCCAAGAGAGAGAGGGAGGGTGGCTGAGACACAAGAAGGGAAATCCAAGTTCAGGAGCCAATTCTTTAAGAGAACTGCCTCTACAGGAACCAGAGTATGCAGTTAGCATAGCAATACTTAGCTTGATTCTGATACATACCCACTTTTTGTAGTATTGAACATATTCATTGAATAGGCTAATTCATATTCATTGAAAAAAGTTTGAGAAAAGATAGAATAGTAAAAATAGTAACAGCTACAACTTATTGCTTACTATGAGCTAGCTACCTTGCCAAGAATTTTATGTTCTTAATCTCATTTCCTTACAACCCTGAAAGGTAGATATGATAATCCCCATTTTTGAGAATAGAAGTAAAGGCTTGGTGATAATAATTCACTTGCCTAAGGAGGCATATCTGGACTGTCAATTCTCTGCTCCAACTCTCTTACCAGGATGTCTCTGTTTTCTGCAATGAGGAGGCTGAACACAAAGAGATCCTTTTTCCCCTTTTAGCTTATTTCTGTCCCACCCACTGTCCCACCCATGAAGGAATCCATCAAAGATGGTGAAAGACTGTATCTCTAAGAGGCAGAAATGGGGGTCCTGAGACCCCCCCATTTCAGATTCAGAAATGATCACGACTCTATGCTCACTTTTTCTCCAATCTTTCCCTCCAGATCATGAATCTTGGTCTACTTGTTAAGAAGACATGAGAGATGGCCCCTGTTTTGTTAATTCTCCTCTGTTCAGTCTTATTGATGACAGGAGGAGGGGGTTTTAAACTCAAGCAGACCTTGCTATGCACAGATTAGTCTTGGTCTCCTTTGTGTTAAATTGGAAAAATGAAAGGAAAGAAAAAATCTACAGGCCCTAGTAAGAGGAATCACCTGAAGAATTCTAAATTTCATTCACTTTGTCATGTTTCAACAAGTCATCATAGAGTGTTACTATGTCCTCAGTCCAGTGCTCACTATACTTAAGTTGCTTAAACTCAGGTTATAAAAGCAGATACTAAAGCATGCAAATATAAATTACTTGACCCGGTTCATTTTAAAATTTATCATTCATTCATTTCAGTAATTCCTCTGCTCAAAAAAGAGACCTTAGCCAAAGGTCAGGGACCTTAGCCAAAGCCCCCTAGTTGAAGGATCAAGGGTGATGAGAGAGAAAGAGAGAAAGACAAACAGGCATATGACTCTGAAGACCAGCCAGAAGACAGAGAGGAGGAAGCTTAGAGAGAACTAGACCTCTGAATTCAAGGAAAAGAGAGAATCAAGAGGAATGGGGAAGTGAGGAGGGTCAAATGCCACATGGAGGGGGTAAAAGTCTCCCCTGAACTCAACAGGTAAAGACAAGGAGGAGTGTTTCTGGAAGAAAGAATGTTATGAGCAATGCATTCACAGAGGCAGGTGTGAATGTGGTTTCCACAGAGTAAAACCTTACAAATCACCATTATTTGTTGCTAATGTAGAATGGATTGAGTTTGAGGCTGGAAGTCCAAAGAAGCTGCATCCTGGGCCCAGTTCTCAAGCTGACTCACTGTGGGACTTTGACTAAGTCCTCCTGACCTCTTTGGGCATCATTTGGATCATCAGTAAAATAAAAAGATTGCAATAGACACTCCTCAATGCTTCATCCTCCCATACTTATCACATCCTCTTAGTAACTAATCAATCAATTAATTTAATAAATATTTATTGAGGACCTGCTGTGATTCAGGCTCTGCACTTGAACACGGAAATGCAGGGAGAGCACAATAAGAAACAAGCTGGCTCTCCCGAGCATCCAGAGACTTTTACAACAAACATGGGCTGCAATTTAGAGATGTCATCTCTTTTGAATGGAATGTGAAAGACTTTTTTTAAGAACTCTGAGTTTAAGATCAAACTAATGATCTCTAGAGACATCATGGCCAAGTCTACTCCAATTTCATCTTTCTGACTTGGGTCACCTGTGGAGCTCTCACCTGCAGGTTTAGAGGGGGGCATCTTTGGCTATTAAATGAGGACAGACTTTCTAAGGGGATCAATGGGAAGTAAAACCAGGACAGCTGAGATGTCTTTGGGGGCAGAATTCTTAGGCACTTATAATTAATACACATTTTTGGGTGTTTGTGACCTTCAACTTATTTGCTTTTATTTTGAATTTAAAGGAAAACCCTTTCATCATATTTTCTCTTCAATTAGCTGAATATCCCTAGGCCGACTGGCCCTAGGGTCTTCTTTCAAGTCCAGCATGTAGGAGCAGTTGATATGAACCACTTTGCATCCACACCTGTCCTGATTCTCCCAAGAACTGAAAAGGAAAAAAAAAATCACCTTAATTTTTCCCTTAATTCATTGCTGGCCAGGCATAGTGGCTCATGCCTGTAATCCCAGCACTTTGGGATGCTAAGGTGGGTGGATCAGTGGAGGCCAGGAGTTCGAGAACAGCCTGGACAAAATGGCGAAACCCTGTCTCTACTATAAATACACAAAATTAGCAGGGTGGTGGCACATGCCTCTAATCCCAGCTACTGGTGAGGCTGAGGCATAAGAATCGCTTGAACCCAGGAGGCAGAGGTTGCAGTGAGTCAAGATCGCACCACTGCTCTCCAGCCTGGGTGACAGCAAGCCTCTATCTAAAAACAAAACAAAACAAAACAAAACAAAACAAAACAAAAAACCATGCTGAATTTTCCTGATTTTTTCCTCTTCTTTAGGCTTAGGGATTATCACAAATAATTACTGAATGTCCATTACATGCAGCCATGCAGGACTTTTTGCTGGATCCTAGATGCAGAGTACACAGTGTCTGCCTTCACTAAACTTACAGAAGAAAAACATATGAAGAAAATTAATTCTACAGCTAGCCAACTCTGGGGAAATAAACAGGCAGTCAGATATTACTGGAACATACAAGTTTTAAGATAATAATATTTTTGTGCAGATTATTTTTTAGATTCTCAAATCAATTATCTCTTCTTCGGTATTAACAGAAGTATATTCAAGCACATGACTGGCTAGTTAGACTACGGTAGAGATGATTTGTGTCATTTTCAATCTGTTGCCTTAAGACAGCCTCTTTTACCTTTTCTGTTCTTCCTCCCCACTGGGTGGACATAAGACATGACAGTAACCCACCTTTGACTGTGCGGAGGACGTGCTGTAGGAGGTGAAGGAGCCAGAAGATGGAAGGAACCTGGAGTCCTGAATGACTCTGTGGAGTAAAGGCTGCCATTGAATAGAATGCTTTCCTCAGACTGTTACATGAGAAAGAAAGAAACATCTTTGCCCTTTAAGCCATGTTATTACTGTTCTTCTTGTTACTTTAGCAGAGGGTTTTACTGTAACTAATAAAGAGAAACATGAAGCAAGAAGCATTAAGATGTAAAAATGAAAATGATCACTGTAATTTATTGACTTGCAGAGCTTTTTCCAAAACTATAGAGCTGATTTCTTTCCTTCAGTTGCTGGTGCTTTTTAATCAGAGGATCTGAATAGAGTTGGACAAGATTCCCAACCTCTCAAACTCTTATTTTTCTCATTCATAAAATAAAGTTACTATAATTATATTAACATCACAAGATTATTGTTGTGAAAAATATCTGATATATGTTTGCAAATTCTCTGGTACATAGAAGATTTTCAACCTCGCCCACTACTTTGCAGTTTTGAAGAAAAAAAGAAAACCCACAACAATAAATATAATCAAGTTATCTGAGTCAGAATGAAAAGACGATTGTCATTGCCCACACTTCACCAGCCTTCAGGAAGTTTCTGCAGCAACGTCAAGCACCTCTTCTTTTAAATTGATTATCTTATGATAACTGTCACAAAGCAAAGTTCCCCAGAGAAGATGCGTGTCAAAACACAAAGGAGGTGTGTTCAGGCTCATGGCATTGCTTGTAAGAAAATCCAAGCAGGTTGCCAAACAATGTGAAGATGTCAAGAATGAGGGGAAATGATGACAATTCCTGTTTGAGGAGATGATGTCCCATTGCCAAAAGCAAGACAGAGTCATGTGAATGGGAAGAGGAGTGCAGATAAACTGGTTTTGGCATTGTTAGAAAGCAGACCTAGGTTTTATAAAGGCTCTTAAACAAAACGTGACCATGCCAAAGCTCTTGGGGATAGAAGAGAACAGAGACACAACAAAATTGTGGCAGGTAGAAGACGTAAGAAAAGAATTTTCTCAGCTACAGAACAAGAATTTGAGATGAACTCATCCCTTTTCAACCACAAAAACAAAATTTGGAATCACAATATGGGATTATTTTCAGCATAGAAACATAATTCCCAATGGGAAAGGAATGCTAGAAGGAACAGCACTCAGCGAGCCTATAAAAACCCTAACATATTTTGACCTTCACAAAAATAGACAACAATGACATTTATTTCATTTGTTCTAATGAATCTATACTATCCGTAACTTTTATTTGCTAAAAACGCTTCAGCCATTGCATACTCATAAATTTCAATAAGATGTTCAAAACACTTCTGACTTTCTTGTGGGTAACACATATGAAGAAGAGTTTCTCTCTACTGTCCTCACTACTCTGCCCCGGCTCCACTATGTTAATGCACAATGCATTTCTTAATTTGTACCTGGAGTTTTCTGCCACTGCCACTCAGGTTCCACCAAGGTTCTGGTTATGCAGAGAACTTGGATGCTTGACACGGAAAGTGAACTGAGAAAGCTGGAACTGTCAAAATCCATGGGAAATAATGGCATTTATTTCTGTCTGAGGAAATAACTTTCCATGCCAAAACCAAAGTGAAACCATCCCTTTATTTCCTAAATTGCCATGATTGAGCTGCTATTTTGCAAACTCCCTAACATCCTTTTTCAATAATTGTCATCAATAGGAGGGACTCACAAATCAGAGTTATTGAAACTAAAATCCTTGAGTTCATAGAAGAAGTAGACTTTGAATTTTTCAGGTAAATGATAGAGTAGTTCAGGAATAATTCCTGCATTCAATAGCATAATATAAAAGCATAAATTAGATGCATTCAACTCTGCAAATTTAACCCCAAAAACATAAAAATGGGCTACCTCCCAAAATGGGGTTTTCTATCTCATGGGTCAGAAATCCTCATTTTTTTGTTGTTGTTTTGTAAGCTGCATTTTTAAATCTTATATTTATGTTTGGAAGTGTAGGTCGTTGAAAGACCTACATGTTCTATTATATTTCCTTAGTTTCAATACCCATACGGCATTCAAAAATATTAAAATATAAAAAACATACATTTGAAATGGAAGATATAAAACCAGTCATCTACCAAGACCTGAAGAGTAAGCCATGATGTTATGCTCCAGGCCTTTGTGAGTGCTGCTCCTCTACTTACAGTTTCTTCCTTTTTCAACAATTTGCAAATTCCTACTCATCCCTCAAGAGACAGCTCAACCATCACCTCCCCAATGAAGCCTTCCTTCACTCTCCCACTTTAGTGCCCTTCTCTAAAGCCTCCTTTGGACCTTGTAAATGCCCCCAGTGGGGATCTGAGATATACATAGGTTATCTCCACTAAACTAAAAGCCCTATGAGCTCGAGGACATTGCCACCATAATTCTATCATCTAGCACAGAGCATGACACATCAAACCATGACACTCAAACCATGCTTTTTGTACTCAAGTGGTAACAGTATATCCTTTCATAGAAATGTCCTCGGTGTAACCTCATAGGGTTATGAAGTAGAGATCACATCATCCCACTTTTATAGAATACATTGAAGCTCAGAGGTTTTTTTAATGGTCAGGTCTAGAAGTAGCTTATGTCATTTCTATACATCCCCCTGGACAAAATGCAATCACATGATTTCCATTTAACTTCAGTGGAAACAGAGAAATGTAGTAGTCAGTGTGCCAAAATATAGGAAAATAAAACAGGATTTGGAGAACACCTAGTATTGTCTCTGCCACACTATGTTTATTCCCCTTGCACCATCCTGTCCCACCATACACACAAAAAGCCACCCAGGAAAGCATAATCTTCCACAGAACTTAGCAACATCCTAGGTATAAGAAGCCCCTGGTCCCACTGATGGCCTTTATTCCCAGGTGACCATTTCTAGGAATCAGACTCCAGCCTAACTACAGTCAAGAAATCCTGAAGGAGTCATCTCAAGGCAGACCCCAGGGGAAGGAGAACTGCTCAGTAACTAATGAATCATCCTAGAAGGGCAGAAACAGGAGCAGGGAAAACTCTCACCCTGGCTAATGAGAGGAGAGACATTTGCAAGCTCATTGGGAGTTTGACGAGGATTTGTCCCTTGGAGGTTGAAGGGTTGCACTAATTCATCCGTCGTTGTAGTAGTCAGGGTTCTCTAGAGGGACAGGACTGATAGGATAGATGTACATATGAAAGGGAGTTTATTAAGAAATATTGACTCATACGATCACAAGGTGAAGTCCCACAATAGGCCATCTGCAAGCTGATGAGCAAGGAAGCCAGTTCGAGTCCCAAAACTTCAAAAGTAGAGAAGGCAATGGTGCAGCCTTCAGTCTGTGGCCGAAGGCCGAAGAGGCCCTGGCAAACCACTGGTGTAAGTCCGAGGATCCAAAAGCTGAAGAACTTGAAGTCTGATATTTGAGGGCAGGAAGCATCCAGCGTGGGAGAAAGATAAAGGCCAGAAGACTCAGCCAGTCTAGTCCTTCCATGTTCTTCTGCCTGCTTTTATCCTAACCATGCTGGCAGCTGCTTAGATAGTGCCCACCTGGATTGAGGGTGGGTCTGCCTCCCCCTGTCCACTGACTCAAACATTAATCTCCTTTGGTAACACCCTCACAGACACACCAGGAACAATACTTTGTATCCCTCAGTCCAATCAAGTCAGCACTCAATATTAACCATCACACTCAGGTACTTCATTCTCTTTGCCTCTCAACCTGCTTATCCAAGTCAAACCAGGCTAAAACAAAATGTCAACGGCTGTCCAGCAAAAGAAAAAGTTGACAAAAGCCCCCTTCTTGACCTCTCGCATGAAGTTAGATCATCTCCTTTCTGTGATTGTTAAGCATTTACAACACTTCTACTGTAACATTATACTGAAATTATTTGTTTCCATGTGTAACTCCCTTAAGAGATGAAATGGTAGTTACTTCTAATGGGAAGAACATGAATTCTGGGGTATGAACTCATGTGTACTCTCATGATTGATATCCTCCACAAGGAGCTGGCTGTGCAGGCTGTGTAACCTATTTCATCTGTCTAATCTTCAGCTTCATATCTCTAAAACAGGTAACTCCCACCTTATAATTGCTGGAATTGTCACACAGAGATTCTCAATCGACTGCAGAGTAGGCAATATTGCATCCAGCATGGGAGATGGAGTCTGAGTCCCACTCTTGAGATTCTGAGTTAATTGGTCTGGGGTGTGCCTGGGCATCTGGAATTTTAATAACTCCCTCAGATGATTCATGCATTTAGCAAGGGTTAAGAATTACCAGGGTAAAGAGAAGAACGTTAGCCTTCATGCTCGGGGGCTTCATCTAGCCAGATTCCCATCAAATGTTTTCCACTTAGGGACATGGCGGATGGTCATGAGACCTGACTAAACATTCAGCCTGGCTCTTACAAAAACCCATAATCAGAAAATAAAATTGGAACTTCAAAGCTCCCACAGCTCCTCAGGTTATTTGGTGGAGATCTGAGTAAGATGGGTATTGGACTGAGCAAAATACAGTAGCCTCTTTCTTATAAACAGTGAAGCATCATAATGGTTTGGATGGTGATGATGACAAAAAGGAAAACAAAATGACTCTGTGCAATAAATTAAGATGAACTTGAGAGCTACACTCTTGATGCAGAGGATGGAATTCATCAGATGCCAAAAACCCAGGAAAGTGGGGATGGAAGAAAGTAGTAACCATAAGAAGAAGGGATGCAGGGAGATGGTGGAAGGTTGACACCTTAGGCAATCCAGCAAAAAGTTTGCTGTGGATCAGGAATGATTGGCAAAAGTTTAGCATCAGGAAGTGACATTGGACATTTTATTTAAAGTTGACCCCTGTACAACGTGTTATTGCCATTCACCCCATTTTCCTCCAAACTGTCACTTAAAGTATTATATGCCACAAACTTGGAGCATTGGTGGCTTGGAGGAATTAAAGTTTACAGCAATAAGTGCCTAGGGTGAGAAGGTGAAGAGACATGTGTAATTCCCTTTTCTGAAGCCAATGGGGTGGTAGCAGCAAAGCATCAGAGAAAGAAGGTGGCTCTCGTGTTCCAGGAGGTGGCCAACCTCAAAGTGAGTGTAGGCCCAGGGTGGAAATGGAGACGAGGAGAGGAGCAAGTACAGCAGAGCAAGTATAGCACCAATTGGCCAAGGAGAGGAGGAAGCCCACTCATTCACTCACACAACAAAGCCTTTTGACCACTTCTGATGGGCTAGACAGACACTGTGCTGCTAGATACAGAATAAAGATCCTTACTCTTACAGAGCTTACATGCCAGAAGGAGCAGACTATCAATAAATAATAAACTGAAAATAAGTATACTTTATGGTAGATGAAAAAGTGATAGTGCTATGGAAAAATAGTAAAAGCAGACTAGGTGAGGTGGGATTAAACATGCCATGACAGACAGAGCGGCAGGCAGGTGCAATTTTAAATAGGGTCACCAGGAAGGACTTGGAGACTTGGTGAGGTCTAAGAAAAAGATTGAGATTGAGGTGAGCGGCCCACCTGGAGGCCCTTTTTGGGGCCAGCCAGAGATAGAGAGCAGATCAGAGGTCTGAAGCTGGGGATGTGCTCTTGTGTTTGAAGAACACAAGGAGGTAAGTGTAGTCAGAGCAGAGTGGGCAAAGACAGGGGCCTCCACCACTTTTATCCAAATCTATAAGAGAATGATAGTTCTTAAAAAGCGACAGAGCCAGGTTTTTTTAATTACATGGGGAAAAAACTATACATTCAGATGATCTATGCATTAAGTAAGAATTAAATGAAATTATATATGTGAAGTGCTGGCACATAGCAGGTTCTCAGTAAATGTGAACTTTCTTCTCCCCTTCAAACATTTCACCTGTTATTTATTAGAAATTTAAGAGTGGTGTTCTGTGCCCAAATAAAGCCCATATTACTTCTCTTTGTGTGTTCTGAAGATGAATAATACTTTGAGAAAAAATAACAGCAGCAAAAGCAATGGCAAACAATAGCTCTGTATCCAAAGCTGATCTGGAGAGCAGGGCCAAGGTGGAGCCTCCCCCTCATATTCCAAACGTTGACTTTGGGAAGCACCTGTGGGACTCAGGCACTCCTTCTCCAGAGCAGGCTCTAAACTCTCTCCCCGACTCTCACCCCAGCACGGTGTTTGAGCTCTGAGAATGGACAGACTGCCTCCTCAAGTAGGTCCCTGACCCCCGTGTAGCCTAACTGGGAGACACCTCCCAGTAGGGGCCAACTGACACATCATACAGGCAGGTGCCCCTCTGGGACAAAGCCTTCAGAGGAAGGATCAGGCAGCAATATTTGCCGTTTTGCAATATTTGCTGTTCTGCAGCCTCCACTGGTGATACCCAGGCAAACAGGATCTGTAGTGGACCTCCAGCAAACTCCAACAGACCTGCAGCTGAGGGACCTGACTACTAAAAGGAAAACTAACAAACAGAAAGGAATAGCACCAACATCAACAAAAAGGACATCCTCACCAAAACCCCATCTCTAGGTCATCAACATCAAAGACCAAAGGTAGACAAACCCACAAAGATGGGGAGAAACCAGAGCAGAAAAGCTGAAAATTCTAAAAACCAGAGCACCTCTTCTCCTCCAAAGGATCACAGCTCCTCGCTGGCAACAGAACAAAGCTGGATGGAGAATGACTTTGACGAGCTGACAGAAGTAGGCTTCAGAAGGTCGTTAATAACAAACTTCTCCGAGCTAAAGGAGGATGTGTTCGAACCCATCACAAGGAAGCTAAAAACCTTGAAAAAATATTAGATAAATGGCTAGCTAGAATAAACAGTGTAGAGAAGACCTTAAATGACCGGATGGAGCTGAAAACCATGGCACTAGAACTACGTGACACATGCACGAGCTTCAATAGCCGATTTGATCAATTGGAAAAAAAAGGGTATCAGTGATTGAAAATCAAATTAATGAAATAAAGCAAGAAGAGAAGTTTAGAGAAAAAACAGTAAAAAGAAATGAACAAAGTCTCCAAGAAATATGGGACTATGTGAAAAGACCAAATCTATGTTTGATTGGTGTACCTGAAAGTGATGGGGAGAATGGAACCAAGTTGGAAAACACTCTTCAAGGTATCATCCAGGAGAACTTCCCCAACCTAACAAGGCAGGCTAACATTCAAATTCAGGAAATACAGAGAACATCACAAAGATACTCCTTGAGAAGAGCAACCCCAAGACACATAATTGTCAGATTCACCAAAGTTGAAATGAAGGAAAAAATGTTAAGGGCAGCCAGAGAGAAAGGTCGGGTTACCCACAAAGGGAAGGCCATCAGAGAAACAGTGGATCTCTCAGCAGAAACTCTACAAGCCAGAAGAGAGTGGGAGCCAATATTCAACATTCTTAAAGAGAAGAATTTTCAACCCAGAATTTCATATCCAGCCAAACTAAGCTTCATAAGTGAAGGAGAAATAAAAGCCTTTATAGACAAGCAAATGCTGAGAGATTTTGTGACCACCAGGCCTGCCTTGTAAGAGCTCCTGAAGGAAACACTAAACATGGAAAGGAACAACTGGTACCAGCCACCCCCAAAACATGCCAAATTATAAAGAATGTCGATACTAGGAAGAAACTGCATCAATTAATGGGCAAAATAGCCAGTTAATATCATAATGACAGGATCAAATTCACATATAACAATATTAACCTTAAATGTAAATGAGCTAAATGCCCTAATTAAAAGACACAGACTGGCAAATTGGATAAAGAGTCAAGACCCATCAGTGTGCTGTATTCAGGAGACCCATCTCACATGCAAAGATACACATAGGCTCAAAATAAAGGGATGGAGGAAGATCTACCAAGCAAATGGAAAGAAAAAAAAAAAAACAGGGGTTTCAATGCTAGTCTCTGATAAAACAGACTTTAAACCAACAAAGATCAAAAGAGACAAAGAAGGCCATTACATAATGGTAAAGGGATCAATTCAACAAGAAGAGCTTAGTATCCTAAATATATATGCACACAATACAGGAGCACCCAGATTCATGAAGCAAGTCCTTAGAGACCTACAAATAGACTTAGACTCCCACACAATAATAATGGGAGACTTTAACACCCCACTGTCAACATTAGACAGATCAACAAGACAGAAAATTAACAAGGATATCCAGGACTTGAACTCAGCTCTGCACCAAGTGGACCAATTAAACATCTACAGAACTCTCCACCCCAAATCAACAGATTATACATTATTCTCAGCACTACGTCACACTTATTCCAAAACTGACCACATAGTTGACAGTAAAGTACTCCTCAGCAAATGAAAAAGAGCAGAAATCACAACAAACTGTCCCTCAGACCACAGTGCAATTAAATTAGAACTCAGGATTAAAAAGCTCACTCAAAACCACATAACTACATGGAAACTGAACAACCTGCTCCTGAATGACAACTGGGTACATAACAAAATGAAGGCAGAAATAAAGATGTCCTTTGAAACCAATGAGAACAAAGACACAATGTACCAGAATCTTTGGGACACATTTAAAGCAGTGTGTAGAGGGAAATTTATAGCACTAAATGACCACAAGAGAAAGCAGGAAAGATCTAAAATTGACACCCTAACGTCACAATTAAAAGAACTAGAGAAGCAAGAGCAAACACATTCAAAAGCTAGCAGAAGGCAAGAAATAACTAAAATCAGAGCAGAACTGAAGGAGATAGAGACACAAAAAAATCCTTTAAGAAAACAATGAATCCAGGAGCTGGTTTTTTGAAAAGATCAACAAAATTCATAGACCACTAGCAAGACTAATAAAGAAGAAAAGAGAGAAGAATCCAATAGACCAATAAAAATGATAAAGGGGTTATCACCACCGATCCCACAGAAATACAAACTACCATCAGAGAATACTATAAACACCTCTACACAAACAAACTAGAAAATCTAGGAGAAATGGATGAATTCCTGGACACATACACCCTCCCAAGACTAAACCAGGAAGAAGTGGAATCTCTGAATAGACCAATAACAGTCTCTCAAATTGAGGCAGTAATTAATAGCCTAGCAACCAAAAAAAGTCCAGGACCAGACGGATTCACAGCCGAATTCTACCAGAGGTACAAGGAGGAGCTGGTACCATTCCTTCTGAAACTATTCCAATCAATAGAAAAAGAGGGAATCCTCCCTAACTCATTTTATGAGGCCAGCATCGTCCTGATACCGAAGCCTGGCAGAGACACAACAAAAAAAGAGAATTTTAGACCAATATCCTTGATGAACATTGATGCAAAAATCCTCAATAAAATACTGGCAAACCAAATCCAGTAGCACATCAAAAAGCTATCCACCACGATCAAGTTGGCTACATCCCAGGGATGCAAGCCTGATTCAACATATGCAAATCAATAAATGTAATCCATCACATAAACAGAACCAATGACAAAAACCACATGATCATCTCAAAAGATGCAGAAAAGGCCTTTGACAAAATTCAACAGACCTTCATGCTAAAAACTCTCAACAAATTAGGTATTGATGGAACATATCTCAAAATAATAAGAGCTGTTTATGACAAATCCACAGCCAATATCATACTGAGTGGGCAAAAACTGGAAGCATTCCCTTTGAAAACTGGCACAGGTTTGCCCTCTCTCACCACTCCTATTCAATATAGTGTTGGAAGTTCTGGCCAGGGCAATCAGGCAAGAGAAAGAAATAAAGGGTATTCGATTAGGAAAAGAGGAAGTCAAATTGTCCCTGTTTGCAGATGACATGATTGTATATTTAGAAAACCCCATCTTCTCAGCCCAAAATCTCCTTAAGCTGATAAGCAACCTCAGCAAAGTCTCAGGATACAATATCAATGTGCAAAAATCACAAGCATTTCTATACACCAATAACAGACAAACAGAGAGCCAAATCATGAGTGAACTCCCATTCACAATTGCTTCAAAGAGAATAAAATACCTAGGAATTGAACTTACAAGGGATGTGAAGGACCTCTTCAAGGAGAACTACAAGCCACTGCTCAATGAAATAAAAGAGGACACAAACAAATGGAAGAATATTCCACGCTCATGGATAGGAAGAATCAATATCTTGAAAATGGCCATAATGCCCAAGGTAATTTATAGATTCAATGCCATCTCCATCAAGCTACCAATGACTTTCTTCACAGAATTGGAAAAAACTACTTTAAAGTTCATATGGAACCAAAAAAGAGCCCGCATAGCCAAGACAATCCTAAGCCAAAAGAATAAAGCTGGAGGCATCAGGCTACCTGACTTCAAACTATACTACAAGCCTACAGTAACCAAAACAGCACGGTACTGGTACCAAAACAGAGATATAGACCAATGGAACAGAACAGAGCCCTCAGAAACAATATCATACATCTACAACTATCTGATCTTTGACAAACCTGACAAAAACAAGAAATGGGGAAAGGATTTCCTATTTAATAAATGGTGCAGGGAAAACTGGCTAGCCATATGTAGAAAGCTGAAAATGGATTCCTTCCTTACACCTTATACAAAAATTAATTCAAGATGGATTAAAGACTTAAATGTTAGACTTGAAACCATAAAAACCCTAGAAGAAAACCTAGGCAATACCATTCAGGACATAGGCATGGGCAAGGACTTCATGACTAAAACACCAAAAGCAAAGGCAACAAAAGCCCAAATTGACAAATGCGATCTAATTAAACTAAAGAGCTTCACACAGCAAAAGAAACTACCATCAGAGTGAACAGGCAACCTACACAATGGGAGAAAATTTTTGCAATCTACCCATCTGACAAAGTGCTAATATCCAGAATCTACAAAGAACTTAAACAAATTTTCAAGAAAAAAACAAACAACCCCATCAACAAGTGGGCGAAGGATATGAACAGACACTTCTCAAAAGAAGACATTTATGCAGCCAACAGACACAAGAAAAAATGCTCATCATCACTGGCCATCAGAGGAATGCAAATCGAAACCACAATGAGATACCATCTCATACCAGTTAGAATGGCGATTATTAAAAAGTCAGGAAACAACAGATGCTTGAGAGGATGTGGAGAAATAGGAACACTTTTACACTGTTGGTGGGAGTGTAAATTAGCTCAACCATTGTGGAAGACAATGTGGTGATTCCTCAAGGATCTAGAACTAGAAATACCATTTGACCCAGCCATCCCATTACTGGGTATATACCCAAAGGATTATAATTCATGCTACTATAAAGACACATGCACACATGTGTTTATTGTGGCACTATTCACAATAGCAAAGACTTGGAACCAACACAGATGTCCATCAATGATAGACTGGATTAAGAAAATGTGGCACATAGATACCATGGAATACTATGCAGCCATAAAAAATGATAAGTTCATGTCCTTTGCAGGGACATGTATGAAGCTGGAAACCATCATTCTGAGCAAACTAGCACAAGGACAGAAAAACAAACACCACATGTTCTCACTCATAGGTGGGAATTTAACAACGAGAACACTTGGACACAGGGAGGGGAACATCACACACCAGGGCCTGTCATGGGGTTGGGGGTTGATGGTGAGAGATAGCATTAGGAGAAATACCCAATGTAAATGACGAGTTAATGGGTGCAGCAAACCAATATGGCACATGTATACCTATGTAACAAACCTGCAAGTTGTGCACATGTACCCTAGAACTTAAAGTATAATTTAAAAAAATAATGATAAGCAGGCAATATTCCCAGCAGCTGGGGGACAGGCATTTCTGTTCCAAAAGGAGGATCTCGAAAAATGAAGAGAATAGGTTTTAAAGGGTGGGATGTGAATGAGTGTTTCCCTCCCTCCTTCTCTTTCCTTTATTTCTTTCCTTCCTTCCCTCTTTTTCTTTTGCTCTTCATCTCTCTTTCTTTTCCTTTCCTCCCTTCTCTAATTTTCTTTTTTCTTTTAAACATTTTTAGTTTGAGATGTATATGGAACCTGTAAGTGGAAATGGTGGGTGGGCAGCTATACGCACAAGGCTGAAATTCACAGCAGAGTTCCTGGCTAGAGATGTAAATCTGGAACATATGCAAAAGAACAGAAAAAAAGTATAACTATTATGTATCCTCCATCCAGGGTTAACAAATGCTAATACTTTTTTATATAAAAATGCAGACCTCCCCCAAATTCAGTGTCCTATTCACTGATTTGACTCAATTGTTTGCAATTCCTCTGGCTTTATCAATAACTATAGATGAAGTCACAATTACAATTGCCTCATCCACTCTCATTCTTCCTCTCTGATTCCCACTGCCCCTCATCAAGTAACAACATCATAAATAAATTATGAATAATATTTTTGTATCAAGAAACACATTTCTGGAGAGTTAAGAGTGCCAATAAATAAAATGGTAATTTCAGCCACATTGGTCTAAAACAACCATTGTGGAAGTCAGTGTGGCGATTCCTCAGGGATCTAGAACTAGAAATACCATTTGACCCTGCCATCCCATTACTGGGTATATACCCAAAGGACTATAAATCATGCTGCTATAAAGACACATGCACATGTATGTTTATCGCGGCACTATTCACAATAGCAAAGACCTGGAACCAACCCAAATGTCCAACAACAATAGACTGGATTAAGAAAATGTGGCACATACACACCATGGAAGACTATGCAGCCATAAAAAATGATGAGTTCATGTCCTTTGTAGGGACGCGGATGAAACTGGAAACCATCATTCTTAGCAAACTATCGCAAGGACAAAAAACCAAACACCACATGTTCTCACTCATAGGTGGGAATTGAACAATAAGAACACATGGACACAGGAAAGGGAACATCACACTGCGGGGACTGTTGTGGGTTGGGGTGGGGGGAAGGGGGAGGGATAGCATTAGGAGATATGCCTAATGCTAAATGACTAGTTAATGGGTGCAGTACACCAACATGGCACATGTATACATATGTAACTAACCTGCACATTGTGCACATGTACCCTAAAACTTAAAGTATAATAATACTAAAATAAAAATAAAATAACAAACAAAAAAACATTTCTGTGCTCTTTAAGAACAAAGAAATTTGGATAAAATTCCTAATCTTGAAAAGTGGCAGTCATTTACCCAATTTAACCAACAAACAAAATGTTTTTGGAGGTGGAAGACAAGCAGGGTTAGGAATTGATACATATCATATGGAAATGCATGAATAATAGCATGGATCTTTCATAGCACCCCTGGTTGGAGTGGAATTGATATACTGAAGCATAAGAGCCAATGTGTCTATCTCAAAAGAGAGCTGGAAAGAAAGTAGGCAAAGAAGGAGTGGAGGGAGGAGACCAGCAATTGGCCTCTGACCTTAAGAGGTTCTTAGCCCAAAGAGGATTCAAAAGAGTGTCTAGTAGTTCAAGTCAGAGCTGTAATTGCTTTCTCCACAGAGTTTCACAAAATGCTAAATTACAAGAATTTTTTTCCCTAAGAGTGAGGAAGTTCTTCAGGTGTCGTGGAAAGTACACAAATCTTGGTGAAACATGACCTAGGTCAGACTCATATCCTGGCCTCACTACTTGTGTGCACTCGATTAATAATTATAAGCCCTAATTCTCATTCCACATACCAAGGCATATAGAACTCTATTTAATCAACAACATACAGAGTTTCTAGCCCAAATTCTTGCCAGAAAATGTAACATTAAAATTTCTATGATCTAATTATCTTCAAAATCCTAGTAACAAAAGGTAATATTTATATAGAATTGCCTAAGATATACAGTTTATCCATTCCTGCAGATTAGGGATTGGCAGGCTTTTTTTGCAAAGGACCAGATAGTAAATATTTCAGATTTTGAGGGCCATTTGGTTTAGCAGTTCTGCATTGCAAATACCCAACTCTGTTATTGTACCTTGAAAGCAGCCATATACGATAAGTTAAAAAAAAAAATGTAGCCATAGTTTATCTTTCCCTGGCTTAGACATAACATTTACTGCCTAGTAACATTGAGTTTTACAGTTCTGCTTATAGTAATGGTGAAGTATCTTGTATTAGACCAATCATCCCACAGATAACTATAACCTCTGTCCATGTGTGTGCATGAGAGAGAGTGTGTGTGTGTGTTGGAGAGAGAAAGATTGGTATATGCATACACATAAGCAAAACATATATAAAACAACTACCTGAAGGTATTGGAGAGTGACCAAGAGAAGGCAGAAACTGGACTCTAGACATGGGAGAAAAATGACACCGGATTTTCCATTTTATAAACTTTTGCCTGAGGGCAGAACCAGTCAGTTATTCCAGTTGAGTCTAGAATTCAAGATGAAACCTGGAGTCCTGTTGAAGAAGCAGAGGACAACGTTCAAGACAACCACAGCAGTTGGGAAGTGAGAGAGGAGAAATTACATGAAGGAGATTTTCAGAAAGGGAGAGTCCTAAATTCTGCACACAAACTCTTCCCTAATCCTTGGCTGGTGCCTCAACTACACTTACTTGGAACAGACTTCAAACCACACAGATAAGGTTGAAAGAATGGAACAGTTATAATAGCTGCTGCCTACCACAAGGGAAAAAGACTTTGTACTTTGAGCTGAGCCAAGTGAATTTGCTGCTGAAAGAAAAAAGAAGGAAGGAAGGAGGGAGGGAGGGATGGAAAGAGGAAGTCAAGAAAACAGTGGAATAATGTCTTTAAAGGTGAGGTAGAGGGGGTAGTGGCATGAACTTTAAACTCAGAATTCTTTGCCCAACAAAAATATTCTTCAAGGGTATAGACAAAAGAAAAACATTCACAGATCATTTAAAATGTTATCCCTGAAGAAAAGGGAAAATCGATATTAGGAAATACATAGTAGCCTGCCATATCCCTTCCAAATCAATAAGACTGAGATCCAGAAGAAGTACTAGGGACAAAGTCTGGGGTCACATATTAGACACCCAACCCACTGGAGTCCAAAATGTTTTTTCCTTATTGCTTTCTTCTTCCAAACCAGAATGTTCTAACTTGGGCTTATGAAGGGAGTAGATGGCTTGGATCTTCATCTATTTCTCTCATTTATTATTTTTACCCAAGTTTTTCCCCCCATTTCTGAAAAGACCTACTTTTTTAAAACTTAAAATCCAGGAAAGGACTCCTATTTCTTGGTGTAATCCTTCCAAAGAGGTCATAGAAATACTGAGGGGCACTTCCATTAGTATTTGAAAACAGTGGTTCACTATGTAGTAATTAACAGAGTAGTGTAGAATTCGAGGTTGCATGCAGAGTTGTTTGCTCTTTTATAAATCCTGGTATGAGGAAGCAGAGCAAGGGAAAGAGAAATACACACACACACACACACACACACACACACACACACACACACAGAGGAAAAGAGAAGAGGAGAGGAGCGGAGGGGAGGAGAGGGGAGGGGAGGGGAGGGGAGGGGAGAGGAGAGGAGAGGAGAGGAGAGGAGAGGAGAGGAGAGGAGAGGAGAGCAGAGCAGAGCCACGCAGACGTGAAGACAGACAACAGACACAGAGAGGAAACGGGGGAGAAGAGAGACAGAGTATATGAGAGGGAGAAAGAGGTCAGAGACAGAGAGAAAGAAAGGAGAATGAGAGATGGAGTAAGACTCCAAGATTAGATATGGTAATATTGATTACTCGATAAACTGCTTCATCAATGGATATCTGCAAGACCAGGGTGTTGTATTCTTGGCAAGAGTATCTTCATCAAGACATTAAACAAATATGCCTCTTACATGTCTGTGATCCTATGAAAATCTGTGCTCTCTGATACCTCTTTCATAAACAGCTTACTCCTTCCTTGAACTTTGATTCTGGTCATCCAGGCTAGGGCTGCTTCATTAAGTGATTGAATTGGCCCCAGCGAAGTAGCCAGCAGTTCACAAAAGAGGTTTCAGTGCTTGCTGGCTTTACATGTCCTTAGTCCTGAATTGACTCCAGTCAATTCCTGGGGCCTCCTCCATCTGTCCTGGGCTCAGCCATCCCAGGAATCCCCTGCATATGGGCCGCTCCTGTCCATTGCTGCACCTCACCCTTTGCCTAATTATCTCTTTCACTACAAACTCTGCTCCTGTCCATAAGTCCACTCTGAATAGACTCCTTCAGGCTGCTTCTGCAATTCAGTACCCTGTCACCCAGCAAAATAGCCCACTAGCCCTGACTCACTTCCAAGCCTAGTAAAAGGACCCAGATACCTCCTGGTCTAACGCCATCCATGCAATTGTTTACATCCTATAACAATGGGTATTGTGCTTTGCAAGTTAAATAGACACAATTACTGTGATTTTTATAAATGTACTTTTACATTATTAGCTGTCCTAGTTCCAACTGAATGTCTTTCCCCACTCTTAAATTCTCTAGGAGTTTACCTTGGATGTATGTTTATCTAGATAACCTATTTCCAATTTCGTACCAGTCATGGACAGGGAGTGGTTGACATTTTGAATGGAGAAGAATTCTAACTCTACAGCCTGACATTAAGTTGACATTGACATTTAAATTGATTGACTTTTACCCTTAAAAAGTCTAGCTGGTCAAGGTGTGATCATCCTTCTAAGGATTCTTTGCTTCAGAGAGTGAACATGAAGAAATAGAGAAAGAACTAAATTTGTCACTCACATAACCCAAATACTTAATCTTTGACAGAAAAGAAAAAAAGGGAGAAGTAGACTACCATCTGTGCAGAATCTCCTCATTGTTTCTCCACTTTGCCACCAAAGTATTGCTCACATTAGGCACATACATCCCCAGAGGTTCTGGACGGTGAAAGAGAAATTCCACTGAAGTATTGTTTATCTCTTTTAAAAAGAATGCACTGACAAGTAAAGGTAACCACTGAACACACATTTATTTCTGTTTCCTTCTCCAAAAATAAAACCCCACTATGAAAGGAAAATAAATATTGGGGCCCCCAAATCACCAAGCTAACGGGAAAAGTCAAGCTGGGAACTGCTTAGGGCAAACCGCCTCCCAGTCTATTCAAAGTCACCTCTCTGCTCACTGAGATAAATGCATATCTGATTGCCTCTTTTGGAGGGGCTAATCAGAAACTCAAAAGAATACAACCACTTATCTCTTATCTACCCATGACCCAGGAGCCCCATCCCTGCTTTGAGTTGTCCTGGCTTTCTGGACTGAACCTGCGTTCATTTTACGTGTGTTGGTTGATGTCTCATGTCTCCCTAAAATGTATAAAACCAACCTGTGCCCCAACCACCTTAGGCACATGTCATCAGGACCTCCTGGGGCTGTGTCATAGGTGCACATCCTCAACCTTGGCAAAATAAGCTTCCTAAATGAACTAAGACCTGTCTCAGATATTTGGGGTTCACACCACTAAGGGGAGAGCAAAGTCATAAATCCATATGCAGAAAGAGAATGGGAGAAGAGACAGAAGGAAAGAGAATGGGAGTTGTAAAGCAGATGGGAGAATGGTTATTAAACTAGAAAGCTCTACAAAGCTGAATTCTAATCTAGCAATGGTTAAAGTCATACAGCATCCTTAGCAATACCCCAGAACCCAGAATCCATAAACATCTGTGGAATTGAAAGCAAAATTGAAAGGCTCCTGGAATTCTGCTTTAGGATTTGTCTAGGTTTTAGATCCCCATGGTGACTGTCCCTCATCCATCCTGACAAAAGACCAGAGCTTTATAAGGTCTGGACTGGGAGACAGTTGATGACAGGGGTAACTTACTGAGAAGAGAGGTTCAGGAGATGTGGGGATACTGAATGCTCCTAGACTGAAGCAGTCAGGCCTGAAGGCTCAGGACCAAGGTCAAAAATATCTGGGTAATGTAACCAGCTCGAGCAGAAACATTAAGTATTGACATTACAGTTTTCCCCAAGGAAGTAGTCTTAGTCATATAACCCCATGCTAGACCCCAGTGTCCACAAGCCCCACCCATGGGCTCCAAACTTTCTCTTGGTTCTTTGGTTCCCTTTCTATTAATGAGTGGATGGCTAGGAGGTCACCAGATACTTATTTGGGAAAATTTTCTAACACAGAAGATAATAATCAGAACTAAACAACTTAGAGAAAACATGAAACAGAAACTATACAAGGAGAAAAAGCAAATGAAATTTTCTCAAATGTCTCTAGAGACATAAGGAAAAACAATGCTTTCACAAAACAATTGCAAAATGGCATTTTTAGAAAGGAACATTCAGAAAATACTAAAGAACTAATATAAATTAAGAACATGATAGAAGAAAGTAAAAATCTAATAGTCTTGGAAATTGAGGCAGTCTCCATGACTACAGTTAAATAGTTATACATAGTTATAGTTATAGCTGGTATATTATAAGTATTATATATATTACACAAATATATATATATATATATATGTTATTTATATTATAGATAGCCTAGGCAGTTCAATATTCAAATAGTAGGCATTCCAGAAAGAGAGATTAGAGAAACCATAGGGGAGAAAATCATCTAAGAAATTTATTTTTTAATTTTCTAGAACTCAATGTCTTGGTCTCTGGTTTCAAAGGATGCACCAGGAACCCCGTTCAATGGGTAAAAAGAAATCCAACCAAGTTGTCTTATCAAAAAAGTTCCAAGAAATAGGAATAAGGGAATAAGGCACAATCATACAAGCTTCCAATCGGAAAAACAAGATACTTCATATATAGATAAATGAGTAATCAGAATTAGTTTATGTTTTTCCATGGCAATACTGGAAGCTAGAAAATGATGGCGGAATGCTTTTAAACTTTTCAAATTAAATTGTGTCCAACTTAGAATTATATACTTTCAATATAGGGTGAAGATAGAATAAAGATATTTGTAGACATTTAAGTTCTCAAAAAATTGTCTTTCCTGTATTCTTTTCAGGAAGCTACTGGAAGATGTGATGATTGACTAAATTAAGAGAGTAGATCAAGAAAGAAAAGACATGGATTATGGAAAACAGAACAAGAGAGGCAAATGGGATGGAGAGGGTGGCAGTGAAGGAAGAGACCCAGTTGGCCTCTAGACATTGGGTATTGGGCCAAAGCATCCAGATAGGCACAGTAGAAGGGTACAGAAGAACAATCCTCAAAACACCACACACAGTCCAAGTATCAATGGCCAAAATTGATTATCCAACTCCCAAAAGTAGTCTCAAGGAAAAACTCTGCCACTGCCTTTTTCAGAACAAAAGGTGCAATGCAGGTTAAATCAGGGTCACTTTTCCTAATAAGGTCCCCTAGTGGGTCAGATATCCATGGACTTTAAATGTAGTTGTCATTTCTTAAATTGGCGAAAAAATCTTCAAGCTACAAATGAGTAATATCGTTTAATCCAATAATCACCTTATGAGTTAATGCCAAACAGAAACTAGAGCCAGACACTAGTTAAAGGTAGTAAAGACAGATGATATTCAGTACTACTGCAGCAAGGGAGAGAGTTTTCAGTAAAACTGAGCTCAAATCTGAATATAACAAAGACAGGTGGAGATTTATAGCCAACAAGTAGGGTGAGCAGGGACAGTAGATGGAAAATTGCTAAGAGAAGACTTTCAGGGTAGGGAAATTCTGGCTCAACTGGCCTAACAGGGTTCTTGCTAAAGGCAGGCCAAGGGCTTAGACATCAAAGATGGCAGACAGGATATGAGATATCTTGATCAGATATGAAGGGTGATCAGATATCAAGGGTGAGGATTCTCAGTAAACTGACTTGGTAATGTCAAAGGTGCCTGTCTCAAGTTTGGACAAGGAAAGAGTCTTTGCCAATAGGAATTATTCCCGTTGTGTAGAGGGGGAAAATGAGATTCATAACAGTAAAACAATTTCACCACAGCTTGCAAGGAAGAAGCTACAATTTAATCTAGAACTGGTATATCATTCTAGAAAAATATATTAAAAATGGCATGGAAATGCCAAGGAAAACTGAAATTCATACCTTTGTGGATGAGATGGGATGGAAGGGAAAAGAAACAGTTGTTCTTATCATGTTGTATGCTTAGACCTTCCAAGTCCAAGAGTTAGGAGAATTTTTCCCTGAGTTTCTCCTCTTGGTATGGTCACTACTACTGAGCTAAGCCTGCTTTCTTTCTTTTCTTTCTTTTTTTCTTTCTTTTTTTTTTTTTTTTTTTTTTGTTGTTGTTGTTGTTGTTGAGACAGAGTCTTGCTCTGGTTGCCCAGGCTGGAGTGCAATGGCAAGATCTCAGCTTGCCGCAACCTCCACCTTCTGGGTTCAAGCAATTCTGCACCAGCCTCCCAAGTAGCTGGGATTACAGGCATGCGCCACCAAGCCTGGCTATTTTTTGGTATTTTCAGTAGAGACAGGATTTCTCCATGTTGGTCAGGCTGGTCTCAAACTCCTGACCTCAGGTGATCCGCCCACCTCGGCCTTCCAAAGTGCTGGGATTACAGGCGTGAGCCACTGCGCCCAGCCAAGCCTGCTTTCTTTATGGCCCACCCAAAGGGCACAAGCCATGGAAAATAAGTATCTGCCTGAACCATATTCAGAGGAGGTCCCTTCATCTTCCTCTTTCAAACAAAAGGGCTTATGATGAAAATAGCTAGAATGATTCTTACATATGAAAGTAGCTGAGCCCAGAGAGTAAGGTGTTAAAGCAATTACCTATACATTTAGTATCTTACTCTTTACAGCTATCTATTCACTCATCATAGGAGATTTGTTGTCATACTGATCACACAGAGGGCACTTTTGGGGAGGGAGATCGCCCTGTGCTATGGAAGAGCTGTTGTTTCCATTTCTTCCTGGATTTATTCCTTAATTAATGGTCATCAGAACAACTTTTTATATGGGAGAAATATTGAGATAAGATGGGAAAGTGTGATCCTGAACTGAGGTGGCCTTGAAAAAGAAGGGAATTGTACTTATGAAAAAATTACTTCCTATTTTGTTCCTTTTCACACATGCAGAAGCTGAGCTCCAGAAACCCAAAATAAGTGACCCAAGGAGGTCGCCTCATTCTTCCCAAGTCTCTGGGATTTCAGTTTGTTCTTCTAGAATCCCTGCACTGTACTTCCATGACTGGGGTGATTTTCTTTCTTTCCTCCTCAGCAGTAATGAAGTGACTCTCGGGGAGGAGTTAGAGCCATGGCTGACCTGTTCCCCGCGTGCAGCTCACAGGGCATGGGCAAGACTGCCTCTCGCGGGAGTGGGCAGGAGGTCGCTGCCTACCGCTTTCCTGTCCTCATTGCAGAAGCCTTTCCTTTCCTTTCTTTAAGAGGCTAGGCCCGGCCTTTCTCCCACCCTTCCTTCTATTCCTTCTCCCTCTCCTACTCCTTCCCCGCTTCTTTTCTCCCTTGGGCTTCACTTTTTTTTCTTTTCTTTCCCCTGTGCTTTCTCGCACCCTTTCTTGCTTCCTTGCTGCCTTGCTTTTCTTGCTTATATCTGTCTTCCTCACCCATGTTGGCCTCCTTCCCTCTCTCTCCCTTTCCCCACTCCTCCACCCCTGTCCCTACTGAAGTGAGATGCATAGTCCTAGCTACTTGTCCTCAGGAGCAAAGGTAGCATTTTAATATCACCACCCTGTTTTCCCTTTGAAAACTCAGAGCAAATAAAGCCCATCTGTCTTCCTGCTCCTATGTGACCATACGGCAGGCTGTCTGTCTGAGCCGAGTGTTAACAGCGAGAAAGAGACGTGACGGAAGAATGACAAAGTGACTTTTACTCCGGAGCAGTCTGTTTCCCATGGTTCATTGGCATCAGAAATGCAGGTCAGCAACGCTGAGCTTCATGGTCCTCCTGACGCTTCATTTGGCCGCTTAATACTTGCCACAAGAAGCTTCTGATTCTTTGCTCTTCTGGTAAAACACCTCCCTGTTCTCCCTTGGGGTCTGCAGGATATCTGTGTTCAATTTGGGAGCATTTCTCACACTTTCGCAGATGAGGTCTGTGCTAATATCAAGGCCCTGGAACTGACCCTCCCATGGGCCAGTTAATGTCACCTACCTTGTGGCCCTGGATCCAACAGGAGCAGGGGGTCTCGCCAGAGCCAGTGAGTCTATTAATGTCCCATGAGCCAGTAAATGTCACCTGCCTTATGGCTCTGGATCCACCAGGATCAGGGGTCTCACCACAGCGACTCCCTCTGTGCTGCACTGCACTTTATACAGTACTGACATATCTATTATTACATTGACTTCTATCAACTTTGTAAAGTAGTCACTAACATTGCATCTAATAGAAAATAAAATTCTTAGTAAGGATTCTTCATTGTAAGCAACAAAAAGCTCACTCAAATTAAGTCAAACATGAAACAAAATTTATGGACATAAGAACTGAAAATTTCAGGGGTATTTGGCTTCAGGAATGGTTGAGTCCAGGAGCTCACGTGATGTCACTAGGACTTGCTTGCCTTTTGTTTCTTAAGTCAGGTTTCCTTTGTGTAGGTTTGGCCCCAAGACTCCACATGGTGGTCCAGGTCAGCCTCCATCTCCTCTCATATTTAGTTATTGGTAAGTAGGAAAAGGTGCATGCTTCCTTCTTGGCAGTTATAACAAATGTTTTTTTGTATACTATTAACCCTGACTTGGCCACTTGGCATTTACAAGCCAATAATTCTGACCAGTAGAAAGCAAAATTGAAATTGACCTGGCTGGATCCACGTCTACACTTGCAGCCAGAGGTAGAATTTACTCATCCCAAGTACATGTACTAAGCCTGGGACAGGAAGGATGCTCCAGAAGGAATTTGGGGACATGTTATGAAGAGGAAGGCAAATGGAGGCTGGAAAGCAAAACCCATAGCTTTTCTCTGTCGAAACTGATGCTCATTCAGATTTATCCAGTGAGAAAGTGGAGAGTCAGAATTCAGAGAGAGTGAGGGACTTCATGAGCCTGCAGTGATAGTGCTGATGCCAGAGATGGGGAAGTGAGACAGGAAGGAAAGTGAGCTGGAGGGCCAGACCAAGGAAGGCATTCTTCCCTCCCAGCACTGAAAGAATGTGCTGTATTGGTCCGTTCTCATGCTGCTATAAAGAACCACTGGAGACTGGGTAATTTATAAGGAAGAGAGGTTTAATTGACTTATAGTTCCACATGGCTAGGGAAGCCTCAGGAAACTTACAATCATGGTGGAAGGCACCTCTTCATAGGGCAGCAAGAGAGAGAATGAGTGCCTGCAGGGGAAATGCCAGACGCTTATAAAACCGTGATAACTCACTCCCTATCACAGGAACAGCATGGGGGAAACCACCACCATGCTTCAATTACCTCCCACTGGGTCCCTCCTATGGCACGTGGGGATTACGGGGATTACAATTCAAGATGAGATTTGGGTAGGGACACAGCCAAACCATATCACATGCCCAAAAGGAACTATTCAGAGATAGTTCTGTCAAGATTACATCTTCATGATGAGGGAGCTATAGGGAGGAAGGGAACAGTAAGGCCATCTCTAAGAGCAGGGCTGGAAGAGTGTACTGGTTTCTTATGGTTGCTGTAGAAAATTATGACACAGGCAGTACCTTAAAACAACACAAATTTATTATTGCTATGATTTGAATGTTTGTGTCCTCTCCAAAATCCATGTTGAAACTTAATCCCCAATGCAACAGTATTAATAGGTGGGGTTTAGGAGGTGATTAGACCAGGAGGGTTCTGCCCTCCTGAATGGGAGTAGTGCCTTATAAAAGAGCCAGGGAGGACTACTTTGGCCCCTTTTGCCCTTCTGTTTCTTTCACCATGTGATGATGCAGCAAGAAGGCTCTCACCAGACACTAAATGGTGGTGCATTGACCTTGGACTTCCCAGCCCCTAGAACTGTGAGGAAATAAATTTCCATTGTTTCTCAGTCTCATACATTCTGTTATAGAAGCACAAATGGACTAAGACAGAAATTCATATTGAGAAGTGAGGTGTTACCATAACAAAACCTAAAAATATAAATGTTGCTTTGAAACTAGGTGATGAGTAGAGGCTGAAAGAATGTGGAAGGGCAGACTAGAAGAAAACCTAGATTGCCATGAATGAACCATACAGGGTGATTCTGGTGAGGGCTCAGAAGAAGAGAGCTGCAGACAGAGCCCCCATCTTAGATATTATTTAAGTGGTAATGATCAGAAAGTGGGTAGAAACATGGGTAGTAAAGGCCATTCTGATAAGGACTTAGATGGAAATAAGGAATATCTTATTGGAAACTAGAGAATAGGCCATCCTTGTTACAAAGTGACAAGGAACTTAGCTGAATTATGTCTGTGTCCTAGGGCTTTGTGGAAGGAAACATGTAAGAGTAATGAACTAAGATATTGGGCACAAGAACTATCTAAGCAAAGCATTGAGGTGCTGTATGGCTTCTTTTGATGGCTAACAGTAAAATGTAAGAAGAGAGAAATGAATTAAAGGTGGAATTTATAATTAAAAGAGAAGAAAAAGTTAAAAATTTATTGGCCTGGCCAGATTATAAAGAATAAAAATGGGTCTTTGGAAGAAAACACCAAGGGTGTGACCAAGTGATTGTTTGATAAGGAGATAGTAGGGATAGAAGGAAGCCAGATGCTATTCATCAGGACCATGGGAGAATTACCTCAAAGGCATTTCTGAGATTTTCATGGCTGCCCCACTCATCACAGTCCCAGAATGCCAAGGCCTTGAATGCAGATGGTTCCAAGAGAGAGGCTTAGAGCATCCACAGGACTGTGGGTCTTACTGCCTCCATCTGTCTTTCATAGGAGGCCTCAGGAACCCACTGCACCCAGGCAGAGAACTGCCACAAGGTGGGCCAGAAAGCCCATTAGGGCGATGCTTAGTGGATCTGAGGAGGCCTGCCAGTCCCTGAGACCCCAGAACTGTAGAGCCATCAGCATGCAATTCCAGCCTAGGATAGCTGTAGGCCAGAGACTCCAACATGTGAAAGCTGCGGCATGGGCTGCACCCAGGAAAGCAGTGGGTATGGGGCTGCCTGGGGCCTTGAGGACCCAACCACCAAACCAGTGTGTTCAGAAGGGGGGACACAGAGTCAAAAATTATTCTCAATACTTAAATGTCAATGTTGTTTGCCTTATAGGGTTTTGGATTTCCTTGGGACCAGTTACCCCTTCTTTCCGATTTCTCCCTTTTGGAGTGGAAATGTCTATCCTATGTCTGTTTCACCATTGTATTTTGGAAGCATATAACTTATTTCATTTCAAAGGCTTACAACAAGAGGGGAATTTGCCTCAGGATGAATCATGACTTGAGTCTTATCCATATCTTTTTTCTTTTTTCTCTGCGGGGGGATAGAGTCTCGCTCTCTCACCCAGGTTGGAGTGCAGTGGCACAATCTCGGCTCATTTCAACCTCTGCCTTCCAGGTTCAAGTGATTCTCTTGGTTCAGCTTCTCGAGTAGCTGGGACTACAGACATGCAACACCGCACCCAGCTAATTTTTTGTATTTTAGTAGAGATGGGGTTTCACCGTGTTGCCTGGGCTTGTCTCGAACTCCTGACCTCAGGCAATCCACCAACCTTGGCCTCTCAAAGTGCTAGGATTACAGGCATGAGCCACCACACCTGGCTGAGACTCATCCATATCTGATTTAGATAATACTTATTTATTTTTATTTTTTAAATTATTTTATTGTGACATTTAGACGAGATGTTGGACTTTAAATTTTTGAGTTGATGCTGGAATGAGTTAAAACTGTTGGGGTTATTGGGATAGAATGAATGTATTTTTGTGTGAGAAAGACAAATTTTGGGGGAACAGGAGCAGAATGCTATGGTTTGAATGTCTGTGTCCCCTCCAAAATTTATTTATGCAACAGTATTAAGAGGTGGGACCTTTAAGAGGTGATGATGCCATAAGGGCTCTACCTCATGGATGGGATTAGTCCCTTATAAAAGGGCTGGAGAGAATTAAGTAGGCCCCTTTTGCCCTTCCGTTTCTTCCACCATTTAAGGACATAGCAGGAAGGTCCTCACCAGACACCAAATGCTGGAAACTTGACCTCATATTTCCTAATCTCCAGAACTGTGAGGAATAAAATTCAGTTGTTTATACATTACTCATGCCCAGATACTTTGTTATTGCAGCAAAAATGGACTAAGAGAGTTATCTTATAGTTCAGTAGTTTAGAAGTCCACAAGGAGACCCACTGGGCTAAAATCAAGGTGTTGGCAGGGCTGCACTCCTTTCTGGAGGCTGCAGTAGGCAATCTTTTTCCTTGCCCTTTCCAGCTTCTAGAGGCCTTTCTCTAGGGGTGTTCCTTGGCTCTTGACATCTTCCCCAGTCTTCGAAGCCAGCAAATGGTGGGTTGAGTTCTCCTCACATTGCATCACTATGATCCCCATCTTTTGCCTATTTTTTTCCACTTTTTATTTTTATTTTTATTTTGAGATGGAGTCTCGCTCTGCCGCCCAGGCTGGAGTACAGTGGCGCAATCTCGGCTCACTGCAAGCTCCGCCTCCCGGGTTCATTCCATTCTCCTGCCGCAGGCTCCCGAGTAGCTGGGACTACAGGTGCCCGCCACCATGCCTGGCTAATTTTTTTGTATTTTTAGGAGAGACGAGGTTTCACCGTGTTAGCCAGGATGGTCTCGAACTCCTGACCTCATGATCCACCCGCCTCGGCCTCCCAAAGTGCTGGGATTACAGGCATGAGCCACTGCGCCTGGCCTTTTTTTCCACTTTTAAGGAGCCTTGTGATGACACTGGGCACACACAAATAATGCACGACAATCTCCTTATGCTAAGGCTAGTGGATTAGTAAACTTAATTCCACCTGCAAGCTAATTCCCCTTTACCACATAACCTAACATATTCATAGTCACAGGTTCTGGGGTTTAGATGTGGACATCTTTGGGGGACTGTTTTTCTGCCTATTAAGGAGAGAGCAGGGGAGGTGCTAAGCCCCACCTTCAGAAATAAAGAAAGCAGCTGTCCAGAACCATGTCAGAGGAGGCCCCAAGAACCCCAGGCAGGACAGATAGTGACAACTTTCTAAGATTCTAGGACTCTGTCATTTCTACCCTCTTCCCTCACATCATTCAGGGTTTGGATGAAGAGACACAAGTGAAATAGGCAGTAACAATATAAAACGTTGAGAGTTGTGCTGAGGCATGTAGAGAAGTTCAGGACTACTTGGGAGGGGAGCACAGCTTTTGCTTAATAATTGTAAGACCCCACAGTCTGCAGGGACCTGATCCCTACCAGAGATTCTCACCCACTGGCTCAGTGTCCTCAGGTAGAGGAATGGACTCAGATGTGTCTTTTTTTTTTTTTTTTTCCAGTTACAGATTGAAACACCAAAAGTCATTGTTTTCTTCCCCTTCTCCTTCTCCTTCCCCTCCTCTTCCTTTTCCTCCTCTTCCTCCCCTCTACTTTCTTGTTCTCCTACTGCATGACCCTTAAATAACCAAGAAATAAAGTCTACAATTCACCATGACATCTTCACATTCCAGTTAATCTAGCTAGGCTGGTCTTTGGCATAGTGACTTGGGAGCTTGCCCAAGGAGTGGTGCAGGAGACAGGATGGCCTGGAGGAGGCAGTGCAGACTTCTGGATGAACAAATCTGTGCTGAAACCCCAGCATGGCCTGCTCTCTCTGAGTTTTCTATTGCAAGTCCCTGCACCACTCTGTGCTTCATTATGAAACGGGTTCTCTTCAAAGTCCAGAGGAAACCATGTTTATAAAGCGTCCAGAACAGAGCAACTATTTCACCACACTCCCCCACAGTTGAAGGGCACTATATAGCTCCCATGTTCCAACCTCTGCATTTTACAGAGGATGAAATCAGGGCCCAGAGAAGCAAAAGGACTTGGCCAAGGTCACACCACTAGGAGGTGACAAGGCCAGCTCCAGTTTCCTTCCTTTCCAGGGCTATGCTCCTCCCACTCTGCCACACTGACATTTCTGACATTTTTCTTTCCCTTGTTTCAGATGTCCTGGTACGTGTTTCAATTTAACGGGTAATCAGGCATCGCTCTCTACCGAGGATCCCCTGAGGACCCCAGCTTCATCCAGCCGCCTGTCAGAGAAACCCAGGAAGCTTTGCCAGGCAGCAGAGTGGGAGGATTTCCCAGAGGGAGCATCAGACTTAATGGCCCCTCCAGCCAGGGTCAAGTCCTCCTGAAAGCCATTAACATAAACATAATGACCATGAATCCCAGAGCAGGAGTGCAGAAGGAGGAGGTCAGCACATAGAAGAACAAGACACAGCCAGTGCGAAGAAGGTGGCAGGGAGACCAGAAGGAAAGCATGCAGACCTCCTGAGAATGCCTGTCATTCACTGAGCATTGATCTACGTTAGACTTATCCCTACACCTTAAAGTCTCAAAGTGAAGTTTGGATAGGGAGCTTTTCTACTCCGCTTTCTAACACATCTGCCTCTTTCAGCATACTCCTCCAAGTTTTTTCCTTAACAACCTCCAACTTTAACAAGGAAGAGCACAAGATGTCCATTGTACGTGAATTACAAGCATGTTTGTGTGTGTGGTTCAGCAAGGCCTGCCCCTGTCTGCATGCAAAGCTCTTGGGAGAAGGGAGCCAATTTGCACAATGTGTATGGATGCCTCCTGGGAGAGCTTATATCAAGACACCTATCCCTTCTTTGCAAAATTCAGAGTTAAAGAAACTGGTTGTGTGAACTCAGTTACTGCTGGCCCAGAGCTGTGGAAGTACAAAGCAGCCCCTGAAATAAAACTGCCATGAGGGAAGAGGGATTTCTGAACAGATGCACTGCTGCTGGCCCTAAGTTAGCAGGAGCGATGGGGATGTGAGCTGGAGTCTGGGAAGACTGGGAGCCAAATATTTGTCTTCTTGCTCAAGCTAGTTTGAATTGGATTTCTGTGGCTCACATCAGGAAGGATTCTGACCAAAGTATTATGAATATCATCTCTCTTGAAAAAATACCAGGGAGTGAAAGGTATCATAAATTATTTCATGGATGCATAAACTAAGTTACAGAAAGCAATGAAGTGTCCCACAAAACATACTGCAAGTTCTGCCTCAAATAGAGAACTGCTTTGACCCCATGCTCTTTACTTCAAAAGTCTCCTGTGTGCTGCTGGCTAGACTGCTTTTTCTCCCAACTTCCAAGCCAAGTATTTTTCCAGAGTCTAGATGAAGGGTGGACCTCCTTTCATATCTTACCACTGAGTTAGCCAAGTCCTACCTAGTCAGAACCCACAGTGTTAAAAACAAATGTACCTGTAAAAACAATGTCTGAAAGTGGTCTCATTGAAGATTAGTCCCATAGAATATTAAGAGCTGTTAGACAGAAACAAATTCTGGGATCAATTAGTCTGAGAAATTCTGAGTTAAACAAGTAAGTGATAAGAGATTTTGGCATCACACTGAACCAGGTTTCAGTCCTTGCTTGGCTATTCAGAATGATGTGAACTTTGTGCACTTTTTAAGCTCTTTGTGACTCAATTTCTTCCTCCATAAAATAGGAATGAGGTTAATACCTGCCTATGTCAGTCAAGATTCCATGTTGGAAACAAAACATTCCAGGTGTTCTAAGCAGAAAAGGATTCAGTGTAGGGAACTAGGTGATTTCAAAAATCCCTGGAAAGGCTGGAGGAGAAAATTCTAGGCTGGACCTGCAAGAGTGACTCCCGGAAATTTAAAAAAAAAAAAAGAAAGAAAGAAAGAAAGTGGAACTGACTTGCTGCAGACTCTACAAGATCTGAAAAGTGAGAAATCATAAGATCATCTCTTGAACCACCATGGTAGCTACAATTCAGGGATAAGGAAGCCACCAGTGCCATTGCTGCAGTGACGTGGCCATTGAGGTCAGTCATGCTGCTGTCCCCACTGCAAATGCTGCTGCACCCAAAGCAGGCATCTGGACATTGGCATCCTCACAATCATGCCCCCTGGAGAGCAAAAATAGCCAGCACCCAAGGAACATGGCTATAGCCTGACTTCCTCCTTCCCCATCTCACCACAGCGAAGCTCACTGGTGGGACACGTTTTGCTAAACTAGAACTCCACTTGCAGAATCCCAACCTCTGCATTTCAGGGAGGCACACAGAAGGAAGGTGGGGTCAGGTGCACTCTGCTCCATGGGCTATTATGATATTAAATGAGATGATGCAGGCAATGGACTTAGAACAGTACCTGGAACGTCATGAGAATCATAAATGGATGTTATTTATGTTGTATTGTTACCTGCTGCAGGACTTCTCAGAGCCTTTATTCTGCCAACATATACAATTTTTTTTCCTGGTAGTAAAATTTGTATAACCTGCTATGTCTTCTATTTTGTTTTCTCAGCTTAGAGACAAATCTTAGATTCAATTATAGCACTTTTAGAGAGCCCAGTGCCTTTCATATTTGTATTAGTTTTACCTACCTGCAATTTTCTACCTTTATTTCCACTTAGTCTTTTAAAATTCTTCTTCATGCCTTAGCTTATAGTAAATATGTTCTGGTAAGATATTTAAAATTCTTTATGGTAGGCAGCCTGGTATAAATAAACACATTTATTAAGTGAGTTAATAAATCACTTGGGTATTCAAGGGCATGACTTTTAATGATGGAAATCCAGAGTGAGGGTAGTATTTTTAGATATAATGTCCCTTGCCAGACCCCTCAAATAATACCACATAGTTTACTATGGACTTACACCCAGATGAGTCCTGAATTGTCCTCTAAGTAAAGAAGGAAGAAACCACTGTTAAAGTTAGTTTCCTAATTTTGCCCCTGGGCAACCCCTTTAGAGCACAGCCTCAGTCTTGAGCTTTGTGGGTCACGCTTTTCCTTGTCAGGCAGAGAAAGTCTTTATTTCAGCTTTGACTTTGGCAAAAACCTCAGCATCTTTTCCTGGGCTTGCAAAATGGCAGAGTTCTTGCTTTCAGATGACCAAAACTTGTCCAGTGAGACCAAAACGCTAGGCTGCCTGTCACAGCAGAGAGCCGTGGGTTTCCATGTGTTCTGCGGCTCACTTCTTCATCTCCCACCCTCACAGTAGGTGAGAACAAACTGAAAGCCCCTCAAAGCCCCAGCACTGCCTGTTTCTTCTGCAAGGTGACATTTCCACAGACTCAAGCATGAACAAGAGCGGGGGGTCAATTCCTGCTCCACCAATGCACCGCTGCATTTCCTGTCTGCTGTTGCCGGATCCCCCAGGCAGCTCCCTCTTCTCTCTGCCCTGGGCTCCATGTTTGCTTACAATTTAGCGGCACTCATTCACCCCAACTGCATTTTCTGTACTGTGATATTTTTCTTCTTTACAAACAGCAATCAGAAGTAAATAATAATGTAATATTTATTCTGGATATTGTGCCATCGGTAAATTACTAGATCCCAGAGAAGTAGTCCTTTTTTATATGAGGGTCAATTGAAGAAGGCAACAAGGCCAGGAGAACTTGTTAGCACTCATAACATGCCGAGTACCATGCTAAATGCTTTGGATTTCTTGCCTAACACTCACAAGAATGCTGCAGGCTTTACCATGCTCACAAAACAGTGAGGCTCTCTGACTGTTAAAGAAGGGCCCTGGTGGATATGGCTTTACAGAGCTCTTCAGCACTCCTACCTAGAAGGCCTTGTGTAGTTTGGGGGCAGACATTTTCATTAGGGCCCTATGGGGAAGAGAGGCTTTCCTCAAAACATTTACAATCCAGGTGAGAGCAGAAGGACAAAGCACACGAAGACCCCAAATAAAGCCTAACAGGAAAAAGCAAGTGGCGGTCGACTGGGGAGGATGCTTCAGCTGAGGAGAGGGCCCCACACAAAGGCATGGCGACTGGAAGCCAGAAGGCGTTTTCCAGCCAACAAAACGATTAGTTTCTTTCTGCCCACACTTGTGTGTATGGGGTAGTAGATTACGGTAGAAAAGTAGGTGGAGACCAGACTTTGGGGCTTCAAATGAAACCACAAGGAGTGAGGACTTTATCCCATTGGACAATGTGGAGTCATGGATGGTCTTTGAATGAACTGAGGTTAATAAAAATCAGAAGATGTGTTGTGTTCAGATCATGCTGATGCAGGTTGAAGGCGGGAAATTAGGGATGAGACTCATTTAACGAAATGCTTCAATTAGCAAAGTCAATGAAGAAACTGACCAGTTAAGAATCTCTTTCTTCTTCAACTACAAATTGCATAATATTTAAAAGGAAATCGTGAGTGAAAATGGTCCCTTATTTGTAGATTTATAACAAAGATAGGCCCCAGGATGGGATTTGCCTCCACACCACCCTCCCCCAAGATTAGGTTTAGTTCCCTTTCTCTGGAGTCCTGCAGCTCTTGAAAAATGAAACTTAGCTATTTTCTCCAAGAATTTGATTAGGAAAATATGATGTTATCTTGCACTGGAGATGAGCTATGTGTGTTACCTCTTTGTATCTTTCATTAGGGAAACAAATTCTCAGGAACTCCATAAATAATTACATACAATGTTCTCCGAAATCTTTCAGATTCTCCACTCCCCCATCAGTCACATCCTTTTCCTGAAGTGAGTCTTTCCACAACTTCACTTTAAAACAGCATTTCACTCCAGTATTACTTCATTTCTGGGATGAAAAGAATACGAATATAAAGTCACCGAGGAAGCTGTCTCCATTTCTCCTGCGTGGTGGAGCTCTAGTTTAGTGGGACAGAGGATGGAGGAGGAATAAAGGCTGAATCACCTCCCAAGCCATCAAAATAAGCATAAATCGGGCTTCATTTTAGAGTTGTCAGTTTACGGGTTTAATAATTAACAGAACACTCTGATGCATCATGCTATGGCTTGGTTTCTGTGATCATTCTTGTGTAGTTTTATTCATCTTGCAGTTTACAGAGAGGTAAACTATAAACTCAATGAGGACAGGACTTCACCTGGGTTTTTCATGGCTGTATCCTATGCATGGGGCAGAGCCTGCCATTAGATGATCCTCAACGAACAGACGTCCAGTGAATGAATGAGAGATACTCAGTGGGGTCAGGAAGGAAGCATTTTCCTCAGTCATGTCTACCCATGAGCTTTACTGCTCTTCTTGCAGTTGGGGTTGGGAAGGGAGTGTGGGGAACAGGGGAAGCCAGTACCAGGACTGCATCATGAGGGGTGTGTGTTGCACATGCATACACACCTGTGTGTGGACATATGCATGGCTATCTGCTTAATTCCACAGTTGAACAAACTGTTTCCCGTCCTTTAAATGGAATAGTTTAAAATAAAGAGTCCCACACAGGGCTTGGTGTGGAGTAAAAGCTAAATAAATGCTAGCAAATTAAGTTGAGGGAATATGATGAGTTTGATGGTTAAGGTAATTTGATGAATTATTTTGTTTTTATATTCCTATATTTAAAAAATTCTTCAAGTTTTCTTACAGATTGATGACTGGAGCAAGTAGATGCCTACTGACAATTGCAATCAAGATTCTGATGCCAAGAAAGGGCAGTCTAGGCCCTTTCCTGACTGTTACAGACTGAATATTTGTGCCCGCCAACCCTCCCAGATTCCTGAGTTGAAGCCCAGCCCCCAGTGTGGTGTTGTTAAGAAAGTGGGCCTTTGGGAGGTGATTAAGTTTCGCTGATATCATGTGGATGAAACCCCAAAGATGGGATTAGTGTCCCTTATAAGAAGAGGAAGAGATCAGAGCTCTCTCTCTCTCTCTGTCCCTATCATGTGAGAATACACTAGGAAGATGGCTGTCTGCAAGCCAGGAAGCAGGACTTCACCAAACTCCGAATCTGCCAGCACCTTGACCTTGGACTTCCCAGTCTTCAGAACTGTGAGAGACGATGAATGTTTGTTGTTTAAGCCATGCAGTCTATTGTGTTTTGTTATAGCTACCTGAGCTAAGACACTGACCCTGGACTTAATAACCATATGAAAGATGTTTGTTTTTATTAGTTCTCAGAAGATTCAAATGAAGATTGCAGTGCAACACCATTATAACCTATAAGAATGACAAGAATAAAAACAACAAAAAGTAGAAAGCACTGAGGATAGTCAAGCCGTAGGAGTGGCCGTGCATTGCTGGTGGGAATGCATTGGTCCAACTGCTTGGGAAATCTGTTTGGCAGGATCTAGTAGAGGTAAATATATGCACACTCCATGACCCAGCAATTTCACTCCTGAATATGCATCTCTCAGAATGGCATATGTATCTTTACTCAAACAAACATTAAAGTGTTTATAGTAGCACTATTTGTAATCGCCCCAAATGGGAAACAACCAAAATGCCCCTCAATATAGAATAAATTGTGGCATTTTATGTAATAGAATACTATTCAGCAATGAGAAGGAGCAACCTACAACCAAATGCAAGTACACTGAAGAATCTCACAAAAATAGCACTGAACAAAAGAAGCCAGACCCAAGGTTCTGCCTGATTCCGTTTATGTAATGCACAGAAGCAGGAAAAGCTAACTCAGGCCATTAGAAATGGGAAGTGATGGGGCAATGCCTGGCAGGGGGCCCCAGATAACTTCCTTGTGCTAGTATGTTCAGTTTCTCAATCTGGGTCCTGGTTACCTAGGGATATTCAGGTTGCAAAAATTCACTCAACTTGTAAACTTATGATATGTGCATCTTTCTATGTGTATATTATATTTCAATAAAACATTTTCTTAAATGCCTGGACAAAATCATTCTGAGAATGATTATCTCATTCATAATGAGTTGAATGAGACTTCACTGGCCAAGAGAATGGTACATTTCTGTCCCAATCTGGCCACAAATTTGCTGTGTGGCCCCAGCCCATTCATATCACCTCTATGCCTCAACTTCCTCATGGGGATAAGATATAAAGATGCCTGTAAATGCTCCTTGGAAAAGCCAAAATGAAAGTTAGTTATTGGAGGAAGAGGATGAATGTTAGGTAGAAGTAACAGTCATGGAGGAAAATATAATTTCAGTTTGAAATATCCTCTACTGGGGTTTCTCCTGGGGCTAGGGAAGTTGAGAAGCCCTTTCTTTCCAAGCAAGCCAATTTCCCCTTCCTCACTTCATCCAGTGACCTCTGATGTTGCCATGTGGGGCTTGTAAAGTATAGTGATATTCTTCTTGGTTCTTTGATCTCCCCTGAGATGCATTCCAAGCCTTTTACTGATAACTGTTCCAACCCCTTAATTATCTTCCTTTCCCCTCAATCCATCCATTAGTTCTCTTGTGAACACATTCACTCATGCATATTTCTCCTTGCTTATCGGACCTCTGAAGGCTAGAAGTGAACATAGTTCTTGCCAACGTTGGCCTCCTGAGGCTTCTAGGACTTCGAGTCAATTAACTCCATGAGGTGTGGTCAGAGTGAAAACTTTGCCTCACTCATCCCTGGGAGCTTTGCAGAGCTCAGGAATGAATCCCAGGAGCTTCCGAATTGCCCTGGCTGTTGGGGCCTGTTCACATTGTTCTCAGTGAATACGAGTCACCTGGAATTTCAGACTGTCCTTTTTCTCATTGAATTTCATAAGAATGTTGCTTTGTGTATTTTAAAGATATGAATCCAGCTGTGTACTGAATCTGTATATAATAATTATGTGTTGAATAAAATAATGAAAGCAATAGCAAATTATATCAACATCACATATTACAAGTCAGAACCTATGCTATAAATTCAAGATTTCAATAAGTTAAGGTTCCTGATACTCACAGCTGAGCTGTGTTAGTAACAAAACTTTCAGAAAAACGAGTCAGAACTTCCCTCAGCCATCCATGCATCCATCTATCCATCCATCCATCCCACACATATCTGTAGTGTGTATGATGAGTAACGTGTTGGGATAGACACTGAGGCCCCAGAAATGAACAGGATCCAGCCCCTGGGATAAGGAGCTCATGCTCTGCCAGAGACAGGCATTCGCTCCTGTACAGCAAAGTGGTGTGAGCTTCACCAGCATGTGCATGGGCCGCAGGGAGCTTAGAAAATGTGCAAATTCTGCTTTGACTTGTTTGGAGTTAAGGCCAGGGCAGGAGATGAAGGCAAGGGAACCATCACAGGGCAAGTGACATTACAACTGGGTGCTAGTGTTTGCAAAAAAGTTGGCTGACTGAAGAAGGGTGGAAAAGCATCTCAGATGGAGAGGGCCCCCTCAGCAAGCTGTGGAAATGCCTCTGTGCATGGAGCTGGCAGGAAACGATGAGCTATCTAATCCCAAGCAATCAAACCTGACTTGGGGGGAACACAGAAAAGGGTGTGTGGCTGGGATCAAGATTGAGGCCCGGTTGTCAGGGGATGGAGTTTCAACTTCAGGCTGAAGCATTTCAGAACTTCATTCTGAAAGCTGTGGGATTTGAAACAGGAGATGATGTGGTCTCATGTGCGTCTTTGACAGTTTGAACAAGCAGCTGTGTGGGCACAGAGTAGATGTCGGAAAAGCTGAAGACTGAGATCTGCGTAAAGGATTCTTAGAACTGTCTAGGTCAGGTGCAATAGAGACCTAGCATATCAGAGGCAGAGGGGAAGGGCAGGAAGACCACAGTGCATCATTGGTTATTTAATTAGGATTAATAACATTCATCATCTTATCAAAATTCTTTATAGCCCAGACAGTTATGCTTCAAAGGAAACAGAATTGAAGACAGGAAATTCACTGGGACTATGTCTTGGAAAAGCACCAACTTTCTCTCAGATAAAATAAGGTCATCTGCCAACATTCAAATCTTTGTTTTAAGAATTGTTTTTTTAAATTCTCTAAATGATATTCATTAATAGGAAATAAAAATGACAGTCTTATTACATCAAGCAGAGTGTAGAATACCAAATTTTGGTCTGAGAAGGCCGTATGAAGACCCACAGGGAAGAACACCATGGGAAGACAGGCAGAGATCGACATGATCCCTCTACAAGCTAAGGAAGGCCAAGGCCTACTGGCAACACCAGAAGCTGGGAAGAGGTAGGGGACAGATTCTTGCTCACAGCCCTCCAGAAGGAACCAGCCTTGCCGACACCTTGATTTTGGACTTCCACAACTGTGAGACAATAATTTGCTGTTGTTTTGAGCCACTCAGTTTGTGGAACTTTACTTTGGTAACAGCAGGAAATGAACACATGGAGAGTGCATGAACACAAGCTGGTGCTCAGAGGGAGGGGAATTGGGTGGGGGGAGAGGACTCAGGGAGGGGGAGGTGGGAGGATGCCTAAGTTCCTGGCTTGGACAATAGTGGAGTCATTTCACTCACTAAGATTTACAAACAAAACAAAACAAAACAAAACAAAAAACCTTTAGGGGTTTCTCCTGGAGTAGGAAAAGTTACACTTGGAATTTTGTATGTGGAGTCAAGGTCCCCAGAAAGTCAGTGAGGGTATCCTGGGCTCAATGAAGTGTGTGGGAGGGCTGAGGTTACTGTGCTTTCAAAATAATGGGATGACGTTTTCTTGCCACCGCCTATCTCAAATCCTTCTTGGAGCAGGACACTTAGCACCTGCCCTAAATCCCAGTGGGGAACGTGGTCAGCACCAAGCTAGGCCAACGGAATTGATTCTCTAGGAAGTCGGAGAAAAGAGACAAACTCTCACTGTCATACTGCTATAGTTACATGGTAGGCAGTAGCAATACGATCAGAAGAAAGCTTCTGTGCCAGGTCAGTGTTTTGCTCTGAAGTTGGACCAGCATGAGCCATTTTCCTTTCTCGCCACGGTGGCACAAACTGAATTGGTCCCTACTCACTTGCTTTATTCCTGCCTTAGGAGCTCATCTCTGATTTTTAGGCGAGCACAGGCTGCCCAATATTAAGATTACACTTCCCAGGCCCTCTTGCCATGTGGCCAGATGATTAAGTTCTGGCCACAGAGTTGTCCTCTGAAACTTCCCAAAAAGGTCTTCAAGGGAAGAGGGTTGTCATTCTAGGTCCCTCCTCCTTCCCACTGGCTGAAATGCAAACATTATGGCTGGAGCCCAGGAAGCTCTCCTGAATCATGTAGCTACAAGCCAGCCTTTGCAGAGCAGAGGTCAGATAAGGAGCCTGGTCCCTGATGGTCAGGAAACCCCACTTGAGCCTCCAGTGTTCACCGAGGGACTCACTCACATGGGAAAGAAGTGAGCTCCTGTCTCACTGACCTTGGCTTTCTCATGTTCCACTGAAGCTAGTCCTGCCCAACATACCTTCTTCCTAGGAAGAAACTAAAAGACTTGAATCTCTTCCTTGACTCATTAGCTCCACTGGAAAACTGGAGGAAACTGGTTGGTAGAAGCTGAGTGAGAGAATTCAGAAGCAGGGTCCTGTTGTAGGATGGAGGAATTGAGTGAGAAAAGAGGAAGGGAGAGGGAGATGACTACCAGCAAAGAGCCCCTTCTACCCTCCATGACACAGACAGAGAGGCAACATGAAGGGAGACATTGGGACTCACTGCAGCACCCTGTGGACCTGGATGATCAGCACCCACTGACCACAAAGTGATGAGACGCTCCTCTGGCTGCAGAGTGAGCCTTCCTGACCTTCCAAAACTAAGGGCATAGGGGAAGGTTGATATTCACAACTTACAGCTCAGAGGGCAAACTGCTCTCAAGAGGGAGCACGTGGTGAGTCCTGCTACCTCTGCTTTGAAACTATAGAGAAGGCCGGGTGTGGTGGCTTACGCCTGTAATCCCAGCACTTTGGGAGGCCGAGGTGGGAGGATCATGAGGTCAGGAGATCGAGACCATCCTGGCTAACACTGTGAAACCCCGTCTCTACTAAAAATACAAAAAGTTAGCCGAGGGTGGTGGTGGGCGCCTGTGGTCTCAGCTACTTGGGAGGCTGAGGCAAGAGAATGATGTGAACCCGGGAGGCGGAGCTTGCAGTGAGCCAAGATCACACCACCGCACTCCAGCCTGGGTGACAGAGCAGGACTCCGTCTCAAAAAAAAAAAAAAAAAAAAACTATAGAGAAGTGACTTGTCCGAGGTAACAGAAGAAGCAAATGGCTGCATGGGGAGTGGTGTGGAATAGAACACAGTAATCTGGTCCTTGGGTGCCCATTCCATCTCTGGTCCATGCTGGGCTGCCCTGCCTGTTGCCAGTTCCTTTTTTCACACCTTCCAGCTTTTGCATACACTGTTTCTCTGCCTGGAATTCTCTCCTTCCCTTCTTTCCCTCTAAACTTGGCTGCAGGCAATGGGAGCTGAATAACTGATAGGGCAAAAAGGTGTTGATTCAGATGAGTCGGTAGGATGATTGAGAAAACAGGCTCCAGGCCTGACTTCCAGAAGCAACCCCATGGCAGCCCTGGACTGGTCTGAGAAGAGACCACTCCTTCTACCTCCACAATCACCTCCTCCATCACCACCATGGCCATAGAATGAGATTCCTGCCCTGTCATCTTGTGTCTCCTGCCATGGAGTGAAAGTCTAGCAAGGATGGGTTAGATTGGTCACGTCTAGGTCACATGCCTGGGGCCAGACTTCAAAGGAGCCTTGGAAGGTGACCTCTAGTTTTGACCATGAGAAGGTGAAACTCAAAGTATAGGAATTCTAAAAATACACATTGACTATACCCCTCTCTCTCTAGTCTTTCTTCCTGGTGACATGAGTAATTCCCCAGGACTTGATTATAAATACCACCTCTTCTGATATTTTTCCTTTCTTCATCCTTGCTTATGTGGAGCTGTATGCTTGGGTGTGACTATCTTAGGTTGGGTTTCACTAAAGCAGTCCCTGAGATGAGGACTTGTGTGCAAGTGATAATTTATTGACGTGCTCCCAGTAAAAGAAGGAAAGGGAAGAAGCTACCAGGAGAAGAAGGAAAGGGAAGGGAAAGGGAGAAATTTCAGGCAAAGTCCTAAGGAAGGTAAATTCTGAATTTTCCCAACCTAAGACAAGGGATATGGCCCTTTCTATTCCCAAAGTCATCAGTCACAGACTGAGGACCACTAATCCTTCCAGGCTTCTGAGTCTAGGGAGGCAAAGTGGCTCCAGTAGCCCAAGGGCTGTTCTCCAAGGAAGAGTGTCAGACTCTGGCTGAGAAAGGGGTGCACAGTGTGGTATGAAGGGTCTCAGGGCATCTGAGTGAGAGACCAACAGTCTCTGCTACAGTATGCATGAATTAAGACACATGTATTCATTCATTCCTGTGTTCATTCATTTACTCATCAATCTTCTCCACTTGGCAGTGGATTCCATAGGAGCAAGCACCATGTCTCTCTCATCTCAGAGCCTGCTTTGCAGATGCCCCATGAGCCCCAAAGGGCAGGGACGAAAGGGTGATTGCACTGAGGGTCTTGCAGCCCCTCCCTTCTAGGAATCCCCCCTTTTGCCGAGTCATGTGGTGCAGCCACCAAATTACAATATGATTATGTTGGAATCTTTAAGCCAAGAGAAAAAGAAAACAATTAACGAATCAACGACTTTAATAGACTTCTAGGCACTCACCCAACTCACTCATTAGTGAGAGAAGCAGACCCTGTAAGCAAAGGTACTATTCCCAGAACCAGCTCCCTGCTGAAAAGGAAAAAGAGGAGCCGGGGCATTGGCCATGAAGAGCTGGCAGAGGCTGGAAATGGTAGGGCTTTGGAAGCTAAAAGGCAGAGAAGATGCCCAGGACAGGACGCCTGCCCTCCAGGAGCTCAGAGAATCAGGAGACTGCATTGCTCCTGCCAGGTGACCCTCAGGGACCTTGTCTGGAAAAGGTTTGCTTCCAGGAGAGGTAGTCACGAACAGAGATTGGAAAGCAGTGGAGAGGAATACAGCGAAGCAGAAAGATAGCACAACCAGCAGCGAGCGGTATAAAGGCCAGGAGGCCAGGGCTGTGAGCAAATCTCCTTTGTTTTTATTTTTACTGGGTTTGCTATTATTGTGAATACTTGTCGCTATTAAGTCCGAGGTCATTTTAATGACTGAGCCTAGTCTATAAACAGCCAAGTATGGAATAAATGCCTCCCAAGTTTTGACTTCTTTTCTTCATTTCCTTCTCTTCCCACAAAAAAAGCCTTGGGAGCAAGGTATTCATTTCTCCAACTTTTCTTCTCCCGTGACTGCATTGACTCCAGTCAGCTGTTCACCCTGTCCCATCCCTGGGGGTCTCGCACGGCCAGTGAGAGTGGTCTGACCTCTTTGCCTGCCTCTCAGGAATGTGGCATGCTGTGAGACCCAGATAATAACACAAATAAGGAGACTACTATTTACTGAGCAGGGTATGTGCTACTGAATCTCATCAAATTCCTAAAATCACCCAGAAGTTAGATATTACTTTTCTCAAATGAAGAAAATTGCCAGGCCGGGCACAGTGGCTTACACCTGTAATCCCTCGGCCTTGGGAGGCGGAGGAAGGCAGATCACCTGAAGTCAGGAATTCAAGACCAGCCTGGCCAACATAGCGAAACCCTGTCTCTACTAAAAATACAAAAATTAGCCAGGCATGGTGGTGGGCACGTGTAATCCCAGCTACTCAGGAGGCTGAGGCAGAAGCATCACTTGAGCCCAAGAGGCGGAGGTTGCAGTGAGGTGTGATCGCACCACTGCCCTCCAGCCTGGGTGATGGAGTAAGACTCAATCTCAAAAAATAAGTAAATAAATAAAAAAGATTTAGAAAATGTCTGAGGCCTCCAGATTCATGGAGATTTTTTTTAAGTGACTCCTTAAAATACCTTCTACATTCCCATTTGCCTCTAAGATACAGCCACAACTTCTCAGCATGAATCCCAGCCCTGCAATCAAAATCTAGCTTCCGTCTATCTTCCAATGTGTTCAATTCAGACCACCCACTGCTTGCCCCAACCCTATATATCTCATTCCCTGGTCATTGAATTTTTTTCTCTCCCTGTACACACTCCTGTACCTTCACACTTCTAGGATATTTTTTTAACATTGTGTCTCTATCGGGAATGTCTAGTCTGAGTTTTCACTTCTCCCTTTTCAAGGCCTGCTGGTCATCAATTAGAGCAATGCTTTACCCGAGTTAAATACTTGGAATACTCTGTATCAGTGAAGATTCTGAGGTCCTGGTCCTGATTTAATGATCCAGAGTTTTAGAAGTGGGGTTTGGGAATCCACAGTGTCCCTAGGTGATTATTATGCTCAGCACAATTATAGACCTAAGTTCAGTAGACTATAAGTTCCATGAGGACATGTTCACTTTTATATATAGTGTCTGGCAGAGAGGCTAGGGAAGAAGACCTTGAACATTTGAAAATCTATTACATTGAGCTGTCAATGCTCATCAGGCACAAATGTATTTATGCACAATTGTTGGATGAAAAGATGGATGAGTTGTGGGTGGATAAATGGATGTAACTAATTGCACAGTACTTCTTCCTCTTCATCCTAGAAAATGTCACTGACCGTCCCTGCCCAGGTGGCAATACTGACCCGCAATGGCCTTCCTCATGCTCCCAACACCTCCTTGACTGGATCATGAGAGCTTTCTGCCTCCTTCAGTGGTCTGTGAGCTCCTTGAGGACAGAGAACTTGTGCCTTATTTTTCTTCTAATCCCAACACTTAACAGAGGTCTTGACTCAGGGCTTATTTTTGAATAAATATTCAGTGAATCAAAGCTGTGATTAATAAACTATTAACTGAACAGATGAACACATAGGTGCATGAGGAGGGATCTGGGTGAAGAGACAGACATGGGGCAGTCAGATGGGAACAGGGATCCTGAAACCTGCAGTGCTGCCTGCATTTGACAAAAGGAAAGCACCTCTCTTCCTGCCTAGTCCCCAGGGCTGGGCACAGAGGAAGCCTCCATATGGGGAAGTGAAGACAGAATGTCTCTGAGAATAAACAGATTTAAGAAGAAGATGATGTCCCCATTGTGCTGGCAGAGGAGGGGTGCAGTTGGCAATGCCCAGCTCCACCGCCAGGCCCAGTGGGGAGCTGTACTTTGGAGAAATGGAATTCAAGGACATCAGAAGGCAGAAGGCTGTAGTGGAAAAAGAGGGCATGAACTTGGGCATCATACAGACCTGGACAAGAATGCCAGCTGCTCTACCAACCAGCTCTGTGATTTGGAGCCTCTACTTTCTTATATGTAAAAATGAGCCCAAGGCGGTTTTCCTATGCCCTTCATTCGTTTGCCTTTGGTTGGAATGGCTGTGCACCCCAGTTTAGCTCAGGATAACAGGGGATGCCTGTTATCCTGGTAAAATTATTAATAGCACCCCTTTTCAGCCTCGAAGGTACCCCAGCTTGCTGAATAAATTATATGGACAGCCCACCTTTGACCCCCTTCTACATCCCATCTTCAGGTTTTGAAAGTTAGTAACCACCTTTCTTTTGAGGCTTCGCCTCTTCTAGCTAAGCATCCCCCCGTAGGGAGGAAAGCGATGGTTCCAAGCACAGGCCCAGTGTCAATAGATCTGAATCTAGATCCCAGCTTTTCTACTTAGCGACTGAGCCAAGGTTCCCTCAACTGTAAAATGGAGATGATTCATTTTTTTCCTCTTACAGTCACTAGAGTCACGAGCAAGTTTAAATGAAAGGGCACAAGTCAGACAGCCAGTACAGTGCCTGGCCACAGAAAATGCTCAGCCATTCTCTCTCCCCCACTTTCTCCTTCCTTCCTAATGCCCCTGAGGAAGGAGATAAACTAGAGAACCCCTTGAGATCCCAAATTGAGTGATGTCATGTCTGGAAAGTCCTGAACATTTTAGAGGAAGTCTTAGCCATAGCTTACAGCAAATTCTAGTACTTTTTCTAAAAGATAGATGCAGTGACAGAAAACAGCTATGCTCTCATAACACACAGTTTCTACCACCAAAAGCAGATCTAACTAAAAAGGAGAGAAAAAGAGGATTAACCTTGATTTGGTAAGCTCCAAAAACACGTTTACTCTCTTTTCTGCTGGACTCAGAGGTGGAAGGATTTTAGCCACTTTGCTCTTCACAGCAGGCTATCTAGAGTTGAAGCCAACATAGAGAAGAGGGCAGAACAAAAAGATGGAGAAATATGGGCCCTGATAACATTACTGGAGATTCTGGATGCAGCCGTGTCTGAAGCCAGCCCTTGTCCTTTACTATTATGAGGACTAATACACTTTCTGTTGGCTTATGGGATGGCTTTCTGGTCACTTTTACCAAAAAATCATCCAAATTAATAAGCCAAGTTAAGGGGGTGGTCATTAGAGAGGTACATGCCACTTTGGGGACTATTCTGAACATGTGGGGCATGCGTTTTTCTTGCAAGTGACTTTTTCCTATGGGTGGCAGTGGGGAAGAGCCAGATATAATTTAAAGACCAGGGACAACAGACAGCAGCAGGTGACATAGGCACATAAAAGACACTGCCTGGGCCATGAAAAATCCAAAAACTATGTTTAAGCATTTCTATAGTTAAACCTTCAGGAGTAAGTCTCAGAAAAGAAATAATCATAAAAGGATCATGCCATTGAGTTAGCAGCAGTACTAGTATTAACTGAGCTCCAATTTTCAATACAGGCAGAACAAAAAGTGAGTCTGAAAGTGATGCTTCTTTCTGGAACCCCTCACCCCGGGGGGAATGTGACAGAAAACAAAGGGCTGCTGGCCAGGGCACCCAGACGGGGCTGCTTTCTGTAACCCTACGAAAACTGGCTTCCTACCTGCACTGTCCAACCTGTACCATAAAATCCCCCAAGCAAAGGCCTGTAGCAGGGAAGGAAGGGTGGAAACTGAGCATCTGGGGTCTGGGTCAGACAGACCTTTCTCCAAACCCAGCTCTGCCACTTACATGTTACGTAACCTTGGGCATGTTACTGAACTCTAAGCCTTGACCTCAACCACTTCAAAATGCAGATATCATCCAACTTATTGAATGACATTATTTATGTAATATTCTTAAGTCAGTTCCTGGACAGTAGTAAGCAATTTATTAGTTATTACTTTCACTGTTAAATATAAAGAAACAGATGATAATGTTAAATTTTAAAAATGAAGATTGGGCTGGGCATGGTGGCTCACACCTGTAATCCCAGCACTTTCGGAGGCTGAGTCAGGTGAATCACTTGAGGTCAGGAGTTCAAGACCAGCCTGGCCAACATGGTGAAACTCTGTCTCTACTAAAAATACAAAAAATTAGCCAGATGTGGTGACATGTGCCTATAGTCCCAGATATTCAGGAGGCTGAGGCACGAGAATCACTTGAACCCAGAAGGCGGAGGTTGCAGTGAGCCAAGATTACGCCACTGCACTCCAACCTGGGTGACAGAGTGAGACTCTGGCTCCAAAAAAAGAAAAAAAGATTAACATATTTTAGACAGTTTGATTATTGCAATTGAAAACTAGCAAAAAAAACAGGAAAATAAAAGTCTGTGCATTAATAAAGCAACTGGCAATAATACAGCCTACATCTTAACAATGGTTGTCTTTTGTAGGTAGAATCATGGATGGCTTTTTTATGTGTTTCTTTGACTTTTTTAAGTTTCAAACATCTTAAGTGATGCTTTTATAATAGATAAAACTGATTTTATTTTAAGAATTGCTATTTTCTTTCCTCCCTCTTATAGAGATAGAGGGATTGCCTAGGACCTTACTTTTCTATGTAACTCAATATAGCTTCCCAATTGGACACATATCTTGTTTTAGGATTTCATGCCAGAGTTGTGGGAAGCACCAGATAATTAATAACGCCACCCCCCAAGGCACCTACCCTTCCTAGATCACTCTGATCCCTACAGGGGACTAAGCTGTGTCCAGGCATTGTCTCATTAGAGCTTCACAACAGCTATGAGGCAAGGACTATTACTACCTCCACTTCAAAAACAAGGAAACTGAAACACCAGCAGGGTAAGTAATTTGAGAGTATATTGAACTCACCTCCCACACCTGTAGATCCCATCTACAGGAGAAGAACAGAGAGCAGACAGAAGGAGAAACAAAGGGAGGCTGAAGACACATTTGAAGAGACTGACACACCTGACAACATGGGCTTGCTGGCCAGGAAGAGAGTTTGCAGATTTTTTTTTTAATAGCAGAAGAGAAACATGATCATGTTGCTATTTTTAAAACCTCTTTCCTGCTTCTGTTTGGAGACTGAGCAAGAATGGGAGCAGAAAGCTAGTGAGAAAGAAGCCAGAATCCTGGGAGTAATAGGAGGGAGAGAAGAAGCCCCCCAGTGAATGGTATGGCCTTTTGTAAATTTTTGACCCCAAATCCTATACCTTTCTCCCAGGCTTACGCTCCCCTGGACACCTCGGCCACAAACCTCTGGTTCAAGGTGAGCTCACTTTAGAGCTTGACTCTTTTACACTGCATGGCCCCAAATGGGACATTCATCTGTGTCCTGAATTTCTACAGTGTACATGTTGTACTCATAGCCACACTATTCTAGAGGTTTGATGGAGATAGAGGAATATGCATCTTAGCAGCCCAAATCCTTCAAAAGTTAGCATTCCACAGGCTTAATTTTTTTTTTTTTTTTTTTTTTTTTTTTTTGAGACAGAGTCTTGCTCTTTCGCCCAGGCTGGAGTGCAGTGGCGTGATCTCGACTCACTGCAAGCTCCGCCTCCCAGGTTCACGCCATTTTCCTGCCTCAGCCTCCTGAATAGCTGGGACTACAGGCGCCCGCCACCACGCCCCACTAATTTTTTGTATTTTTAGTAGAGACGGGGTTTCACCGTGTTAGCCAGGATGGTCTCAATCTCCTGACCTCATGATCTGCCCACCTCAGCATCCCAAAGTGCTGGGATTACAGGTGTGAGCCACGGCACCCGCCCCACATTCTTAATTCTTAAAAAGAAAGAAAGGAGAAGAGGAAGAAGAAGAGGAAGAGGAAGAGGAAGAAGAAGAAGAAGAGGAGGAGGAGGAGGAGGAGAGGGGGGAGGGGGAGGGGAAAGGGGAGGGGGAGGAGGAGGAGAGAAGAAGGAGAAAGGAGCCGGTTCGGGAAGAAGAGGAAGGGAAGGGCAGGGAGAGAGGGAGAAATCCCCAAGCCTTCCACACAACTCTAACTTCATGTTCCTGCAGTGTGGCTCATTTTCCTCCTTGTCCTTTCTTCCCTTACCATCTTCCATCTTTCTTCCTTTCTCATTTCAACAGCATAAACCAAATTGTTCCCATTTCCAAATGTGAAGCAACCTGTTGCTCTGCAACCCCCAGGCTGGGCCCCCTTTGCATACCTAAGGCAGAGGCTCACAGCCACATAGCCTCCAGCCTCCCAGGAACAGACGCAAGCTAAGTTCTCTCCTCTTGGGGCCTCACGATGTTCATTTATTTCTCCTCCTTTAATGCTTTCTGCAGATTCTTATCTTTCAGGTATCAAATTAACTATCACCTCCTCAGAGATGCCTCCTCTGGCCAAGGTGGCCAGTGAGGATCCCTCCATCCTCTAATTCTTTATCACCACATTCTATGAGTTTCCTTTATTGTACTCATCACCGTTTGACATTATGCGTTTACTTATTTCTTACCAGTCTTCTCCTTTGAGCCAATGAATCTCAGTCTTGCCTGCACATTGGTATCACTTGGGGAGATTTAAGCAGCACAGATTCCTGGATACTTTTGCAATAGCTTAGTTGTTTGTTCTTTCCAAATCTCATGTAGAAATTTGATGACCACTATTGGAGGTGGGATCTAATGGGAGTTGTTTGTGCCCTGGGGGTGGAGCCCTCATAAATAGATTAATGCCCTCCCTGGTTGAGGGGAGTTCCCTCAAGAGCAGGCTGTCAAAAAGAGCCTGGCACCTCCCCACTCTCTCTCTCTCTTGCTTCCTCTCTTGCCATATGATCTCTGCAAATGACAGCTCCCTGTCCCCTCCACCAAGAGTGGAAGCAGCCTGAGACCCTCACCAGATGCCCAGTCTTGAACCTTTCAGCTAGCAGAATTGTGAGCCAAATAAGCCTCTTTTCTTTATAAAACTACCCAGCCACAGGCATTCCTTTAGAGCAACACTAACCAGACTAAGGCAACTCTCTCTCATCATAATATGCAGTGGGTCTGGCTATCAGGGTATTTAAACCTCCCCAGGTGATTCCAATGCGTAGCCAAGAACCACTGGACTTTAAGTTTCATGAATCCAAGGACTAAATTTAGTTTATTCTCAGATGTATCTCCAGCATCCAGCCAGCCCTTATTACTGAGTTCTAAATAATTATTTGTTGAATAAATGAATTAATGGATGGATCAGCACCCCTCCCCTGTGCTCACATGACTTCCTGGGCATCTCTATCACTGTACTTATCCTACAGCACTGTAACAGTTTTCACTTCTTTCTATACCTATAACACCTTGAACTCTGGAAAACAAAAATCTTGACTTTCTTCTCCATATCTGGATGCTTAGAAAAGTACCCACTTCATACTTGGTGCCCATTAAAAAATTTTTGCTAGATGGTTGAATAATTTTAAATCTCACTTTTTTGTCTATAAAATGGGGATGTTTTTTGCTTCTCTGCTCACAAGGCAGCTGGTGCCTTATGAATTTCAGCTCCATGACACATAAAGGATTATCTACCTGTTGGCAGAAACTTTCAAAATATGAAAGCAGCATGGTGCAAATCAGAAATCGTAGCCTGTACCAGAGCAGAGGGAGCAATAAATGATTCCTCCTTCGGTCAGATGTAAGAAACCATTTGTGGGGGCTAATTTTTTCTCCTGTTCTTCTTTATCGGTATAGCTGTGCTAGCAGCTAAATTTTAACACACTTGTTTTTCAATCACTTAGCCCTCAGCAGGTCATAAAGGAGACAAACAGGATCATTAAGGTGGTACATGGATCTGCTCTATCACCACAACCCAGTCTTCATAAAGGCAAGGAACCAAAAGAGAAGGGCCAAAAAAGACAGGTATCAGTATGTCCACTGTCTTTCTATCTTGCCCTCTTTATTTGCTTCAGGTACAGAGCATCTAGTCAGGTTACTATGGTGTATCAGACCATTCTTGCATTGCTATAAAGAAATACATGAGGCTGGGTAATTTATAAAGAAAAAAGTTTAATTGGCTCATGGTTCTGCAGGCTATTTATGAAGCACAGTACCAGCATCTGTTTCTGGTTAGAGCTTCAGGAAGCTTACAATCATGACTAAAGGTGATGGGGGAGCAAACACATCACATGGCGAGAGCGGGAGCAAGAGAAAGAGAGCCATATTCCTTCTTTTATACAACCAGATCTCACATGAACTCAGAGCGAGAACTCACTTATCACCAAGGGAATGATGCTAAGCCATTCATGAGGGATCTGCCCCCATGTTCCAGTCTAATCCCCCCAGCCCCACCTCCAACATTGAGAATCACATTTCAACATGAGATTTGGAGGAAACAAACATCCAAAATGTATCATTCCACTCCTAGCCCCCCAAATCTCATGTCTTTCTCACATTTCAAAATACAATCATGCCTTTGCACTAGTACCCCAAAGTCATAACTTGTTCAGTCTTAACTCAAAAGCCTCAAGTCCCAAATCCAAGGCCCAACATCTCACCTGGAGATGAATTCCTTCTACCTATGAACCTGTGAGATCAAAACCAAGTTATTTATTCCCAAGATACAATGGTGTACAGGCATTAGGTAGATATTCCCATCCTCAAAGGGAGAAATTGGCAAAAAGAAAGGGCCAATAGTTCTGAAACCAAGCAGGGAAATAATTAAATATTAAAATTCCAAAATAATCTTATTTGATTCAATGTCCTGCATTCAGGGCACAGTGGTGCAAGGGGTGGGCTCCCAAGGCCTTGGGCAGCTCCACCCTTGTGGCTTTGCAGGGTGCAGCCTCCCTGGCTACTCTCATGGGTTAGAGTTGAGTGCCTGTGGCTTTTGCATGCTCAAGATGCAAGCTTCGTGGATCTATCATTCTGGAGTCTGGAGGGTGGCAGTCCTTCCTACAGCTCCACTAGGCAGTGCCCTGTTGGAGACTTAGTGAGGGAGCTCTGACCCTATATTTCCCCTCCACACTGCCCTGGTAGAATATCTCTGTGAGGGCTCCACTCCTTTGGAAGTCTTCTGCCTGGGCATCCAGGCTTTCTGATACATCTTCTGAAATCTAGGGGGAAGCTTCCAAGCTTCCTTCATGCTTGCATTCTTTGCACCTGCAGGCTTAACACCAATGGAAACAGCCAAAGCTTATGTTTTTTTGCCCTCAAGAGCAATGGCCTGAGCTGTACCTGGGGCCCTTTGAGCCACATCTGGAGCTGGAGTAGCCAGGATATGGGAAGCAGTGTCCCAAGGCTGAGTAGGGCAATGGGGCCCTTGGCCTGGCCCCTGAAATTATTTATTCCTGGGCCTCTGGCCCTGTGATAAGAGAGGCTGTCTCCAAGATCTCTGAAATGTCTTTGACGTGGTTTTCCCATTGGATTTTATAACTTGGCTCCCTTTTAGTCATGCTAATCTCTCTATCAAGTAGGTGCTTCACAACCTACTTGGTTTCTTTCTCTACCACAGGGCTAGGCTGCAAATTTCCAAAGTTGTATGCTTTGCTTCCCTTTTAAATATAAGTTCCAAATTTAAGTCATTCCTTTGTTCCCACATCTGATTGTAGGCTGTTAGAAGCAGAAACACTGATTCTGGAATACTTTGCTGCTTAGAAATTTCTTCCACCAGACACCCTAAGTCATCACTCTTAAGTTCAAACTTCCATAGTTCCCAAAGACATGGACATAATACAGCCAAGCTCTTTGATAAGGTGTGACACTGGTGACCTTTACTCCAGTTCCCAGTAACTTTCTCATTTACATCTTAGACCTTGTCAGCCTGGCCTTAGCTGACTATATTTCTATTAGCATTTTGGTCACAACCACCTAACAAAAGTCTCTAGGAAGTTCTGAACTTTCTGTTGTCTTCTTATCTTCTTCTGAACCCTCCAAACTCTTTCAACCTCTGCCCATTACCCAGTTCCCAAGCTGCTTCCACATCTTCAGGTATCTTTATAGCAATACTCACTGCTTGGTACCAATTTTCTGTGTCAATACATTTCTGGGTTACTATAAAGAAATACCTGAGGCTCGTTAATTTATTTTAACATAAAGGTGTAATTGGCTTGTGGTTCTACAGGATATACATGAAACAGTGCTAACATCTGCTTCTGGTAAGGGCCTCAGGAAGCTTACAGTCATGACAGAAGGTGATGGGGGAGCCAACATATCACATGATGAGAATGGGAGTGAGAGAGAGAAAGGAGGTGCCAGGATCCTTTAAAGGAAACAGATTTTTCATGAACTCAGAGCAAGAACTCACTTATCAATGGGATGGTACTAAGCTATTCATGAGGGATCTGCTTCCATGACCCAAACAATTTCCACCAGGCTTCACCTCCAACACTGAGAATCCCATTTCAGCATGAGATTTGGAGGGGACAAACATCCAAACCATATCAAGTGGTTATTACAAACTTTGATGTGAATGAAGGGCACTGAGGAATTCTCTGGAAGTGTGTCTATATATTGTGAAATATCCCCAGATGAGTGAATGCATCTGACATAACCAAGTGTATCTCCAGAGAGTAACTGGGTGGAAGAAAACTACATCCACATTCTTCCTTTCATTTTCCTAAGTTTTTTTTCTAATCAATGTAATACATGTGCATGGCTTAAAAAGTCAAATATTTTTTCTCTTCTTTTTCAAGATGGCTGACTAGTTACATTGGATTCCAGTTCTCCTCAGAAAAAAAAATAAAAGTTACTGATGCATGGACATGTTCCAAATGGAGAACTGAGAGAAGACAGTCAGGATCTGCTGGAGTGCCCACAGAAGGAAAAGGAAAGCAGCAAGAGTCTGGCAGACACAAACCCCTGAGGAACTCAGAGCCCCATGGCAAGGGCAGGTAGGAGTGCTTCTCTGCTCCCTTACCTATGTGGCATTCTGCTGACCACAAAACTGTTGGGGAGCTTTTCTGTCCTCATGACCCAGGGAAACACTATTGGTGGTGATTTGGAAACTTCTCAGGGAAGAGTAGTGGCTTAAATCCTCCTCACATCAGTGGTCAGGAACAGACATGGAATGGGGTCATCTCCTACCCTCTCTACACTGTTGTGAAGGCATTAGAGGTTTTCTCCCCTGGTAGTCTGTACATGTGCACTTGGAGAAAGTACTTTTTGTGCTTTTTGCAGTGGCTGTACCCCAGCTGAAAGTAACTCTGTGCTTCTTGGGCTTGCACGAAAGGTGGGGCCCAGCTCACCCTCCCTACACAGAACAGCAATGTGCAGGCAATGAACAGCAGACAAACTGTGGAGTTGTTGGCTCTGAACTGGGGTAAGAGGCTGTGCCCTGAGCCCATTTTGATGGTAGCCACCAGGGGAACATATCTGTGGTCTATAGCTGTACTGCAGCTGGGAAACAAAGGTCAAAATCTATTTGAACTGAAGGCCATGAACTCCACAACAGGGGTGCCAGGTGCCATAAGAAAGCCATAAAAACCCATAGAGAGACTTGGCCCATTGAAACCACCCAGAAATGAAGCCAAATGATCATATAACATACATCACAGTCATACACTTGAGAAAAAAAAATTAAAAAAAGTTAAAAGTCTCACCCAAGTGATAGCAAAATCAAAAATAAGTAACAGCTCCTTCTTGCAAGGATTTAAGCCACTACTCTTCCCAGAAATATTTCCAAATGAGAAGGAAGTAGTGCAAGACCTCTGTCAGTAAAAGAATACATAGTGTCTTGACAGCTCCAAACAATTGCACTAGCTCTCTAGCAATGGATCCTAACCAAAATAAAAAAATATGAAATGATAGATGAATAATTCAAAATATGAATTGCAAGAAAATTCACTGAAATCCAATAAAAAGTTGAAAATCAACACAAAGAAATTAGGAAAACAATTCGGGGTATGAAAGATAAGCAAGCTATATTTAAGAAAAATAGAACTTGTGAAATTGAAAAATTTACTAAAGGAATTTCAAAATACATTTTAAAGATTTAATAATAGACTAAACCAAACAGAAGAAATAATTTCAGAGCTAGAAAACTGATCTTTCCAATTAACCCAGTCAGACAAATAAAGAACAATTGAAACAAAACAAAACAAAACCAAAAAAGCCTTAAAGAAATATGGGGTTAGGTAGAGCAACCAAATGAATTTAGTGGTATTCCTGGGAGAAGAAATATTAAGCAACTTGGAAAACATATTTGAAGGAATAAATCTGAAAAATTTTCCTAATTTTGCCAGAGAGGTCAACATCCAAATACAAGAAATTCAGAGAACACCTTCAAGATACTATACACGATGATTATCACTATGGCATATAGTCATCAAACTATCCAAGGCCAACAAGAAAAAAAAATCTTAAAGACAGCTAGAGAAAAAGGCCAAACTACCTATAAAGGAAATCGCATCAGACTAACAGAGTACTTATCTGCAGAAACCTTATGAACCAGAAGAGATTGGGGCATATTCTTAGCCTTTTTAAAGAAAGAAAAGCCAGCCAAGCATGTTATGTCTTGCTAAACTTAGCTTCATAAACGAAGGAGAAATAAAGGCTTTCCCAGACAAGCAAATGCTAAGGGAATTTGTCACCACCAGACTAGTCCTAGAAGAAATGCTCAAAGGAGTTCTAAACATAAAAACAAAAGGATAACATTTACTACCATAAAAGCACACATAAGTACAAAAAAAATTTACGGATTCTATAAAGCAATCACACGATTGAGACTACAAAGCAACTACCTAACAACACTATGATGGGAAAAAATCCTCACATATCAATATTAACCTTGAATGTAAATGGCTTAAACGCTCCATTTAAAAGACACAGACTGGCAAATTAGATTAAACAAACAAGACTCAACCATCTGCTGCCTTCAAGAGACCCATCTTATGTGTAATGACACCCACAAACTCAAAGTAAAGGGGTGGAGAAAGATTTACCATGCAAATGGAAAAAAAGAGCAAAGGTTGCTATTCATGTATCAGATAAAATAGACTAAACCAATAACAGTAAAATGAGACAAAGAGCATTATGATGACTGGTTCTAATGATAATGTATTCAACTCAACAAGAAGACTTAACTAATATATATATATATATATATATATATATATATATATATATATATATATATATATATATGCAACCAACACCAGAGTACCCAAAGTTATAAAACAAATACTCGATGACCTGAGAAAATAGCCATACAATAATAGTGGGGGACTTCAACACCACACTGACAGCACTAGACAGATTAACAAAGCAGAAAACTAACAAACAAACTCTGGACTTAAACTGTACTTTTGACCAAATGTACTTCATAGACATCTACAGAACATTCTACAACAAAACTGCAGAATATACATTTTTCTCATCTGTACATAGAATATTCTCTAAAATTATTCATTTGATCCAGCAATCGCACTGCTGGGTATATAACCAAAAGAAAGGAAATCAATATATTAAAGAAATAGCTGCATTTTCATGTTTGTTGCAACACTGTTTACAATACCTAAGATTTGGAGGAAACCCGAGTGTCCATCAACAGATGAATAGATAAAGAAAATATGGTACCTATATACAATGAACTACTATTCAGCCATAAAAAATAATGAGAGTTATTCATTTGCAGCAACATGAATGGAACTGGAGATCCACTCTATGCTAAGTAAAATGAGCCAGGCACAGAAAGACAAACATTGCATGTTCTTACTTATTTGTAGGATCTAAGAATAATAATAAAAAAATGATCCCATGGAGACAGAGAGTAGAAAGATGATTACCAGAAGCTAGGAAGGGTAGTAGGGGGCTGGGGAGGGGGTAGATATGATTAGTAAGTACAAAAAATAGTTAGAATGAATGAATAAGGCCTAATATTTGATAGCACAGCAGGGTGACTATAGTTAATAATAATCTAATTATACCTTTTAAAATAAGTAAAAGAGTATATTGGATTGTTTGTAACACAAAGGATAAATGCTTGAGGGGATAAATACTCCCTCATCCATGAAGTGATTATTACACATTGCATGTCTGTATCAAAATGTCTCACGTACCCTATAAATATGTACACCTACTATGTACCCAAAAAATTAAAAATTAAAAAATACACAAATAAAACTGATTATATGCTTGGTAATAAAGCAAGTCTCAATAAATTCAAGAAAAATCAAAATCATATCAAGCATCTTCTTGGACCACAGTGGAATAAAATTAGAAATCAATCCAAGAGGAACTTTCAAAACCACACAAGTACAGGGAAACTAAACAACTTGCTCCTGAATGACTTTTAGGTAAACAACACAATTAATTCAGAAATCAACAAAAATTAACAAATTAAAATAAAGACACAACATACCAAAGCCTCTGAGACGTAGCAAAAGCAGTGTTAAGAAGAAAATTTATAGCACTAAATACCCACATCAAAAAGATAGAAAGATCTCAAGTTAACAACCAAATGTTACACCTAAAGGAGTTTAAAAAATAAGAACAAACCAAGCTGGCAGGACCCCAAGCTAAGAACCCCAACCTAGCAGGAGGAAAGAAATAAAAAAGATCAGATCAGAACTACATGAAATTGAGACCAAAAAACATACAAAGGATCAGTGAAACATACAAGGGATCAATGAAACAAAAACTTGGTTCTTTGAAAAGATAAACAAAATTGATAGACCACTAGCTAGATTAAACAAGAAAAAAAGAAAATTCAAATAAGCGCAATCAGAAAGGATAAAGGTGACATTACAATAAATATCACAGAAATACAAAAGATCCTCAGAGACTGCTATGAATATCTCTATACACACAAACAGGAAAACCTAGAGGAAATTGATAAATTCCCACAAACATAAAACCTCCAAAGATTTAACCAGGAAGAAATTGAAATCCTGAACAAACCAATAATGAGTTAGGAAATCGAAGCAGTAAAAAAAATTCTACCAACCAAAAAATGTCCAGGACAAGAAAAATTCACCGCCAAATTATACAAGATGTACAAAGAAGAGCTGGCACCAATCTTTCTTAAGCTATTCCAAAAGATTGATGAGGACAGATTCCTCCATAACTCATTCTACGAAACCAGTATCATCTTCATACCAAAATTTGATAAGGACACAACAAAACAAAGAAGACTACAGACCAATATCTTTGATGAACATAGACACAAAGATTATCAACAAAATACTAGCTGATAGAATGCAACAGCACATCAAAAAAGATATTCATTGTGATAAAGTGGGCTTTATTCTAGAAATGCAAGGATTATTGAACAAACACAAATCAAATGTGATTCACCATATAAACAGAATTTAAAACAAAAACCTTATAATCATTTCAATAGAGGCAGAAAAGCATTTGAAAAAATCCAACATCCCTTTATGATGAAAACTCTCAACAAACTAGAGAACAAAGGAACATATCTCAAAATAAGAGAAGCCATACATAACAAACCCACAGCCAACATCACATAGAATGGGGAAAAGTTGAAAGCCTTCTTCCTAAGAATTGAAACAAAACAAAGATGCCCATTCTCACCACTCCTATTCAACATAGTACTGGAAGTCCTTAGCCAGGCAATCAGGCAAGAGAAAGAAATAAAGCGCATCCAAATAGGAAAAAAGGGACTCAAAGTCTCTCTGTTTGGTGATGACATGACCCTATACTTAGAAAACCCTAAAGATTTCTCAAAAGACTCTGAGACATGATAAATGACTTCGGTGAAATTTCAGGATACAAAATTAATGCACAAATTAGCTGCATTTTTATAAACCAACAATGTTTAAGCTGAGAACCAAATAAAGAACTCAATCCCATTTATAACTACAACAAACCAAAAATTAAAAACCTATGAATATTCAGAATAGCCAAAGCCATCCTAAGCAAAAAGAACAAAACTAGAGAAATCACAATATCTGACTTTGAATTATACTACAGAGCTATAGTAACCAAAACAGCATGGTACTGGCATAAAAACAGACACATAGACTAATGGAACAGAATTGAAAACCCAGAAACTAATCCACACATCTACAGTGAGCTCATTTTCTTCTCATTTTCTTTTTTTTTTTGAGACGGAGTTTCAATCTTGTTGCTCAGGCTGGAGTGCAATGGCGCGATCTCAGCTCACCGCAACCTCTGCCTCCCAGGTTCAAGCGATTCTCCTGCCTCAGCCTCCTGAGTAGCTGGGATTACAGGCATGTGCCACCATGCCCAGCTAATTTTGTATTTTTAGTAGAGACGGGGTTTCTCCATGTTTATCAGGCTGGTCTAGAACTCCCAACCTCAGGTGATCCGCCTGCCTCAGCCTCCCAAAGTGCTGAGATTACAGACATGAGCCACCATGATTTTCAACAAGAGTGTCAAGAACATACACTAGGGAAAAGACAGTCTCTTCAATAAATGGTGCTGGGAAAACTGGATATCCATATTTAGAAGAATGAAACTAGACCACTATCTCTCATGAAAGACAAAAATCAAATCAAAATGGATTGAAAACTTAAATCTAAGACCTCAAGCTATGAGACAACTACAAGAAAACACTGGGGACACTCTCCAGGACATTGGTCTGGGCAAAAATTTTTTGAGCAACACCCCACAAGTACAGGCACCAAGGCAAAAATGGACAAATAAGATCATATCTAGTTAAAAAGCTCCCACACAACAAAAGGATACAATCAACAAAGTGAGCAGACAACCCACAAAATGGGAGAATACATTTGCAAACTACCCATCTGACAAAGGATTAATAAGCAGAATATATAAGGAACTCAAACAACTCTACAGGAAAAAAAAATCTAATAATCCAATCAAAAACTTGGCAAAAGATTTGAATAAACGTTTATCAAAAGAAGACATACAAATGGCAAACAGGCATATTAAAAGATGCTCAATATCATTTATCATCAGAAGAATGCAAATAAAAACTACAATGAATTATCATCTCACCCCAGTTAAAATGATGTATTTCCAAAGACAGGCAATAATAAATGCTAGCAAAGATATGGAGAAAAGGGAACTCTTGTACACTGTTGGTGGGAATGTAAATTAATACAACCGCTATGGAGAAGAGTTCAGGGGTATCTCTAAAAACTAAAACTTGAGCTACCATATGATCCAGCAGTCCCACTGTTGGATATATACCCAAAAGAAGAGATATCAGTATATCAAAGAAATATTTGCACTCTTATATTTGTTCCAACACTGTTTACAATAGCTAAGATTTGGAAGCAACCTGAGTGTCCATCAGCAGATAAATGGATAAAGAAAATGTGGTACATATACACAATGGGCTACTATTCAGTCATAAAAAAGAATGAGATCCTGTCATTTGCAACAACATGGATAGAACTGGAGGTCATTATGTTAAGTGAAATAAGCCAGGTACAGAAAGAAAAACATCATATATTCTCACTTATTTGTGGGATCTAAAAATCAAAACAATTGAACTCATAGACATAGAGAGTTAAACGATGGTTACCAGAAGCTGAGTAGTCAGGGGCTAGGGGGATGGTGGGAATGGTTAATGGGTCCCCCCAAAAATGGAAAGAATTGAAAAGACCTACTATTTGATAGTGCAACAGGGTGACATAGTCAATAATAACTTAATTGTACATTTTAAAATAAAGAGTGTAACTGGATTGTTTGTAACTCAAAGGATAAATACTTGGGGGATGGATACCCCATTCTCCATGATGTGCTTATTTCACATTGCATGCCTGCATCAAAACATCTCGTGTAAACCCCCATAAATATATACATCTACTATGTGCCCACCAAAATTAAAAATAATAAATAATAATAATGATTTCTTAATTAAAAAAACTTACGAATACATTTAACCAAGTAGGTGAAAGACATCTATAAGGAGAACTACAAAACACTGATGAAAGAAATCATAGATGACACAAACAAATGGGAAAACATTACATGTTCATGAATAGGCAGAATCAATGTTGTTAAAAATGACTGTACTGCTCAAAACAATCTACAGATTCAATGCAATTTCTATGAAATTAGCAATGTCATTTTTCACAGAATTAGAAAAAACAATTCTAAAACTTACATAGATCCAAAGGAGAGCCCAAATACATGAAGCAATCCTAAGCAAAAAGAATAAAACCAGAGACATCAGATTACCAGACTTCAAACTGTACTACAAGGCCAAACCAAAACAGCATGGTACTGGTACAAAAATGACCCATAAGTCAATGAAACAGAATAGAGAATACAGAAATAAAGCCACACACCTACAACCAATTGATCTTTAACAAAACCAACAAAAATTGACAATGGGGAAAGGACACCCTATTCAATAAATTGTTCTGGGAAAACCAGCTAGCCTTATGCAGAGGAATACAAGTAGATCCCTACCTCTCACTATATACAAAAATTAACTCAAGATGAATTAAAGACTTATCTGAAACTTTAAAAATTGTAGAAGTAGAAGAAACTCTTATGGACATTGGCCTAGGCAAATAATTCATGACTAAGACCTCAAAAGTAAATGCAAAGAAAAACTCAAAAATAGACAAATCAGGCTTAATTAAAGATCTTCTGCACAGCAAAATAAAAATCAACAGAGTAGACAGACAACCCACCTAAGAATGGAAGAAAATATTTGTAAACAAAGCACCTAAGAAAGGACTAATATTCAGAATCTATAAAGAACTTAAGTTAACAAGGAAAAAAACAAATAAATGGCCTCATTAATAAGTGGGCAAAGGATATGAACAGAAACTTCTCAAAAAGACATACAAATGGCCAACAAACATGAAAAATGCTCAATATTACTAATTGTCAGAGAAATGTAAATTAAAGCCTCAATGAGATACCAACTCACACTAGTCAGGTTGGCTATTATTAAAAAGTCAATAAATAACGTATGTTGGCAAAGATGCAGAGAAAAAAGCATGCTTATATACTGTTGGTGGGAATGTAAATCAGTTCAACCTCTGTGGAAAACAATATGGAGATTTCTCAAATAATTAAAAATATAACTACTATTCAACCCAGAAACCCAACTACTGTCTATCCAAAGGAAATTAACCATTTATCAAAAAGATACCTGCAGTTGTATGTTTATCACAGCACTATTCACAATAGCAAAGTCATGGAATCAACCTAAGTAGATCGACAAAGAAAATGTAATATATTTACACACTGGAATGCTATGCAGTCATAAAAAGAATGAAATTATATCCTTCACAGAAACATGGATGGAACTGAAGGCCATTTTCCTAAGTGAAATAACTCAGAAACAGAAAATCAAATACTTTAAGTTCTCACTTATAAGGAAGAGTTAAATAATGGGTACACATGGTCATAAAGATGGAAATAATAGACACCAGGGATCCCAAAAACAGGGAGGGTGGAAGAGGAACAAGAGTTGAAAGGCTACATATGGGGTACTATGTTCATTCTTTGGGTGAGGGGTTCGCTAGAAGCTCAAAAAACAAAACAAAACAAAAACCAGCATTTTGCAATATATCCATATAACAAACCTGCACATGTACTCCCTGAATCTATAATATTTTAAAAAATAATTTTTTAAAAGTCAAAATTACTAGATTTTCAATCAAGTCATCACTTGACTTCCCCATCTTCTCCTATCCTCAGAAGCAAACAATTTCAGCTTTTAGCTATATGCTCTGCATTTATTCCCATGTTAGATTTTTACATAAAATATTTATAGTCATTTTTGATTTCTTGATTTTAGACATTATCTAAATATATTACATAAATGTGAGTTAACCCCTTAAAGCTCCCACCACACACACCCTTCACTTTTATTCTTTCTTCTTTCTGATTATAATTTTGTCACAATTTCTGGTGGAATCATTATTCAATGTTTACCTTATTATGATGATATAAGTACATATGTTCATAGCTGAGTCAAGTTATGAACAGGGTTTCTTTTTTATCTAGCTTTTTAATTTCTTAATTATTTAATTAGATAATTTAATTATCTAGCTTTTTAATTTGCTATAAGTACATATGTTCATAGCTGAGTCAAGTTATGAACTAATAACAGGATTTCTTTTCTTATCTAGCTTTTTAATTTTTCCAAGAAGTTACTAACTGCTTCATTTTTAGTTGTTGGTGTTGGGAATTTGCTTATATCCCAAATTTTCTAACAAATTTTATCTCTAATGTTAATAATATTTTCTCACAAATAAGTACTTCATGAATTTCACTGATTAATTAATTCCTTTCTGGAAGACATCTCTCCTGTAGCCCCCACCTACCTACTTTGGCCTGAACTTATTAACCTCTAGGCCCTCAGCGCAGCTGCCATCTGAGGACTGTCTTTCAATTCATTTCAGTGTTAGCTCCCCTGTCTCTGGGTTCTATATCTTCTCTCCTGGTACATTATTCTGATTGAGGACATCCTTCAGTAGCTTACTCTAAAAAGCTAAATAGAAAAGAAAATGCAGGGCTGGGCACAGTGGCTCTTGCCTATAATACCAGCACTTCAGGAGGCCGAGGTGGGTGGATCGCGAGGTCAAGAGATCAAGACCATCCTGGCCAACAGGGTGAAACCCTGTCTCTACTAAAAATACAAAAAAATAATTAGCTGGGCATGGTGGCATGCGCCTGTAGTCCCAGCTACTAGGGAGGCTGAGGCAGGAGAATTGCTTGAACTCGGGAGGCAGAGGTTGCAGTGAGCCAAGATGGTGCCACTGCACTCCAGCCTGGCGACAGAGCAAGACTCTGTCTCAAAAAAGAAAATAAAAGGAAATGCAAACAAAACCACAATGAGATATCACTGTATCACTGTCACAATGGCTAATATTAAAAAGATAAAAGGTAGCTCGTGTTGGTGGAGATGTGGAGAAAAGGGACCCCTTGCACACTGTTGGCAGAAATGTAAATTAGAATAGCCATTTTGGAAAACACTATAGAGGTTCCTCAACAAATTAAAAATAGAAACTAAATCCCAGTAATCCCTGTTCTGGGTGTACATCCAAAATAACTGAAATACATATGTGAAAGAGATATCTGCACTCTCAGTTCATTGCAGCACTATTCACAATAGTCAAGACATGAAAGCAACCTAAATGTTCATCAATGGATGAATGGATAAAGAAAATGTGATATATGCATATATATACAGTTAAACACTATTCGGCCATAAAAAAGAAGAAAATTTTGTCATTTGTGACAGCGTGGATGAACCTGGAGACATTATGTTAAGTGAAATAAGCCAGGCCCAGAAGGACAAATATTACATGATCTCACTTACATGTGGAATCTATAAAATGTAAACTCATGAAAGTAGTGAGTATAATGGTAGTTACTAATAGGCAGGTGAAGGGAATAGAGAAAAGGCAGATGTTGGTGAGAGTACAAAATTTCAGTTACACAGGAGGAATAAGTTTTAGTGATTATTATTATTGTAAGCATAACAATAATGTATTATATATTTCAAAATTGCTAAAAGAGATTTTAAATGTTCTCACCATATACACACAAAAAGATAAGTAGGCGAAGTGATGCTTATGTTAATTAGTTTTACTCTTCCTACAACTTAAACGAATATCAAAATGTCACATTGTATCCCATAAATGTGTACAATTTTTATTTGTCAGTTAAAAATAATTTTTAAAAAGCTAAATGGAAAGTAAAAAGTTTCAGGACTTATCATGTCTGAAAATATTTTCATCCTACTCTCATTGTTGATTGACACATTTCTTTCTCCTCATTTTCTGTATCACATGTATACTTTTAGGATCCTTCTTTACTTCATTCTTGAATTTCATGAAAAATTGATGGATCTTGGTGGACACTTGCAGGTTGTAAAATTATGTTTTCCCGCCTTGGAAAAATTCTTATACTAATATTTTTAAATTAAATATTAAATTTTGTGACAACTGTAGATTCACATACATTTGTAAAAAGGACCAAAGAGAGAGATCCTGTTTACCCTTTAATCATTTTCCTTCAATGGTAAAACCTTGCAAACATATAGTACAATGTCACAGCCAGAGTATTGACATGATGCAGTAAGGAACACCACGAAGAGCCTTCGGGTTGCCCCTTTACACGCACTCCTTTACAGCTCCCATCTTCTCCTTAACCCCTGGTAACCACTAATCTGTTCTCTATATCTAAAATTTTTTTTCAAGTATGTGAAATAAAGAAATCATATGTAACCTTTTGGAATTGGCTTTTTCATTCAGTATAATTTTCTGGAGATTCACTCAGGTTATTTCATTTATCAGTATTTGTTTCTTTTTAGTAGTAATTTGCTGAGAAATAATTCTTGGTATAAATGTGCCACAGTTTGTTCAATGGAGTATTCTGGGTTACTAAGTTTATTTGGGCACTTGAAACATATGCCATGTTTTTTCTGGTTGCCATGATTTCTGATGAGAAATACATTGTCATTTGAACTGTTTTTCACTATAGGTAAGGTGACATTTTCTTTGTCTGGGTTCAAGATTTTTTTTGTCTTTAGTTTTTATTTACTTATTTTTATTTATTTTTAAGTCGACAGATAACATTGTATGTTTTCGTCCTGTACAACACGATGTTTGGAAGTATACATGCATTGTAAAATAGTTAAATCTATCTAATTAACAAATATATTACCTGACATAGTGATCATTTTTGTGGTGAAAGCACATAAAATCTATTGTCTTTATATTTTCAAGAATACAACATATCATTATTAATTATAGTTATCTTGCTTTACAATAGATCTCTTGAAATTTGTTCTTACTTTCTAACTGTAATTATGTGTGCTCTGATTGACATCCCCTTATCCCCTCTTGTTCAGCCTCTGATAATCACCATTATACTCTCTCTACTTCTAGATATCAACTTTTTTAGATTACACATACAAATGAGATCATGTGCTATTTGTCTTTCTGTGCCTGGCTTATTTCACTTAACATAATGTTCTCCAGGTTAATCAGTGTTGTCACTAATGACAATGTTCCATTTTTTTATGGCTGAATAGTATTTTATTGTGTATATATACCACATATTATTTATCTGCTTGTCCACTGATAGGCATTTAGATTGCCTCCATGTCTTGGTTTTTATGAATAATGCTGTAATGAACATGAGAGTACAGATGTCTCTTTGACATGCTTATTTCAATTGTTTTGGATATAGACCCAGTAGTGATATTGCTGGATTATATGCTACTAATATTTTTAATTTTTTGAAAAACTTCCATAAAATTTTCTATAATAGCTCTATTTATATTCCCATCAACAGCATGCAAGGATTTCCTTATCTTCACATCCTTGCCACATCATCTTTCATCTTTTCTATATGTTAGTCATTCGAACTGGGTTGAGGTGAAATATTATGGTGGTTCTGACTTGCATTTTCCTAATGATAAGTGATGTTGAGCATTTTTCATATACCTTTTCGGGCATTTGTATGTCTTCTTTTGAAAACAACTATTCATGTCTTTTGCCCCTTCTTTAATCGGGCTATTTGGCTTTTGTTTGTTTTTGTTATGCAGTTGTTTGAGTTCCTTATATAGTTTGGATATTAACCCTTTGTGTGATGTATAGTTTGCATATTTTCTTTCATTCTTTAACAATTCCATTTATAATAGCTACAAAAAATAATAAAATACATAGGAATAAATTTAACCAAAAAAGTGAAAGATCTCTACAATAAATATTATAAAACATGAATGAAATAAATTGAAGAAGACACAAATACATGGAAAGGTATCCCATGTTAATGGTTTTAGAATAATTAATATCGTTAAAATGTCCACACTATCCAAAGTGATCTACAGATTCAATGCAATTCCTGTAAAAATACCAATTATATTCTCCCCAGCAATAGAAAAATAACTCTAAAATTTCCATAGAACCACAAAAAGACCTTGAATAGCCAAAGCAATCCTGAATAAAAAGAGCAAAGCTGGAGGCATCACACTACCTGACTTCAAAATGTACTACAAAGCAATAGTAACCAAAACAGCATGGTATTGACATAAAAAGACACATAGACCAATGGAACAGAAAAGAGAGCTCAGAAATAAATTCATACATTTACAACCAACTGATTTTTGGCAAAGGCACCAAAAACACATGATACATGAAGAATGGTCTTTTCTAAAAATGGTGTTAGGAAAACTGAATATCCACATGCAAAATAATGACATTAGACTCTTATTTCTTACCACATAGAAATATCAACCCAAAATGGATTAAAGACCTAAACATAAGACCTGAAACAATGAAACTACTGGAAGAAAACATAGGGAAAATATTTCATGACATTGATCTGGGCAAAGATTTTTTTGGCTAAGACCCCTAAAGCACAGGCAATGAAAGCAAAAATAGACAAATGAGATTACATTAAACTAAAAGGTTTCTGCACAGCAAAGGAAACAATCAGCAGAATGTCTTTAATGTTTAGAAGTTTAATTATCATGTGTCTTGGTATAGATTTCTTTGAGTGTATCCTATTTGGGGTTCACACCCCTTCTTGAACCTGGAAGTTAACATCTCTTGCCAAATTTGGGGAGTTTTTAGCAATTATTTCTTCAAGTACTTTTTCAATACGTTTATCTTTTTATTCTTCTCTCTGCTTTGGAGACTTTAGTCTCTTCTTCTGTGAGACTGTGATAACTCGAATGTTATATCTTTTTTATGGTTATATAGGTCCCTGAGACTCTGTTTCTTTTTTTATCAGTCTATTTTATCTCTGTTGTTCAGATTAGGTAATTTCCATTATTCCATCTTCCAAGTCACTGAGTCTTTTCTCTGTCCCTTTTTTTCTGCTGTTGAGACAGTCCACTGAGCTTTTTATCTTGATTATATCTTTTAAGCTCTAAAATTTCCAAATTTCCATTTGGTTCTTCTTATATCTTCTATATATTTGCTGAAACTTTTTTTTGTTTGTTTGCTGAGGAGTTCTGTCTTTTCAGTCATTTCAGGAGTCCTTCTAATTGTTTATTGTGGCATATTTTATCATGGCTCCTTTAAAATCTTTGTCAGATAATTAAACATCTCCGTCATCTCATCATCACGTTGCTAGCATATATTTTCTATTTTCATTCTGTTTGAGATTTTTCTGGTTCTCGTTATGATGACTGATTTTTTATTGAACCCTGGACATTTTCACTTATGAGACTTTGGATCTTATTTAAACCTTCTGTCTTAGCTGGCTTTTTTGAGCACTGCTCCAGCAGGGGAAGGAGGGAACCGCCACCCCATTACTGCCAGCTGGAATTTAAAGTCCAGATTCCTGATTCACCCTCATTGACACCCAAGTTGAGGGCTCTCTGCTACTGCTGGATGGGCATGGGGTTCCAGAGCACCATGTGATCTCAACCAACACCCTAATGGGGGTTGCTTCATTGTTGCTGGGCAATGATGAAAGTCTTAACTTCCCATAGGTTTCCTCTGGCACCATCCCAGCAGGAAAAGAGAGGAAGGTCTCATTACAGCTGGCTAGGTCAGGGAATCTAGCCTCCCCACCTGGTCTCCACTGACATCATGGGGGGCAGGAAGGGGTGAATTTCCAGCTAGCAGGAATGAAAGTCCAGGCTCCTTACTTGGCGTTCTCTGATACCATCTAGCTGGAATGTTGGGGTGTCCCACTATAGCCCCATGAGAGTGGAAGCCCAGGCTCCCAATTTAATCTTTTTCGGCATCAGTGGTGTGGCAGGGCCATAGTTTTTTCTGCGGTGTTTAGCTGGGGTGAAGTATCTATTGGCTAAAGGCTTTCTGTCTTTCTAGGCTGACTCTTTCTGATCCTTTGGCTACAGAGAGAAGATTTTGTTGGGATTTTTTTTGTGTGTCTGTGCCTACTGTCATTTCTGGATTACCAGCCTTTCCAACTCTAAGTATGGGGTATATGAGGCAGAAAAAAACTCGAGAACTGACCACAGTGTCTTTGCTTGGGTCCTGAGTCCCAACAATTAGCCTAGCTTATCTGTCCTTTTCTCTCTGCCTTGCAGATTCTTCTCATGTTTGTTTTACATACAATGTCTAGAGTTTTTAGTTGTCACTGGGAGTAATGGGAAAAAGCTTATCTACTCCATCTTCCTGGAAGCAGAAATCTTCACATCTTTTAAAAACATTTTTATTTCCTCTCTTTATGACTCTAAATCAGATGTTGGGCTCCCTGCACTGATTCTCCAATTTACTCATGTTTCTTCTTCCATTTTTCCATCTCTACTCCATTTCTGTTGAACTTTCTAAATTTCCACTTACTCTTCCAGCTCTTCCTTTGAATAACATATTTCCACAGTAACATTTTTAATTTAAAATTCCTTTTCCTTGCTTTTGGATTTTTAAAAATGTGTAGCTTTCTATTCTTGTTTCATTAATGTACTATCTTTTTTTGCTCTTTGGGGAAATTAATTATAGTTATTTTGAAGTTTTCTTCTGCTTCTTGTATCATTTCCCCTTTCTCTGAGTTGGTTTTCCCCCCTCATTTTTGGTCTATCTTATTGAAGGTTTTCTTCAAATGCATGAGAATTCTATCTTGTCTGTTTATATTTAAGAGGAAGGCACTAAAATGCTGTCAAGTTTCTGTGGGTATGTGTGGGGCATGTTAACAGCTGTGTTTCAGTCATTGTAGGATGGTTGGATGGAGTTTTAGCAGTTTGTTGGGGGAATGAAATATGCCAGGATCTACAAGCATTTTCTTTGGGGTTATTCAGTCTCTTCTACCTTCTTAGTGTCCAACAATAAAGGAGATGGGAGAGTTTGGCTCTTTCATTCCGTTCTCTGCATTTCCTGGTGTCCAGCATCTACAGCCACTTCTGCAGAATAAACCTTTTTCTAGGGGAGGGGAAAATAGTTACCTGATTGTGTGGGGTAGGGGATGGCATCTGAGGAAAAGCTTGCTGCTTCTCCTACAGAGTTACGAGTCCTCCATTTGCAGTCTCACCTTTCTCTGCACCTCATTCCTTCAACCCTGGAGCATGCCTGAGTTTCGGTGGGGGCAATGCAACTATCCTTTATTGCCAGGCTCTTATACTTGACTTACTTTATTTTGTTAACTCGTTCGTCAATTTTTAAATGTTCAGACATTTGTTGTCACCTCTCACCTTATGTTACACCTCTTGTTTTTTCCTTTTTGTGGATTCATGCATTTTTCTACTTCTTTAATTTCCCGTTAAGGGTTTGAGTAAAGAGAGGAGGTAGATGCCTATGTTTAATCTATTGACAGAAAGCCTCAGGGTTTTTGTTCCCTCCCTGGTCCAAAGGTTGCTGTATTTTGACAGTCTTACAAGTCAATTTGTTTAATGTGGCCTAACACAAGGTATTAATTATTTTTATACTCACCCTACAAGATGTGGAATTTCAGGATCAAAGATGTTTGTGGCTTATCCAAGGTCACACAGCTCTTAAGTTTCCCTGACCCCTAAACTTCTGGTCTTCATTGTTCACAAGGCTTTATAGAGGCTATGTTTTCAAATCCTGTGACCCCCAAATTATCAAACTACTTCAAAAAACACCAAAGATAAATTCCATTTTCCTGATATTCCAATGGCTTTCTCCTCTACACAAGGAAGATACTAATCATAGCTCTGCTATCATTGCACATGGTTCGCAGGACACAAAATAATAGTGATTTGGCGTGGCTCTTTGTAAAAGTAAGATATGATACGTAACAGTGGCTATGGGTTTTTTATTGTTGTTGTTTTCGTTGTGATTGTTGCTGTTGAGCAATTTTTCTGATCCAGGTCTGGTGAGCTTTGGTAGTAGCAAGTTACTTGAAAGTGTATAAGCTTTTGTTGGACAAATGAGGGGACATCAGCAGAATTTAATGAGGAGAACTTGAGCTCTGAATTCATACAGGCATGGGTCTAGACCCCCAGCTTTGCCTATTCCTAGGCATGTAACTTTGTGAAAAATCACATAAACCTCTCTGGGCCTGGGCATCCTTACCTGCAAATTGGGAAAAGAAATACCTACCTTTTTTGACCCTAGGAGGATTACAGAAAATCCCACATTCCAAGCACCTTGCACAGAGACTGGAAGATGTCTTTCCCTTTCCCTGATTCATTCAGTGAAGTCTCCTGACACCTCCTCAGGCATGTCTTGCATATTGGAGATAAGAATAAAACCTCAAAGTCCAAAGGGTCATAAGGTCCACGGGAGAGGACATTTGCATTTTTTAAAAACTATATTTTTTATTACCTTTTCTAATAAAACCAAAGCCCCAAGAAAAAGTGAAAGAAATTGGCTTTATTTAACCCAACAGAGTGAGGTCTTTGGTGGGTTTCCTAATAGCCTTAAGGTGTAGAAAGGAATATTAGATTAAAGATGATCAGCAGCAGTAATATGCATCAAAAATCCATGCACTCGATCATAGCAAAAAAACAAAAAACAAAACAAAAAAAAAAACAAAAAACAAAAAACCTCAAGCAGACAAAAGAAAAAGAAAAGAACATTGAGTGCAGGAGTTGTGAGGTAGTGGGTAGGAAGTCACATTATGCTATAGACTGTCCTACCTACCTGCTTTTGGTGTATTCCTACCAGTCACTAGTTCACCCCTCTCTCCCCGTCAGGATCCCACATTCCCATAATGCTGAACTTACTATTGGCAGAATTTGCAGTGACATTTCATGCCTGCACACCCTTGCACACACAGCTCTGTCTACAGTGCTCCTTTCTTTGCCCTGTCTCTCCTGGGAATGGTCTTTCCCATCTTTCAGGCACCCTCTATCACTTCCTCTAGTTCTTCAATAATTCCTCAAGGCTCTTAGCTTCTCCCACAGTGCTTTGTACTCACCTCTATTATAGGACTTACTGCTGTATATTTTACTGCTTGTTTACATGTATTTCCCCTACTTGACTGTGGGTTCCCTGGGAGAAAGACCCACGTCCTATTCATTGGTTTTATATTCTCTCAGCATGTTATGCAATTACCTAGTACATAACAGAGATTCAAAACTGCATGTTGAAAGAATAAATGTTTCATGAGTGAAAGAATAAATGAATTCAGCAAACACGGCCATCAAACTCAACAAAGTCATCTTTCTTTTGAATAATTCCTCCAAGACTCTTCTCTCTGGCTTCCTAGATTACAGAAGTTGGGGAGGGAGATAATGGAACGTGTGGTTTAATCATTCAGGTGAGTTATTACCTCCCTTGCAGAGCTTCCCACCATGCCGTGCTCACATTTCCCATCTGCCATGCAGCCCCAGAATAACCCAGGAGATGCCTGCCTCTGCGCCAGCTAACTCTTCTTCCCAGGCAGCTCATTCCACTCCCCTCTGCCAGGGTGATGCCACATTCTCTATCTAGGTCTTCTTTCCCTGGTGGCCTGAGCACCTCTCACTTCCCTTGTCCACTATTGGCTCAGCCTCCTTGCTCTTCCATTTACTCAAATCAAATTGCTCCTTGATTGTTCCCAGGTGAAGTTCCTTTTCTAACTAATTCAGACTTTACTGACTTTTCTCAGAGCCCCTTGTTGCTAGCTCTAATCTATTTTCCTTGCATAGAGAACCAAAGAACCCTACAATATTAGAACTGAGGAAGGTTTTCTTTGAGAAAAAACATAGGATTTGAAGCCACAGAGAACAGCACTTAATTACTGGTTGTACCACCCCTGAACTCTGTGCTCCCTCAACTGCAGAACAGGGTGTGCAAGCTCAGATTATTGTCCGGCAGCTCCCTTCTCCCACCTGCCTTCATGGAAAGAGAGTAGTTCCTGCCCCATTGATGCACGGCTGGTCTACATAGTAACCGCAATGCAGGCAGACATGGTAGTGTGCCAGTCCCAAGATGAGATGTTACAGGACCTCCTAGTGGGTTTCCTTTTGTGCTTCAGGGAACTTCAAATTCCCACTTTGGAAGAGCATGGCCCAGATAGCCACCACTGACTCAGCATGGCCCCAGAGTGGGACACATAAAGAAAATCATCTTCCCTAGGTATCTACTGGTCCTAGGAGGATGAGAGACATATGGAGAAGACCTGAACACACCTGCAGCCTGAAGCCTGGAGCCCAGTGCCTAGAATCCAGCACAGCCATGTTATGGCCTAGTCACTTTCAGTACACAGTGGATTCCTCTCATTGTGTCCTTTTAAAGGCAGATGACCCAATATAAGGCCTCACTTTCAGAGATAGGGCTCAGCTGTAAGAGACTCTAGACCCAGCTCCCTGACTTCTCTGTTTCTGCTCCTCATCTATAAAATGTAGATATTGAACAGTGTTGTCAAAAGGATAATATGACTTACTACATGTAAAGCACTTAGAATGTACTCTTTACCTTGTGAAATATTAAAAAGTAACAGAAATTGTTATAGTATTAGTATAAGGAGTATTTTACAGATGCTGTAGCTATCTGTTACTGTATAACAAATTATCCCAAAGCTTAGTGACTGAAAACAGCATACGTTTATTATCTCCCAGTTTCTGCGGGCCAAAAATCTGAGTGATGCTTAGCTAGGTGATTCTGGCCCAGGGCCTTTCACAACAATGGACTCGAGGTGTGAGCTGTGGCTACAGTCATCTCAAGACTGGGCTGACTCTCCAGGCTCTCACGTGGCTGTTGGCAGGTCAGTTCCTCACTGGCTTTGTGAAGCATCCATTATTTTCACATGGGCTTCTCCAATGGGCATCTTGCTTCTCCCAGAACAAAGATTATAGAGGGGATGCAGGAAAGAAGCAAGTAACCCTGACAGAAGCTACAGTCTCTTTGTAACATAATCTCAGAAGAGACATCCCATCATTTTACAGAATCTCATTTGTCAGAGCACAGTCACTAACTGCAGCCCACACCCAACAGAAGAACATGAATGCCATGAGGCAGATATCACTGGGGCCATCTTAGAAGCTGCCCACCACATATGATAAGATGCTAAAAATGACTACCACTACCACTAATAATAATAATAATGGCAAAGGGAAAGAGTACCACTTTGGGTATCAGACAGAATGCGGATTTAAATCCCAACTCTACCACCTGCCTATCACATGACTTTAGGGCAAGCTACTTCCCCTCTCAAAGGCTTGTTCCTCCTTTGCAAACAGAGAATGATACTGCATATCACACAGAAACTGAGACATAAGTGAAATAAAAGATATAAAGTGCACATATGGTATTTGGCACAAAGAAAGATGAAAAATAAATGATGGCATCATTATTGTATTTTGTGAGGCTTTTAGCATCAGATCCATGTAATTGCATTTTCTTGGCATATTTTTTCCTAAAGAATCGGCCGTCTGAGGTAGTGACCAATCTGTTAGATCATGAAACAAATGCTTCATCTGCTCCCAGTTTTTTAGATCTTCGAAGTTGAGATAAAATGCCACTGCCTGTGGTCCTGAGTGCTGCAGAAAACCCTGATGATGTGCCATCCCAGGTCCTGGGCTCAAAAGCCTCCTGGAAGGCTCCAGGCATACATACCCTCACTTCTCCCTCCAGGGAAACGAGGACTTTATGAGACCTAGGTAGCAACGCAACCTCCAGCAAGGAGGCTGGGAGGGCAAGGAGGGCTGTTCCCCTGGAGTCCTGGCTATTTTAGTTTTAACATTTTAAAAGATACCCTTGCTATATCTTTCATATTTGTGAAGGCATTTCTCATACTCTGGTAGCCTGAGGCAAAGTTCGAAGGATGAAGTCAATTTATTGAGTCAGACATTAGGAGGGGCTTTACACTCAGCTCCAAATAAAAATCAAATATTGATTCTTGAGGAAAAAAATGAAATGTCTTTTTCTTTTACCTAAGGAAAAAATAGGGGTTTGTATAGAGGTCTCATAACTAGGTGGAGTTTATCTGGTCCCAAGACCTTGGGGTTGGTATTGAGGGGGAACCAGTTCTTGAGATTTTTATCTACTTCCACATCTGCAACAGTAGATGAGCTAGGTCCATGTGAAGTGACGACAGGAGCATTAGGAGTTCACCAAAGCCAGGCGTAGTTGCTCATGCCTGGAGTCCTGGCGCCTTGGGACTGAGGTGGGAGGATCACTTGAGCTTGAGGCCAACCTCAGCAACTTACCAAGACTAAAAAAAAAAAAAAAAAAAAAAAAAAAAGAAGAAGGAAGGAATGAAGAGGAATGAAGAGAGAGAGAGCAAGAAAGGAAGGAAGGAGGGAGGGAGGGAGGAAAGGAAGGAAGGAGAGAAAGAAAGAGAAAGAAAGAAAGAAAGAGAAAGAAAGAAAGAAAAAGAAAGAGAGAGAAAGAGAAAGAAAGACCTCCAGAAACTTACAGACCCATCTGCCCTGATGTCTGAGTTTCTACCACTTGAGAATTCTTCCTTTGCAGGGACTGAATCAAGAGGCAGAAGGCTAAGTTGTGTGTATTGAGCTCAGCTTGCTGGCCTTGCTGGCACCTTTCAGAATTGATTTCCTCATCTGGAAAATGGAGTGATAATAACACTCGCATTATAAAACTATTGTGAGGGTTGATGAAAATGCACATAAAAACATTTTGTAAATGGTAAAAAATCTATTCAGCTGTTTATTACCCAGGATTTTTAAATTTTATCTTTGATATCCACAGCAGTTTGGAAGGAGTAAAGATCCCATTTTTCCCCTTTAACAAAAAAGAAAACTGAGGCTCAGAGAGATCACTAGCCTGCGTTTTGTCATCCTGCTAATTCTGGGGGTTGTTTCTGTTGCTAATGTTACTGGATTCAATTGTTAAATTTCTAGGAATTACCTGTAGAAATACAAATATCACCATTCTAGTTACCTTGGGTTTTTTCAGTCCTTACCTCCTAGCTTAAATTAGATTTTCTCAATCTGTATTAAGAATTGCACCAAGAAAATCATATAAAATCACTTGTACATCTACTATGAAAGTATCATTTAATATATTGTCTAAGTCACTAAATGGATCTTATGTATAGTATCAAGTAATAAATTCTCCTAAGAATGTCATTCCACGAAATAAGATTGTATTTCTTGAGTAATTGGTATCTTTTATCAGATAATAAGAGCATTTCAATTCACCACATTTTCTCTTTTACCTCTACCACCAAATAAAAACTAAATAAATCTAAACCAAATTTACTTCTTAAGTAACTCAGAATACTATTCACTCATTCATTCATTCACTTTTTTATTCATTAACCAAATATTTATCAAGGACCCTCTATGGTAAGCACTGCTCTAGAGGCTGGGAATACAGTCATGGAAGAAAAAATATATACAAGTTCCTGCTTTCTTAGAGCTTATATTTTTGTGGAAGAAACAGAAAATAAACACATAAATAATAAGCATATATAGTAGGGGAGAAAGGACTAGTGAACTGGAAGACAGGTCAGTAGAACATACTCAGATTATATCATGGAGAAACAAAAGGACAGAAAGCACAGAGAAAACATAACATACAGTTGGCACATGATCAAAAGATCTAACAACAACATCAACAAAGATTTAACAGTAATTAAAGTCCCAGGGAAAGATGAGGTAAACACTCAGTTAAAGTCAGTATTTGAAGAGGTCATGACTGAAGATTTTCCACAATGAATGAGCTAATGAAATATCAAGCCCCAGATTCCTGAGCACAGATCTGAGATAGCTGAGAAAGGAGACAAGAAAATATCTGAGGAAAAAGTGTTCCAGGCACAGAAACAGTGAGTGCAAATGTCCTGAGGCATGGGTTCCAGTGTGGCTGGAGAT